>NC_000005.10:145703659-146328659 GCF_000001405.40 Homo sapiens | reverse complement strand
CCTTCTGTTCCTCAAACATGCTAACCCCATTCCCGTCTCAGAACCTTTGCCTTCATGGTCCACTATCTAGAATCTTCTTTCTTCCACTTTTTCATGTGGCTGGCTCCTCCTGGTCATTCAGTTCTTAGCAAATGTCACCTCATCAGAGAGGACTTCCCTGACCTTCCCTGACCACTGATCAAAATTAACTTCCATCTACCCCATCCCCGCGTCAGTCACATTCTATCCCATTACTTCATTCTTACTTTTCAACCTAGCACTTACTGCTACCTGAAAATAACTTGTTTCTTTACTGGTTTACTTTTTCTTTAAATCACCTGTGAGCTCTCACTAGAATATAAGCTCCATGAAAGCAGACAAGGCTAACCTTGTTTGTCATGAAATCTCCAGTGCCTAGCACACAGGAGATACTCAGTATGTGTATTGAATGAATGAATAAATGAATAAGTGAGTCAGACAAGCAAAGTTTGGCCTGGGGCTGCAGAGTAAGTGATTGGCATTGCCCAGGAAACCCAATTCCCAGTCCCCTCCTCCCTGTTAGACCACATTGCCTTCCCGATGTATGTGGGAAAAGATACCTGAAAAGATAAACAAGAAGAGCTGAAACTTTTCTAAGCCCAAACTAAAGGGGAAATGCTAAGCTCTTGTGGAGGAAAGAGGAAGCATGTCCTGGCTTTGGGAGGATCACTGCTTCCATTGTTCACCTGAGCCTGTGGGTCAAGAAAGCAGATTTCTGACATCATAAAACTGATTAGGACAAAAAAAAAAAAGTCAACACTGGCTATGACATGACTGTTCCATTGTACAATCTGATCGAGGAAATGTATCTAGGATTACCCAGACAGTCAATTATTCATGAGCTAAACGTCCAGGCATCAATTACCTGGCTTGATGCTCTTATTCATTAAGGAGATTGAACAGCCCAACTTAACAAAGCTGGAGAAAGTTGCTAAGTAACAGAAGTTACCTGACCAGCCACAACACTGCAGCCTCCACAATATGAGTCCTTTCATGGCAAGAGAGGGCCCAGGGATCACCAGCAGGAGAGATCAAGTGGTAAACCCCACTGGGGCTAGCTTCAGCTTTAGCAAAGGGAAGGAGGCTGAGGGTGGACGGGCTAGATTTGGAGAAGGCAGAAGAAATGTGCAAGATATAAGCTAACTCATCTTCTCCAAATGAAGTGGGTGTTTGCCAGGAGGAATGCGAATATTTCACAACACAAATGAATTACTATTTAAGTAAGAAGTCAGAGATGCTTATCTAGCATTTAATGAATGAAAGTAAACTACAAGTATAACCGAGATTCCCCCGGGTGATGAAGATTCTTGGGTTTTCTCTTCAGGTATCCATCTCAGAGTGAGTCTAAAAATCATTCTAAGGATAAGGAAATTTATAAGCCGGATATAAAAGTTTATACAGAAGACACAGGGCTTTATACACTCAACATAATTAACTTTCTCCTTGTAAAATCTTTCTCCACTATATATAAAACTATAGTCCCCTCGACTACTACCTCCAGTGCTTATATTACTTTTATCATCAGAACAAAGGCTTATGTATTTTTAGACTTGAGCATGTAGATCTTGAAGAAAAGAGTTTGTCTTTTGGACTTCACTGCATACAGCATTTGAACAGGGTCACCAAAAAATCAAGATGCTCACCAGACCTGATATGTTGACGCCAGACACAGGGTGGGTATAGGCAGGCCCAGCTACATAATTTGCAGGGCCCAGTGAATAATGAAAGATGGATCCAGCTGGGCGCAGTGGCTCATGCCTGTAATCCCAGCACTTTGGGAGGCTGAGGAGGGCAGATCATGAGGTCAGGAGATCGAGCCCATAATTTCCACGGTGAAGCCCCATCTCTACTAAAAATACAAAAAATTAGCCAGGCGTGGTGGCAGGCACCTGTAGTCCCAGCTACTCGGGAGGCTGAGGCAGGAGAATGGCGTGAACCCAGGAGGCGGAGCTTGCAGTGATCCGAGATCGTGCCACTGCACTCCAGCCTGGGTGACAGAGCCAGACTCCGCCTCAAAAAAAAAAAAAAAAGTGGATCCCCTTGTTCAGAAATTATTAAGAATTTCCAGATAGCAACAGCAGAGCATTTAATCAGGTACAGGCCCCTTCTAAGCACAGGACCTTGTGCAACCCCAGTTTGCACACCTGAAGCTGACCCTGGGCTATAGGGTTAAGAGCACAGGCTTCCCAGTGAGACACATCAGAGTGCAAGCCCATTTTATCCTTACTGTCTGTAAGGCCTTGATAAGTCTCCATGTTCTCATTTGTAAAATGGAAATAATAATAAGGTTTTGTGAGGATTAAACAAGACCATGCCTGGCACATGCTAATCATTTCATCAGGGATAATTATCTTTAATGCTGTGGAAATGTTAATGACAAGTCCGTGACTATGGGGCCAGGCTTTGCCAAGCCTGGTGCTAAGCACCTGCATAGGGTAGCTTTAATAGAAGCACACAAAAAAATGATGCAAATCCCTTTCTCTTCTCACTTGGGTATCACCTATTCTCAGTGTTCAGTGGAATTCCTTTCTTCCCACAGCTATTAGCACATGAGAAGGACCTGATTTGGGTTGATGTAAATATTTCATTGGAGGTAAGGCTGTTGCAAGTTTGATAACTAAGTTTCATTCCAAGTCAAAATAATTTGGTTCATTTATTCATTAAATACTTTGATGGTCATACTGAGCATCTGCCGTATACTGAGCACCTGCCGTATGCTGAGCACTATGCCAGGTATTGAGGAGGAAGCAGATAAATTATATGCAATTCCTATCCTTAGGGACAGGGAATGGGCATGGGACATGCATTCTGGAAAATATTGCCACCAGCCCTTCACATGACTGACTTGCTCACATTCTTTTATTTTTTTATTTTTTTGAGATGGAGTTTCGCTCTTGTTGTCCAAGCTGGAGTGTAGTGGCGCGATCTCAGCTCACTACAACCTCCGTCTCCCAGGTTCAAGTGATTCTCCTGACTCAGCCTCCCAAATAGCTGGGATTACAGGCGCCTGCCACCATGCCTGGCTAATTTTTTTTATTTTTAGTAGAGACGGGGTTTCGCCGTGTTGGCCAGGTTGGTGTCGAACTCCTGACCTCAGCTGATCTGCCTGCCTCAGTATCCCAAAGTGCTGGGATTACAGGTGTGAACCACCATGCCCAGTCTCATATCCTTGTAGATGTCACCTCAAATGTCAGCCCCTTGGACATGTCTTCCTCAACTACCCTCCCTCAAGAAGACTACCCAATGACCCTGTCACATCACCCCATGCATTTCCTTCCTAGATCCTGTTGACTTATTTGTAAACTGGGACAATATCTGGTTCATCTCTGTGTCTCTAGAACAAAGACCTGACTTGCATAAGAGCACAGTAAATATTTTTCAACAAATTAATTAATCAAGTCCTAGAGGAATTTGATGGTGACGTGGGAACACAGAGGACGAGCACGGTGCTCTGCCTATAGTCATTACTGAAGGAGGTGCCATTCACAGGAGGTGCCATCTCAGATGAGCCTTGAGGGGTGAGAGGCAGCTCCATGGGCAAACAAAGGCAGGTGAATCCAGATTGAGGGGACAGCATGTGCAAAAGCAAGAGGCCCAAGAGAGCTCAGGATCCGCAGGTGTTTTAGGAGGCAGAGGGGCAAGGGTCAGGTGACAGGAGGAGCAGGAACTAGGTCCTGAGATGGAAATGGGAACCAGATCACAAAAGACCTTGCATGCAATTCTGAAGAATCTGAGTTGTATACTGTGGGCAATAAAGCATCTTGCATGTATCTGCCTGCCGTATGCCAAGCATGGGCTAAGTACAAGGGATACAGCAGTGAGCAAGACATAACATGGTCTCTGCCCTCAGGGAGCTTACGTTCTAGCCGGAAAGACAGACATGACACAATTATTTATTATTTTATCATTAAATAAAAATAATCAAAAGCACTGTGATTACACATTGCAGAGAAGAACAGGGTGTGATGAAAGTCCATAACAGGGAGGTCTAACCTGGTCTGGGATTACAGAAGCATACTCCCCCACCCATGGCACCGCTCCTTTTGACTTTCAAATTTCCTGGAAAAATCCATCGCTTGATGCCAAAAATTAGCTTAAATTTTTCCCACATGTATCAATGGGGAAAAAATATTTCACATATCCTGATGAGCTCAATTAGTCCATTCCCAGAAGGATATATTTGGTCTGATGCCATTTATATACAATTTTAAAATGTGAAAAATGCTATTATTGTCTATGGATACATACATATAGTATAAAGACAAGGGTAAGACTGATGAACACCAGGCAGTATGGTGGCTCCTTCGAGGACAAGGTTAGGGAAAAGAATATCACTGGGGAGGTTCAACTGCTTTTTATAATGTTTTATTTCTAAGCTGGGGATAGAAACATGAACTTATTCTCTACAAATTTTATAATTTGAAGTATAGTTTCACTTTCTAAGAAAAAGTTAACTAGTCTATACTGAGGGGGTCTTTTTGGTTGTTGTTTTTGTTTTGTTTTGTTTTGTTTTTTGAGACAGAGTCTCTCTCTGTCACCCAGGCTGGAGTGCAGTGGCACGATCTCGGCTCACTGCAACATCTGCCTCCCTTCTCCTGCCTCAGCCTCCCAAGTGGCTGAGATTACAGGTGACTACCACCATGCCTGGCTAATTTTTGTATTTTTAGTATAAAAGGGGTTTCGCCATGTTGGCCAAGCTGGTCTCAAACACCTGACCTCAGGTGATCACCCACCTCAGCCTCCCAAAGTGCTGGAATTACAGGTATGAGCCACTGCGCTCGGCCTACACTGAGTATTTTTTATTAGCCATCATTACCATTAAAGAGATTGTATCATCTGTTCTTCAAGAGAATATAAAAAAAGGAAATACCCATGTGGTGTCAATTATACCACGTACTGCAGGGTAAATAAACTCCAAGCCCACACAAATTTTTATTGGATAAAAACTTTCCTCGGTCCTGTAAGTTCTTATCAGGGCTTCTGTATATAACACAAGTATACAGGAAGGAAGGAATGCTCCTTTTACTTATTTTACTCTGTCCTTATAAAAGCAACTCTTCTTCTAAACTAGGAACCTTTGGTGACTGGCTGGACCCCTGGAAAATTTCCTTTATCTTTATTTTGGAAACAGGCAACTAAAATGAAAAGCAATCCAGCAAAGGCAAAAATAGCTGGAACCTCAAATTCTCACCAACAATGCCAAAGCCTAGGCACCAGTGGAACAGCTCCCCAATCAATGTTTAAGTGCATGGGAATAACTGATCTTTTGTCCTGTCATAAATGGCTTCCAGCTGTACCCCTCTGAAGGGACTCCTGGTTTGCCTGCATCTCAAGGATCTATGGTCAAAGCTAGACCCTGGTAGAGAGGAGGAACAAGGGGCTTCATTGTTTTCAAATATTTTCTCATGAGTCCATGGTAGATCTCTATGGCAGTCCTTAAAATAGCCAGTGAGGAGTAGGTGGACTGGCAGCCAGTTATTGATCATTCAACAGAGTGCTAGCAGCTGTCATTAGGCCAGAGTAATAGAGAGACCGTGTACCCGCCCTCCCCTGGCAGAATACATTTCCCAAATCCTTATCACAGGCCCAGAACTAAAAGCCCTAACTAATTTGCTACCTCAGCAGCACCATGTCTAATAATATCCTCTGATAAATGGAGATAAATGATGTTTGGAAGATGGACAGTGCTTTCTAGATTGACAACCCAGTCCTAGGAGACACAAAGGCGTCAAGCCATCATCTGGAGTGAAAGTCTATAAAACTATCAGCAGTGGAAGCTCTTTTCCACCCTGGACCTGTTTCTAAGGGCCTATTCAACTGCTAAATCCATCCACCCATTCATCCATCAAAACATAGTTTAGTGTCTATCTGTGTTAGGTTCCATTTTTGCTTATGGGATATGAAAATGACCAAGATTCTGCCCTGGAGGAGTACACAATCAATGTCGACCACATACACCACTGGAAATAGAACCTGGCCTAAGGTTTCTAGAGGAAAAAAATCCCCCTCCAGCTTTAATATGCCAAGTTAACTAGATGATGAAATAATTGATGAAAGTTAGATAGCCTTGTCCAGGAATGACCAATAGGTTTGTTATATCTCCTGTGCCACCTATATTCAACTGGTGGTGGCTGTCTGAAGAATTGTGATAAGAATGATTCTGAGCATGAGTTCAGGTGGTAAGAAAGAATGCTGTGGTCAATTAGTGATGTCTGTTACAGGTGAAGAATGAGAGAGTGGCTACACATCTCTGCTTTCCCTGCCGTAGTAAAAAGACAACAGTCTAGAAGCTTATGCCAGCATACCTGGGAGATATTATGGGTTTGATTCCAGACCACCACAATAAAGTGAAAATTGCAATAAAACAATTCACACAAACTTTTTTGGTTTCCCAGTGCATATAAAAGTTACATTTATACAATACTATATTCTATTAAGTATGCAATAGTTTCATGTCTAAAAAATGTACATAACTTAAAAATACTTTATTGCTAAAAAATGTTAACAACTATCTGAGCCTTCAGCAACTCATAATCTTTTTGCTGGTGTGTGGCCTTGGCTCAGTGTTGATGGCTGCTTACTGATCAGGGTGGTGGCTGCTGAAGGTTGTGGTGGCTGTGGCAATTTCTTAAAATAAGACAACAATGAAGTTTGCCACATGCATTGACCCTTTCTTTCATGAAAAGTTTCTGTATAGCATGCAATGCTGTTTGATAGCATTTTACTCACAGTAGAACTTTCAAAATTAGTCAATCCTCTCAAAACTTGCCACTGCCTTATCAACTAAGTTGATGTGATAGTCTATAATAAATTCCTTGTGGTCATTTCAACAATGTTCACAGCATCTTTGCCATGAATAGATTCCATCTTAAGAATCCACTTTGTTTGCTCATCCATGAGAAGCAGTTACTCATCTGTTAAAGTTTTCTTATGCGATAGCAGCAATTCAGGCACATCATCAGACTCCACTTCTAATGCCAGGTCTCTTGCTATTTCCACCACACCTGCAGTGACTTCCTCTGCTGAAGTCTTGAACACCTCAAAGTCACCCATGAGGGCTGGAATCAACTTCTTCCAAATTCTTCTTAATGTTCACATTTTCACCCCCTCCCAGGAATCACAAGTGTTCTTAGTGCTATCTAGAATGGCAAATGCTTTCCAGAAGGCTTACAGTTAACTTTGCCCTTATCCATCAGAGGAATCATCATCTTTGGGTAGCTATAGCCTTGTGAAATGTATTTCTTAAATAAGAAGACTTGAAACTTGAAATGATTTCTTGATCCATGGGCTGCAGAGTGGATATTGTGTTGGTAGGCATGAAAACATTAAATTTTTGTACATTTCCATCAGAGATCTTGGGTGACTGGATGCATTGTCAGTAAGCAGTAATATTTTGAAAGGAATCTTTTTTTTGAGCAGTAGATCTCAACAACGGGTTTTAAATATTCAGGAAACCATACTGTAAAAAGATGTGCTGTTGTCCAGGGTATTTTTTAATACAAGTCTTGCTACACTGACCAGACTAGTCTCAAACTCCTGGACTCAAGAGATCCTCCTCATTTAGCCTCCTGAGTAGCTGGGATTTCAGGCTTGTGCCACTACAGCTGGCTCATCCAGGCTTTGTTGTTCCATTTATAGAACACGGGCAAAGTAGATTTAACATCATCCTTAAGGGCTCTAGGATTTTCAAAATGGTCAATGAGCATTGACTTCAGTTTAGCGTCACCATCTGCATTAGCCTCTAATAAGAGAACGCATCCTTTGAAGCTTTGAAGCTAGGCATTGGTTTCTCCTCTCTAGCTATGAAAGTCCTGGGTGGCATCTTCTTCCAATAGAAGGCTATTTCATCTACATTGAAAATTTGTTGTTTAGTGTAGCCACTTTCATCAATGATCTTACATTTTCTGGATAACTTGAGGCAGTTACTACATCAGCACTTGCTGCTTTACTTTGTGCTTTTGTGTCATGGTGATAAACCAACCTCTGCTAGCTTCCAACTTTTCTTTTGCATCTTCCTTACCCCTCTCAGCCTTTACAGAATTGAAGAGAGTTAGGGCCTTGCCCTGGGTTAGGCTTTGGTTTAAGGGAATATTGTGGCTGGTTTGATCTTCTATCCAGACCACTCAGGCTTTCTCCATATCAGCAATAAGGCTGTTTCACTGTCTCACCATTCGTGTGTCCAGTGGAGTAGCACTATTAATTTCCTTCAATATTTTTTGAATTTCAAGATGAGTTGTGTGGTTTATGATCAAATGTAGCCCTGGGGCCTTGCCGCAGCCTCAGCAGCAGGGGCCTCTGATCCCCCACATCACGACAGTGGCTACTCCTCTCAGTGATGTTGACGATCATGATGAAGATGAAGATAGTTATGGATACTGTGCCAGGCACTGTGCTAGAGGCTTTACTGAGATTTCTTTATTTAATCCTTCCAACAGTCCTATGAGGTAGATTCTACTATTATTCGTTACCAAGAATTAAGAAGCTAAACAACACCCAAGTCCACAGTGTAGCTGCCTTCATCAATGAGGATCATCTAAAAGCAAAGCCTGTTGAGGTCTCATCCTTTACACTCTAATACCACCCATCCTAGAAGTCTCCAAGCAAAGAAGAATTTATACCTCAGGCTGGAAGTTAGATTTAACAATTCTGCATGCCTCTACAGCTTGGAATTCTGTAAATTTAGCCCCATGAACATAGAACACTGATGTAAAGGGCCCTTGCTTTAAGCGGAAGGGTTTTTTTCAGGAACAGGCAACTTGATGGAACCAAAGTGAGCACAATCAACCCTAGAATGTTGTACTTGTATTATTAATAATTTTTAAAAGTATTTTGGATTATTAAGTTATAACAATGCAGCAAAAACTAGAATTTTCCCCCATTTCGCTCTCATCACCTGTTTCTGTTCCCAGAACTCGTAAAATTTCCATTTTCTAATATCACATTTTACAGAGCTCTTGTCCATAATGCAGACCACATCCTTTTAGCATTTACATCCTAGCAGGTAAATAACATTAATTTTAAGAAGTTCCCATCATATGCTTCTTAAGAACTAGCTAAAGTCTATATATAGTGCAAATGCTTGGGCCTGTCTAGACCACCAAAAGGAGCTATTCTGACATAGAACATTGGGGAAAGTTTGTTGAATTGACAGCCCCCTCGTATCCATTGGTTTCAAAATATCTTGTTGCAACTTCACATCTTAAATTGTGTCCATTTTGCCCACAAAGTAATTACAGAGACCTGTAGATGGACAGCATGGGCAAATGGAGCTCAGCTGTTCAGTCCCTACATCAGCTCAAGCCTAGGGGCCAGAAAGTTCTACCCTTGCTTAGAAAAGTTACAGAGGGTAATGTGTCTGCATTCATAGAATAATATTTAGTATCTAAGCATAGGGGGAAAAATAAATGTATGTCAGCAAAGTGCTCAGTGTCCAAAACATTTAGGCCCTCAATAAATGGTAGTTGTCACCATTGTTGTGGTGGTGACAGTGGCCATCATGGGCATTTTTCCATAACCTGGGTATCTTTCCCTCACCAATCTTTTCCTTAGCCATTTAATGACTGTATAGTATTCCCTTGTAGAGATATTTTGTAATTTATTTATTCATCTGTATTTTCTGAATGTCTTAGAGTATTATGTATCACATAAGTAATAAAATATATTTTTAACTGGTACTTGCAGCCACTTGTTCTTGCTACCAAAAAGATCATAATCAGGTTGAAAAGTTATCTATTGAGTACAATGTTCATTATTCAGGTGATGAGGACTCTAACAGCCCAGACTTCACCATGACACAATATATGCATGTAAGAAATCTGTACCTGCACTCCCTAAATATATTTTAAAATAAAATTTTGAAAGATAATCAGATATTGTAGCCGGGCACAGTGGCTCACGCCTGTAATCCTAGCACTTTGGGAGCTGGAGGTGGGCAGATCACGAGGTCAGGAGTTCAAGACCAGCCTGGCCAACATGGTGAAACCTCATCTCTACTAAAAATACGAAAAAAAAAAAAAAAATTAGCCAGGCATGGTGGTGTGCACCTGTAATCCTAGCTACTTGGGAGGCTGAGACAGGAGAATCGCTTGAACCTGGGAGGCGGAGGTTGCAGTGAGCCGATGAGATCATGCCACTGTACTCCAGCCTAGGCGACAGGGTAGTTTTTTTCTTTTTTTTTTTTTTTTTTAATTATTATACTTTAAGTTTTAGGATACATGTGCACAACGTGCGGGTTTGTTACATATGTATACATGTGCCATGTTGGTGTGCTGGACAGGGTAGATATTGAAAGTAAAGTACTCATGGCCGGGCTCAGTGGCTCACACCTGTAATCCCAGCACTTTAGGAGGCAGAGGTGGGTGGATGACCTGAGGTCAGGAGTTCAAGACCAGCCTGGGCAACCTGGTGAAACCCCGTCTCTACTAAAAATACAAAAAGCAGCCGGGCGTGATGTTGGGCACCTGTAATCCCAGCTACATGGGAGGCTGAGGCACTACAATCTCTTGAACCCAGGAGGTGGAGGTTGCAGTGAGCGGAGATCGTACCACTGCACTCCAGCCTGGGTGACAGAGTGAGGCTCTGTCTGAAAAAAAAAGAAAGTACTCATTAAACATACACACTTTTAAATATAAAATGTGCTATTTTTAGGATTATTGAAGAAAGTCTCACCTAGCTGATCTTTAAATAACAACAAATTTCCTACATTATTACTAAGCATCTTAGAGAGACTTAGCAAATAGTGACACCCTTCTAAATTGAGAACATTAAATCTCTTTGTTTATTCTTTGCAATGTTTAGCAGCAATCAGACTGCAGAGATTAATGTTATGCTGGTTAACTCATGTCATTAAGAGCCCGAGTGAGAATTTTAGCCTGAACCCTTACGTAAACATGGGGTCCTCAACAGTGTCTCCTATTCTATACCCGGCTGGGCAAATGGGCTATTTTAGAAGCCACAGAGACATGTAAATAGGCATAACTATTTGGGGAATCATGGGGTCACTGAAAGATAGTTTCTTATCTATTTTATTTTGAAAAACATCTAAAATATCAAATAAACTTTTTAAAAGCACATAATAATTTCAAAGCTATTGTAATGGATCTCTTCTCACAATATACAGGAGTTTTCGTTTTTTGGTTTTTTGGCTTTTCGTTTTTGTTTTTGTTTTTGTTTTTTCCTGAAACAAGAGTTTCACTCTTGTTGCCCAGGCTGGAGTGCAATGGCGTGATCTCAGCTCACTGCAACCTCCGACTCCCTGGTTCAAGTGATTCTCCTGCCTCAGCCTCCCAAGTAGCTGGGATTACAGGTGTACACCACCATGCCCAGCTAATTTTTGTATTTTTAGTAGAGACACGGTTTCACCATGTTGGCCAGGCTGGTCTCAAACTCCTGACGTCAGGAGATCCTCCTGCCTCGGCCTCCCAGAGTGCTAGGATGACAAGCAAGAGCCACTGCGCCCAGCCTGGACTTTTTGTTTTTGTTTTTGTTTTTGTTTGTTTTGTTTTGGCAAATGGAATATTTCACATATCCAGCTCTAAAATGAACTAAAAGCTTTTATTTTTCATTGGAAGTTTCATTGAAGTTTTTCTGAAAACCGTGTTTCTCTTCTAAATGTGTGAATAAGTTACAGCTTTGCTACACATCTTATTGTGTCTTCCTGTTACTTTTGGTGTGACATTTGCCTTGTTTTGTTTTAAGACACAGTCTAGCTCTGTCTGGAGTGCTGTGGCACAATCTCGGCTCCCTGCAACCTCCACCTCCCAAGTTCAAGCCATTCTCCTGCCTCAGCCTCCCGATGAGCTGGGATTACAGGTGCCCACCGTCACTCCCTGCTAATTTTTGTATTTTTTTAGTAGAGACAGAGTTTTGCCATGTTGGCCAGGGTGCTGGCCTCCCAAAGTGCTGGGATTACACGTGTGAGCCACCACACCCGGCCTGCCTTGTTTTAATTACACAGTTATTTCAAGGCTTTTGAAAGGCACTGGTGTGGGAGGGAGAAAGCTTATCCAGCAACTTAAGCAACACTTTGCAAAGGGCCATTTCAGTCCACCGCAGAGACCATGAGAGCATGGAAGGATTGTGCCGTCACAATATATATATCCCAGCCCTTACCCACAGGATCCCTTCTACTGTTTTGTAAATTAAAATGTAACTGTTACATGCTTTGTCTTTGGCATTTCAGACTTGTGTCTGTGAAACTATGAGTGCGACTTAACTCCATCTGTGTCATGAATGTGTGTGTGGTAGTAATAAAGTTGGTGCCTGAATCTATTCCTTAAAACAAAATGGGATGAGAGCAAATCGACGTATCCAGCTCCTGAAAAGAACTTCAGATACAATAATAACCTCCAAAAAGTCTTTCAGTTCACAGATTTGGAAAACAGAATGTTTGGATGAAATGCTCTCAGGCAGTTAGAGTTGTTCCCCAGGGACCCATCAATGGACGTAGCCCACAGTAGTGGCTGGTGCTAAAAACTGCAGGTGTAGATAAAACTGGAGGGCCTTCTGTCAAACTCTGGCCAAGAATCTTGCAGTTTGGGAAATGCCACAAGAGGACATGTTTGCAACAATACAGAAATGGCAGACGAGAAGCAAAGAACAGACTTTTCCTACACAGGGGCCCAGCAGGTACACGCAAAACACATAGTGTTCAGAGAGGGTACACACATCAGCTCCACTGGAAGATGGTTTGAAATAATGGCTTAAGGGCACCAGTTCAGGCTGGGCACGGTGGCTCAGGGCTGTAATCCCAGCACTTTGGGAGGCTGAGGCAGGAGGATCACTTGAGGTCAGGAGTTTGAGACCAGCCTGACCAACACAGTGAAACCCCGTCTCTACTAAAAATACAAAAATTAGCCAGGTATGTTTGCTCATGCCTGTAGTCCCAGCTACTCAGAAGGCTGAGGCAGCAGAATCGCTTGAACCCAGGAGGTAGAGGTTGCAGTGAGCCGAGATCACACCATTGTACTCCAGCCTAGGCAACAGAGCAAAGACTCTGTCTCAAACAAACAAACAAAAAAAGAGCACCAGTTCTAGAGTCAGAGGGACACGAGCTGGAATCCAGGCTTAGCCTCTTCCAGGCTGTGTGACCTGGGGCTAATTAATTAATCACTCTGAGCTTCAGTTTCCTCATTTACGAAACAGGAATACTATTAGTACCTGCTTCACAGGGATAGGTGTGAGTGCTTATTACGATTGGTGCAGACAAATAAGCCAAGGTCGCATACGCAGAGGCTATTCTACCATTAGTCGAGTCCCCCAAATCACACATAATAAAACAACAGCAATGACAGTGCTGCTGCAAGAAGAAGAAAAGTATTTTTAAAAACTATAATGTTATAGTCTTAAAGAATTTTAAAAGACTGTAGGAATTTTTGAGGGCCACCAGAGAAGTTTGCTGGACTCCCACAATCCCCAAGTTATAATTGGAAAAATACAACTTCTCTATAAAAGCTATTTTTCTTGGCCGGGCGTGTTGGCTCACGCCTGTAATCCCAGCACTTTGGGAGGCCGAGGCAGGTGGATCACTTGAGGTCAGGAGTTCGAGATCAGCCTGACCAACCTGGTAAAACCCCATCTCTACTAAAAAAAAATACAAAATTAGCCAGCCATGGTGGCACATACCTGTAATCTCAGCTGCTTGGGAGGCTGAGGCAGGAGAATCACTTGAACCAGGGAGGCAGAGGTTGCAGTGAGCCGAGATCGCACCATTGCACTCCAGCCTGGGCAACAAGAGCAAAACTCCATCTCAAAAAAAAAAAAAGAATTCTACTAAATGTCCAAACAAAAGAAGTATCCACGAAGTCTGAAAACAGGAGAATGCATAATAGTTTACTGATACTACAATTTGTGACAGAATTACATTATCTCATTTCCAGAGTTTTGGCTACCTGGTATTTGGTGGACGGCACTAATGACTTTCTCAGTGCTGTGCAGAAAATGTCTATCTCCTCCGTGGTGACTCTGAGAACAAATCACAGAGATCTGAATCCTATTTGTGGGGTCAGAAGCCTTTCCTGAGAAAGTGATATTTGAGCTGACATCTGAAGGATGTGTCCCTAAAGGGACAGAGGGGACTTCTTGGGCAATGGATCTATGGTGGGGGGAGTCATTGAAAGAAGAATCAAGGGGACAATAATTGGAGACAGGGTAAGAGAGGCAGGCAGGGCCAGGGTTCTGTGTTCTTGTGCATTTGTGTGATGGTGAGAGTGTGCATGTATGTATTATTTTTACAAAGCAGATACTGAACCCAAATTGTTTCACAGCTTGCTTTTCTATTAACTTAACATTATATCATAAACAACTTTCCTTGTTGTTATGAATTCTAATACACATTTTTCTTTCTTTTTTTTTTTTTTTTGAGATGGAGTCTTGCTCTGTCGCCCAGGCTGGAGTGCAGTGACATGATCTCGTCTCACTGCCACCTCCACCTCCTGGATTCAAGCGATTCTCCTGCCTCAGTCTCCCAAGTAGCTGGGATTACAGGTGCCCACAACCACTCCTGGCTAATTTTTTTGTATTTTTAGTAGAGATGGAGTTTCGCCATGTTGGCCAGGCTGGTCTTGAACTCCTGACCTCAGGTGATCCACCCGCTTCAGCCTCCTAAAGTGCTGGGATTACAGGCAAGAGCCACCACACCCAGCCCACATTATTTTTAATGACAGCATATAACACCATTATACAGTCAAGTCATAATTCATTTATCCAATCTCCTATCATTCAACTTTGAAATAGTTTCCATTTTTTCACTACAGTAAATGACACTAAAGAGAAGACCCTTTGTAATTCAGTCTTTGCACTCTTCCACTATTATTTGCTTTGGATAAATTACTCAAACCACAGTTGCTGGGTAAATGGGTGTGCACACTTTTAAATTCCTTTCTCTCTCTCTTTCTTTCTTTCCTTCTTTCTTCTTTCTTTCTTTCCTTCTTTCTTCTTTCTTTCTTTTTGTGAACTGACAAATCATTCTCAGAAAAGCTTCTGCCTCTTTGTACTCACAATCAGTATGACTTTTCTTTAAATGTCAAGACAAATGGAAAGTCACTTTATTTCACTATTTTCTAGCACAATACATTATACCAGAGGTGAGGGAAAGGGTTGGGAGGAAGAGATCTCCAATTGCTCAGGGATATTTCATTGAGACAAAACAGCAAAACTCATCCGTCAGGCAATAGTTTCCAGTAAGTACCCATCATCTATCCACAGTATAGATCTCTCTGGGAGCAAACATTTAGGTGCCATATAATTCAGGAGTCATTGTCGAAACAGATCAATGGGTCTTGCACATGATAACAAGCTTTCACCCGCAATTGAGAGCTGGGGAGTCTGTGCCTCTCTGTAGAGCAACCTGGACCGTGAATGGCAAATCACCATTCAGCCCTCGGTGAGAGGCAGCACTTTCCCTTTCAAGCCCAGCCCTGAAGCAGCGGAAAAGGGAAGCAGTGTGGCTTTGTGGTTTGATTAGAGGACTGGGCCATTACAACTTCAAGTTCTCTTTGGGCTCTGCCAATGACTTCTCCGACGGCCTCAATGCTGTCTGTCTGTCTCCTTCTTCTCAGCAGTAAAATGGAGACAAGAATGCTAGCTTCTTCCACATAAAGAATACAACCAAATGCTTGAAGACTTTTAACACATCTGGGCATCCATAAAGGAAACTTTGCTGCCCAGAGCAATTCATTTTTTTTTTTTTTAATCACCATTGTATCAGAGGTTTTGTTGCTTCGGAGAAATCTAAGTTTAATGGTTATGTATAAGAAACGGGGCAAGCTGGGCACGGTGGCTCACGCATGTAATCCCAACACTTTGGGAGGCCGAAGTGGGCACATCACTTGAGGTCAGGAGTTCAAGACCAGCCTGGCTGACATGGTGAAATCCCATCCCTACTAAAAATACAAAAATTAGCCAGTTGTGGTGGCAGGCACCTGTAACCCCAGCTAGTTGGGAAGCTGCAGCAGGAGAATCACTTGAACCCGGGAGGTGGACATTGCAGTGAGCCAAGATTGTGCCACTGCACTCCAGCCTGGGCAATACGGCGAGACTCAGTCTTAAAAAGAAAAAAAAAGAAAAAAAACAAATGGGGCAAATTGTCTCTTCCCTGTCTCCACTATGACCAAGTAAGCATAATACTTTATATTAATTACATATTAATATTTTCATATTAAAATAAGAAGCTTATTGGAAGTATGAAAATAAGGTACAATAAATGTGTGTTTATAATTAAAGAAAGATAATAACTTATTGTTGAATGAAAAAGATAATGAAAGCGATATGATCATTTTTGAAAATCGTGAGCACATATATATGTAATACATTAACATAATAAAAAAAAATCTAGAGGCATACAAAAAATTTTCAGGTGGTTGTCTGTGGATTTTCCACTTCTTCCTTTGGCCTGTCTCTATTTTCCGATTTTTCTACAATGAACACTTGAGTGCTAAATGAATTACTTGAGTGCTAAAAATTATTTTAAAGTAAGTGATGAATATTTTAGAGGACAATGATCTTTGTGAACCTAAATAGAAAATAAACCAGGAAGCTTTTATATTATATATATGGACACGATCCAAAACTGAGTAATATGAAATATTTGTTTTCATTGGAAAGAAGTAAGTAAATCAAGAGGAGCAAGCATTTCCTGACTTGAAGTAGACACGTTCAGAGACCTGGTTAGAAACAATTACCGACTTTTGTATAACATCTTAGAAAACTCTGTCTCTAATTGTTGTTACAGATCAGGTTCTCCTTCTCTGCAGATGATGCAGATTTTAGTTCCAACCACAGACCTAGCTGAAGGTGAGATGGAGCATCTAAATACTCATTTCCTCTTCATATTCCAGTAGCAGTAGACAACCCAGCACCTAGCACCATGAAGTCTCATGTAACGTGAGACTCTCCTGCCAGAACACACGGGCCCATGAATACCCAGTATAAGCCTATTGTGCTAAGTAACATGGAGCCACATGGCATCTCCATCCGTGACCACGGCAATAACAAGCCTATACATGGTGGCTCCCACGGACTGCTTGCTCATACCACTCTGGGGAAGAGATCAAATAAAATACTGAAAGGATAAAATAAATAACTGCTTTTAACCTGACCCCCTCTACTGGTATGCACTCCACTTTTGCTTTGAGAACCAGCCCTTTCTGAGTGGAGACAATTTTGGTGAGCCTGTCAATCAAGAGTCCTGCCCTGTTCTGGTTGATGGTGTGACATAGGCCAGGCCCATGCTCTCTACATAGAAACAGGATCCTGAGTGCACTGACAAGACCTGCAGGAGTTCAACCTGAAAGTACAGTCCTGGCTGGGCGCAGTGGCTCACACCTATAATCCCAGCATTTTGGGAGGGCGAGGTGGGTGGGAATCTTGAGGCCAGGAGTTTGAGACCAGTCTGGGCAACATGGCAAAACCCTGTCTCTACTAAAAATACAAAACCTAGCCAGGCATGGTGGTGTGCACCCGTAGCCCCAGCTGCTCGGGAGGCTGAGGCAGGAGAATCGCTTGAACCCGGGAAGCAGAGGTTGCAGTGAGTCGAGACCATGCCATTGCACTCCAGCCTGGGCGATAGAGCGAGACTTTGTGTCAAAAAAAAAAAAGAAAAGAAAGAAAGAAAGAGAAGAAAAAGAAAGAAAGAAAGTACAGTTCCTTTATTCCTGCTCCTTCTGAACTGTCTGCTTTCTGTCGTTCCTTGAGATTTTCAGCCTTTCTTAAATTCTGTAAGCTTCTGCATGTTTCTAGTAAATTTTTTTTTTGTTTAAGTTACACTTAATTTCTTTTGTCACAACCAAGGAACCCAAAGAGATACTAAGCCTCATTTATGGACTACTTTCCCATCCAGCCCTTGGATTCACTGCAAAGTCACAAGATGACACCAGATAATTGCATGTGCATTTTAAAAATGTGTGCCTGGAGGCTGATGACAAGAGGTCAGAAAATATCTATTATTCACTGAAAATGCAATGAATGCAAATCAATGTGTATTATAATACTCAACTCCAAAAAATAGCACACTTTTGAGATTAAGATGAGTCCCCTCTACTATCATCTGCTATAAGAAGAAAAACATTCTGAAGTGTAACTAATGTAAAATAAGCTGGAATCCTGCAAAACATCCCCCAAAGCAATGAAGATGTGGTAGTAGCAAAAGTTTTAGTGACTCCCAAGTAAAGAGTTCTGAAAAGAGAGAAGGGGATAAAAGAAGCAAAGATGGGGCAACATATACAAACTGCTCTAGGCTGAGAATCAACAGAGCAGATCTGTAGGATGTAATTATGAAGCTGATGACTTCAGGAATTTCTAAACAGCATCACTCTGATTAAGAAAGGAGACAGCATTATTTCTCAACTCTCTCTTTCTTTGTCCAGATTCCCAGAAGACAGCCTGGCTGATTCTACCCACTAGTGATTGCTTTCCCCAAGGTTAGGTGTTCACCTACAGTCCAATCACCTGAGGACTGAGATGGACAGGGTCATGTAATATAAGGAGGTGCAGAGGTCAGCCCTGAGAAAGGAGAGGAGAGTTATGAGAAGTGATGGCAAGAGCCAAGAAAGAGGTATCAATTTGACCTCTGTAGCAATTTTAGAACAAGAGGGGGATTAGAGAAGAGGTCCCCTGTCAACTACCTGACCACATTATCACCTATAAAATAAGCTTTAAGATAGAAAGGGTCGGGCCGGGCACGGTGGCTCACGCCTGTAATCCCAGCACTTTGGGAGGCCGAGGAGGGTGGATCACGAGGTCAGGAGTTCGAGACCAGCCTGGCCAACATTGTGAAAACCTATCTCTACTAAAAATTCAAAAATTGGCTGGGCATGGTGGCAGGCATCTGTAATCCCAGCTACTCGGGAGGTTCAGGCAGGAGAATCGTATGAGCACGGGAGGCGGAGGTTGCAGTGAGCCGAGACTGCAACAGTGCACTCAAGCCTGGGTGACAGGGCAAGACTCCATCTCAGAAAATAAATAAATAAATAAATAAATAAATAAATAAAATAAAAAAGATAGAAAGGGTCATGTTAGATCATTCTCAAGGCCCTGCCAGCAATAGAGCATTGTGGCAAAGTTTCTGCAGTTTGAAGATTACTTCGTTAGTACACAAAGAACATTTATTCACAGCACGAATTTCAGTCGGGGCAGGCATATTGTATGGTGACAAGTAGAGCACAGACTTTGGAATCAGGCTCCCTGAGTTCAATCCTGGCTTACAGCGTACCTCTGGTTTCATGTAAGCATGCTAATACCACTTTGTATGTCTATCATGAGAGATAAATGAAATCACCGATGCAAAGGACTCATTGCAATGCCTAGAATTTTATTATTATGAGATATAAAAATTCCATTGTGAAGCTAGCAGGGAAAAAAATGCATGAACAAAACCATTTCTCTCTTTGCCTGATTTCAGTTTTTAATTTTATCATGAATTCATAATCTGCTATCAACCTTTTGCGACAGAAAATGCAATCTCAGAACTCATTCTTTTTCGCCATGACCTCTTAGGCTAAAATGAAGTGAACAAAGCAGAAATCTCTATTTTATCACAGAAGCATGGATAATTGATTGTTTTTTAAGTGATGAGGGAAAAGCAAGGAGGTTTCTCACTAAGCCCTGGTTCACACAGTGAATGTGAACACTGACTCCCTCCTCCACTGCTCCCCCCACCCCTGCTCACACCCTTCCTGCCTCCTGCCTGCTGCTAGTATCTCTCTAGCACTGTCCTAGCTCCTATGATGTACCCTCGCAGGAGTAGCTTCAATAGAAGGAAAAAATACACTTTCTATTGATTTCATTTCATATACATTTATGCTGTTGGTTGGCTGCTTTTATGTTACATCCAACCTTCAGAATTCAGGTTGGATATGTCACGTCATGATGCGCAGGGGGCATCGCGGCGTCAAAAAGAGACTGAGGCCTGCAGAGAGAGCGCCCCTGGACTTTAATGGGAGCCGAGTACAGTCAAAGGGAGAATTTTGCTTTCAGTGTATTTAACACTGCTTGCCTGGAGTTCTGCCTCCACAGGGGCTAACATCTGTGTAAAGACAGCAGGGAGAGGAGCTCCTGACCTAGGCCCTGCTGAGAACAAAGCCAGGACACCTGAGAATTGAAGGGCTCCCATCCTTCAAAGCTTTCCTAAGACAAGCATTGCTTATCATTCCCCTGCATGTCTTGATTGTTTTACTACCTATGCATGCATCACTAAACAATTTATACATAGCATTACTGTGCAAGTTTATAAAGTTGATATAAATGGCATCACATTATATGCCTTCTATTGCCACTTGCTCTTTTTGATCAACATTATGTTTTTGAGATTTATCCACATGGATCTAGTTCATTCATTTTAATAACTGCATAGCATTTTATTGCTCATGATACATTTCATTTCTTGAGTGATGGGTAACTTTGGTGTATGTTATATCCTCTTCTAAACTTTATAGCAGTCTGAAATATTTCATGATTTAAAAAATAAAGTGAGTGCTCTCTTTTGGGTTTTCCTGGATAACATAATGCTTCTGGCTGTTAATGGCTGTCCTAGTAGGCAAGAAAGCACAGCTTCCCACATATCCACATTCCTGGCTCTGTAAGCTTGAGCTCAGCCAGTAATCGTTTTGTAATAATACCTAGTGGTATTATTGAACATTTATGCTATGCCAGGCACTGTGCCCAGTGCTTTCAGAGGGTGATCTTGTTTAATCCTCATAACAATCCTACGGGGAGGAGGGTGTCATTATTATCCTCTGTTTACAGCTAAGAAAACTGAGGCTCAGAAGTTTGGTAACATGGCCAACTTCTCACAGCTAGGAAGGTGCAGAGCCAGGATTTGAAAGCAGGCCTCTAGGATTTGTGTTCTCACAACCATACCATTGCTTCCTAGTTGGGAGAGTGAGGGATGCCTTCGGCTTGGTTTGGATGCTGTCAGTTTGCCTGTTCCCTCCCACAAGATACTCTCACCCAGACACCAATTGTAGGATGGAAATGTAAAAGGAGCACTGAGAATGTAACCTTCATCCAAATCCTTCTTCATTACAGTTTTGATGAAGAAACCACCCTTTCAGATGCACCACTGAATGTAGGCATTTGCCCAGCCTCCATCCTTCCAAACAAAGCTCACTAGGGCTTGGGACCTACCACAAAGGTTGGCTGACAGGCTTTTTGGGGCCAGACCTTTAGATCTTTGAGATTTTTCTCTAAATGAGGTTATACTTAAAGTCACTGTCATTCTTATTCTTTTCCCTCTTCACTTGTCTTCCTTCTTTTCTTCCTTTTCTTTAAATTCAAATAGCATTTACATTATTTAAGGTGAGGATTTAAAATATGCCAGTTTCATAGTTCCATCTTAGTATTTTTTCTGAAAAAATTTTATGTATATTTAGGAGCCTTTAAAACAGACGTGGCCTGGACGACTGAGAAGGTTTGCTTTGACTCTGCTGCAGAGGGAAGGTCCAGAGTCTCGTAGGTCCCACTGTGTGCTGAGAATTCCATCTGATGCCCTGGATAACCCTCAAGCCTTTGCAACAGCCAGACTAAATAAAGACTCTTGAGTGATTCTGAATTCACTATCTGCAGAAGGCCTGTTAAAGGGTAACATGAAGGATATCAGTGCTTGTGTTTGTTTGTTTCACTGTATGTCCAATCCAAATTAGCACTGGCTGTGGATGAGTAACCACTGAAAATTGCTGTTGCTCAGCCAAGCTGACAGGTGACACTTCTCAACTGCAACCTTCCTCCAAAACCTACTATTAATTCTATTCTGCAACTGTGCTACCAAAATCCAAACCAATCAGTGTAAAAACAATTAAACCTCATGCCTCTGAAAAATCATCATCTGATTAATCAATCAGACAAGATTGCTTTTGGCCAGGTGCGGTGGCTCACACCTATAATCCCAGCACTCTGGGAGGCCAAGGCTGGTGGATATCTTGAGGTCAGGAGTTTGAGACCAGCCTGGCCAACATGGTGAAACCCTGTCTCTACTAAAAAAACTACAAAAATCAGCTGGGCATGGTGGCATGCACCTGTAGCCCTAGCTACCTGGGAGGCTGAGGCAGGAGAATCAGTTGAATCCGGGAGGCAGATGCTGCAGTGAGCCGAGATCATGCCACTGCACTCCAGCCTGGGCTACAGAGTGAGACTCCAACTCAAAAAAAAAAAAAAAGATTGCTTTCTAGCCAAGGATCTGATCTGCTGTTTTAATAATTTCAAACATTCTGAGCAAGACTGCTGCTCCTTTTAAAAGACTGCTGTAACTTCAGGCACTTGTGACAAAACCTGGGTGAATTATTAGACAATTTCACGCTGGTTTGCAGAGTGATTACAACAAGTGGCCCTGAATGATAGCATATGTTATAAAGAGATGGAGCCTTTCAGTTATAAAAGATGTATCAATCAGGGGAAAGCAAATACAAATTAAAGTTTGATGAGCAATTGGATATTAATTGGTACTAACTCTGCTTTTTATGTCACTTTGATATGGAGTGGATCATAAACATGGTAAGCGATACTAATAATGTATATTCACTTCAATGCAACTTAATGGCTCCATTTATTAAAGAAACCAATGCTGGGATTGAGTTGTGAGTGCACTAGTGAGCACTTTTCCTGTTGTATACCTTTATCTAACTCTTGCCAGGCAGGCTCTCCGCCACAATCTGCAGGGTACATTGCAGTTGTTTAGACATCTAGGAGTCATTGCCTAGTTTTTTCTTTATGCATCAGTTCTAAATTACAGTCAAAACAAATGTAACAGCAAACTAGGGCTTTGTATTTTTTTCTAGACTTTTTTTTTGTTTTAATAAGCTGCCTGCTCTTTACTGAATTTAGACAGCAATCTCAAGGGAAGGAATGTCATCTTGTTGTCATTAAGTAGACACCAAGTAGACATCATAGTGTAGAACTATAAATAGCCAAAATGTTTTATATCAAATACAACCCAATTTTGTCTCAAATATAAAATTATTTTTTTAATTTTAAAAATAGAAAGATGACATAATCACTAGTGAAAAAACCTACCTTTTTCAAAATTAAAATGCAAGTTTACTGGATAATCAGTTTTATAGTGTCCTTTTCTCCTTTAACAATCCCTTCGGACCATTTTTAAATTTTTCTTTTACCTGGATTCATAGCTCAGTTCTGCCATTTCTTTACTATGTGATCCTGGACAAATTACTTAACCTCTCCGTGCTTCTGTTTTTCTTCTTTGTAAAATGGGCATAATAATACGTACCTTAAGGATCATTGTAAAACTAAATGAGACTTTTTAAAAAACATTCTTTAAAATCATTATTTAACACTTAGCACTATGCCTGACAAGTCCTCAAAAAAGTTAGCTATTTTTATTATGGCAATATTATTTATAATTGGTGGGGTCTATTCAATCATATTGCTCTCCTGTAATTTATTTAATCAATTTGCTACTGCTGGCCCTTCAGGATGACACAGACATTTTTCATTAATACCTGGCATTATTACCTTGGGATAAATCCTCAGGAGCCAGTATGCCCAAGAAAATTTCTAGGAAATACAGCTTCTCTTTTCTGCAATGGTTGCCATTACTCAGAGTTTTAGCACAGACATTTGGGAGATATGACACTTTAGCACTACCTTTGAGGCACCCACTTCTGTATAATACACTTATTCTACTAGTTTAGTTTGTTGTTTTGTTTTTAAACCATCCACAATTTGCCTTTGTTTGGGTGAAGTATAGTCCAGTTTAGAGCTAGGCTGAACAATTTTCTTGAGATCCCTGGGAAGACCAAGAAGACATTCTGTTGACATTTGGCAGGTAAGTTTTACCTACTCTATGTGTCAGAACCAAACAAACACTGATGCGCATTTGATTTTTTTCTTGGAAGAAAACCTAACAATGAATTAGGCTAAAGCCTTCAAGCGAAGTATTTCACTGGGCTATTTGCCTCAGAACCTATATTTTTATAGCCTGTTCATTAATTGTGAACAGATTATTTAAAAGGGATGTTTTATAATAGTAATATTAATAAATATTAAGGGTGGAAACTAAAAATTAAACCAGGGCAAAGGTTCCACTGTATGTATATCAACTCAGAGCGGACCCCCAGCAGGCAATGAAATGGGGCTGTTTTACAAAGCAAAGGGAGGAAGGAGGTCAGGTGCAGGAATAGGCAGGATCCTGGTGTTTTGAATCTGTTTGATTAAAAGGCAGGTTTGTGTAGAGAATTAAAGAAACAAATCATAGAATGGACACCTTGTGATGTAAGGCCCTTCACAAACAAAAGACATGTGTTGCATCTCATTAAAACAGGTTTTCTTTTATTGCCACTGATGGATTCGGATGTCATAATTTTCCCTCAAAAGTAAATGGCCTATTTTCAAAATAGGTGGAGAGTCTGTGCTCCTTATATCTGATCTTAATTCAAGAAATATATCTAACTGTAGTCTAACAAGAGTCAGTCTCAGAAGAAATTAATGAGGAACATCCATTAATTATTTATGCTCTGAAACAGTAGGTCTGCTAATGTTTCTGCTAATCACCAAAGCTAAACAGATGTATCTTCATAAAGACAATCTTGAAAAATAGAATGAGTATAAAAGAGATACAAATAGAAAAAATATGGATATGTATGGCGATGACAGGAAATAACAGTGAATGCATCACTGCTCCTAAGACAATATTTGTTTAAAGTGCAAAGCATAGTAAAATTGTCAGAGTGAGTTCTGTTCATGATTTCTAGTATTTAAATACTATAGTAAGCAATAATAATAGGAGTTGAATTTATAGGGACTAAAACTAATGCTAGAAAATGAAAAGAATCCTACTTTTTAAAACAGCATTTAGAAAGCTGTCCAATTTCCATAAACATTCTAAAAGCAGCATCTTTCATGGATGTTAAATGAATGGTAAGGTTGTAAATTTTAAAGTCATCATTTATAAATGCAAAATTATTCTAACCTTTATTTCTGCCTCCATACAAATTTGGTCAGAATTAAATCTGTTGGTCCCTTTATGGAGTTGCAAAGATGGTGTTATCACAGCACCCCTTATGGTTCTGTGATCTGCAGTATGGAGTAGTAGTTAAAGTGGAGCCATTTCTGAAACCAGATCATCTAAACGTAAATTTTAGCTCTACCATTTACTAGCTTTGTAACTTGGGTAAGTTAACCTCTCAGTATCTTAACTTCCTCACTGGCAAAATGGAATAATAAGAGTACCCACCCCAAAAGGTTATAAAATGGGTTCTTAGGACAGTCCAAAAGAAGTGCTGAGTTTTTGTGAGTTATTATTATTATCAAGATGGCCTTATTATCGTCCATGCATGAGAATGACAATACTGGGTATGTTTCCTAGAATTCACATTTTGTATAGCTGCAGCTTTCACGATGGAATGATAGTGACAGGCTCTAGGTTGCCTCCTAACTCATATTCCTAGTCATGATGTTCTCACAGTCCTTTGAATAGAATACAATTCCCTTCATAGTCCAAGGGAGATTTGAAGGACGGTTGGTATCAATGTGGTGATCAGTACAGGGGCCACAGGAGGCATGGCTTGAAAATTTGGTCCTTTTTCCAGTGTTCTGCCTCCAACCCATGCTGGAGACTGGGGATTAGGTCCTTTCAATGGCACTTTTGTCACTCGGATCTTTTATCCAAATTGTCACAGGGGGTGTGTCTTTGCACTTCTTTGGAAAGGTCACCTATGTCCTGCCTGCTGTCATCAGTATATGACATCAGTGATTCTAGAAAGTACTTCCCATTCTGCATGCCAGAATCACTTGGGGAAGTTTAATATATATATTTAATAATATATTTATTGTCCAGGCGCAGTGGCTCATGCCTGTAATCCCAGCACTTTGGGATGACCAGGTGGGCAGATCACTCAAGATCAGGAGTTTGAGACCAGATGATAGGTTTTGTTGTTTAATAAAACACAGAAGTGACACATAAAGCTTTGGCTGTATGTGGGTTTTGTTTTGTTAGTACAACTAATGGCATGTGGGCTTTGCCCAGCCCTGTGTATTTTCCCCACATTTCATAAGCTACTGTTCAAAGGCAGTGATTCTTAACATCTTGGGTCACTGCACATTTGACCTAAAGAGTGTTGTTTATGAAAGATCCGCTGTCACAAATTAGGGTGGATTTGAGGTTATCCCTTCTAATGAACTCTCTCTCCCTCACTTGCATTCTCTAATGCTTTCTTGCATGGAGAGAAGAGGCAGTTCTATTGCTGTGCATAAACTGGCATCCTGTTTAATCTCTACAGCAGTCTAGGGAGTGAGTGCCACTGATAGTCCATTAAAAAAGGTGGTTGAAATATTCATTTGCTTACCAGAAAAAAGTCAGGGGTGGGGGGCTATTTTTAGCTCATCATGACCATGTATTGCTCACATGATCATGCAGTACATATCGAGTGGGGTACAGCAAGACCCTGCTCTAGCCTTCAGCGGGCCAATGGCATGTTCTCCTATGAGCCAGAATGACTGTCTCACCTTTCAAGCTAGAACCCCTCGCTGGCACAGGTCCTCCTTCATCCCACAGTCGACCTCTCCCTAATGCCCGTATGCCTTTTCCTCTCTGCCTGCTCAACAGGGATGGCCTCAGCCTTGGACTTACAGGAGGTTGTAGAGGAAATAAAGACATGAAACAACACAAGAACAGTAGATTCCTTTGATATCATCCTCCCTCTTTTCCACCCACCCCCATGAACATACCCCTTTAGCATCAATGATCCCAGAAGCAGCTGGTAGGATGTGAAATTAAAATAGAAATACCACAAAGAGAAGACAGCCTATGACCAAAAACCAAGCTCCCTGTAAGTAGCACATTACCTCATTCATCCAAATGTGGGGAAAATACACAGAGCTGGGCAAAGCCCACATGCCATTAGTTGTACTAACAAAACAAAATCCACATGCAGCCAAAGCTTTCTGTGTCACTTCTGTGTTTTATTAAACAACAAAACCTATGAGCCATGTAACAGGCGCTGTTTTTTGGTCACAGACCAACTGAATTCTAAGAGCTGCTCAGCTGTATGGCAACGTTTAGGTCTTTCTACCCACACTGGCCATGTTTCTATTTCCCTCTCCACATATTCCTGATCTGCAGCACATGCTTATTTGCTGTATTGTCTGTAAAAATGTGTAAGCTCTCACAGAGCAGAATGCAATTAATCTGAAATAGAAACACAGACTCTTTATAAACCACAAAAATGAAAAAAACGTGGGGGAGTGATATATATTTTGATGACTACCAAAACTGGTGATACTTATGTGTCTTGTGCCACATGGTAGCAAAACTTTCTAAGGTGCCTATGCACATATTCAAAATTATGATTTCCAGACCACTCTTTCACTTATCACAATTTCCTCTCAGGTATTTTTACTCTAGAACAGATACTATCACCTTTAAAAAGCAACATCCAGAACTGCACCTATTACTAAAGTATCTATAGAGTATTTAAATAACAAATAAACCAGGTAGTGGGAGAAGGAAGAAAATTAAGCAGCTATTTTAGAATTTCTCTTCTTCCCAGTGTTGCCAGCCTCTGTTGGGAAAAAGGAGTTAATTTTCATAAAAACCTGAGCACTAAGCTTATGCAAAGTCAACATGTATGGGGAGAAATAGCAAGGATGTTTCCTCTGTGTTTATCATATAATTTATTACCCTCCTGAAACAAATGTGCAGATGACACTCATTTATTCCTGACATAATGCGGTAGGTGGTAAAGTTCTTCAAAAATTGTGTGAGTTGCTTTTTAGTATTACTACCAATTCATGAAGTAGCAATAGCAAATTATCTTTACCCACCTCAAAGTCCCAGTCTCTCATGCACTTTGTAATCTTATTTACAATAACTTTGTAATGCAACTTTGTAATCTTTGTATTCTCTAGTAGGAAGTGCTAGAACAATGTAAAAGTTTGAATGATTACATAATCCTTACATTTGTTGCCTGAAAAAAGTGTCCTGTTGGCTATAACATAGGCTTTTTCCTGCAGGTGCTTACCCTTTGGGGTGACAGTGGAGTGTTAGAATGGAATCCACAGGTAATATTAAAAAGTCCCCTCCCCTAATATTCCAGATCTAGTCTAGATAAAGCCATTATTAAAAATTTCACACCTGCTATCCTGTTTTGATTTGAAATTTGAAGAACAACTTTGCCTCTGGCTTCTGGGTAGTCACATTAAGTTAATCACTCCAGCAACAAGAAAGAAGAATAAAGCAGAAAATGAAGCAGAGGGACTCCCTGTGAATTAAGCATAGGGCCCCTGACTATCCTGGAGGAAATCTATGTGGCTACGGCCTCCCTTCTTCTTAAAGGGGTATCCTTTGCTATAGGGAATGGGTTTTTTTTTTTAAAAAAAGGTTATGAATAGAGAGGTGATATCCTAAGGAAGTATAAAATTGAGATATAAAAACAGCCTCATAGAAAAGTCTTTCTCTGAGAAAATATTTGCAAACTATGTATCCAACGAAGGATTAGTATCTAGAATCTACAAGGAACTCAAAAAAAATCACCAAAAGAAACCATAAATAATCCCACTAAGAAGTAGGCAAAGGGCTGGGCACGGTGGCTCACACCTGTAATCCCAGCACTTTGGGAGGCGAAGGCGGGCAGATCACTTGAAGTCAGGAGTTCAAGACCAGCCTGGCCAATATGGTGAAACCCCATCTCTACCAAAAATATAAAAAATTAGCTGGGTGTGGTGGCGCGGCACCTGTAATCCCAGCTACTTGGGAGGCTGAGGCAGGAGAATAGCTTGAACCTGGGAGGTGGAGGTTGCAATGAGCTGAGATCATGCCACTGCACTCCAGCCCAGGAAACAGAGCAAGACTCCATCTCAAAAACAAACAGAAAAAAAAGTGGGCAAAGGTGGCCAGGCGTGGTGGCTCACGCCTGTAATCGTAGCACTTTGAGTGGCTTAGATGGGCAGATCACTTGCTGCCAAGGAGTTTGAGACCAGCCTGGCCAACATGGTGAAACCCCAACTCTACTTAATTTAATAATTTAAAATAAATGTATAAAAATAATAAAAATTTCTTAAAGTGAGCAAAGGATATGAATAGACATTTCTCAAAAGAAGACGTACGAATGCCCAACACACATATGAAGAAAATGCTTAAATCACTAATCATTAGAGAACTGCAAATTAAAACCACAGTGAGATACCATACCACCTTACTCCTGCAAGAATAGCCATGATTAAAAAGTTAAAAAACAATAGATGTTGGTGTGGATGTAGGGAAAAGGGAATGCTTATACACTGTTAGTAGGAATGTAAATTACTACAACCTTGATGGAAAACAGTATGAAGATTCTTTAAAGAACTAAAAGTAGATCTTTAAAGAGCTAAAAAGTGGATCTACCAGTTGATCCAGCAATCCCACTGCTGGGTATCCCAAGGAAAAGAGGTCACTTATATGTAAAAGACACTTGCACATGTATGTTTATAGCAGCACAATTTGCAATTGCAAAGATATGGAACCAATCTAAGCACCCATTGACTAAAGAGCCGATAAAGAAAATGTGCCATATATACACCATGGAATACTATTCAGCCATGAAAAGGAATGAAATAATGTCTTTTGCAGCAACTTGGATGGAGCTGGAGGCCATTATTCTAAATGAAGTAACACAGGAGTGGAAACCCAAAACCTTATGTGCTCACTTATAAGTGGGAGCTAAGCTATGAGTACGCAAAGGCATACAGGGTGATATAATGGACTTTAGAGACTCAGAAGCGGGAGGATGAAAAGGGTGTAGGGATAAAAAAAACTATGCATTAGGTACAACGTACACTACTCAGGTGATTGGTGCACTTAAATTTCAGAATTCACTACTATAGAATTCATCCATGTAACAAAAACCAAGTGTACCCCAAAAGCTATTGAAATTTTTAAAAGGGAAAAAATACCAATCTAATAAAAAATAAAAGTAAGTAAAGTCTCCCTCTGGTCACTTTAATAGTGTGGCATGTTAGAAGGGAGGAGGGGAAACAAGCACAGATTCATCATTTCCAAACAAAAAGTGTGTCTATTTTCCATTTGCGTGTTTAAAATATTTTTATCTTCCAGGATGTTCAATAAATCAATACATTTGCTTAAATGGTTATAATAGAACTCACTAAAAAAAGAAATGTTAAATAGTTTTAATAATGATTATTTTCAGTGTGTATCATTTGAATGATAATTTTATAAAAGTTACAAGATGAAGAAAATGACAGCTTCCTTTTAAATTTTTTTCTGCCTTTTATCCAGAAACACAAAATCCATGAATGACTTGTGAAGTTATTTCACATACTTTGTACTAATGATATATCTATTCAATAGCTATTCTAGTGTCCCCCAAACAAATCTACTCTATACACAAAATAGTTTCATCCAATTTTCTATTTGAATTGTTTTCCTTTGGCCACACTCTATAGCAGAATTCATTGGTCAGCTTTTTTACACAAGTATACACGCTTTACAGAATTTTTTCTTTTTTCTTTCTGTCTCCCAGACTGGAGTGCAGTGGCGCGAGCTTGGCTCACTGCAATCTCTGCCTCCTGGGTTCAAGCAATTCTCCTGCCTCAGTCTCCTGAGTTGCTGGGATTACAGACATGCGCAGCCATGCCAGGCTAATTTTTGTATTTTTAGTAGAGACAGGGATTCATCACGTTGGCCAGGCTGGTCTCGAACTCCTGACTTCAAGCGATCCCACCACTTCGGCCTCCCAAAATGCTGGGATTACAGGCATGAGCCACCGTGCCCAGCCACAGAATAGTTAAGGAAAGGAAAGATCTCATTTTCTATAACTAAGGGATTCACACTAAAGGATTTACTGGGCTGGAGCAGATCATATAACAGACAAGAGAACAGCCAGTAAGGGGGATTCTGAAGTGACTCTCTTAAATAAACACCCAGAACAAAGAGCTCAAGACTAGGGAAGTGTTTATGCTTTTATGTGGTATAAGGAAAACTGGTAAGAAGGGATTCTTTTTTTTTCTTTTTTTTTGAGGCGGAGTCTCGCTCTGTCGCCCAGGCTGGAGTGCAGTGGCATGATCTTGGCTCACTACAAGCTCCACCTCCCCGGTTCATGCCATTCTCCTGCCTTAGCCTCCTGAGTAGCTGGGACTACAGGCGCCCGCCACCATGCCCGGCTAATTTTTTTGTATTTTTTTTAGTAGAGACGGGGTTTCACCGTGTTAGCCAGGATGGTTTCGATCTCCTGACCTCGTGATCCACCCGCCTTGGCCTTCCAAAGTACTGGGATTAAGGTGTCAGCCACCACGCTCGGCCAAGAAAGGATTCTTGTCTGGAAAGTGAGCCCTTTCTACCATCTTGGGAAGTGATTTATAAGACTGTTAAAACATGCTGTATTTGAGGCAACTCATGACTACATGCAATGTGTACTTACAACTGCTAAGGATTAGAAAATGTCGTTACCTATAGCTGTCTTTATCTAGTTGATTATCATGGTGTACAGTACTATAGAAATATAGAGGTGCCAACTCAGGTATGCAGTATACCTTTCTCTTTTCTTCAACATTGCTTACACATTTATTTAGGTGATCCCACAAGATTTAATAACCAAGGTAGAAAATTCAATTGCAGTTGAAAATAATTCGAGACAATCTGATGAAGCTTAGATCTGCTAATAGTGATGTACATTTCACAAAATACCTTCAGTGAACTCCCATTTAATGTTCATTGCAACCCTGTGAACATTAAATGGGTACTAATATTATAATGTTCATTTTATATGAGTAAACTGAGTCTTCTAAAGACTAAGAAGGTCAGGTGCAGTGACTACACCTGTAACCTTAGTGCTTTGGGAGGCTGAGGTAGGAGGATCACTTGAGCAAGGAAGTTGAGGCTACAATGAGCCGTGATAGCACCACTGCACTCCCACCAGGCAGCTTGGATGACAGAGAGAGACCTTGTCTCCAAATAAACGAAAAAAAAAAAGACAAACAAAACAAAAAAGACTAATCCCTACTCACAAGTAGCAAGAATTGAGATGTGAGCACAGTATCAAGCAATGGTTAAAAGCCCCACTTTGATGTCAGGCATAACGTGGTTTTAATTGTTGGCTTTGCTTTGAGACTATCGGTGACACAACTGCTCTATGCCCGAGTTTCCTCTTGCACAAAAAAGGAAAAATAATAGTATACCTCAGAGTTAAATAATAATGTTTAAGAAACTTAATAATGTTTAAGAAACAGCACAGTGAGTCACATAATGAGCAATGACATGGTAAACAATCTTATTTTGATCATAAGGCTCTACGGACCATTTTATGGCTGAGAAATGCCCAAGGTGTGGGAGATGAGCTACCTGCATCAGCTCTGCGGGCCCTGAGTTCTGCTTGCCATCCCTCTCTCAGGTCAAGAATACTAACATTGGCTGCGCGGGGTGGCTTATACCTGTAATCCCAACACTTTGGGAGGCCAAAGCGGGTGGATCACTTGAGGTCAGGATTTCGAGACCAGCCTGGCCAACATGGTGACACCCCGTCTCTACAAAAAATAAAAAAATTAGCCAAGTATGGTAGCACAAACCTGTAATCCTGCTGCTGGGTGGCTGAGGCACAAGAATCACTTGAACTCGGGAGGCAGAGGTTGCAGTGAGCCAAGACTGTGCCACTGCACTCCAGCCTGGGAAACAGGGTGAGACTCTCTCAAAAAACAAACAAAAAAGAGTGCGGACATAAAAGTACTGCATGGAGGGAAAAAAAAAAAAAGCACTGAATGAAAATGAAACCATGCTTAAAGAAACCAAGGCTTAATTTTATTTTTTTTAAAAAAAAGCAAGTATATTGTGATGTAGTAACTTCCACAATTCCTTTTCTAAATTTTCAACAATTTCTTCTTAGCACCATTAAAGTTGTGGTGAAATGAAATGAAAATTAACCAAATAAAAGGCAGAGAGATAGCTTGTTCTTCGTTCTCTCTCCTGGTTCTTCATTTAAGTCGTTTACTCGACAGTCATTAAAGTGCTTCTGTGTGCGGAATATTTTACCGTCTCATCTGTTTTCTTAATTTCTTATTTATGGCACACACACATACAAAAATCCATGTTTCTGGGCAAGAATGGTAAAGGATGACCCGACCAATCAAAATTCATTGTACTCTCTCTTTCCTTCCTTCCTTTCCTCTTTTTCTCTTTTTTTTCTTTCTTTTCTTTCCTTTTTTTTTTTTTTTCTTTTCTTTTTTTGAGATGGAGTCTCGCTCAGTCCCCCAGGCTGGAGTGCAGTGTCATGATCTTGGCTCACTGCAACCTCCGCCTCCTGGGTTCAAGTGATTCTCCTGCCTCAGCCTCCCAAGTAGCTGGGATTACAGATGCCCGCCACCACACCCAGCTAATTTTTGTATTTCTAGCAGAGATGGGGTTCCACCGTGTTGCACAGGCTGGTCTCAAACTCCTGGGCTCAAGTGATCCTCCTGCCTCAGCTTCCCAAAGTGCAATTTTTCTATTTTAAGTGTGCTGGTTTTCTTTGGATTCTGATTCATGCAGGCCATGCTGAAAGAAAGACAAGTGAAGCCATCTACTGTTACCACTTCTGCTACCCTAAGTCTATGAAGCATAAAACTGCCAGTGATGATAATCAAAACCTCAAAATGAATAAAAAGGCAATCCTCCATGGTTGTAAAACAGACGAGGCAAAATATGCTATGTTGTTTTTACAATATTGAAAGTTCTCTGAACACGTCTGAATGTACCAGTTAGGTTCTACTTTTCTTTTTCCAGATAAGACCATTTCTGAGAAATTGACAGGTGTCTATAACTCACAAATAGCTTTCCAAAAATACTAGGATCTCAGTACAGCTTTCCATAAAGAGTTCTTATGTAAGTCCTCACTCTTAAGTAGATTTTAATAATTTACTTCAATCTCTAGACTTTTCTTCAGCTTCATCTAATTTATCAATAATATTCACTTGAAAATTTAAAACAAAGAGTAGATGAAACTTCTTTGACATTCTTGGGGGCCTTGGGAGACCACACAGCACCATTCTATTGAGATGACTCCAAATAATTTCCACATGAATGGCTAAAGTGCAGAAATGTATAATTTATTAGGATTTAAATAAATCAGGGAGAAAAGTGCTTTAAAGTTATTGGTAGAAAATTTTCAAAAAATAAAGTTATAATTCTAAGAAATTAAGTTTCTACGTATAAAATATAAAATTCTTCCTTCCCTATATTTAACATTTCAAAGCAAAATATGCTGAAAAACTCTTTAATAACATGCATTTTTTTTTTTAGCATTCGATCACAGTAAAATTTTTAAAAAACACACGACATACTTCTGGAATCTTCACAGAGGAAAAAAAAGCACACGACATAATCCGATTTTATTTTTAGGGTGAAATACCTTTCTTAAAACATGTGCTGTGTGGCCAGGATGTTATAATCATTCTCTTTTGTCTCAGCAATTTCCCTGATACAATTTTCATATTGGAAATATTCCCTAATGCTACAAAATTTGTCAAGAATAAAAAACTTTTTCATTCAATCTCTTAGAACATGGCTAGTTTTCTCATGGGCTGTCAAAGAATAAAAAGTCCCCTCTTCTTCAAGGCCGCTTACATCTTTTTCTTTTTTCAGATAACTATTACCGTAACAACTACAAGTCAATAAACATTTTGAAGTTCTCCAAATAGCAAAAATTAGAAATCCACAAAGATTTGGAATGATCTAAGAAATCTGAACATGTAAAAAAAATCAACTCCCCAAACAGAACAATGACATGAACATCAGTTTTATTCACTGAGAATATACTTTTTAAAAATATGGCATAAACATAACTATAAATGAACACTGCTATTCTCAGCACTTTTTGTCTAGAAAATTCAGTGTTCTATATGAAAACATCATTAAAGCATGTAAACTTATTTATGTACGTGATTTTTTTAATGCCAAAGTTAAAAGGAAAAAGGCACGAGAAATATTGAAAAACACAAAGAAGCAAGGTAGAAATACTGCAAGATTATCATAATTCAATTTGTCACAGGGAAAAAAACATTTAAGATAAAATTGAAAACAAAATAACACAGGTTATGATATAGCCAAATTACTGTGAAATGTATCAAATTGGCTGGCTGTACATTGTGGAGGTCACAGAAAATTACTACTTTAAAATGTTCCCCCACAAATTAACATAAATAAACTGTTCTCTGTGGTTTCCAATATGCTACCTAAAAACACAGTGTTGCTCCCCAAGGGAGTCTGGTTCCAATCCAAGGCAGATGAGATAGATGGAGCCAGAATGGCAGTGTTTGAGACACTAATAAAAAAGACCAGTGACATTCTACAGACTTGCAATATTCTATTTTATTAGAAGCAGTGGAGCACAGAGGTTAAGAACTTGAGCTCCAGAGTCAGACCTGTGTTCAAATGCTGACTCCATCACTACAAGGTTGTGTGACCTCAGGAATGCAACTTTATCTCTCTGAAACTGTTTTCAAAGCTGAATAAGGTGGTAAGAACACCTTCCTCAAAGGCTGTGGTAAGCACAGAATGTAGGCAAACTACTCACTCCACTAATTGGGTCACAGTCTGCATTCAGTCCATGAGTTATTTCCTCAAAGTGAGTTGAAAATTATCAATCAGGTTAATTCAAAGTATTTGTTTGGTACCATGGTATTATAAGAAAGTCAGGTTTTATTGCTTAAGGAATTCCAAAAGAAAAGTACATAGACAAGAGGGTAGAAATACTGAAATGTGTTAGTAACTTGTAACTCCATGATGAGTTCTGATTTCACTACTTTGCAGACTTAATGGTTTTCTCCTTTGCATTTCTGAAGATATGGGAATATTCTTATGGACATGTCCCCAATCTTTCTTTTTGCACTTTAGAAGCTGGGAAAGGTCAGACATGTAGAGACAAGTGACACACTTGCCCAAGAGTAAGAAAAGTGGCAAAGGCAGTTAGTTATGTTTTATATAGGGCTTATCTATTTCTTACATTTCTTATAAACTTATAGGGATATGTTTGAAAAAGGTGAAATTCAATGGCACAATGTTAGAATATATATTTTTAGATATCAAAATTGGTTCACTTTAAATTGTTGATGGCTAAGTGAACTCTAAATTAAGTGCAAAATTTAATTCAAAGCCAAATAATCTTTTATTGATTTATAGCCCTTAAAGAGTTGTAGTTGTGGGCCAGGCACGGTAGCTCACGCCTGTAATGCCAGCACTTTGGGAGGCCGAGGCGGGTGGATCACAAGGTCAGGAGTTGGAGACCAGCCTAGCCAATATGGTGAAACCCCATCTCTACAAAAATACAAATAGTAGTCGGGCGTGGTGGCACATGCCTGTAGTCCCAGCTACTCGGGAGGCTGAGGCAGGAGAATTGCTTGAACCTGGGAGGCGGACGTTGCAGTGAGCCGAGATTGTGCCACTGACTCCAGCCTGAGCCACAGAGCGAGACTCCGTCTCAAAAAAAAAAAAAAGAAGAAAGAGCTGTAGTTTTATGGACTTCACAGCTTTTTAAAAAATATACAAATAAGTACTGCAGAGTGATTTGAATTGCATAAAATGTAGCACCAATATATTAATATTCCACTCCCTTCCCAAGACAAGTAATGACAAAAATATAAAACTGTAGGCAAGTTTAAAACGTCACTGAGTTGTCTTGCTTCTAAAATTAAAAACTACAAAATACCCTTCAAGAAAAAACATCAAGTAAAAAAAAAAAAAAAGGAAAAACAGAAGATAAAGTAATAACATTTTATATTCAAAATAGTTTCTACAATGTCACGGCAAGGAAGACAGTGACTTTAAAATGCACTCCATCAGGCAACTCAATAGGCTGTTTTTCCAAACTGTAATTTTGAAAGCCATATAGTGGGTCCTGACAAGAATTTTTATCTAATAGGATGAAAATATCAGGTGCATATTGGGTAGGTATTGTTTTGTAAACTTTTGTTTCGTGTGTGTATACTGGGTTGCAATGCAAAAGGTGTCTCATTTTGAGTTGCTGTGAAAAAAGATTCAGTCCCTGTTCCAAGACTAAATTTTGCCCTTTGGAGCCCCCTACAGGCTCTAAATGTTAATAACGTAAATCCTAAAGTAAATAAATAGCCCCACTGTTGGAGGGTGGTTCAGAAACTACCATTCAATAATTTATGCAGGAATACATGTTTACATAGATAAATAGGTAGCGTTTGGTCTAAGAACTCGAACTGACTATGTGAATAGTCTCAATCTTGAAGCAAAATTATCCTCAAGAAAAAATTAATTTGGCAAGGTATTAGCCCTTACAAATTAAATTTAAAATTAGAAGAAATATATCAGTATCTCACAGTGATAGAAGTCTGGAGGCAAACTAAGAAGTAAAATCACAAGGACTTTAGAAAACTATTAATAAGACATTCATCTTTATAAGGTTTTTACAAAGGCGTGTTAAGAATTTAATCAACAGAAATGGCTAAGTGCTGAAAAGGCGTGTTTCCGCCCCTATATTTGCCTTCAAAGAATTGAGTAAATTACAATTTTGAACAATCAAGTGCTAAACCTGAACTCCAACTCTACATATTATTTTAAGAATTAGTAGGTCACTATATTCAAACTAGTAAAACTCTTATGAAGTTGGCTGGGGGTGGTGGCTCAAGCCTGTAATCCCAGCACTTTGGGAGGCCAAGGTTAGAGGATCACTTAAGATCAGGAGTTCACGACTAGCCTGGCCAACACAGTGAAACCCTGTCTCTACTAAAAATACAAAAATTAGCCAAGATCATGCCACTACACTCCAACCCGGGCAACATAACAAGACTCCATCTCAAAAAAAAAAAAAAAAAAAAAAAAAAAAAAAAAAAAAAAAAAACACCTCTATGAAGTGGTCAGAAAACTGAAGTGGAAGTGAGGTCAGAAATTCAGGCTTATCTTTATCTAAAACAAGCTAAGCGGTCTTCTTTCCTTGCTGCTCTTTCACAAAAAAATAATTTAATACAATTGCAAAGAAAAAGTAACAGCAATGTTAATCGTGCTTATGTTAACGAACACCACTACCACCACCACCACCACAAAAAGAAATGCTTGCAGAAGCCTAAGAGTAGATGGAAACACAAATAACTCACAATCATCCAACACTATTCTGCCCTTGATTTCACCCCATATCAAATTGCCTATCTTAGAATGTTGAAATGGTTTAGTTAACCTAAGGTCAACTGGAGAACAGGGAAGAGGCCAAATGGTAGATGATCCTGTTGAAAGGAGAGATCTTGGCAATAAAACCAATTTAGCATAAATGAAGGTGATTCATAATACAAGCAGTAGCAGTAGATTGCCTTTTCTTTTTTCTTTTCTGGGTCAATTTTGGTTGGTCTCTCAAGTTAGGTCTTTCAGACTAAAAATGAACATAAAATGAGCAGCTCTGCACAGCAAGGTAATGTTGGTCCATTTAGTCTAAAGCAACCCTATCATCCAATATCCCCACATGTTGATAAACACAATTCTGTGTTTACGGTAACATATCTAGATCCAGATTTGACTGTATGCTGGGGCTTATTCAAAATTTATCCTTGGCTTTAGCACAATTTACTTCAAAATCAGTAAAAATATCACATAAAATCATTAATTTCTGTTAATGAGAGCTCCATCTTAGTAAAACATTTGATTTGTTCAATAGATATAACTATGTTCAGAATTTGCCTGCTCCCTCCAAAAAAGTCCCAGAACTAATGTTTATTGTAAATATATTTAGGATTAATTATGATCTACTCAAAGCAAATGGTGACAAACAGCTTATTTGCTATTTACATAATACATAAAATAAATTTTATTTGAAAGGAATGAAAATAACTTTACTCTCATTCTTTGAGTATTTTCTTGTATAAGCTGAAATTCAAAGAATGTTCCTTCTTAAACAATGCATAATCATTGGAGGGGGAATTTTATAATAGCATTTTTTAAAATGGGAAAACCAGGTGATACACTTCCCTTCTCTTTCTCATCACCACCCAGTCCTTAGTGCATAACATCACTATCTTCCCGTTTGTCCTTACAAATCTTTGTCACATTCAGAACTGATTTATGTTTAAATCATCTCTTCTAGGTGTTTTTTCCCTTCTCCCTATTCTACTTAAGGAAAATGTCCCTCCTACTGATGGCAGGCATAATGAATATCCTCAAGACAACATTAAAATAATTGCTTTCAAGAAACTGTTTTGTGCTTTTTTATCTGGGATACCAAGAACCATCCAGGAACAAAATAATGTGGCTATCAAAGGTTACTTACAAGTAGCATTTTAATACCTTCTCTTTCATTCTCCAGGCTACTCTGTTGAGAAAGTTATCCTACTTAATATTTAATAGCCAGTGACTTCGAACCCAACTTCATATTGAGTGATGTTCTCTCATGTTTATGAACACAACATAAAACACACATACATAGCCACTACTCACTCACTCTCACAAGCAAGCATACACACACATTTTCTTTCTTTCCAGAACAAGCCAGAATTACAGCTCTTTTGGTGATTGTTATAATTTTTGGAATGGTTCATAAATTTTCCAAATTCTTTTAAATTTGTAATACTTTCATCTTTTTTCTTTTTTTTTTCCAATTGTGAACCATTCCATATTGCATCTTTATTGCAAAAGTCAACATGCTTCTTAGAAATTCAGATTGTAATTGATAAAACAAACATTACATATATGAATTTAAATGTATAAACAGTTAGAAATTCAACAATATCTCCTATTATACTATTACACAAGTTCACAATTTTGTAAAAACTATAATACAGGCATACTATACATCAAGAGGAACCACTATTCCTTTTCACATGATTTTTTTCTTTTTTGAAATAATGATCCATCACCAAGGACCCCTTTCACCTTAACAAGACTGTTTTCCAATTTATCATCTTAGCTGGTAACAACATTTCTTCAATGTTACATAAAGAAATTGAGGGAAATTTTGCAATACTTGGGGTTACCTTTTTATCTTGGACAGTGATCCACTAGTATATCAGGCTGACCTAGTCAACTGGTGGCTATTATTGCTGATCAGCTACTTAAAAAGATGTCATACACATTAAGAGGGACAGAACTTGCTTTAGATGCTGTATGTTATTTCTGTAAATGAAGATGCCAAGAAAACATGTATGGCAGTTATTCACTTTTAAGTGAAATTCTAACAGTTGAAGATTTGATGGTGGAAGTAAATCCCAAAGGGGGCAGGGGATATATATAAACTATTTTATGCTAACCTGAAGTTTTCCAGTATTATAATTAACTCACTTCAAATTCATCTTTGAGTCAAACATGTTTTAAAATTCTTTGAAAGCACACTTTTAAAGTATTTTTAGTCCTGTTTAAGGTGTACTGAAAACTTATAGAAAGGGCCTCAAACCTTACTGAAAAAACTGTTTTTCACTTTAACACACTTCTATCTTCTGCCCCCAATACTAAAAAGTCAAATTTTCAACTTTTTACTGAGAGTGAAATAAGATGTCCATTTTGAGGTCAAAAAAATCATATGAAAAGGAATCTCATTCTGTTGAACTGTCTACTGAAATTTTTCTTAGAGTTCCATTTATTTACTGTAATTTTCAGTTTCCAAATACAAAAATACAACAATTCTTATTGAAATCTATACGCTGGTAGTTTTAGTACACAAAAAAAAAACCCAAACAAATTATTTACAAAATTATACAGTTTAAGAAAAAACTTTGTACAAAAAATATATAAATCCTTTGTTCCCTCTATCACGTTTAAACTGTCAGGACTCAAAATATTCACCACAATGAATCTTTCAAAATATATACTGACTGAGCCACAGACATCAAGAAAAATTTCATTAGAGATGATGGAGGAGTAAGGAGCAAGATTGTGTATTCTAGATACACCATTCTGATGTTTTCCTTCTTTTATAAGCTTATTTTACCTTCAGTGTTACTAGAAATATAACAATAACCTAGAAAAAGGAAGTCCTCATTATTATGAAAGAAAATTATATGAACTTAAAAATGACCCTGGTTTGACACATCATTCCAGGAAAACATGTAGAAGAATAAAGATTATCAGAACGTGGGATTTAACTTCTTATAGCTAAGTAAATCTAGAATCCTGATGGTTTTAAGTTCTTAGTGAATAGTTTCTATATTGAGAAATTGTCTTTACCTCAGCAAACAAAATCCTTGATATAGTGGTCACCAAGACCCTTTTGGAGACAACAGGAGGTTTCAAATTTTCATACCACACATATATAAAAACACAGATGTGTATATCCTTGAAAAAGTGACAGCCTAGGTACATTAATCATTTTATTTTCCCAGGGGTCAGTACAGTGTAGTGTTGCTCCTCTGCTTTTCCATCTAACATTCAGAACACGAAGACATAAATTTACATATATATTTTACTTAACAGATACTCTACTCTATACAGTGTACAGTAAAAATGCACACAGTAAAGGAAACTGTCTACTGAGGGATGCGTATGTTCATGGATAGCAACAAGCTACAAAATTATGAAAAAATAAGGTCATCTGAACAAAGTCATATATGACTCCCATTTATTACTAGCATACTCAGCCCTCAACCCCCTCCCACCTCCACCCCCCACCCCCCAGTCACCTCACCATCATGGTTTAAATTTAGGAAAAGAATTTCAGACATTTTTAAACCCTTCTGTGTAACTATACTGAACTGAAGCTTCAAAAGAGGGAAAAAATAAAGCTGGTGATTCTCTTCTCCCCAAAATCCTTCCATCATTCTCATCAAAACATCACTTATTTATCCAGGTGCTGGTTTGAACCTTTTATTGGAGACTGCCTGCGGTTGCCCAAATGAACCACTTATATCAATGATGACTAAGTCAGGCCTATTAATAGAAAGGCAAGAGGAAGAAAAGGGGGACGAGAAAGGGGCAATAGGTGAAAGCCTTTTACATTCTGAGTTATAAAAATTTTTAAAAAGACCAGCCGAACCAGCGCTCACTAAATATCAAAGCAAACTAAGAATCAGTAGCAGGAAAAGTCCAGGAGTTCATATGACAAGAGAATGGAAATACTATAGAGCTAGCTACCATTGCTGTAGCATTTAAGAACACACAGTTTGTTGTGATTTTCACTGAACTAGTACTACCACACATAAAAACCATGAAAAACAAATTTAGACTGAATACAAATTGGGCTCCTCCAAAGTAAAAAAAAAAAAAAATTAAAATTAAAATAAACATATTTTTCTTCCAAGACCACTCTTGAAAGCAAAAGGGTATTTTAATTACAAATATTTCCTACTGTCTGATGACCCATCCATAACAACTGAGAGTTAAAAGATTACAGGTGATTTTGACATTTAATTAAATTTTATCAGTAGATTATAATCCAAAATAAAATTTCTGAACACCCTGTCATTTACATCATAATCCAACACCAACAGCAACAAAAAAAAGGTGGTGTGGAAAATAAGGCTCTAGAGATTATCCATGTCATTGCTGTGGATCTTCACAACTGTGTAAAAGTCACTAGGCCTTTGGTGCTTTAATATCATGTACAGTTATGAGATGTGTTTAAATAGCAAACTTGCTGTTCTTGAACCTACTGTGTTGAAAAGAAAAATAAAAAAATTTTTTTTGGCTCATTGACTTCTTTTAAATAATTTTTAAAAGTTGTTCTTCTAAACAATATTCCTAAAAATTATACAGCTAGCATCAGATTTCATCTTCGCCATGAGCGAGACTCATATTCATCTTCATCTTCATCGTCATCATCAGGCAAAAACAAATCTGAGGTTTCTGTTTCCTGAAGAAAGAGAGGTTAAAATCTGCTTAGTGGCACAAGAATGGTAAGTAAAATACTTTTTAGGCCAAAGGACAAACAGGCTAGTATACAAAGCCCAGGCTAGATTTCATAAGGGATGCATGCAAGAGTATCTTTCAGGGCAAAAAAAAAAAAAAGCCCAAAATATTTTTGTAAATGAATATGAATTCTTCTCCCCTGCTAATTTTGCTACTTTTAATAGGAGATTTCTACTCTAATATCATCAGGAAAATAATGTGGACATTTAGTACAGAAAATTTAAAAAAGACTATGAGATACATTTCTGATAAATTAAAATTAATTTTATTCTATAAAAAATTAGGAAAATAAATGACCAAACACCTAAATCTTTGTTTTTATATCCATCCAATTGTTTGTGAGAGGTGAATATACTAGCTTCCCCATGACACTGATATTCCAAATCTTATATAAAAATCTAAAATCTTAGACAAAGTAGATGTATCTGCAAACACTACCCAAATACCATGACTTCTGTTTTTCTTTTAATCTAGGGAACATTTCTGCTTTTGCTGTGTAAAATTACCTATATAGTGAGAAGACACTTGATCAAACTATAAATGCTAGCTAGGTATCTTTTAAAACCAAGATTGTCATATAAATCAGGAAAACCTCGCAATATAGCCTAAGTGTTCACTAAATAAACTAATGATAAACAACAGGAGTAAAAAAGCAAAATAAATTCTCATATATTTTAAGAAGCTGATTATTCAGTACTTTTATTATTTAGGTCTTTAGTTTTCCAATTCTCTCCTCTATGTTCAACTTCTGCACACTCTGATTTTAACCAATTGTACACAGAAGGAAAATAAGAAACTCAAATCTATTACTATGGAACTTGAATAAACAAAAAGTGAAACCAACCAATTAAAGTTTAATTCATTTATGTAATCTCTGACTTTATTCATCAGAATAAAAATTTCTAGAGCTCAAATAAATCCAATATAAATGTAAACAAAAAAGAACAGTCTTTCCTATATCAGAAGAAAATAACCCCTAACACAGCTTCTTATATCTCTAGACCTGTTTTAATTCTCTAATAAACATCTAAACGGGTCTTAATTTGCATGCATGAAAGAAAAACCCAGCATTTTTTAATTTATACTATTTAATATCATAAAAAATACATAATTGAGAAGTGATCTAATTCAACTCTTATTTCCAACCACTAAATTTACCTCCTCCTTGACTTCTTCTTCTTCAGTCTCAGTGGATATAGATGGTACCTTGGGCTTGTGCCATGATATCTGTAGCCGACGGTCTTTAAATTTTGGCCCTTGGTTTGCGGTCTAAAATATATATTAGAAGAACATACAAGTTTGCACTCAAATTTACTAATGATTTCTGCAAATTCTGTGTTATTTAAAAAGTATAACATAGGGCAGGAGAGAAATCTGTTAAGGTGGATCTACAATCTCCAATGAGAGCTAAAAAAAATAAAGTCCCTTTTAATTAGAGCAACTATATGTTCTGGTTTGCCTAGGATAACCCATGGTTTATATCTGTGTCAGGTAAATGTTAGCATCTGTCTTGGTTGAAGAAATAATTTTTTTTCTAAGTAGAGTTGCTCTACTTACAAAAGTCATGATGAGGACAAGAAATATTCTTAATACAGGTATTGACCTTTGGCTTTGATATCTACATATATAGACTCAAACCTTAGAAAAAAGGTGAATCATCTGCTTATTCATCTCACTGCATCTCTCACAGCCCCACCTATGTTGGATAAAGTTCTTCTTATTTCCACTTCTGAAACGCTATACACTAATAAGCACCTCCCAGCTCATCTATGCATTCAATAAACATTAAACAAATGCCTAATACTATCCTAACTCATAAAACTGCTCCATTTCAAATGTTACTTGGTACTAATTTTTAAACATTTTTTTCTCCCCAGCAAATTCCAATAGGGGAAAGCAAATTTTAAAGACAAAGCAACACAGACAAGGGACTAGGGATCCAAAGTTTCAGAAAAGTAGAAGTTTAGCCATCCCTATAGCTTTCCTATCAAAGGTCCTCATTTATAGAACTGGGGGTTCTAAAAAACATAATAGAAGAGATTCTTTTTTATTTGGGCTTTCATTCTAGTCTATCTAGCAAAATCATTGCTAAACCTCCTGAAGCATTTGCCAAATGTTTCCATAAAACACTTGGAGCATAGCATGGTGAGAATGTACATTAGAGCAGACTCATAAATCCATTACTGCCTGCACAGACATCGTCCTGTGTTCTAAGGGAAAAATTCCCACCATTCCTTGAAGGGTCTAAATGCTCATAACCTAACACCAAACATTATGACTCATGGGACATACCAAACTGATGTATCAAAATAGCCCTACCAAATATAGATATGTACCTTTTTTTTTTCTTTTTGAGACAGGGTCTTGCTCTGATTCCCAGGCTGGAATGTGCAGTGGGAAGATCACACTCACTGCAGCCTCGACTCCCTGGGTCCAAGTGATCCTCCCACTTCAGCTTCCCAAGGAGCTGAGACCACAGGCATGCACCACCTCACCTGGCTAATTTTTTTATTTTTATAGACGGGGTCTCCCGATGTTGCCCAGGCTGGTCTCAAACTCTTGGGCTCGAGGAATTCTCCCACCTTAGCCTCCCAAAGTGTTGGAATTACAGGCACGAGCCACAGCACCTGGTCTATATTTACCATCTTTTAAAAATTAGGTAATGTACGTAACAGAGATCCTTTACCCTTTACTCTATCCTTTAACACACAGCCCAATTATAGAGAGGCTTTCCCTGCTTGTTTTGTTCATTTCTTTATTATTTGAATTTCTAAATAAAAACATATTACTTTTATAAACAGAAAAAGTAATAAAGATTTTTAAATCTGTAATAACTGTGTTGCTCTCCAAAGAGGATAAGAGGTCTGTCCTCCAAAAGGAATATTAAGGCATTAAATGTATTGCATATACATTATTAAAGGAAGAATAAGAAATGTATACAGAGTCTGAAATTAAGAACAAATAATTTCTACTATCTAACTTACAACAAATCAAATAAATTAGCAATTAGAATAAAGATATATTATGACGCTACCAAGTTAGGAATTCTCATACACAAATGGTGAGAATCTCAAACTGATTCTAAACTGGTAAGAATCTAAAACTGATGGGGTTCACTCAGCAATTCCACATACAGTCATCACTTGGTGTTTCTGGGGGACTGGTTCCAGGACTCTCTGTGAATACCAAAATCCATGAATGCTCAAGTCATTTACATAAAATAGTGTAGTATTAGCATGTAATCTACACACATTCTCCTATATACTTTGAATCCTCTCTAGATTACTTATAATATCTAATGCAATGTAAAAGCTATGTAAATAGTTGTTATACTGTATTGTTTAGGGAATAATGACAAAAAATGTACATGCTCAGTACAGATGCAACCTTTCATTTTTTTCCCAATATTTTTGATCCAAAATAGGTTGAATCCATGGAGGTGAAACCCACACATATGAAGGGCCAACTGTATATCCAAGAGAAATGGTGTGTACATGTGTAGTTAAAAACATGTATAAGATAGCAACACTGCTTACAAAAGCCACATAGTAGAAATAACCCAAACATCCATCAGTAAGAGGATGAGGCTGGGTGCGGTGGCTCACGCCTGTAATCCTAACACTTTGGGAGGCCGAGGTGGGCGGATCACCTGAGGTCAGCAGTTCAAGACCAGCCTGTCCAACATGGAGAAACACCATCTCTACTAAAAATACAAAAATTAGCCAGGGGTACTGGCACACGCCCATAATCCCAGCTACTCAGGAGGCTGAGGCAGGAGAGAATCGCTTGAACCCATGAGGTGGAGGTTGCCAAGAGCCGAGATCGCGCCACTGTGATCTGGCCTGGGCAACAGAGTGAGACTCCATCTCAAAAAAAAAAAAAAAAAAAAAGATGAAAAATAAACTGTGGTATATTGATACAACTATTATATAGTAATAAAAATGGCAAATTAATGTTACATGTAAAAACATGAATGAGTCTCACAAACATTAAACAGAAGAAGCCAAGCACAAAAGAATATACACTGTGTGATTCCATTTACATAACATTTTAAAAACAGGCAGAATACTACTCTAATATTTAGGAATGCATATTTAGGTGATAAAACTACAGTCAATTCTCATTACTTGCAGTAGTTTTGTTCTAAAAAGTTGATGCAAACATTTAACTGGCAAATAGCCACTACTTATAGGGGAAATAGAATTAGACTCTTATGAGCCTCTAGAGCAACCTTGTCCAACCTGTGGCCCATGGGCCACATATGGCCCAGGATGGCTTTGAATGCAGCCCAACACAAATTTCATAAACTTTCTTAAAACACTATGAGATTTTTTTTTCCTGTTCATCAGGTATCATTAGTGTTAGTGTATTTTATGTGTGGCCCAAGACAATTATTCTTCTTCCAGTGTGGTCCAGGGAAGCCAAAAGATTGGACACTCCTGTTTTAGAGGGTCACAACATTTTTGTCAGCTAATCAACACAAACTTTGGTTTTATGTGTTTCTGTTGAAAGACATCTTATTTAATATATGTTACTGATTCATTAACATTGAACTCATGGCCAAAAGCACTCACTCATGCCTGAACAAAGCTTAACTAACACATGTATCTTTGTAAGGCATATCACAGCCTTGCACTTAGGAACACTAGACAGGACTTTAGAACTACATTCGGGGGCCATTTAAAACAGTTTAATCACCAAGAAAACAAAAAAAATTGAGAAAAATGTGGCATTAAATAGACTGCAAAGGCTGGGCGCAGGGGCTCACGCCTGTCATCCTAGCACTTTAGGAGGCCGATGTCAGGAGTTTGAGACCAACCTGGCCAACATGGTGAAACCTCGTCTCTACTACTAAAAATACAAAAATTAGTTGGGTGTGGTGGTGGGCGCCTGTAATCCCAGCTACTAGGTAGGCTGAGGCAAGATAATCACTTGAACCCGGGAGGCGAAGGCTGCAGTGAGCCAAGATCATGCCACTGCACTCCAGCCTGAGTGACAGAGCGAGACTCTGTCTCAAAAATAAATAAATAAATAAATAAAACAAATAGACTGCAAAAGGGGCATTTGTTTACAGTATAAAAGCTGAAACAAGAAGGCATAGCACCACCTTATTTCTATCTCAGCTGAAAACGGGCTCATGAGGGGACTGGCAACTGTGTGTATGTCTGAGAATGACCACAAAACACCATAAGTATTGATTTTGGGGTTACAAATAAATTTTAGTGAGTAGATGAATTGGCAAATGTGGAATCTGAAAATAATAAGGATTGACTGTATAAAGAAAGCAAGGTGACTATCATAAAGTGAGGCTAACAGTTACTGCTCTGAGAAGGAGAGAAGATAGATAGAGGCTGGAGGGAGCAACAAGGGAGATTGGGGTATTGGAAATGTTCTATTTCTTGACCTGAGGTATAGGTATATTAGGTGTTTGCCTTCTCATAAATCATTGAACTATATGTTTATGATCAGTATAGTTGGTTTTTATAAACATTTTTAGTTGACTATAGGTATAACCTTTAAAAATTTTAAGGAAATAGGTCGGGCGTGGTGGCACATGCCTATAATCCCAGCCCTTTGAGGCTGAGGCAGGTAGATCACCTGAGTTCAGGAGTTTGAGACCAGCTGGCCAACATGGTGAAACCTCATCTCTACTAAAAATACAAAAATTAGCTGGGCGCGGTGGTGCATGCCTATAATCCCAGCTACTCAGGAGGCGAAGAAAGGAGAATCCCTGAACCTGGGAGGTGGAGGTTGCAGTGAGCTGAGATCGTACCACTGCACTCCGGCCTGGGTGACAGGTGACTTGAGACTCTGTCTCCAAAAAAAAAAAAAATTAAAGGAATACCAGATAGCTAAGATTTTTATGTGAAAAAGGCAAGGTTTGGAATGCAGCCCTGTATGTATAATACGATCACATTTTCGTAAATGTTTTTAAAGTGAGAAGCTTTATATATGTTTTCTTACATACATAGTATTTTTCTATAAAGATACCTAAGAATAGTGACTATCTTTTAAGAATGGAAAAAGATTAATAAAAGGGAGATTTTACTTTTATTAGTCATACTTTTTTTTTTTTTTTTTTTGAGACAGAGTCTTGCTCTATTGCCCAGGCTGGAGTGCAGTGGCGCAATCTGGGTTCACTCCAACCTCCACCTCCTGGGCTCAAGCAATTCATGTGCCTCAGGCTCCCGAGTAGCTGCGACTACAGGCAGATGCCACCACAGCTAGCTAATTTTTGTATTTTTTGTTGAGATAGGGTTTTGCCATGTTGGCCAGGCTGGTCTCAAACTCCTGAGGTCAGGTGATCCACCCGCCTCGGCCTCCCAAAGTGCTGTGATTATAGGCGTGAGCCACCGTACCTGGCCCTAGTCATCCTTTTAACCATTTGCATACATTATATTTTTATTTTTAAAAGTTTTGTTTTTTTTTTGTTTTTTTGTTTTTTAGACAGAGTCTCACTCTGTCGCCCAGGCTGGAGTGCAGTGGCGCGATCTCGGCTCACTGTAACCCGCCTCCCAGGTTTAAGTGATTCTCCTGCCTCAGCCTCCTGAGTAGCTGGGACTCCAGGTGCACGCCACCATGCCCGGCTAATTTTCTGTATTCTTAGTAGAGATGGGGTTTCACTGTGTCAGCCAGGATGGTCTCAATCTCCTGACCTCGTGATCCACCCACCTGGGGCTCCCAAAGTGCTGGGATTACAGGTGTGAGCCACCGCACCCAGCCCTAAAAAGTACTTTTTAAAAAAATCTAGGATTAATCTCTTAACATATTTGTTACTTATTACAGTACCTAATTGTTCTACACATACATATACATTCTCTCACATACACATCTAAATATGGTTTAAAATGATAAAATATTGGGAAAAAAGGCCAGGCGCAGGGGCTGATGCCTGTAATCCCAGCACTTTGGGAGGCAGAGGCGGGCAGATCACGAGGTCAGGAGATCGAGACCATCCTGGCTAACACGGTGAAACCCCGTCTCTACTCAAAATACAAAAAATTAGCCAGGCGTGGTGGCGAGTGCCTGTAGTCCCAGCTACTCGGGAGGCTGAGGCAGGAGAATGGCATGAACCTGCGAGGCGGAGCATGCAGTGAGCTCAGACTGCATCACTGCACTCCAGCCTGGGAGGCAGCCAGACTCCGTCTCAAAAAAAAAAAAAAATTGGGAAAAAATTGGATGTCCATCAATACAGGATGGTTCAACTGTAGTATTATATATCTGTGCAATGAAATACCATGCAGTCATTAAAAAGAATGAAGCAACACCACATGCACTAGTGTAGAACAATTTAAAATCTAATATAAAGTAAAAGTACATATGGCAAAACGGTGTTGTATAACATGCTACCATTTTTATAAAAGAGAGAACAAATAATATATATAGAGAGAGAATATCTTTAAGCAGATGTATGAGAAACTCGTAACAATAATTGTCTATGGGGAGTGAAATTGAGTGACTGGAGGTAGAAGGAAATCTTATTTTTCATTGTATACACTTTTATTCCTTTTTCATTTTGTTTACGTGTGTTGGCCAAGGAAATAATTCAAATAAAATACATATATATGTGAATATGAGATCAACTATATATACCATAAATTAAAAATTATATGCATATTAGGGTTCTTGGTAGAAGCTGCTCAAAGAGAAATTCATCTAGTCCAGCCATTTTCCCCGATTAGAAACTGACGCCCAATCTATGCCAGTCATCATGTATCAATCAACTGACTGGCAGATAAAAAAACAAAATTCAAGTGCTATATGAGGGAATGAGCAAATAGGTACTCTCATCCAATGTCACTACAAGTATAAATTAGTACAACATTCTGAAGGGTTATTTAGCGAGCTGTACCAAAATTTCAATGCATGCCTTTGATCCAGTTATCTCCTTCCTAGGAATTTACCTAAAGCAGTGGTTCTCAATTGGAGACATCACTCTAGCAGGTATTTTGGCAGTCACACTGACTAAGTAGCACTTACTGGCAATTAGTAGGTGGTAGCCAGGGGTGCCAGAAGTTTTACAATGTGCAGCACTGTCCCACATAATGAAAAATTATTGGCCAGGCGCGGTGGCTCATGCCTGTAATCCCAGCACTTTGGGAGGCCGAGGTGGGAGGTCACCTGAGATCAGGAGTTTGAGACCAGCCTGACCAACATGGTGAAACCCCGCCTCTACTAAAAATACAAAAAAAAAAAAAAAATTAGCTGGGCCTGGTGGCGGGCGCCTGTGGTCCCAGCTGCTCGGGTGGCTGAGGCAGGAGAATGGCATGAACCCAGGAGGTGGAGGTTGCAGGGAGCCAAGATCGTGCCACTGCACTCCAGCCTGGGTGACACAGCAAGACTCCGTCTCAAAAAAAAAAAAAAAAAAAAAAATTATCCCAGTAAATATGCTAAATCTAACATGATGTATATAACATTGTTCATAATAGTTAAATGGTAAACAACCTACCTAACTCATCAATAGGGGGCTGTACATAAAAATTATGGCATATTCTTATAACAGAATGCCTTCAAATAAGACAAATGTATATCTATATTCATAAACATGAACAATTCTCCATGATACACTATGGATGTAAAAACAAACTCCAAAACAGCATGGGTAGTATGTATACATATGACAGATACAGGTGCTAGAAAGATGTTCATAAAAATGTAATTGGTAAGATTTCAAATTTGTTGTGCCTTCTCCTTTATAATTTGTATTGTTTGAATGTTCTAAAAGCAGTAACTACCTTTGTAAAGAAATTTTCAAAATTAAGAGAAAAAATTACAGCAGTTTAGAGTTTCAATGTCTTTGTAAAGGTCACAGAATTACCATTGCCATATTTCACTCCTAGAACTAGCTACGAAAATTATATTTTCACCTGAAGAACCCTGAACACAGTAAAGTGTGCAGAAAAGGTAAACTCCTGATCACTTGTGACAGATAACAACAGTAAATGGTCATAGCTCACAAATCACCCATATTACCTTTTAAATTTAATTTAAGTTGTTTTGTAAAGATAGGGTCTCACTATGCTGCCCAGGTTGGTCTTGAACTTCTGGGCTCAAGCAATCCTCCCACCTCAGCCTCCCAAAGTGCTGGGATTACAGGCAGGTGCCACCAAGCCAGGCCTACATTACTTTTTTAACAAGGTCTGATGAAGGGCAATCAATGAAGCACTATCTAAAAAACTTTCTCCAAATGTTAAATACACAGAAAAGGTTAATTTTTGTTCTGGAAAGCACAAAAGAAAACTATCTGCCTAACTATAAAGTATCATTTCCATGTACAGTAAAATTCTCAAATATATTTTTCAGATACTTGGAAGATGGGGGAAAATCCCTGTCTTGAGAGGCTGTGGGGAAAAGCTAACTATGTGCGAAGTCTTTGGTAATTACAGCAGAGGTATTCTGTTGCCTCATATGAAGTTCCAGGAATGACAGGAGTGAGACATTAGAGGTTTTTGCCAGTAAGAACATAAAAATTATAACGAATTATATAAATATTGTGGGAGCACAGGTTCTAAACAGTACTTTAGAGATAAACCTCTTACTTTCTCAAGACTCAAAGGGTCTTCTGGCTAAAGATGGGGAACTGACCATCTGTCGTATGCAATTTCATACCCTTCCCCAGACACCCACTGAAATGACAGTAGAATAATTTATTTTTTTAAGGTATAAATCCGTAACAAAAAAATAAAAGAAAACACGACAAGGTCAAAAAAAAACTGGAGAGGTGGGAAGCAGAAAGATTAATGGGAAGTCAATATATAATGCTTACAATTTAGAAATCAAGAAGTAACAGTAAAAACAGGAATTTAAAAAAAGAAAAAAAAACTAGCCAGGTGCAATGGCTCATGCCTGTAATCCCAACATTTTGGGAGGTCAAGGCAAGAGGAAAAAAGCCTAATAAAAGGCAACATGGTAGGATAGAAGAAGAGAAATATATTAATCTGAGCAGCTGAATTTCTGAATTGATCAATCCTAAAACCTAACTCTAGACTTCTTGAAAAGAAGGAAAAATTCAAAATTCTTACAGTTAAATGAGCCACACTACTTGAAAAATATCAAAGTACAGTCTATATATTCCAAATATTTAGAGAAAATAACTTTTCCTGTTGTATCTAGCCGAACCTCCCTTCAACAGGGATGAAGTACTTTAGTTTTTGTCCCATCTGTGCCCTTGGCAAGGCTCTGAGTTAAAATTTTCAGCTTCTGAATTAAACTTTAATTATAAATACTTAACATTAACTTCATTAAGATATTAAAAATCTTAAGATTTCTGTGAAATAAAGATAGGTAAATAAAGATTTTTCTATTTTTTAAAAAGTTCTTTCTGGGCCGGGCGCAGTGGCTCATGCCTATAATCCTAGCACTTTGGGAGGCTAAGGCAGTGGATCACCTGAGGTCAGGAGTTTGAGACCAGGCTGGCCAACATGGTGAAACCCGTCTCTACTAAAAAACACAAAAAAATTAGCCAGGAGGTGTACGCCTGTAATCCCAACTACTGGAGGGACTGAGGTAGGTGAATCACTTGAACCTAGGAGGCGGAGATTGCAAGGGAGTCGAGATCACACCACTGCACTCCAGCCTGGGCGACAGAGCAAGACTCCGTCTCCAAAAAAATAAAAAATAAAAAAAAATTAAAATTAAAAAGTTCTTTCTGGATTCGCTGATTTTGATCTTTAAAATATATAAAATTATATTTATATATTTCAATTATGTTTAACTTAAATATTTGATATATAAAGTAACATAATAACATACCAGGGGTCTGCATACTACAGCCCTCAGGATAAATGTAGCCCAGCACCCTGTTTTTAACGACCCAGGAGCTAAGAATGGTTTTTACATTTTTGAAAAGGTTATTAAAAGAAAAATATGTTCATCCATTGAAGTACAAAGAAGAAAAAGAAAAAAAAGAAAAAGAACTAGAAAGGAAAGAGGAAGAGAGGGAAGAGCAGGTGAAAGGAGAGAAGACAATGTAAAGGAGATCATCTGTATCTCCTCACAAAAAACCTAAAGTATTTACTATCTAGTCCTTTACAGAAAAAGTCTGCTGATCTCTGATACATACTATTAATATATTTATATATTAATGTATGTTTTTATGCTGTTATATATATAACCTGCACTGTAAATTAAATATTCTATGTATTTTAAATTTGTATATGCTTTAATGTAAATATACCTTTCATATAAGTACCTGGGACCAAAAAGATCGAGATCAATCAATATCCTCAAATTTGGTTTTAAAATACATAATATAAAACACTGATGCTTCATCCCAAAAGTGAATGTGAAGAAAAAAGTCTGATTTTAAAAGTAGTATGTGTGGGCCGGGCACGGTGGCTCATGCCTGTAATCCCAGCACTTTGGGAGGCCAACGCGGCCGGCGGGCAGTTATCACTGGAGGCCAGGAGTTTGAGACCAGCCTGGCCAACATGGCAAAACCCCATCTCTAGTAAAAAATACAGAAAAATTAGCTGGGTGTGGTCGTGCGTGCCTGTAGTCTCAGCTACTCAGGAGGCTGAGGCACGAGAATCGCTTGAACCCAGGAGGCAGAGGTTGTAGTGAGCTAAGATCATGCCACTACACTCCAGCCTGGGTGACAGATGGAGACTGTCACAAAAAACAGAAAACAAAAAACAAAAAAAAGATAACCACCTATTAAAAAAAAAAAGGAGTATGTGTTCCTCAGGAAGTATGGAAAATAGAGAAATGCTAATACTACTAACACTAAAAATACAAAAATTAGCTGGGTGTGGTGGCTAACACCTGTAATCCCAGCTACTCAGGAGGCTGAGGCAGGATAATCGCTTGAACCCAGGAGGTGGAGGTTGCAATGAGCCAAGATCGTGCCATTGCACTCCAGCCTGGGCGACGAGAGCAAAACTCCGTCTCAAAAAAAATACATTTTTAAAGGCAGCAAAACACTGTCAAACATTTACATGGTTATCATTTTTCACTATTACATGCACTATAATGAGCATACTTATAGCTGCCATTTGCATACGACCATAATCCACTTATGATAAGTTCTTAGACTATTGAAGAGCAAACTCTGAAGGACTCCAGAATTAGATTCCAAATAGCTTCATTAAAATCCATCCATCATTTTCTCATATAGATATGGCTCACCCATGATCCTTTCATAATCATTAAGAATAGAAGAATACTGAAAATATAGATTTTACCTTGGCCTCTGTGAGATACAAAAGACCTTGAAGAAGAGTTTCCTTTTATGTTTGCTAACTCTATTCGCAATAATGCCTAAGAATATGTATTTCTGTATTTCTTTCAAAGAAAGCATACTATATTGCCCAGGTAGTTATTATCAGGGAAGTGTGCTCCTAGTACTCAATACCCTTTCTGATAGTATGCTATCAAAAAAGAAAAAAAAAGAGCCATCCAAATCAAAGGAAGTGTTTTGTTCTTGAAGTTACCTCATCTGCCTTAGCTTTGCTTGCTCTTTTCTAAGTGTCTAGACATAACCACATCTGCCAACTGAATGCCACACTGCAGACTTGTCAGGTATATGTACATAAAAATTGGTTATTTTTAGATGCTTTAGAATGGTTCTACTTTTCAGAAGGAAGGAGATCCATTTGAGCATGGCTTCTGGGTTAAAATTTAAACATCTACATATAGTCTCCAGTGACCACAGGATAGAACATGTAGCTGTCTCCCTAGTAAGATTAACTATTTTTTGTAACTGAAACTTTCTGCAATGAGTCAAATTTGTAGAAATTCTGCTTCACATAATCCAATATCACCTCACCAGAACTGGTACTGGTTCTACAAGACCAATTTATTTGGCAAAGAGATTTTAATTTTATATACTAAACCTTAAAAGGCAAAAATCAACATTCGTGCGGCCTTCACAATACACTGCACTTGTATAGTGTTCCTCCATCTTCTTTACTCCTCAAGAAGTCACTTAGAGCTATTCTCCCACTTTACAAAAAAGGCAAATAAGGGTTACATCAGGGAAAGAACTGGGTCAAGAGTGAACCATTCACAACCCAGAGGACATTCAAATCTGGACACTTTTCTTGGCCTATCTTCCCCAAGAATCAGGGTGAAACAGGGTTAATGGGCATCAAACTAATAAAAACACTTGAAGTGAAGCCTTGCTCTTTATGATTTCCCTCACCATCTTTAATACTTTTTTTTTTTTTTTGAGATGGAGTTTCGCTCTTGTGGCCCAGGCTGGTGTGCAATGGCACTATCTCAGCTCACTGCAACCTCTGCCTCCCGAGTTCAAGCAATTCTCCTGCCTCAGCTTCCTAAGAAGCTGGGATTACAGGCGCACACCACCACACCCAGCTAATTTTTGTATTTTTAGTAGAGATGGGGTTTCACCATGTTGGCCAGGCTGGTCTCAAACTCCTGACTGACCTCAGGTCATCCACCTGCCTCAGCCTCCCAGAGTGCTGGGATTACAGACATGAGCCATTGTCCCTGGCCATCTTTAAAACTTAATAGGACTGAAAATACTTCCTCTCAAAAGAGTTGTTTGAGGAATAGGGAACCTGGTTATCTTGGTTCCACTACTTATTAATTATATGATTGTGGTTGACATTTTAACTTGTGGTGTTCACATCTGTACACACAGGATTTCACATGTACACAGTTTTGCATGTATATACAGTTTGCATGTATTTCACATTTATACAGTCATTTAAAATTAAATGAGATCATGTATGAAAATGTTCTAGCACAAATAATGTCAATAAAATATTTACTGAATGAATGAGTGGCTGGAAAGAGTATATACTGCATATGTCCAAAACAGTAAAGACATTTGCCTGTAGCAAATCTCTATTTGCATGTTTGCCTAAAAGTAAGTGGTTGCCACTATATACAGAATGTAACTAAATATACCTGTTATCCTAATAAATTCTTTATTTGAATTTTGCTTCCATCCCAGACTGTTTCACTATTAACTATAAATGCCTGGTAAGCCATGTAATAATCCTAAAACAAAAATTAAATATAGCTCTGGAACAACTTGTCACTACAAATGCACTTAAGTGGAGTATTATGGAATCAAAAGCAAGAGCTGCTTCTTGACTTTTAAATATATTAAATAGGCATTTGGTAGTACTCATGTTTTTTACAACTAATTTTTCTAATCTATAAAACATCTGACATTTATAGACACTGCAGCAAGGAAAATGATGAGCACAGTGTTTTTACAGTTAGCATTTGCTATTTTAAAAACTTACTGAGAAATGCTGAAGCAAGTCTTCTTTTTCTTCCTCAATGAATCCTCCAACTGTTAGTGCTTTGGGACGATGGTCCACCACCATGTGATTTAGTGAGCCCCTTCCTCTTCCTCCACGCCCTCGGCCTCTTCCTCGACCTTGAGAGGACATGGTCTTTCCTCGACCCACAGGTAAAATACCTAACCGTGCAGCCTGAATAACAACAAAAAGTAGAATGTAGCATACATTATTAGACTAAACCTTAAAAACAAAGGAAAACTTTTTTTTTTTTTTTGAGATGGAATTTCACTCTCGTTGCCTAGGCTCGAGTGCAATGGCACGATCTCGGCTCACTGCAACCTCTGCCTCCCAGGTTCAAGCTATTCTCCTGCCTCAGCCTCCCAAGCAGCTGGGATTACAGGCAAGCACCACCATGCCTGGCTAATTTTGTATTTTTAGTAGAGACGGGGTTTCTCCATGTTGGTCAGGCTTGTCTCAAACTCTTGACCTCAGGTGATCCACCCGCCTCGGCCTCCCAAAGTGCTGAGATTACAGGCGTGAGCCACCGCGCCCGGTCAAAGGAAAACTTTTTTGAGACGTTAAATGTGGTGGGGCGCTAACTCCTTTTAAATCTCACCTCAACCTGTAACTGACTGAGTTTTTTCCGTAATTCTGTGGTGTCTTCTCCTGAGGACAGCCTCTTGTGGAGGTCCAGTTCAGTATCTAATAACTCCTTCTGGGCCTTTGGAAAAATTGAAAATAAAAAGGTATTTTTTAGATAACTTACAAGATCTCCTCCAGAACATGATAGTTACACAATGACACACATGTATTTTGGAACATGAGAATGAGAGGATGCAATAAACATGGGTGTTTTTAAAAAAGTAACTTTACAGATATAGTAGTGCCAACATGTAAAAAGTATATAGATATCAGTGAAAAAGAGTAAGCATTAGACGGCTTAAAAATTACATCCTAGGAACAGACACCTGAGATGAGGGAGCTGAGAATAACTGTCACATAATAAAGTATCACAAATGAAACACAATGGAGCAAAATAAATTATATAGTAAAAATGTATTTATAATACAAAGTAACAGCTACATAATTACTACCAGATTGGAATCCACAACTGTTGACATTCTCTTTTTTGTTAGAGACGAATTATTTATCAGTCTTTAAAAGACATGACTGCCAATGATTTTTTCACCTCTTTAATTTTTAAAATGTGCATATATATTCTTTCTATAATTAGAAAAGATTTCAATAAAAAACATTTTTATTATATCTTTAAGAAGAAATCTTAAACACTTTATGTTTCTATACTGATAGAGAACCATAATTTCAAATTTAATGTAATACTACATATAACAATTTACATTCTACATATCTGACAAATTCATTACCAGTTCTCAAAGGACTAGAATTATCTATAATCACACCACAGAACTGTGGTGTAATGGAACCACTGACTAAACCAAGTACAGCAAGGAAACACATGGAAATTAATAAAAATTAGACTTAAATAGATCTAAAACTTCTGATTATTCTTTTTAATAACATGCCACATTTTTACCCATATGAATAGGCCAGGCTTCTTTTTTTAAAGGATGGTTTTATTACAATACTATTACAGCATTAGAAAAACACTGCTGAAATGGGAAATACCTCTTTCACCACCATCACTTTAATAGTGTCATCTTCAGCAGAGAACCAAAATATTCAGTTAAAAAACACATCTTTGTTCAAACAGGGTATTATCAACCTCTTCCCAAAAAGGGTACAGAGCATCTACAGAAACACTAAAACAAAAAAATTGTGGCAGCCGGGTGCAGTGGTTCACACCTGTAATCCCAGCACTCTGGGAGGCCAAGGTGGGAGGACTGCATTTGAGGCCAACCTGGGCAATATAGTGAGACCTTGTCTCTTAAAAAAAAAAAAAAAAAAAAAAAAGGTACTATAATTAGGATTTTTTTTTTAAGTACTATAATTGTTTGCCTATATCCCTGTTAGGATATTAGCTACCTAAGGGTCCCATTGTACTTTCAAGGTGTCAAGCACATGGCAGATGTTCAATAACCCTATGTTAAATAAAAAATGCAAATAGATACCTCCGTTTTTGTCTTCACTTTAGATGGTGTGGAGACTGCAGAAGATGTTTTTAATTCATCTTTTAATTGTGAGATCTTCTCTCCAAGCTCTTTCAAAGTCTTCATTATATTTGCTCTTTCTTCTGGTTTCATGTTTTTGTTTTTTTCTAACTTGGATATTAACATCTACGAAATAAATAGAAAAAGGTAAAACCATGCTTAATAAACTTTAATATAAAGAAGTCTTTAAAAATTATGAATAATACTTTTAAAATCAATTCTATACATCAATTCTAGCATGCAAATAATGAGCTCTTGTCTTACCTTTTGGCATTCTATTTGCTTTTCTAACACTTCCTGTCTTTTTTTCCTCATATCTTGTTGTAACTTCATTGCTTCCTGTATAAGTAAAAAAGAAATTAATACAGATAATGTAATTTGCCACCATTCTCAACTCATTTTTTCTGGGTCATCCCTGAGACAGACTGTCCTCCTAATAAAAAAATAGCTGACACCATAGATGAAACCTTTGAATATATTTTCCCTAACACTTTCAGCATAATAGAGTTTACAACTGTACTTAAAAAATATTTAAAATATTGGACCTAATTAGCTATATCTATGAGATTTATTGACTTGAATGACCTGAATGTCCTTATGAAGAAAAACCAAAGTTGTTTTCACTTGCCAATGTAATAGCTAAATCCTTATTTTTTAAGTTTAAAGTTTAAAAATGTGAGGCTAGGCATGGTGGCTCAACTTGTAATCCTAGCATTTTGGGAGGCTGAGGTGGTAGGAATGCTTGAGTCCAGCCTCGGCAACAGAATGAGACCCTGTCTCTACAAAAAAATGAACAAAATTAGCCAGGGCATGGTGGCACATGCCTACTCAGCTACTCAGAAGGCTAAGGTGGGAGGATCATTTGAGCCTGGGACATCAAGGCTGCACTGGGCCATGATCATGACACTGCACTCAACGTGAGTGACAGAGTGAGAACTTGTCTCAAAGAAAAGAAAAGAAAAGAAAAAAGTGACATGCAGCTATAGGTTAGAAATGATAGAGTAGGCCGGGCATAGTGGCTCACACCTGTAATCCCAGCACTTTGGGAAGCCGAGGCAGGTGGATCACCTGAGGTTGGGAGTTCAAGACTAGCCTGACCAACATGGAGAAAATCCATCTCTACTAAAAATACAAAATTAGCCAGGGGTGGTGGCGCATGCCTGTAATCCCAGCTACTCTGGAGGCTGAGGCAGGAGAATCGCTTGAACCCAGGAGGCGGAGGTTGCAGTGAGCCAAGACCACACCATTGCACTCCAGCCTGGGCAACAAGAGCAAAACTCCGTCTCAAAAAAAAAAAAAAGAAATAAGAAATAAGAGAGTAAAATCTATGGATTTCACCAGGAAAATTTTGCCTCCCACCCTCCTGTTAAATCTCTAATTATACTGAGATAGTACATATAAATATCTATTTAATTTGGAAAACCCTATGTGAACTTAACAGGATGACAATGAAACTCAGAACTGAATCATATAGATAATAATTACAAAAGTCTTATATTTTATATGAATCATTATCTACCTAGGAATTAAAAAAAGAAAATAAACACTAGAATTGGAGGGAATAATAGTGTATCAAAAAAAAATTCTGAATGGCAATTGTGAAACATTTTTTCTGTATGTCCACCTTTTTTTTCCAAGTTTACATTAGAGAAGAAGCTAAATAAGCATTATGATGTTATGCCCTGCCAACATGAACTGATTTAAAAGTGATAATGTAACCACTTAAAAATTCAAGGCATCTTTTCTTCTGTAAGGCAAGAAGAATCAAGACTGTTACCTGTTTTTTTTTAAGCACTTCTTGAACATCATGAGATTTAGACCCTGAACAGAGCTTTGAAGGTGTCTTTAAGTTTGAGGAGCTGTAAATCATTTTTGGATGGCCTGGAGTTGAAAATATCTAAAAAATAAAGAAAAAAAAAAAGCACACACAAATATAATTATATCTTAGAAATGCTTAGAATACTTTTTTAGAAAAGATGCATATATTTCTACTCTTCTTAGGAGTTAAATTTTCTTTTTACATTTAAAAATTTCATTATAAAATCTAGTTCTTTATGCATAAATTTGTCACCCAAAAGATAAAAACAGCCTAAGTACCCTTCTGTTAAACACAATTTCACAAAACACCAACATCAGACAAAGGTGCTCCTGTGACCATAACAGATCAAGACAAAAGCAAGACCAATCCCTAATCATGACTGAACAGAGACAAAAATATGAATGCTATCCAAACTATAAAATGACTAAACATCTGTTTATCCTGGTAATGACTGCCGCTTCTTTACCACTTACTGCTTTAGCCTCATTCCAGGTAAGATTTAGTGAGATATCCTATCATAGAATTTATGCCTGTTTCCTTAAATCCTTCTAAATCATCTAACTTAGCCAAAATCCTAAAATAAGTCCTTTTGGCATCCAGTTTCATTGTGTATACCTCTCACTGAATAATAAGTTGAATTTGTTTGGCTACAGGTGGTATCTGGCTGGAGGGTATTTCACAAGTTGTTTTTCGTAAGTGAAGTGCCAAATAAAAACTCTTGTTTCCAGTAACTGAAAAATCCTTCTAAGTATTAAGCTACGTTCTTTTTTTAAAGTTTTCCTTTCTTCTTTTTTTTTAAAGATAAGGTCTCACTCTGCTACCCAGGCTAGCGTGCAGAGGTGCAATCACGGCTTGCTGCGCCTCAATCTCTTGGGCTCAATCCCACCTCAGCTTCCAGAGTAGCTGGGGCTATAGGTGCGAGCCTGCAAGCCTAGCTGGTTTCTTTTCTTTTTTGTAGAGATAGGGTCTCTCTATGTTGCCTAGGCTGGTCTCAAACTCCTAGGCTCAAGTGATCCTCCCACCTCAGCCTCCCAAAGTGCTAGGATTAGAGGTGTGAGCCACTGCACCCGTCTTTTTAAAAACTTCTTAATTAACTTTGAATAATATAAGAGATATAGAAAATAATATGAAGAAATCCATGGAAAATTCAATCACATAAATATTATATCCAAATGTAAGACTTCTCTCAATCACCACAACACTTAATTATCATCAAAATTAAACTAGTTTACACAGGAAAGTCCTGCATGTGCCATAATATTCACCTCTCCAGTTCCAGCTTATAATATTCTAAACAATTTCCCCCCATTTGAAATGGGATCTATTAAAGTCCATGTAAGTGCAACTTGTTACATCTCTTTATAGTCTCCTTTACTTCATAGTTTCCCTCTCTATCTCTTGCTTTTCATTGCAAATTGTTTGTTGAAGAAACCAGGTCACTCATCCAGTAGTACTCCCCCATAGGATTCTGTGGTACCCTTGAAGATGTCCCTCTGTCCCCCAAATTTCTTTTAAATTAGTGGGTAGATCTAGAGGCCTGATCAGATTTGTTTTTCTCTTTGACAGGACTCTAGTAATCTTTGACACCCTCCTTAGTTTCTGGTTTGATACCATATTCTAGGCTCATCTGCAGTACTGCCAGTCTCAGGTCTGGAGACAGCTATTTCTTCAAGGATCCCTGGGTCCCTTTGAGTGCTAGGGATGCTCAATGACTGGGCTGGTCATTATTTCTAGACCTTTTCAGTGAATAGAATTGGGAAATGTTTGGGGAATATTTTGTTGCCTTTTTTTTCCCGCTTAAGATAAAATACAACCTGAGTTAATACGGATAGTTTCTATTCAAATGCAGGACTACAGGTATTTACTTAGTCTTATCTATCTTCTATCTCTCTTTTCAACCACACTGAAAGTCTGAGTTGTCAAGGACATCAGTGTAATTCCTCATTTGATTTACCCTACAATGCTCACAGATGGGTTTTAGAATATCAACACTGTCAACAATATGATTAGAAAGAGCTTTCTTTAAATTGTTTTTTGTCCTCAGGGTATATCACATTAGGAATACATCATCAAATCACTGTTTTAAAGCACTCAATGCAGATATGCTAGTTCATGTGTTTCACTTTTCTTTTCACTTTTTAGGGATTACTTCTATTTCATTTAATTTTACTTTATAATTACTTTCAGAATTTATTTACATGGTTCCAAGTTAAATCTACAAAACAAGACGTAATCAAAAGTCATCTAGCTTCTTCTATACTTGCCATAACCACAAGATTTAAATAATATGAATTATCTTTTTGGTTTTTTTCCTGTTAAAAGCAAATACTTCTCTGTGTTCAGTGCCTCTACTTTTTCACACCAGCAGTAGTCAACTATGTATTTTTTTCTTCCATTTTGCTTTTTTACTTAATATATTCTGATAATCACTCCATGGTACATATAAAAATATTCTTCATTCTTTATATAGTTGTATATTTACTGTGTAGATATACTACATTTGCAGTAACCAGTCCCCTACAGATGGGTATTTGGGTTGTTTCCAGTCTTTTGTTATTATAAAGAGTATATCATTACTAGCCTTGCACATATGTCTTTCCATATTTTGGCTGGTATACCTTTGACATAGATTCTTAGAAGGAAGATAACTAGTTTAGTAATGCATATGCATAATTTTTGCAGATACTGTACTGCCAAATTTCCTTTCATGAGGGTTGTATCATTTAGACTTTCAATCAGCATCTAAATCTCAGATCCATTTGGAATTTATACTGGTTTATGATATAATTTTTAAAAAAAGGATCAGATCTTATTTCATCTTTTCCCTACTGGCTATCCAGTCATCCCAATACTATTTATCAACATGTCTATAACTTCCCCACTGACCTGTTCCACTTTGTTATTATATAATAAACTCCTATTTGCAACTGAGTCTATTTCTAGATTTTCTATTCTGTTCCACTAGTCTGTCTATTCATGAGTCATTATCAGGTTGTTTCAGTTACAGAAGCTACATAGTATTTTTGGGATAGCAGTTTTCTTTGCTTTCCCTTTTTTTTTTTTTTTTTTTTTAGCTCTCTTTGTAATAATCACCATGCTCAAGAGTTATAGTATAGATATATTACTAAAAATAAATTACTTAAAACATATTTCAAAGTTTGGTTTTTTACTATGACAGAATACCCTTCACTAAATTCTTAAAGATGAAATTAAAGAAATTAATAAAGACACTTATCTATTAATAAATATCTAAAATTCAGCCGGGTGCAGTGGCTCACGCCTGTAGTCCAGCACTCTGGGGTGGATCACCTAAGGTCGGAGTTCCAGACCAGCCTGACCAACATGGAGAAACCCCATCTCCACTAAAAATACAAAATCAGCTGGGCATGGTGGCGCATGCCTGTAATCTCAGCTACTCAGGAGGCTGAGGCAGCAGAATCGCTTGAACCCAGGAGGTGGAGGTTGCGGTGAGCCGAGATTGTGCCATTGCACTCCAGCCTGGGCAACAAGAGCAAAACTCTGTCTCAAAAAACAAACAAACAAACAAACAAACAAATAAATATCTAAAATTCTCAAATTCCTACTTAACTTGGTTTTTGTTTTTTGTGTTTTTTTTTTTTTGACACAGGGTCTTGCTCTGTCACCCAGGCTGCAGTGCAATGGTACGACCTTGGCTCACTGCAACCTCCTCCTTCGGGTTCAAGTGATTCTCGTGCCTCAGCCTCCCGGGTAGCTGGGATTACAGGTGTCTGCCACCACGCCCAGCTAATTTTTTTGTATTTTTAGTAGAGAGGGGGTTTCGCCATTTTGGCCAGGCTGGTCTCAAACTCCTGACCTCAGGTGATCCACTCACCCAGGCTTCCCAAAGTGCTGGGATTACAGGTGTGAGCCACCACGCCCAGCCTCCTACTTAATTTTGAATAGGAAAAAAATTTCACCAGCAAATTTCTGACTGAAACATGGAAACTAGAGAGGTATACCTGCCACACTTAGGTTAACTGTCACAACTGTCTTCACTGTCTGAATGATAACTGATTTATTCTGTTAATTCACTGAATGATTCTAAATATATCTGAAGCTCCCAAAAATGCATACCTGGCAATCTTCTCCAGCACCACCAGACTGATTCAACAAATGTGATGCATCACTCTGGTTACCACCTGCATGTCCAAGACGATGTTTAACAGGAACTTTGTTAAGAACATATGCACCTGATGTCTGTGGTTTGCTCATCATCTGCACATACAAAATGAACACTTATGTGGCAGAAGTTTAAAAACATGCCTAGAAATGGTACAAATTTAAGATGATTACTCTAGGGAAGAAGATAAGAAAATGGGAACGGGAAGGTGCTTCAATTATCCGTAAGGTTTTATTTTTTAAGGGGAACTGGTGAATATACAAATGATAGATTATTCATACTTTTTGGGATGTCTAAAACATATCACAACAAAATATACATGCACCTACACACAAAAAAACCATTAATTATTTTTTAATGTTTCCTCTAGTATGCAATGCTCTGAAAGAATTAGAGGGTCTTGGCTGGGCACAGTGGCTCACACATATAATCCCAGCACTTTGGGAGGCCAAGGTGGGTGGATCACCTGAGGTCAGGAGTTCAAGACCAGCCTGGCCAACATGGTGAAACCCCGTCTCTACTAAAAATACAAAAATTGGGCAGGGGTGGTGGCATGCACCTGTAGTCGCAGCTACTCAGGAGGCTGAGGCAGGTAGCCTGAACCAGGAGGCAGAGGTTGCAGTGAACCAAGACTGAGCCACTGCACTCTAGCCTGAATGACGACAAAGCAGGACTGTCTCAAAAAAAAAAAAAAAGGAAAAAAGAAGAAGAAAAGAATTAGGGGGTCTTAACTGACAGTGGCTTAATATGAATAATTGTGAAATGATCACCTCAAAAACATAATGCAATCTTGGGCTGTACTAACAGAACATGTTTAATCATCACCATGAAGGTGATAGTATGAACTCTTTTCTACACTATTCACCCAACATCTAGGGGAAGCATTCACCTTTGCACCCTTACATGAAGTGGGATACAAACATAACTGAAAGAGAATTTAGATGCAAATGAGCAGGATGATAAATGGAGTTGATGCCATGTACTGTAAGGAATACTTTTTAAAAATCTGACTGTATTTAATCTAAGCATGAGATTATCTAGGTCAATCTCTGAATGGCTCTGATGTGTGGTAGTTTGTTGTTTTGTTTTTTCCTTCCTTCATCTATTCAATCAAATATGCTTTGAGCAATATGTACCAGACATTGTTTTAGGCACTAGGGATAGAATGGACACAACAGGCAAAATTCCAATTCTCTTGGAGCTTCTATTCCCATTTTTAGAAGGAACATATAACTTTTTTACATGGGAAAAAGGAGGGCAAATGGGTAGACACAAAAAAGACTGATTCTAAAAAATAAATAGCTCTACAGTTAAAGTTGCTCTGTGGTAGATGGTTATTATACTTTAGGGTGCATAACAATAACTTAAGAGTACTTGTTAAATATGTATATTTATAGGCCCTGTATCTAGAGACTGACTCTACAGAGGTTTGAGAAGCTGAAGCCCAGAAATTTGCACCCAGGTAAGTGATTCTGATGTAAAATAGCAGGTCTCAAACTTTAAGGTATGTAAGAATCACCAGGAGAGCTTGTTAAAACACAAATCCTTGGGCCCCACCCATAGGGATTCTGATTCAGTAGGATGGAGTATGGCTCAAGAATCTGAAATTTTTCCCCCAAGAATCTGCATTTCTATAAGATCCCAGGAGATCAGATGCTACTGGTCTGCAGTTCAAATTAAGAGTAGCTCTTCTGTAGAAGACCCAAGGACCAGGAATTGAAAAATACTGATCTAGAGGGTGTAACTAAAAGACCTTTAATTCCCAGTGAACCAGATTACCTTCTGGATACCTCCGTGCACTGTTGAAGGAGCAGACTGGGCCACTAGCACCTGCTGCTGATGTAGATGCTGTGGCAGGTGATGGTGCTGCTGTGAGAGGTGACTAAGTGTTTGCTGTTGTTGCAGGAGCAGCTGTGCTGAGGACTGTAGTGTCGGTTGCTCATTATTTTCCCTATGCCACAAGACTCGAATGAATCGGTTGTTTAGAACTGCTTCTGTGCTAGAAATGGCTTTCCTGGCCTCCTCATTGGTAAGATATTGGATTAGGGCTGCTTCTGGGTCACCCTTAAAAGCAACCTTGAAGAAAATAAAACAATATAAATTCCCAAAAACAGAAAATAGTTAAATAAATTATGACCCACTGCTATGTAATGAATGTTTTCCCCAAAATACACATGTTAAAGCCCTAAACTCCAACATTACTGTTTTAGAGATAGAGCTTTTAGGATGTAATTAAGGTTAAATGAGGTCACAAAGGTGCATCCTAATGAATAGTATCGGTGGCCTTAAAAGAAGAGAAAGAGATCTGCCCTGACCCCCTCTTTCTCTTTCTCTGTCTGCCATGTGAGAACACAAGAAGCCAACCATCTGCAAGCGAGGAAGACAGCACTCCCTAGGAAATGAATCATCCAGCACCTTGATCTTGGACTTCTCAGTCTCCAAAACTGTGAGGCTACCCATTCTCTTTCAGGAAGAGATTGCAGAAAAGAACCAAATGAATTCACAAGAACAAACATGGTTTAACAAGTCCATCATAAAAGTGGGTATATAGATATATGGTGGCATTTACAGCACTTAGCAGAGATGATCAGAATAACCACTGACTCATTTAAACAAGGTGAGCTGATAGAAATATTCCCAAGACCCATAAAATGCCTGGATTCTGTCACTGACATAGCCACATTTACCTGGATATTAACAATAGTTCCAAATTTGCTGAAGTGTTCATTGAGCTTGGTAATGTTGTTCAATTCCTGAGGGATTTTCTTGACTTCTAATTTGGTGTTTGTATACTGATTCTTTCGTAAGAACCCTGGTTTATTTTGATTGTTATTTCCTTGCCTAAAAGGAAGATTAATACATCTTGGTTAATTCTCCTACTTCATGCCTAGCAAAGAGATATAACCACAAAGAATTTAGGTTTATAATTTTTTTAAGTGCCTTTTGTGGCTGGGCATGGTGGCTCCACCTATAATCCCAGAAAACTTCTTCAAAATCATATGAAACATTATATTCAAAATTCAAACCACAGAAAATACATAAGCATCCAGAAACAGATTACAGGCTGAGCGAAGTAGCTCATGCCTGTAACGCCAGCACTCTGAGAGGCCAAAGCAGGAGGATTGCTTGAGCCCAGGGGTTCCAGACCAGTCTGGGGAACATAGTAAGACCACATCTCTATGTAATAAATTAACTGATTGATTAATTTGTTTAAAGTTCCTTTTGTGAGCCCTTAACATTCTTCGGAAATTACTAAGCAATTTTCACATTCTTCTTTTTTTTTTTTGTAGACGGAGTCTCACTCATTCGCCCAGGCTGGAGTGCCGTGGAACAATCTCGGCCCACTGCAACCTCCACCTCCCAAGTTCAAGTGATTCTCCTGCCTCAGCTTCCTGAGTATCTGGGATTACAGGTGCATGCCAACACGCACGACTAATTTTTGTATGCTTAGTACAGACAAGGTTTCACCATGTTGGCCAGGCTGGTCTTGAACTCCTGGCGTCGGTGATCTACCCGTCTCGGCCTCCCAAAGTGCTGGCATTACAGGTGTGAGCCACTACGCCCGGCCAACATTATTCTTTTTTTTTTTTTTTTTTTTTTTTTTTTGAGACGGAGTCTCGCTCTGTCGCCCAGGCCGGACTGCGGACTGCAGTGGCGCAATCTCGGCTCACTGCAAGCTCTGCTTCCCGGGTTCACGCCATTCTCCTGCCTCAGCCTCCCGAGTAGCTGGGACTACAGGCGCCCGCCACTGCGCCCGGCTAATTTTTTGTATTTTTAGTAGACACGGGGTTTCACCTTGTTAGCCAGGATGGTCTCGATCTCCTGACCTCATGATCCACCCGCCTTGGCCTCCCAAAGTGCTGGGATTACAGGCGTGAGCCACCGCGCCCGGCCACATTATTCTTATTACATGAGAATAGAAAAGGTGAACAGCAATAGATTACAAAAAGAAAAGGCCCAACTAACACTTAAAATCATATGCTAAATAGATCTACCATAAAGATCTACCACAATTATCAAAGACTCTAACATCATTAAATGAAGGCTAGAACACCACCTTTTTTTTTTTTTTTTTTTTTTTGAGACAGAGTTTTGTTCTTTTTGCCCAGACTGGAGTGCAATGGTGCAATCTCAACTCACTGCAACCTCCGCCTCCCAGGTTCCAGCGATTCTCCTGCCTCAGCCTCCCAAGTTGCTGGGATTACAGGCGCGTGCCACCACACCTGGCTAATTTTGTATTTTGGCTTTCTCCATTTTGGTCAGGCTGGTCTCGAACTCCTGACCTCAAGTGATCCACCCGCCTTGGCCTCCCAAAGAGCTGGGATTATAGGCGTGAGCCACTGTGCCCAGCTAGAACATCATCTTTAACGGCATATTTTCAACTTCTGCAAAGGTACTAAGCTTTTTTTTTTCACCGTTGATTTCATTTTTTTCTTCTTTTCTATCCATTGCTAGTGTCTCAGTAATTTCTAATATTGGGTTAGGCGTAGAAATAGGTAGGTACGAATTAGAAATACCTATTTTGGGCTGGATGTGGTAGCTCACACCTGTAATCCCAGCACCTTGGGAGGCCAAGGTGGGTGGATCACCTGAGGTCAGGAGTTTGAGACCAGCCTGACTAACAAGGTGAAACCCCATCTCCGCTAAAAATACAAGAAAATCAGGTGGGCATGGTGGCTGGCACCTGTAATCTCAACTACTCAGGAGGCTGGGACAAGAGAATCACTTCAACCCAGGAGGCAGAGGTTGAGGTGAGCTGAGATTATACCATTGCACTCCAGCCTGGATGACTACGTCTTTTAAAAAAAAAAAAAAAATTATAAATATTGTTAACTTTTTAATTTTTACAACATTCTAAAGATGTCTCCTGGAACCCTAACTTCAAGATACCTAGTTTGAAAAACATTAATTAATGACAAATCTTATTTTTATGAATTTACCAATGCAAACGACAATAACAATTAGATGCTACTAATTAGCAAATTATCTTACTTTCCCAGCCAAGGTTTCTTTGTGAGTGGCCCTTCCAAACCACTCATAGCTCTTTTTCGACTATCTGGTTCAAGAACTACTCTGGTTATGTTGCTATTAATCGAAACAGGAACTGGTGGTTCAGTCTGGATCACAATGTTAGCAGCTGTTGGAAAAAAAAATTGAAATTACTGAGTTTTTCAGGAGTCTCAATGATTAATATATTTAGTCTAAAAGCTAAAAACTACTATGAATAGCTCAACTACTATCATTTCTCTTTTAGAAATGCCTAACAGAAGAAAAAGTTACAAATGCCTTTTTCTATAAAAAATAGAAATCCATGTTTCAAAACTCAAAGTTAACCTCGATGTAATAATTGACTCAGGCATGGATGATCAATAGATGAAAAAAATATTGGTGAAAGGTTGCTGGAAAACAAGATATTTATGGTGCCAAAGTACCACTCCAAAAATTACATTTACAATGGAGAGCTCTGGGCCAGGCACGGTGGCTCACGCCTGTAATTCCAGCACTTTGGGAGGCCGAGGCGGGCGGATCACCTGAGGTCGGGAGTTCGAGACCAGCCTGACCAACATGGGGAAACCCCATCTCTACTAAAAATACAAAAAAATTAGCCAGACATGGTGGTGCATGCCTGTAATCCCAGCTACTCGGGAGGCTGAGGCAGGAGAATCGCTTGAACCCAGGAGACGGAGGTTGTGGTGAGCCGAGATTGTGCCATTGCACTCCAGCCTGGGCAACAAGAGTGAAATTCGGTCTCATAAAGAAACCAAAAAAAAAAAACAAAAACAATGGAGAGCTCCAACAATGATCACCTTATACAAGCAATCAAACTTAGCACCATTAATGGACATTATTTGCCTCCTGGTATGATTCAACAAGAAGTTCACCAAATCATAAGGATTACATATTATTATGGAATTATGGTTTTATGTGTGGCAATAATACTGTGCTTATATAGGACTGTCTTATTCTTAGATATAAGGTAAAGGACTTAAAGTTTCACAATGTCTACCAATTAATTTCAAGAGATTCAACAAAAAAATGTGAGTGGAGAGAAGAAAGAGAAGAGAGAGTATACAAGAGAGCATTCATGCCCAAAGGTAGTAAAATATTACTGGTGAATCTAAATGAAGGCATTCAAATGTTCACTGTGTTTCTTTTGATTTTCCACAGGTTTAAAGTTGGGAAGAAAATCCAAAGCCAATACTATAAATTGGCAGAAATACTCTAAGAATCTGTCCTTACAATAAATAACCTGTGGGTAGGAAGACGTGTACTGAACAAAACAGAAATTAGCAACACAAAACTATGCCTATTAAATCTTGAGTATTTCTCTTAACTTTAGCAACTCCACCAAGCAAAGAATAACTCAGAGCTGAATGCTGGGGTAGGTATATGGTTAGGAGTTGGTACATTTGATTTCATCTTTGTCAGGGAAATTATGATGTAAAGATTCATTCACTTAACGTTTAGCTATTTTACAGCTCAGCAACTATAGCAGACCTTGGGTATACATTAGTGAATAAAATAGACGTGATCCTTGCTCTTGCGGGACTTGTGTTTGCAGAAGGCTAATGAAGAAGATAGCAACTGCGATGGCATAAAGCATTCTAGAGTTTGAGATGCCATTATGTTCTCCTTAAATAGTTTTTATCATTACCAGCTAACATTGCCTAATGCTTTTTTTTAATTAATTTTTTTTAATTTAATGAAGTGTGTCATATTAAAGGAAGGAAGTCACTAAAGGTTAAGTGACTTACCCAAGACAACAAAGAAATCTTGTTGTATACACAACATGACTTCTCCTCTGAATTCTAGTTCTGCCACTTAACAGCTGTGTGACTTTGGGCAAGTTCTTTAAACCTCTCTAAGCCTCAGTGTTTTTACTTGTAAAAGGAGAATAAAAATAGAAATATGAGAGACAATAATATATATGAGGCTGGGTGCAGTGGCTCATGCCTGTAATACCAGCACTTTGGGAGTCCGAGGTGAGATCTGGATCACCTGAGGTCAGGAGTTCAAGACCAGCCTGACCAATATGGTGAAACCTCGTCTCTACTAAAAATACAAAAATTAGCAGGGTTGTGGTGGTGCACACCTGTAATCCCAGCTACTCAGGAGGCTGAGGTGGGAGAATCGCTTGAACCCAGGAGGCGGAGGTTGCAGTGAGCCGAGATCGTGCCACTGCATTCCAGCATAGGTGACAGAAGGAGACCCTGTCTCAAAAAATATATATATATAAATAATATATATAAAAATAATATATATAAAAATATATATATAAATAATATATATATAAAATATATATATATGAGAAGGCATTTGGTGTAGTCTTCATACAAAACCTGTTATTCTTATAGTGGTAATAGTGTTATTAACAGCAGGAAAAAAGAATTAATAAAGCTAGGATAGAAAGGAAGAACAGGAAAATGCTAGGCTGGGCATGGTGGCTCACACCTGTAATACCAGCACTTTGAGAGGCCAAGGTAGGTGGATAACCTCAGGTCAGGAGTTCAAGACCAGCCTGGCCAACATGGTGAAACCCCGTCTATACTAAAAATACAAAAATTAGCCAGGCATGGTGGCACATGCTTATAATCTCAGCTATTCAGGAGGCAGAGGCAGGAGAATCCCTTGAACTTGGGAGGCAGAGGTTGCAGTGAGTCAGGATCACGCCACTGCACTCCAACCTGGGCAACAGACCCAGACTCCATTTCAAAAAAAAAAAAGAAGAAGAAGAAAAAAAGGAAAAGAAAGGAAGAAAAGGAAAATGTTTGCCAGATGATTAAATTAATCAAAAAACTATTGTGTCAGTGCAGTCCATGGCCAGTCACTCATGTTGAAATTATATATTGGAAATTCATAATAGCTAGAAAAAAACTGGAATCTCATCAAACTAACCATCATTAACCAACCTTTTTAGTGGGGGAGTAGGTAGGAGGTTATCAGCCATATTAAAGGTAAATGCTTGCATTTAATCTTGGTTTTGTTTCATTTTTAAGGTTTATTCCTAAGTTTTGTAAAGGTCCTAACTTAAAGATGTAATTATAAGTGTTAAAAATTATCAAATAATTGTAACATTTTAGATTCTCAATATAATTAGTGTGATGCATAGCTCTTAGGATACAAAGCAGGTCCTTCAATGATCAGTTCTTTGAGGGCAGGGGATCAGTAATTTCATCTTTCTATACACAATATCTAACACAGTGCCTAGCAACAAAACTAAAACAGCCTAAAGTCCTACCAAAAGAAGCAGTTAAATAATATTAGTATGATTTGCATTTAAAAACAAATATAGCCTAACTATAGCTTTAAAATAAAATTTGGAGATAAAGTTATTTAAAAAATCTGAGATTAATACATAGCACCCTCCAAAGAGATAATATATAAGTAATTTGGACCTTAATTTCCTCAAGCTAGGCCAGAAATGCAAATGTAATAACTATATCCAACTACTGCATAACACTTAGCATCAGAAAAAGTTCAAGGTATTCTCACCTCTTGGATTTACATCCATATCTCCAGATGTTAGGCCAATCAGATTGGGACGCTGTGTCTGAGTTCTTGAAAAGAACTGTCTGTACTGAGATCTACCAGAACTAGTAATACTAGGAGCTTCTGGGTTGTAACCATCTGGTTCATATGTATCTGAGGGAAAACAAAGCAACAAAACACACAACAAATCAGAGAGAGGTTAAACCATCTCTCATTGTTATAAAATAAACAACTGCTTAAAAAACATATATTCTCCAACAAATACATCAACCTACAGTCACCTCTCAGTATCTGTGAGGGACTGGTTCCAGGACCCTCCCGCAGATATAAAAATGCACAAATGTTCAAGACTTTGATATAAAACAGGGTGGTGGTATTTGCATATAACCTAGGTAAATCCTCTTGTATACTCTAAAACATCTCTAGGTTAATTATAATACATAATATAAATGCTACGTAAATAGCTGTTATGGATATTGTTTTTAAAACTTGCATTCCTTTTAATTATTGTACTGGTTTTTTTTTATTTTTATTTTTTTCCTGAATATTTTTGATCTGTAGTTGGTTGAATCTGCAGATGTGGAACCTGAGGTGAAGGGATGACTGTATTTCTCTTTGTGTTACAGTATCTAGACACACCTTTTGAAACTGAAAAAAAAAAAAATGCTCCTATTACAGAATATAGATATATGCATCCATTCTTAAATACTGATACTTTCAGATTCACTCACCTACTCATTTCTACTCTATATATTAATTACCTAATCCAAATGTCAATGCACTTTTTTTTCTAATTTTAAAAAAACGGAGATGGAGTCTCACTATCTTGCCCAGGCTGGTCTTGAACTCCTGGGCTTCAGCCACCTGCCCACCTCAGTCTCCCAAACTGTTGGCATTACAGGTGTGAGTCACTGTGCCCAGCCCAATGCACATTTGTTAATACAAATTTTCACATACACAAACACCATATGTGAAGAATTGAGTTTCCTCTGTTATCCATCATATCTCCAATTTCTAGGTACCTTTTTAATTGAGGTGAAAAGAAAATGTATTCATTTGGTTATGTACACTTCTTCAAACTAGAGTGAGAACAGCTGGTTTCACACATAAACCATATTTCAAATAAAAAAGCACACACGCGCACATACACGTCAGTCACTTCTATGATTTACAGTATAGAAGTGATTCAGAATATAAGATCAGCAAATTATCCTCATTTAGGGGATCTTCCTGGCCACTACAGGCATTTGAGTCAACGGCCAATAAGCAGCACAACTAGGATTCAGAAGTCCTCAATCCAGAAAACGTCTCACCCCCAATACTCTTAGATTAAACCTCTCCCACGAATATTGTGCTCCTCCTAACTTCAGATTCACAAGCTAATTTCCTTCTTGCACAAAACATCCAGAAGCTATAATGAGGCAATAATAATAAAATGCCATTAAAGCACAGGTGATTCTGAGATATCTAATATAAGAACTAGAACTGCTGGTTGGCATTCCTTCTCTTCCTCCCACCCCCATTTTTCCCCTTTTTTCAGGTTTTGAAAACAGCTCATGGAATTACACACAAAAAAGGCATCACTAGATTAAGAACTGTCTCCCTCTAATAAAATGTTAAATGATGTTGAAAATTAATCATTTGGGGCATCTGTACTGTCCTCCTCAGAGAACAATGGCACAGAAATTTTAATAAATTATTATCACAATGACATTCCTATTAGAGATTTTTTATTTCATTCCTAAGGCTTGCATTCAGTCTCAAAGTTTCCTGATGATGATCAATAAAACCAAATAATTGGGCCGGGCGCAGTGGCTCACGCCTGTAATTCCAGCACTTTGGGAGGCCAAGGTGGGCAGATCACGAGGTCAGGAGTTCGAGACCAGCCTGACCAACATGGCAAAACCCCGTCTCTACTAAAAATACAAAAATTAGCCGGGCTTGGTGATGCACGCCTGTAATCCCAGCTACTCAGGAGGCTGAGGCAGGAGAATCGCTTGGACCCTGGAGGTGGAGGTTGCAGTGAGCCAAGATCACCCCATTGCACTCCAAGCACTCCAGCCTAGGCAGCAGAGCGAGAGACTGTCTCAAAAATAAATAAATAAATAAATAAAAACAAATAATTTTGCCTCAATGGTTACAGGACTATGATTATAGTTATCCGCCAAAGAGTATTTTGGGGGCTTCATACTTAATTATTTTAGCTTTTGTTCTAACTCCTCTCTTTATAAATTTTTTGTCTCTTTAAGACAACTAAAGACAGTATTTAATCATGAGCATTCCCTCCTGATGGAAACACACTGTAATGATATGTCTAGCTTAAAAGTAAATCTAACATAGTTGCTTATTAAATTTCAATGTGTTTAAGGATGACACAGTTTGAAAATGATATGTAAAGTAACAGCTTCCCTGCTTATGCCAACTCTAAAAATTACATGCAATATAACATACAAAATGCATACTGCTTTATCTTTTTAAAAAAGGATTAGCAAATTATGATTAAAAAGTTTTCAGTTACCACTTGGCACTACTGACAGAAAATCTCCTACAGTTAAGACTGCAGAAAGTTTTAAAGAAGTTACATAATCAAATGACCTTGTGCCATAAATCCTGGGAATACACAGAACACCAATTAACTTAAAAGCCCTTTAGTTAATTATAAGAATAAGATCCAAAGGCAAAGTGAGAAAGGGTTAAAAACACCTCATGAAACACCCACAAAGCATTCCACAGATCCTTCAAAATACGTATGTCAATAGGAGAAAAGAGTTTTTAAGAATCGCTACATTATGCACACATACAAGGGGCAAAAGGGGAAAAAGGATATGATCGGCAAGAAACCAGATGTTTATTTTTGTTTTGTTTTAAAGAAAAATTAACCTAGTTTATTACAGTGTATAACTAATTAGAAAACATTCAAGTAGATATTATCTTTCTATCTACCTGATTAGAAACTAGCTCAAGGAACTAGCATCACTTTGTTACCGAGGCACTGAAAGTAAATATAGAGGACACCAGAGATGACAGATACACAGGAGGCCTAATCATCTAGCAGCCACTAGAGACAAACCAAAGAAGCAAAGGAGCAGAAAATAAAACTACCTATGAGCTTTAATGGGACTTTGTAACAGCAGATCAGGATGCCAGGTCACCGCTTAGACTGGCCAGCTTGAGGTAAAAAAGATCAGTGAGGTGGATGGCCATCTGTAGCAAAGCTTACCTGGAACCAGAGGGGTAGGGCTGGAGACTGAGGTATGGTATCCAATGGAGGATCCCATGAGGTTTCGAGGTGGCACCAAACGAGCTGCCAACAGAGGAGGCGGTGTCCCCAACTGAAGTCGCTCAGATGCAGCAGCACCATGTTCACGAGAGTACATGGGCTGTCCTATAGAGGAAAGAATAGGAGGGCAGCTGGGAATGAGAGTCACAAGCTTCTCTTAGGTGATGATGTGTTTCCTGAGACTTTGAGCCAAAAACAGAGAAATTAAACCAACAGGAATAGAAGTACAGAAAGATGTTCCTGGGATTCTTTCTAACTCAAGAAAGAACAGACGTGCAACTGGTTAGGATCCATTGAGGTATAAAGAAAAGAATAAGAATTAAGTAGTATATATAATCTCCATCTTTTATGATCTTAAGTGGAGAAAACTACGTGCTAATTTTATCTAAAGCTGAACAGTGAACCATATCAGGTTATTAGACAAAGGAGCCCTGAGCTATTAATTACACAGAATTTTTCTATCCAATGAGATATGCAGGTATGAAAACTGTCATATCCATTAAAAAGAAAACAACCCCTCTCCAACCAACCCACATAATTTCAGGTTTGCACCAAATATGCTCCCGTATCTGAGAGCAGAAAAAAAGACAAAGACATTAAGAAAAAACAAACCACTATATGCATACCTTCGCAAAGAATAAAAAATGCTCCAAAGAAAAAAATTAAAGATAGTGAAAATTTGTTATCTCTGTGAGCACATGGATAACAAAAATTGAGAAAGGGAAAAGGACAGGCCAGGCACGGTGGCTCACGTGGCTCACGCCTGTAATCCCAGCACTTTGGGAGGCCGAGGTGGGTGGATCATGAGGTCAGGAGTTCAAGACCAGCCTGGCCAAGATGATGAAACCCCGTCTCTACTAAAAATACAAAAATTAGCTGGGCGTCGTGGTGGGCACCTGTAATCCCAACTACTAGGGAGGCTGAGGCAGGAGAACTGCTTGAACCCGGGAGGTGGAGGTTGCAGTGAGCCAAGATCGTGCCACTGCACTCCAACCTAGGCGACAGAGTAAGACTCTGTCTCAAAAAAAAAAAAAAAAAAAAAAAAGGACAAAAAAAAAACAGATAAACAGACCAGCACAGCACTGGACACATGAAATTATCCTGGATATTAAGAAGCACTTTTTGAAAGACAACACATTTAGGATTTATATATAGGCTAATGCAAGAATGCACACACAATGAAGCCAAAATCTGAAGGACAGGATTAGAAAAAGATAAGGTATCAAGGAGCAAAATCCCTTTGGGTGTCCATTTAACAGTATCTTTTTCACCGACAACCCCATTTGAGACATATTTATATGATTTAGTTATTATATATGTCCAACATCAGACATTTACTATGTGACACAAGACAAAATAAAGTGGATTTTTTTTTTTTTTTTTTGAGACGGAGTCTTGCTCTGTCACCCAGGCTGGAGTGCAGTGGTGCTCACTGCAAGCTCCGTCTCCCGGGTTCACGCCATTCTCCTGCCTCAGCCTCCCGAGTAGCTGGGACTACAGGCGCCCACCACCATGCCTGGCTAATTTTTTTGTATTTTTAGTAGAGACGGGGTTTCACCGTGTTAGCCAGGATGGTCTCAATCCCCTGACCTCGTGATCTGCCCGTCTCGGCCTCCCAAAGTGCCACCGGACCCAGCGCCCAGCCTTGAATTTTTTTTATACCTGGTGAAATGTCCTTAAAAGCTGTAAAATTCCTAAAGATTTTAAATGCACCTTAATAGGACAGGCTACAAAGCAACCACTTGGTTTCACAGTAAGTCCCTAAAGGGAATATGGAGATGCTAAACTTCACTACCCTTTTCTTCGTATATAAGAAGCAAAAGAGGAAGTAACAAATCATACTGTATAACTGTGCACTTAGCATTAACCCTTTTAAAATTTACATTTCTAATGGATGTTGGGCTTAATACCTAGGTGGTAGGTTGATCTGTGCAGCAAACCACCATGGCACACATTTACCTACGTAAAAAACCTGTACATCCTACATATGTACCCTGGAACTTAAAATAAAAGTTGATGGGGAAAAAAAAGTACATTTAAAAAGAATCAGCTAATTATTACACTGCAAAAACAATATAACATATTTTCTTTTTTTCTTTTTTTTTTACTTTTTCTTTTTTTTTTTTTTTTTTGAGAGTCTCACTCTGTCGCCCAGGCTGGAGCTGCAGTAGCATGATCTGGGCTCACGGCGACCTCTGCCTCCCAGGTTCAAGCAATTCTCCTGCCTCAGCCTCCCTAGTAGCTGGGATTTCTGGTGCCCACCACCACGCCCAGCTAATTTTTTGCATTTTTAGTAGGGACGGGGTTTCACCATGTTGCCCAGGCTGGTCTCAAACTCCTGACCTCAGGTGATCCACCCACCTCGGCCTCCCAAACTTCTGGAATTACAGGCGTGAGCCACCGTGCCCAGCCCAATTTAACATAGTCTCAATGAGGGGAACAAATAGTTGTAAGCACACAATCAATGGCAGGGAATTACTTGTGAAGAGTGACCTATCAGCAGAATGTAGTAGTATGTTAAAGAGAAAAATGGGGCCAGGTGCAGTAGCTCACATCCATAAACCCAACAATTTGGGAGGCCAAGGTGTGAGGATTACTTGAGCTCAGGAGTTTGAGACCAGCCTGAGTAACATACCGAGACTCTGTCTCTACTAAATATTTTAAAAATTAGCCATGCATGGTGGCGCACAGCTGTAGTCCTAGCTATTTGGAAGGCTAGGGCAGGAGGATCACTTGAGCCAGAAGGTCAAAGCTGCAGTGAGCCACGATTGTGCCACTGTACTCCAGCTTAGGTGACAGGGTGAGATGCTGTCTTTAAAAGAAAAAAAATTAATTAAAAAATAGAAATACATACATATATAGAAAAATGGGAAGTACAATCTTAGTCCATATGACTACTTTAAATGTATGATACATCACTTGATGTACTAAGTATACTATCTAATTAAGTATGTCTAATTAATAATAGCTGTCTCAAAGTAAACTGGAAACCAAAAGGCTACTTTGCCCAATGTCTGTTTTTAAAACTACTGACAAAGAACATACAGAAAGGCCGAGCACGATGGCTCACACCTGTGATTACAGCACTTTGGGAGGCCAAGGCGGGTGGATCCCTTGAGCTCAGGAATTTGAGACCAGGCTGGGCAATAGGGTGAAACCCCGTCTCTACTAAAATTACAAAAATTAGCCAGGCGTAGTGGTGCATGTCTGTAATCTCAGCTACTCTGGAGGCTGAGGCACAAGAATCACTTGAACCCAGGAGGCAGAGGTTGCAATGAGCCGAGACTGCACCACTGCACTCCAGCCTGGGTAACAGAGAAAGCCTCTGCCTCAAAATAAAAAACAAATACCTCAAAAAGATGGCAATTAATCCAAATGTAGCCTGACTTTCTTAAACAATTCCTACTGAGTCTCTAAATACTACTTCTAAAGCAACAGAGTTCTTTAGACAAAGGGCTAATTCTAGGTCAGGGCAGAAAATTTATAAGATGAGCCTGGTACACCTTAGTATACCTTGTCCTTCCAGAAGCAAGAGAGTTATCAAAAACTGGCATGTCAAAAATTAAAAAAAAAAAAAAAAACTAGCAGAAGCCAACATGAAGAGGCTCCTATTGATTAAAGATGAGACAATCTGAACATCAAAAAAGACTATAATGGAGTGAAACATATCAAATGTTAAAAATTCATGAGTTCATAATGATACTTAAAAAAAAAACAGGAGTTCCCTTTGGAAAAAACTAGGGAATCAACTCATTCTTAAAATTGATAAATGAAAGAAAATACACATATATCATGTCTCTTCTGTAAAAACTGCATTTCAGGTTAACCAAATGGTTGTTATAGTCAACTATATGGAATGCTAGCAATAAATGTAGAAGAAACTATAGATTTAGAGTTTCACATACAACAGCAAATCCAGGCAATGATCAAAAATGGCTGTTGAAACCATCAAGCAAGTTTTAAAATGAATGGATCAGGATGAAAACACCTTTACACACTAATCAATATTTATAACACAGAAAGGAGACAACCAGACATCATGAGCATTATAATGTACTGTGTAGGAAGTACATAACGCCATCTATAAAATGTTCTTGCCAAAAAAAGAAAAAAATTGAATTTTATCAAATACCTAGCTCTAACTTCAAATTTACAGGTAATACAGGGGATAGAGGAATGTGTTAGATGACACCAGAAGATCAATCTGCCAAGTCTAGAATGTGAGAAAATTCTTTAGGACAAATGATCTATTTCTTCAACAAATAAACGCCAAGGGAGAAAAAAAAAGAAGTAAAGGATATTTCTATAAAGACTTAAGAAAGATATCAACTAAACGTAATGTATAACCCTGTTTGGATATAGCGTCAAATAAACCAGGTACAAAAGGGCATTTATGATACAATTGAGAAATATGAAAACTAACTGGATATTTCACAAGGAATAGTAAACTGTTACAAATTTTGGGGGGGACTGTGATAATAGTACTGTGTGTATGTAGGATTTTGTGTGTATGTATGTTTAATTCTTATCTTCAAAGATACATAAGTTTTTACAGATGAAATGCTACTATATTTGGGACTTATTCTAAAACAATCATGTCATTAAGCTGAATTTTGAGGAGCAATAAAAAAGAAAACAAAAATAAAAACTAAGGCCAGGTGTGATGGCTCACATCTGTAATCCCAGCACTTTGAGAGGCTGAGGCTGGAGGACTGCTTGAGCCCAGGAGTTTGAGACCAGCCTGGGCAACATGGGGAGCCCTCATCTCTACAAAAAATTTAAAAATCAGCCAGGTATGGTGGCACGCATCTGTGCTCCCAGCTACTCATGAGGCTGAGACAGGAGGCCTGCTTGAGCCCAGGAGGTCAAGACTGCAGTGAGCCAAGATTGTGCCACTGTACTCAAGGCTGGGTGACAGAGCAAGACCTTGTCTAAAAAAAAAAAAAAAAAACCACAGCACTAAAATAATCAAGTCAGGAGTAGGTTATGGATGAAGCAAGATTAACCACATTGATTAACTGTTGAAGCCAGAAATAAGTACATGAAGATTCACTACATTACACAGTCTACTTTTATGTATGTTGTATTTGAAATTTTCCATCATAATATGTTTTCTCTTTTAAATTTGAGATGAGGTCTTACTATGTTATCCAGGCTAAAGTACAGTGGCTATTCATAGGTGTGATCATAGCTCACTGCAGCTGGAACTCTTGGCCTCAAGGTATCTTCCCCTGCCTCAGCCTCCCAAGAGGCTGGGACTACAGTCACATGCCCACACGCCCAGCTACATTAAAAAATGTTCACTATCAAATAGGTTACAGTAATGGTGAAGATCAGTCTGTCAGAATTTATATTCATTCAGTTTAGTTTTGGTCAGAGTAGTTTCCAAACTGCAAACATCCCAAGTTCATGTTCCCATCTTAAATTGTTCATATAGGTAACATGCCTAATATCAATATTTTCAACTTCTTAATATTAACTCTAGTCAGAATAAAGACAGTCTTTATTCAACCTAAAATTTTAGCAACTCTGTATAATTTTCCTGATTTTGTCTTTAAGAGTATTCACAGGAAAAAAATTTTAAGTTTTAAGCTAAAAACTCAAATCCAGAAAAAATAAAAAGCTACATCTTCCCAATACTGGCCATATTTATGTGTCTTCTTGATTAGAATACAAGGTACCTGGTACACTTGAGAAGTTCCAAGGGCTAAACAGTGCCTGATGTATAATAGAAATCAAACAGTCACTTAAAGAAAAAATGAAAGCTTAAAGTACCCAAATGAAACTTAAGTACTTCTTTGGATGAATATCTGTATGTTGAAATAGACAATGTCACAACTAATACAACATGAATCAGGTCAAATACAAGGGGGAGAAAGCCTCTAGACCAGCAGTCCCCAAGCTTTTTGACACTAGGGACCGGTTCCACAGAATACAATTTTTCCACAAATGGCAGGGGTGAGTGGAGGTGGTGACTTTAGGATGAAACTGTTCCACTTCAGATTATCAGGCATTAGATTCTCATAAAGAATGCGCAACTCAGATCCTTCATATGCGCAATTTACAATACCGTTGAGTCTCCTATGATAATTTAGTGCCACCGTGACCCGGGGTTTGGGGACCCCTGCTCTAGACAATATACAAGGACTCTAATAGACACTGACTTACTTTTCTAGCCATCAAACCCATTATTCTACATAATGCCACAGAATTAAATGAGCAAATCTCAAATTTAGAATTATACTGTTTTAACAATTTTATACAGTTAGTAGGAAAGTATTTTCTGAAAGATAAAGATTTATGTGAATTTATATTAAGACTGGACAGTTATCTTCAACCTAAGAATCAGTCTCTAGAATCCAGGATGTTACCTGCTACTCTTACTTTTTCACACATCCAGTACAACGAACGAACTTAGCAGTTACAAAATATTTTTACTATGCTTCTTCAAGAAGCAGAACAGACCAAAAGCAAGGTAGAAAAGAGAGTGTACTTTACTTAATAATGGTCTTGTAAAAGCCAAAAGTATATACTGAGTTGGTGAGTTCAAACTTGGAGGCTGCAGTGGTACAGCTCTTTAAGATTTTCTCTAGCAAGTTCTCTGGTCTCCCAACAAGAAACCCCCATGCAAAAAAAAAAAAAATTAGGGGTCCAAATACAATGCCTCAGGTCTGTAATCCCAGCATTCTGGTAGGCCAAGGTGAGAGGATTGCTCCAGGCCAAGAGTTTGAGACCATCCTAGGCAACACAGCAAGACTACAAAAAAATTCAACATTAGCTGGGCATGGTGGCATGTGCCTGTACAGCCTAGTTATTTGGGAGGCTGTGGTGGGGTGACCACTTAAGCCCAGTGGTTCAAGGCTGCAGCGAGCTAGAATCATGCCACTACACTCCACCCTGGGCAACAGAGCAAGACCCTATTTCTAAAAAAAAGGTAAATAAATAAATAAATAAATGTTTTTAAAATTGGGGTAAGCTGGGCATGGTGGCTCATGCCTGTAATCCCAGCACTTTGGGGGACTAAGGTTCAGGGAAGAGCTCAAGCCCAGGAGGTCAAGATCAGCCTCGGCAATACAGAAAGACCTCATCTTTATAAATAATTTAAAAAATTAGCTGGGCATGGTGGTGCATGCCTGTGGTCCCAAACTACTCAGGAGGCTGAGGTAGGAGGATTTCCAGAGCCTGAAAGGTTGAGGCTGCAGTGACCCATGATGCCACCATACTCCAGTCTGGGCAGCACAACAAGACTCTGTCTCAAAAAGAAATAAAGGGGGTGGGGGGGCATGGGTAAAATGTTAAGTACTTCAGAGGAAATAGTTGATTTTAACAGTTGATTGCTGTCTTTACACAAAATTCCAAACACAGTTAGTTATTTATTTTCACAGGGTCTATGACATTTTAACTCAAGAAAAGTAACAAAATTTCAAAGTTTTTTATAAATTATAATCAATTTTTTTTTAAGACAGGGTCTTACTTCTCTCTGCTGTCCAGGCTAGAGTATAATGGTACTATCTGCAGCCTTGAACTCCTGGGCTCAAGCAATCCTCCCAACCTTGGCCTTTGAATGTGCTGGGATTACAGGGGTAAACCACTGCATTCAGCCAATATTAACTTTACCAGGAACCATGTATATCCTATTCAGTTTCAGAATCAGGTTAATTCTTTTTCTTATTTTAACATCCAACTTGTCTTTTTCCAAAACCAGTGACAACTGCAGCCTAAATGAATGCTTTATTTCTCACAGAATTAGTTCCTTTGTTACCTGGGGTTTTTTTTTAGCTGTAATAGCAAAATATACTGTAATGGGTTTTCATTTTGTGGAGATTTTTTTTAACATATTTCTTTCCCACTATTAGATTTTTAGATTCTTAGATGACCATTTCTTATTCATCTGTATATTCCTAGTACCTAACACTGAGCAGACTCCAACTCCTACCTTGAAAAATCCAGATTTCGTTTTTCTGTGTTTACTTTGGGTCCTTATTGACATCATCTGCACAACTAAACACCATTTGATATGCATTTTTCACCTATATTTTCTGTGCTGTGAATTTTAATATTAATTTTAATGACAATAAAATATCCATAATTTAAACTTTCCCAACTTGTTAAACTTTTAAGACAGCTCAAGTTCTCATTACACACTGAAAACATACATATAGCTTTTTACTTTATTTGAATCAAACTTCTAATCTTTTTGAAATTACCAATTATAGTACGAGTTGAGTATCCCATATCCAAAAGGCTTGAGACCAGAACTGTTTCAGATTTCAGACTTTTTCAGATTTTTCTATCTCTGAATTATAGTTACTGGCTGAACATCACAGATCTTAAAATCCAAAATCCAAAATGCTTCAATGAGTAAGTAATTCCTTTGAGCATCATATTGGCACTCAAAAAGTTTCTAATTTTGGAGCATTTCAGACTGGGAATGCTTGACCTGTATTTAGAAAAATAAACTTGAACAATGTGAAGGATTCAATTATCTGTCTCAAAGACAAAAATATTTTTAAAACTATTTTATTTTACTTTATTTTATTTATTTTTTTGAGATGGCGTTTCGCTCTTGTTGCCCAGGCTAGAGTGCAATGGCGCAATCTCAGCTCACTGCAACCTCTGCCTCCCAGGCTCAAGTGATTCTCTGGCCTCAGCCTCCTGAGTAGCTGGGATTACAGGCGCCCACCACCACACCCAGCTAATTTTTGTATTTTTAGTAGAGATGCGATTTCACCATGTTGACCACGCTGGTCTCAAACTCCTGACCTCAGGTGATCCGCCTGCCTTAGCCTCTCAAAGTGCTGGGATTACAGGCATGAGCCACCATGCCCAGCCCAAAAGCTATCTTAAAATCAACTGAATAGAAAAATATTAAAAACTTATTAGAAATATAAAGGTAATAGAAAGATATTAAAAACTGAGGCCAGGAGTGGTGGCTCACACCTGTAATCACAGCACTTTGGGAGGCTGAGTCGGAAGGATCACCTGAGGTCGGGAGTTTGGGACCAGCCTGGCCAACATGGTGAAACCCTGTCTTTACTAAAAATACAAAAAAAAATTAGCCGGGCTTGGTGGCATGTGCCTGTAATCCCAGCTACTGGGGAAGCTCCGGCAGAAGAATCGATTGAAACCAAGAGGCGGAGGTTGCAGTGAGCTGAGATCGCACCACTGCACTCCAGCCTGGGCAACAGAGTAAGACTCCGTCTAAAAAAATAAATAAATAAACTTATGACTGACAAACTATACTACACATCCCCTTTTTAATGTTTAGATTATCAGGAACTCTACTAGTCTTCAAAATTTCTCTATAAATTTTAGAATCAGATTTCACACTCAAGAAAGAAAACCACATATTTCTCTGCATAGCAGACTTCTGAAGTGTTCAATATGAATATTCTATAACTTTCAAAATATTCAGTTGCCAACCAATCAAATCTGTTTATCAACACTGATGCAGCATATAAGACAATCCTCTAAAGCAGTAATTCACAAATGCTAAGGGGAAATTATCACCTTTTATTGGTCTACAACAAAACGGGGGGGATATGTAGTGCTATTTCATAAAATCAAATATTAAAAGATTAAGTCAGGCATGGTGGCTCATGCCTACAATCCTACCCACTTTGGGAGGCCAAGGCACAACTGCTTGAGCACCCAGCCTGGGTAAGACAGCAAGACCCTGCCTCTACATACAAAAGATTTTTTTTTTAATTAAAAGATTGTCCTTGAGGCCGTGTGTGATGGCTCACACCCGTGATCCCAGCACTTCGGGAAGCTGAGGCAGGAGTAACACTTGAGCCCACAGTTTGAGACCAGCCTGGGCAACAAAGCAAGAACCTGTGCCTACTAAAAATTTTAAAACTTTTAAATAAATTTTTAAAAAGATTATCTTTTATTCTGAGATTATGTCCTTTCTTCAGTTTAAAAACATATTTTTAAAATTAAAGTATTAGATATTTTCATATACAGACCTTAACCTGGCAAAATAACAAGCTGCTAACTGTACAGGTCCCAAGAATTTTCTTAGAAACGTTACCAGTCTTTAAAAAATGAGTTTAGAGGCCGGTCACAGTGGCTCACACTTGTAATCCCAGCACTTTGGGAAGCCGAGGCGGGCGGATAACTTGAGGCCAAGAGTTTGAGACCTGCCTGGCCAGCATGGCGAAACCCCATCTGTACCAAAAATACAAAAATTAGGTGGGCCTTGGGGCCCACGACTGTAGTCCCAGCTACTTGAGGCTGAGGCACAAGCTTAAACCTGGGAGGTGGAGGTTGCGCCACTGCACTCTAGCCTGGGCAACAGAGTAAGACTGTCTCAAAAAATAATAATAATTTGGAAATACAGTTCTAAAAGGCCTTTACTCATATACTACAAAATAGTCTTACTTTTAAATAAAACAGAAAAATGGACTTCAAAAAACATGAGATCTAATATCTTATTCACCTTGGCTCCCTAGTGTCTGGCACGATGCCTGGCACATAGTAGGCATTCAATAAATATTTGCCAAATTAATTTATTTATTAAGCTAAGTCACTGAAATAAATGGTAACTGCCAGAGTTTTAAAAATTAAAACCAAATGGAATATTTATAGAGTGAGTCACAATGTTAAATTTAACAATATAAAAATAAATGGTAATTGCCAGATTTTTTTTAAATTAAAAACAAGATGGAATTTTTATCATGAGTCATAATACCAAATTTAACAGTATAAAAATATGCCATCTGCAACACACTCTGGAATAGTCCACTTTTTCATATTTACAAGTCCAAAAGGCAAACAATATTAAGAGCTGATTCGGGGGGAAATAGATAAAAGAGGCTCCGCTATAAATTGATAAAGGTTGAAACTGAGGGATAAGCACAAAGAACTTCATTATACTGGGTACTCCGGAGTTCCATATACTGTCCTCTTTACTTTTATATATATTTGAGATTTCCCATAATTAAAAAATGAGCAACAAACATGTTCTATGAAAAGACGCTATAGCAATCAGAATACAGCGAGATACTAAGTATGAAACAGGAAAAACAATTACTTAAGTATCAAATGTGATTTCCGTTCTGTAGAAGCTCAGTTGAATGTAAGATTTACATATATTAAAAAAAATCAAACAGTAGGCCTATATATAAGTATATGTCATTATGTAACAAATGCTTTTTGGTATTGTAAGAGTTTAAAACAGAGCAAAAGGCCGGGCACAGGGGTTCATGCCCGTAATCCCAGCACTCTGAGAGGCCAAGGCAGGCGGATCACCTGAGGTCAGGAGTTCGAGACCAGCCTAGCCAACATGGCAAAACCCCATCTCTACTAAAAATACAAAAATTAGCCAGGTGTGGTGGTGGGCGACTGTAATCCCAGCTACTTGGGAAGCTGAGGCACAAGAATCACTTGAACCCGGGAGGCAGAGGTTGCAATAAGCTGAGATCTCACCACTGCACTCCAGCCTGGGCGACAAAGTGAGACTCTAGATAGACAGACAGATAGACAGACAGACAGACAGACAGACAGACAGACAGACAGATAGAAAACAGCAATCATGTCTTCCAAGTATACTTAGAATTTGGGCCTAGAAAGAGGTGAAGACAGAGTATATTAGTAGGAAAGAAGATTGGGGGGGAAAGTTGAGCCATGACGGGGGCACAGAAAGGGTATAATTGGCATTACCAGAGAAGATGCATGTTGAGGAATAGTGGACAAAGATTGCCAAGAAGGAAGAGGTAGACTATTGAAAGAGTTAAAGGCCAGGAACAGTGGCTCACGCCTGTAATCCCAACCCTTTGGGACGCTCAGGTGGGAGAAACTTGAGCCCAGAAATTTGAGACCAGCCTGAGCAACATAGTGAGACTCCGTCTCTACAAAAAAATTTCAAAAATTAGCCGGGTGTGGTGGCACATGCCTGTGGCCCCAGCTATTTGGGAGGCTGAGGTGGGAGGATCACTTAGCCTGGAAGATCAAGGCTGCAGTGAGCCAAGATGGCACCACCACACTTCAGCCTGGGGAACAGAGTTGAGACTCTGTCTCAAAAAAAAAAAAAAAAAAAGTCCAGGCGTGGTGGCTCACACCTGTAATCCCAGCGCTTTGCAAGGCCAAAGCAGCCAGATCACTTAAGGCCAGGAGTTTGACAGCTAGCCAACATAACAAAACCCCATCTCTACCCAAAATACAAAAAGATTAGCTGGGTATAGTGATACATGCCTGTAATCCCAGCTACTTGGGAGGCTGAGGCACAAGAATTGCTTGAACCCGGGAGGCAAAGGTTGCAGGGAGTTGAGATTGCACCACTGTACTCCAGCCTGGGTGACAGAGCAAGACTTTGTCTCAAAAAAAAAAAAAAAAAAAAAAAGAAAAGGAAAAAAAAAAAGGAGTTAGAAGTCCTAGAGAGGGGTTTACTGATGGCTCAGAAAGAAATGGTAGCCACCGAAAAGTTCTCATAAGGAACTTTCATGGTTGGATTTCTCAGGAAAATTAGCTTAGCAGCATTATGTGGTATGACTTAGGGAAGTTAAACATAAAACATAATGGTGTCAAGTAGGCTGCAGTAATAATCCAAATGTGAAGTGATCTAGCGTGGATGAGGGCAGAGGCCACAGAAGAAATAGAAAGGGCTACTTCAAAGAAAAAGAATTTTTGATTAACCAGATGTAAAAAAGCAAAGCAATGAGTCAGTCCTGTGAAGGTTTCAATTCTAGGTATTAGGTGGGTGTTACTCCATTGACAAAAACAGGGATGGTAGAAGGTACAGATTTAAGAAGTTAATAGGTTCAATTTCAGAGTTTGAAATTTCAGGAGACAATAATAACTACAATAATATAATAATGAATCCTTATAGCTTACTAGTGGCTAGGCACTTTTTTAGATGCTTTAGATGTATTAATTTATTACTCAAAACAACCTTAATGAGGTAATATTATTCTCATTTTAAAGAAGAGGAAATTGAGCTACAGAGAGACTAAGCAACTTACTCAAGGTCACAAAGATAGTAAATGATAAAACCAGGATTTGAAACTGGGCTTAACGAGTTTGCTGAATTGCCTCTCCAAGACATCAAAGAGATACAGAAATGTTTAGGATGCAAAATAAACTTTATGATATACATAGTTACATAAAAGAGGAACATATCCATAAAGTTACCAGGCCTTGTAAAAAAAAAAAAAAAAATCTTCTAATTTGACATTTTTAACAACCAACTACCTTTTTAAAAAATGTTTTTGAAGGAAGTAATTTTTTAAAGCTTTAGTAAACAATAAAACACCTAAGAAACAAAAGAGAATTAGGATTCCAGAAAAATCATTTTGTTTTTTGTTTTCTGAGACGGAGTTTTGCTCTGTCACCCAGGCGGGAGTGCAGTGGCACGATCTCGGCTCACTGCAACCTCCGCCTCCCAGGTTCAAGTGATTCTCCTGCCTCAGCCTCCCGAGTTGCTGGGACTACAGGCATGCTCCACAACGCCCAGCTAATTTTGCATTTTTAGTAGAGACGGGTTTTCTCCATGTTGGTCAGGATGGTCTCGAACTCCCGACCTCAGATGATCTGCCCACCCAGGCCTCCCAAAGTGCTAGGATTACAGGCATGAGCCACCGCGCCTGGCCCAAGAAAAATGTATTATTACAATCAAATGTGAATGTCACAAACAGCCTAAATACAGAAAATTACAATTTAAATGATGCTCTACCTTTATTTCAGTATGCAAGTTAATTATTAGGCATAATTAACCCGCTCTTTTGTATACTTCTTAGGAGATACATCTTATGCTTTAGAAAATCAATCAGATAAACAATTTTTTTAAAAAGCTTCAAAATAAATTTCCTTTAGAAGAGACTTGACGTTAGGCTGGGCACAGTGGTTCACACCTATAATCCCAGCATTTTGGGAGGCCGAGGCAGGTAGATCACCTGAGGTCAGGAGTTCGAGACCAGCCTGGCCAACATGGTGAAACCCCGTCTCTACTAAAAATACAAAAATTAGCTGGGCATGGTGGCACACGCCTGCTGTCCCAGCTACTTGGGAGGCTGAGGCAAGAGAATCACTTGAACCTGGAAAGCAGAGGTTGCAGTGAGCTGAGATTGTGCCACTGCACTCCAGCCTGGGTGACAGAGCGAGACTCTGTCTCAAAAAAATAAAAAGGAGAGACTAAATGTTGCTACTCCATGGCAGAGTAAAATTCTCCAAAACAGAAAGCCTTGCCTTTCTCTCCCATATCACACAAAATTAAAATGTGGCTATATAGCAGAAACACACGATAAACTGTATTGTAAACACAAATACAATTTTTAGAATCCATAAGAACAGAAACTATTTACCATTTTTTAAAGGGTTATACTGATATGAGACAACTTGGCTTTTCTATACCCTGTCAATTTTAAGTCAAACAACATGTACTTACGTTCTGATACTGTGTAAAGGAGGTTCTGGGGTAAAGGAGGAGGTAGTCTTGTTCCCACTGATGCAAGATTGGGCACTGCACTTGTCCCAGGCTGGTCACGGCTGTTTATCAAGCTTGATTGTGTTATAGGTGGTCCTACATACAGACAACAAAAAGTGAAAAGTACAGCATTAATATTTCCTAATAAAAGTATCAGGCCAGGAGCAGTGGCTCACACCTGTAATCCAGAACTGTGGGAGGCCAAGACAGGCGGATCACCTGAGGTCAGGAGTTCGAGACCAGCCTGACCAACATGGAGAAACCTCGTCTCTACTAACAATACAAAAATGAGCAGGGCGTGGTGGCACATGCCTGTAATCCCAGCTACTCAGGAGGCTGAGGCAGGAGAATCGCTTGAACCTGGGACGCGGAGGTTGCGGTGAGCCGAGATCGCACCATTGCACTCCAGCCTGGGCAACAAAAGCAAAACTCTGTCTCGAAAAAAAAAAAAAAAAAAAAAAAAGGACCATCATAGGCCGGGCACGGTGGCTCATGCCTGTAATCTCAGCACTTTGGGAGGCCGAGGCAGATCACCTGAGGTCAAAAGTTCGAGATCAGCTTGGCCAACGTGGTGAAACCCCATCTCTACTAAAAGTACAAAAATAAGCTGGGTGTGGTGGCACACTCCTGTAATCCCAGCTATTTGGGAAGCTGAGGCAGAAGAATCACTTGAACATGGGAGGTGGAGGCTGCAGTGAGCCGAAATCACGCCACTGCACTCCAACCTGGGCAACAGAGAAAGACTTCATCTTAAAAAAAAGAAAAAAATACCATACTAGTACTAACTTGGATACTCACATTTAAAATACCTAATTTGGTTCTGAATAGAATTAAAGAATTTAATATATGCAAGCTTAAGCACTGGGAGTTGTATAATCAATTAAAAGAACATTACTTGTTCTAGAAGAGGCAAAACTAATCTAAGGTGAAAAAAGGCAGGACTGGTTGCCTCTATGGGTGAAGGTGGAGAACGGCTGAGAAGAGGCTTCAGGAAACTTTCTAGGGTGATGGTAAAGTTCTACAGAATTCAAGTTAATGATAAGCATGCTTAAGTGTACGATGTCTGCAACATACTGTGAAAAGCATCAAAAGTAAAAATGGAGAAACGGAAAGATATGTGCTAACATAAATACAGTAAAATGCTAATTGTAGAACCTAGATGGTAAGTATACAAGTACAAGTCCTTCAACTTTCCTATTTGTTACAAACTTTTCATAGCAAAATGTCGGGAGAAATGGTATTCTTGAATTTAACTTTTAAATAGATATGTTCCCACGCTGAGATAACGTTCTTTATTTTAGAATTTCCATATATAAAACGATGTTGCTTTATCTGGGAAATGAAATCTCAGCTTGAGCTTCACAATTATACTGTTTATGTGATTATATTAAATATTCACATATGGGCTGGGCACGGTGGCTCACGCCTGTAATCCCTGAACTTTGGGAACTGAGGCAAGCAAACTGCTTGAGCCCAGGAGTTCAAGACCAGCCTGGGCAACATGGCGAACCCTGTCTCTACAAAAAAGTCCAAAAAAATTTAGCCAGGCATGGTGGCACACGCCTGTAGTCCCAGCTACTCAGGAGACTGAGGTGGGAGGATCCCTTCAAGCCTGGGAGGCGGAGGTTGCAGTGAGTCGTGAGCCAAGATCTCCCCACTGCACTCCAGCCTAGGGCACAGAGTGAGATCTTGTCTCAAAAAGAAAATAAAAGAAAAAAAAAATCACAAATGCTAAGTTAAAAAAAAACAACAACATGTTTCTATAGGCCAAACATATGCATTAAATCCCTCCAAACATTTACCAACTTTAATAATAAAACATATTCTTTAATTTTTTTGAGACAAAGTCTTGCTCTGTCACCCAGGCTGCAGTGCAGTGAGGCCATCACAGCTCACTGCACCCTTGACCTCCTGGGTTCAAGCAATCCTCCCACACCAAGCTCCCAAGCAGTAGGGACTACATGCACCCCCCGACATGCCTGGCTAATTTTTGTATTTTTTGTAAAGGCAGGGTTTTGCCATGTTGCCCAGGCTGGTCTCAAACTCATGAGCTCAAGTGATCTGCCAGCCTCAGCCTCCCAAAGTGTTGGAATTACAGGCGTGCACCACTGTGCCGGGCCATGAAATGTATATTCTACAGAATACTTTATTACTGCAGGGAAGCTCAGGATCATGTGAAACCATTTTCACAATTTCCGTAATTATAATTCTATAACTGAGTCTGTAATTATTTCAAAATAAAATGTTAAAAAGAAATTCATTAAAACTACTGCTTAAACTGAACAGCAATATTTCTAAAAATAAAAATTTGCCATCTTTTATTTATTTATTTATTTATTTATTTATTTATTTATTTATTTTTGAGACAGGGTCTGGCTCTGTCACCCAGGCTAGAATGGAGTGGTGCAATCTTGGCTCACTGCAACCTGTCTCCCAGGCTCAAGCCATCCTCCCACCTCAGCATCCCAAGTAGCTGGAACTATGGGTACACACCACCATGCCTGGCTAATTTTTGTATTTTTTCTAGAGATGGGGTTTCGCCATCTTGCCCAGGCTGGTCTCGAACTCCAGAGTTCAAGTGATCCACCCACTTCGGCCTCCCAAAGTGCTGGGATTACAGATATGACCCACCATGCCCAGCCTAATTTGCCATCTTTTAATGTTAAAAGTCTTCAAGCAGATAACGTTTTATATTTTGGCATACATGAAAACAATTCATTCCATAATTTTTTCAATTACTTTTTAAAAATTTAGTCTTACTTCTATTTCTACTATATTGGCAACTGTTAATAATGCTTTTTAAATGACCATTTTAAAACATTTCTTACTCCTAATTTTGCTGGATGTGATAATGGCATATTGATTTTTTTTTTTAAATAACAAAAACAAAAAGTCCTTATCAGAAAGGAGATCCATACTGAAGTACATACTGGTGAAGTGACATGACATTTAGAATTTACTCCAGCAAAAAACCAACCAACCCAAAGAAAGTGTATGGGAGAGAAGGGAAAATATGAGACAAAACAGCTGAATATTGATCGTCATTGAGGCTGGATGATGGTACCTGCAACACACATACTATTCTACTTCTAAAAATGTCTGTAATAAAAAAAATTTTTTTAATATTATTTCAATATTCTTGAAGAGATTTTCCTTAAAGACTGGAAAATTTCATAAAACTCCTAACATGTTTTTTCTCTGACATCTTAAAAACTGGCTTTCCTGGCCAGGCATGGTGGCTTATGCCTGTAATCCTAGCACTTTGGGAGGCCAAGGCAGGAGAGGACTGCTTGAGGCCAGGAGTTCAAGACCAACCTGGCCAACATAATGAGACCCTGTCTCTAAAGAAAAACTAAATAAAAATAGATAAATAAATAAATACTGGCTTTCTTAAGATGATAACTAGATTTGACTGCAGGTCAATATAGGTTAGGCCACTACACACAAAATTTACACTGTGGTAATACAAATAACATCATGCAATAACGGATGAAAAAAAGAAAAGAATAGCATCTTAATTATGGGAATATATTCCAAATTATATTATTACTCTATTTCTCAAACACTTTAAACGAGTGTCAAGTTAGCTAAAAGGGATGAGGTTCTTCTAAACAGAACGCTAGAGAAAAATTCAACAAATATATACTTACTTGGTATGGGAAGCACAACGGATGGTGGAGGCTGACCATGTCCTTGGGGAACAGGAAGTCTCATACTATGGCCAGGACCTGGACCTGGGCCCGGGCCTGGGCCTGGACCTGGGCCCGGGCCTGGGCCTGGACCTGGCATTGGAGGCATTAACATTCCAGGAGGTGGTGGAGGAGGAAGCCCAGGAGGAGGGGGTGGGAAAGGAATCATACTTGGCAGAGCAACTTCATCAACAACTAGGGGATCATTTCCATGATCAAACTGACAAAGGTCACCAAGTACACAAAATCCTCTTTCTGTGGAATAAAGAATAAAAAAAGAATCTTATTATCATCTACTTAGAGTTCAGAAAACAACAAAACATGTCCCTGAAAAACCCACCAATCTCATTTACAAAGTGGTTTTCTCCAAGGAATCCAAAGTCTCAGTGTTACTCTGTTAAGCATCACATATCCCCAAGGTAGAGGCAGATGTACTCTCTACTTTTTACACTATGATACTATGACTTGTTGAGAAAGCAAATAAAAGAGTCAAGAACAGGTTACCAACTACCATTATACTAAACCATTTGCAATTAAGCTTTCATAATAAAAACTCAGATATTTTAAACAAATATCAATTTAGCAAAGGCGTGGGGTAGGGGAGAATAAGGGCATTGACCTAGATTATTTACTCTCAATCTATTCTCATTACATTATTCTAAAGCAACCATTATTGCTATATCTGGAAGTTGAAACTTTCAAATATTCACGTGAACATTATGTACCAGGTTATCACTTGTAGCACTGTACATAGTAGAAAAATAATAGAAACATCCCAAACATACATCAATAAGGAATAAGTTAAACACGTTTGTACATAAAGAATACTAAGAAGCAGGGCTGGGCGCAGTCGCTCACGCCTGTAATATCAGCACTTTGGGAGGCCAAGGCAGACAGATCACGAGGTCAAGAAACTGAGACCATCCTGACCAACATGGTGAAACCCCGTCTCTACTAAAAATACAAAAATTAGCTGGGCGTGGTGGCACGCGCTTGTAGTCCCAGCTACTCAGGAGGCTGAAGCAGGAGAATCACTTGAACCCAGGAGGCAGAGGTTGCAGTGAGCTGAGATCATGGCACTGCACTCCTGCCTGGTGACAGAGCGAGACTCCATCTCAAAAAAAAAAGAGAAAAAAAAGAATACTAAGAAGCCTAAATAAATACTGAGAAAGCTCTCTATGTTTTAACATAGGATGAACGCCAGGAAATACTGCTAACTGAAAAAACATTATGCAGAAGTATGAGTAGCATACTAGTATTTATGTTAAAAATGTGGGGAAAATATGTGTATTTACTTATGTACATACGCACAGATTATGTTTGGAAAGATAAACAACAAATTGATAACATTACGTTGGCCTTGGCAAGGAGTATTCTATGGCTGAGAGATTAGGGCGAGAATGAGGTAATTCTTGAATTATAATTTGACTCTATTCCCTACTTTAAAATAAGTAAAATGTAAAAACGTATGCATTCTGTATTTATAGAAAAAAATTATGATGTCTGTGACTTGCTTGAAATAATACAGGCCACAGAAGTGAGTGGGAGCATACATTAAAACAACATTCCCCATGGGTTGGTGCCTATTTAAATGATGTAACGGATACACTGGGGTTAAGCATATCATTTTGTCAGCTTTTATGAATATATAAATACTTCCATAATAAAAATTTAAAAGAAATACACACATACCGATTCATTCATTCAAATGGAAAGTCAGCAAATCAAACTTGTAAGTAACTTCTACAAATTCCCGGCAGCAAACACTACTCAAAAAAATGACAATTCCTGGCTGGGCATGGTGGCTCACACCTGTAATCCCAGCACTTTGGGAGGCTGAGGAAGGTGGATCACCTGAGGTCAGGAGTTCCAGACAAGCCTGACCAACATGGTGAAACCCCGTCTCTACTAATACAAAAATTAGCCGGGCATGGTGGCTCACGCCTATAATCCCAGCTACTTGGGAGGCTGAGGCAGGAAAATCGCTTCAACTTGGGAGTCAGAGGCTGCAGTGAGCCGAGATTGTGCCACTGCACACTAGCCTGGGGGACAGAGCAAGTCCGTCTCCAAAAATAAATAAATAAATAAATAAAATTCTTTTAAAAAATTACAATTACTAGTGTCTATGAAATTTTACAGTATACTATGGCATACAGTGTTTGAAATAACAGTGAAAACAAAAAAACAAAAAAAATCTAAAAAAGGGTAAAATTTAAATATTCTCTTAATGAGAGCCAAACCATTAAATCAAACAGAGATTCTCCTCCCCATTCATCCCTTTTAACAAAATTTGGACTATAGGCATGGTGCGGTGGCTCACACCTATAATCCCAGCACACTGGGAGGCCGAGGCAGGCAGATCACCTGAGGTCAGGAGTTCGAGACCAGCCAGACCAAAATGGTGAAACCCTGTCTCTACTAAAAACACAAAAGTTAGCCAGGCATGGTGGCACATGCCTGTGTGTGACTTGCTTGAAATAATACAGGCCATAGAAGTCAGTGGGAGTGTAGATTAAACAACATTCCCCATGAGTTGGTGCCTACCTGGGAGGCTACTTGGGAGGCTGAGGAAGGAGAATCGCTTGAACCCGGGAGATGGAGGTTGCAGCGAGCCAAGATCGAGCCACTGCACTCCATCCTGGGTGACAGAGCAAGACTCTGTCTCAAAATAAATAAAATAAGATAAAATAAAATAAACTGGACTATAACTAAAAGATATGCAATATATGCAACATTTGCTCTGCTAGTACTTTTGGGCACAATATGAGAAAAGGTGGTGATTTTTACCATCATAATCTCTGCATCGCCTCTTTGGTGGTAGGTTTCGACCAAAAGAATTGGAAGAGCTATGATTGTTATAGTAATTAGACCAACTCTCAGTTGTGTTTTCAGAGTGGTGAGCAGGTGCGATCACAGTAACAGTGCTGGGAATAGACTGTGCCCCAGAGGAATACTGCTCAGAAGAGTTTGGAGGTGGTGCAGACACAGGCACATAGGAACTCTCCAGGTCATTCCTTTCACTCTTAAACTTCGATCTTTCCCTGTGCTCTACTTGGAGACAAAATTAAAAACAGAAAACAAAGAGATCAGATATTTCATGTTCTTAAACTATATTTATTTTCTCACATAGAAAACATGAGAATGTTGAATTAAACTTATCTAGCTATCCATATTTCATACTCCTCTCTTTATTAATATATCCTAAAAGCAGGGACATCAACAAGTGACATATCTTGGGCAAGAACTTGTGCAAAATCATCTTTTATAGTATCAACATCAGTTACACTTAACTGAAAAAGAGTCAGCTTCTCCACAGATATTTAATAAGAAGGTTATCTAAGAACTGACTTCCAAACTTGTATCTCAGAAGATGAGTGGTTGGGATCCCAATAATCTACTTATTTTATCCATTTAATTTTATAAACTTCAAGCACCCTTACAGCAAATCAATTACTTTTAGAAAACCAAACAAAGAAGAAAAGCAGGCAACCCTCTTCCTCACGTGATAGCTTTATTGATTAAAGGATATTTGTATCCATTATACAAAATGAGTTAAGTCTAGACATGTACAATGATACACTTGAATAGCTCCTTTTTAATCAAACTCCCTTGACTCCATCCCCAGAATAGAGCCCTGTTTTCTAACAAAATGGATATTGAGCTTCTTGAGACAATTCCAGTTTTTACACTGCTCAGACATATTAAAGGTACAACTTTAAGAGAATTTCTTGCACCCCTGTGATAGAGACAGATAAATAACTACAGAGTTTTTAGGGGGACACTCATCTACTCACCAACATTCCTATTTGGATCCCGGTCTTTGCTGCGCCCCCTACTTCGGCTTCTACTGCGACTCAGGCCTCGACTCTTACTCCGACTCTTACTCCTGCCTCTTCTCCAGTCATACTTCTCACGGTACAATTCATTCCGCTCATAGTACCGGTCATAGTCTCTCCATTTCCCGTCTTCTCTTTTTTTCTCACGTGTCCTATAATATACAGATATAAAAGCCATATGCAGGCTATAGAAACCAAGTCTGCAAACAAATCTATAGTATAAATACTACTCTTGAGTCATCCAAATGCATATCTATGCTTTTTTAGAAAGTTGCAAATCTACCACATAATTCCTCTAATCAAATATATACAGAGAAAAAACATCCCTCCTGCAATTATACTGGGTGGGGAGAAATGAAAAAAAGAGGTGAATCCAAAGTATGGGGAGGGGTGGGCAGGGGAAAACAGAAAATTTGAAATAGAAAAGAAAAAAGGCTCAAAAAAAAGTGTTCCTAAACAAAGACCAATTTTTGATGTTAGGCTGATGATTCAATATACAAGTTGTACTACTTGTCATAAAAAAATGACTTGGATGATTTTAATACTAAGCACCCCTAACCAAATGGAACATTTCATTAATATTCTCTAAGGGGACTGCTCCCACCCCTGAGCTCTTGGGGAAAACACATAATAATGACTGTTTATAAAAGGAACAGAAAGTAAGACAAAAGACAAAAAACAGAAAGAATGAAAGGAAGAAAGGTAACATCTTTCTTTAATGAGTTTACAGAGAGAGGAGTAAGTATATATATTAAAAATCCCTTTAATGTCCTTGCAAGGCAACTAAAAAGTGAGTTATCAATGTCTTCCTAATTAAAGATAAACACAAACCTTCGTTCACTAGATTCTGAACGAGTCTTCTGGGGACTAGGATATTTCTTTTTTCTGCCATCTCGTTCTTCCTCTGCTGGCTCCTGAAATACCTATATGAAAATATTGAGTAGAAGTAAGAGCAGGGCCAGGCACGGTGGCTCACACCTGTAATCCCAACATTTTACGAGGTCCAGGTGGGAAGACTGCTTGAGGCCAGGATATTGAGACCAGCCTGGGAAACACAGGGAGACTCCATCTCTACTAAAAATAATAAATAAAATAAGTTAGCTGGGCATGGTGGGATGCACCTGTATGTAGTCCCAGCTACTCAGGAGGCCAATATGGGAGGACTGCTTGAACCCAGAAGTTTGAGGCTGCATTAAGCCATGATCACACCACTGCACCACAGGCTGGATGACAGAGTGAGACCTTTCTCAAAAACAAACAAAAAACAAAATAAGAATGGTCCCTCTCGGCCGGGCGCAGTGATTCACACCTATAATCCCAGCACTTTGGGTGGCCGGGGCGGGCAGATCACTTGAGGTCAGGAGTTTGAGACCAGCATGGCCAACATGGTGAAACCCTGTCTCGACTAAAAATACAAAAATTAGCCACGTGTGGTGGCACGTGCCTGTAGTCCCAGCTACTCGGGAGGCTGAGGCAGGAGAATCATTTGAACCCAGGAGGCAGAGGTTGCAGTGAGCCGAGATCACGCCACTGCGCTCCAGCCTGGGCAACACGAGACTTTGTCTCAAAAAAAAAAAAAAAAAAAAGAAAGAATGGTCCCTCTATAAATTATGAAACATGTCCATCTACCTGATAATATTTCTGGCGCAAGAGAGGGCACGAGTAAATACACTGAAAAAATAAAGTCAATTCATAGCCAAAAGAGTCAGGCAACAGCAGAAATAAAAAAGATGCTCAGATTACTTCAACAAGCAGTTTGTTAATTTTTTAATGTTAAAGTAGGGAATGGTAGTGTAGGAAAAGTATAAACAATTCATTCTTCAAATTAAAACAGCAAATCTCTTAAGTACCATAGAGTAAAACGGTTATGTTTTCCTCATTATGAAATATATATACATACATAATTCATTTGAGTAGCTCTTCAGATTTATTCCATAGGAAACGTTTTAGGAAAAAATGGTTAAATCAATGAATGCTATAAAACTAAGTAATTCATGTAAACTATGGAAAAATGGTATTGGAACTAATGGAAATGTTAAGGCTTTCTCTTAAAGCCTAACCGTCAAAATTGACCAGAAATACAAAGAGAACAGTAATTTTTATTTTTTTATTTTATTCTTTTGTTTTTTGGAGACCGAGTCTCACTCTGTCGCCCACGTTGGAGTGCAGTGGCGCTATCTCAGCTCACAGCAACCTCTGCCTCCTGGAGAACCAGTAATTTTTATTATTGTCTTTGAACAAGTTTATCTCAAACCGAATATATAGTCTTTACCAGAGAAAGGTGAAATAAAGTTATTTGCAAGAGTTAAACAAATACCTATCTAATGGAGAAGCTCACTGACAAATACACAAATCAGGAAGTGAGTGAATGGACTTAGGAGATAATAATTTAATAAAATTCAGGCAACATAAAACGGCAGCCACAATATGGCAACCATATGGCAGCAAAATCACTACACACTCACTAGACTACATTTAAAAAACATTCTCTATCCTAATTCACAGGAAATACAGAGGATGTATTATTCCACTGGGATGCAGACAGCAAAATCCAGACAGTAAAAAACTCTACAGGACAAATGATTGAATTTCTTCACAAAATAAAATTTAAGGAAAAAGATGAGGTAAAGAAAACAGGCAATGAAGGCAGTGTGCTTCATAAATCATGGCACATGTCTACCAAGTTGTTTTTCCAGAAGCAGGATGAGTTGGTGCCAATGATCCAAATTCTCTTACCCTGGTGATCAACAGTCTAATTAGAAAACCACTAATGGAACCCAATGTAGCCGAAGACCAAGGAAGAAAGTTAAAATGGGTAATCCCTAGATTTGCTTCTCTATACCCTGTTCAGAGCAACTAAGCACAGACCAGAAAAAGACAATTAGCCAAAGATGTGTGCCACCTCAGACTCCTTTCCTACTCTATTATCTAACAGAAATACTATAAACAATTATGTTTATGCACTACTAAATGAACTACAATTTATTTCAGTAATTACGATAAGTTATGTAATTTTCTAAAACTTAGAAAATGAGAAACGCCGGAAAGCTGTCAGTTGGGGGTAGCTCTACACAGAAACTGGCATTATCCATTTTTCACAATTCTCAAAATTGTATCTACAAAGATACAAACAAGATAGTATAACAGTTTTGTTTTTTTTTAAAACTGTTCTTTTAAAACTCAAGACAGGCTGGGTGCAGTGGCTCACACCTGTAATCCCAGCACTTTGCGAGGCCAAGGCAGGTGAATCACCTGAGGTCAGGTGTTCAAGACCAGCCTGGCCAACATGGTGAAACTCTATCTCTACTAAAAATACAAAAAAATTAGCCAGGAGTGGTGGTGGGCACCTGTATTCCCAGCTACTTGGGAGACTGAGGCAGGAGAATCGCTTGAATCCAGGAGGTGGAGGTGGCAGTAAGCTGAGACTACACCATTGCACTCCAGCCTGGGCAACAAGAATGAAACTCCATCTCAAAAAAATAAATAAATAAACTCAAGATAATGCAAATTTTCTCTCATATTCAAATCAGCTGCCTCTCAAACAGATACATCTAAACCACTGAGATTCAATGACTGTAAAAAACACGTTACAAAAAATTTTAACTTATAAAAAACATAATCTATACCATAGACCAAAAATTATATACTATAAAGTACCAAAGAAAAATGTCTATGAAAGTACTCAAGAAAGTTTTCTTCCAGCCCTGGCGCAGTGGCTCATGCCTATAATCCCAGCACTTTGGGAGGCCGAGGCAAACAGGTCACTTGAGGTCAGGAGTTTAAGACCAGCCTGGCCAACTTGGTGAAACCCCGTCTCTACTGAAAAAAAAAAAAAAAAAATTAGGCAGGCTTGGTGACAGGGCCTATAATCCCAGCTACCCAGGAGGCTGAAGCAGAATAATCGCCTGAACCTGAAAGGTAGAGGTTGCAATGGGCCGAGATCGCGCCACCGCACTCCACCCTGGGTGACAGAATGAGACTCTGTCTAAAAAAAACCAGAAAGGTGGCCAGCTGCTGTGGCTCACCCCTGTAATCCCAGCACTTTGGAAGGCCAAGGTGGGTGGATCACGAGGTCAGGAGTTCAAGACCAGCCTGGCCAATATGGTGAAACCCCATCTCTATTAAAAATACAAAAATCAGCCAGGCATGGTGGCACATGCCTGTAATCCCAGCTACTTAGGAAGCTGAGGCAGGAGAATCGCTTGAACCCAGGAGGTGGAAGTTGCAGTGAGCTGAGATGGCACCACTGCACTCCAACCTGGGCGATGGAGCGGACTCCGTCTCAAAAAAAAAAAAAAAAACAGAAAGGTAAAAAACAGAAAGGCTTCTTCCTATTTCCAGTACTTTAAGACACATTCAACAAGCCTCTCCAATTTTGAAAGAACTTGATGAGATAATTACAGGGCATGATATAAAAAGAAAAAACAGACAGCAGTCTCAGTTGATCTTCATAAATATAGCCACATTTTTTCTTTTAATGTTGGATCAGGTCAATCAGCCTAGCATTTAAAAATGAATCGGAAATGATAACTAAATGATACCTAATCCTTAGAATCAATCCTGAAAATGGAGAGGAAAAGAACATGCTATAAAAAAGAAACACTTGGGACTCGGTGCAGTGGCTCATGCCTGTACTCCCAGCACTTCGGGAGGCCAAGTCAGGAGGATCGCTTAAGCTCAGGAGTTCAAGACCAGCCTGGGCAACATAGTGAAACCCTGTCTCTTTAACAACAACAAAAAACTTTTTTAAAAGGAAATAAAAAAAGGACATTGCTTGATCAATTGATAAAACTGAACACAGATAATACATTAAAGTACTATATGGATGTTAAATTTACTGAACTTGATCACAGTATCATAGTTACCTAAGAGAATATTCCTTATATGTAGGAAATACACACTGAAGTACTTTACTTAGGGGTGAAAAGACATGAAGTATGTGACTCACTACTCAAATTACTGAGAAAAAAATCATATGGATATTTAAAGAGAGCAGATGGGGCAAATTTTCAGTAAGTATATCTAGACCACCTATAACCCCAGAGCTTTGGGAGGCAGAGGTGGGAGTTCGAGACCAACCTGGGCAACATAAGGAGACTCCAACTCCATCGAAAAGAAAAGTTTATCTAGATAGACGTCATATGGGTGTTTTGGGTATTATTCTCGTAATTTTTTTTTTTCTTTCTGAGGCAAAGTTTTGCTCTTATTGCCCAGGCTGGAGTGCAACAGTATGATCTCGGCTCACTGCAACCTCCACTGCCCGGGTTCAAGCGATTCTCCTGCCTCAGCCTCCCAAGTAACTGGGATTACAGATGCCTGCCACTACGCCCAACTAATATTTTGTATTTTTAGTAGAGGCAGGGTTTCCCATGTTGGCCAGGCTGATCTCAAACTTCTGACCTCAGGTGATCCGCCCACCTAAGCCTCCCAAAGTACTGGGATTACAGGCATGAGCCACCATGCCCAGCCTCTTGTAATTTTTATTTGTTTAAAATTATTTCTAAATTAAAAATTCATTTTACCTTCAGAATAAATGTAATAAAAATAAATACTGGGAAATATTTCTGCATGATAACCAACATTTATGTGCCAGGCACTGGACTAGAAACTATATATATATATACACACATACATACATAATCTCACTTAATCCTCAATAAGTACTACTCTGATCCTCATTTTACTGATATCAAAGTGAGACAGAGAAGTTAACTTGTAGAGCTGTTATTTTAACTCATGCAACCTGATTACAGAATCCACATTCTTCTATACTATATTGTCTGTATATAACAGGAAGTACAAAGAACTCTGTAAAATTTCCTTCTTGGTTCAAACAATTAGGTTACCATCTATAACCATGTTTTCATACTTCAATATTATAAAAACATTTTTAAAATCCTCTTTCCAATGTTGACAGTGATGTTCACAATTACATTAACTATTTTTTAAAACTCTATATAATCAAAAAGTGCAACTGGTTTCTCCATATACATGAAAATGTGTTACCTAATGATTTCTCTTGAGGATTTGTTAACAGTTCACTTTCAGTCAATCTCTCTATATTTAACCAAGTTTTCTTTTTCTAAAAGTCACTAGATAAGATTTCTCTGACTTCCTCAATATTTCTGAAATATTTCTTGGATCTCTAAACAAGCTATCTGAAACTTTTCAACTCTTCAGTCCAAGCAACTATGAAATCCTGATGAAGAATCTGTACCATGCCTAAAATCCGGAAACTTGAATCAATACACAATTACTTTTAAAAGGCTCAACTTCCAACTAAGGATACTGGTGACAGGATCTAAGAAGCCCCCAAAAGCAGGAGAAAAAATTTGCATTACCTCTTCTTTAATTTCTTCTTTTTCTTGGACTAGTGGTTTTGGCTCAGGCTTTACTGGTTCCAAAAGTGGAAGGTAGTTCTTAGTATAGAGACTTTCAAATAGTTTGTCCACAAAACCTGAAGTTTCTAAGGAGAAGAAATAACATTTACATATTGCGCAAACAAAAAACAAAAATTTGACAACACATTGTCAGCAAAGCTCAGGAAAACAGGACATCTTGTACACTGCTAGTAGGACTAAAAATGAGTCCTACCTTATGGAAGAGAATCCCACTTTCAGGTTTTTAAATCCTTCTGACCTACTTGCAAAATGATATATATGTAAGATTATTTGTTGGAGGATATAATAGCAAACGATCGGAAACAACTCAAATTTCCATGAATAAGAGACTAGTTAAATAAACTATGGGACATCTATACAACAGAGTACACAGCGGCTATAAAAAGAAAGAATACTGATAATACCTGATCTCAAAGATATAACAGTATGTATTTATATGTGTTTCTATCTATCTGCATAAAGAAACTGAAAAAAATAAAAACTGACAAAATTGTGTACTCTAGGTGGGAACGCGGTGGATATAAAACAGGTAAGAGACTTTCATGGTATACCTTTATATTGTTGGATTAAAGGCACTGCCAACTCAAAAAACTTAACCGAAAATTTTTTTTAATCAGTTAAATATTTACTGATATGAAAATGACATGAAACTAACTTTTTGTGTTTTACTTAAAGGGTGCTCTGTTTGAAACTTCCTCAGACAACTGAATGGGAGAACCAGATGAATTTAGTAAAAGTATTAACGTCAAATATTTATACTGCTTTTTTTTGTTTGTTTGTTTTTGAGACAGAATCTTGCTCTGTTGCCCAGGCTGGAGTGCAGTGGTGCGATCTCAGCTCACAGCAACCTCCACCTCCTGGGTTCAAGTGATTCTCCTGCCTCGGCCTCCTGAGTAGGTGGGATTACAGGCATGTGCCACCACGCCCAGCTAATTTTTGTATTTTTAGTAGAGACAGGGTTTCACCATGTTGGCCAAGCTGGTCTTGAACACCTGACCTCAGGTGATCTGCCTGCCTCGGCCTCCCAAAGTGCTGGGATTACAGGCATGAGCCACCACATCCAGCCTATGTCTTATTAAAACCAAATCTAAATAACTTTGATTGGTCCTACCCTAAGGAACAGCTAAAGAGCATATTAAAAGCACAACACAAACTCTGCTTACATTGCAATGATTACATCTTTTACATAAAAGCTATTTCTAAAATGTTATCTTTTCTACAGAAAAGCATCTTCTTATAAATTTCTTTACACTACTAATTTGTGTAGTAAGCATTTTTCCACGATTATAAAACTGTTAGCTCTCATTGACTATTACATATAAACTTAAGACAATAATCAGACCCTTCAAAAGCCTCTATAATCAGAATACTTTCACTTATAATTATTATTTAAAACAATTTATAACATGTTATTTTCTTTTGTAATCTGAAAGACACATAGCTCAATTTTTAAAAAGCAAAGATAAACATCTACTATTAAACAATATTCTCTGGGAAACCAAAGAGTTTGGGAAAAATTAAAAATAAATAAAAATAAAAACAATATTCAAGGTACACTATTAAATTTTTAAAATGTTATTATAAAAGAGTATGTTCACTTAATACTATTTTAAGATGCAATATAAACACAGACATAAGTCTACAGTTGCACTGTCCAATATAGTAGCCACTAGCCATATGTAGCTCTTTAAATTTGAGTTTAAATTAATTAAAATTAAATTTAAAAATCAATTTCTGGCCAGGCACAGTGGCTCACGCCTGTAATCCCAGCACTTTGGGAGGCCGAGGCAGGTGGATCACTTGAGGCCAGGAGTTTGAGACCAGCCTGGCCAACATGGTGAAACCCTGTCTACTAAAAATACAAAAATTAGCCACGTGTGGTGGTACATGCCTATAATTCCAGCTACTCGAGAGGCTGAGGCAGGAGAATTGCTTGAGCCCAGCAGGTAGAGGTTGCAGTGAGCTGAGATTGCACCACTGTACTCCAGCCTGGGCAACAAGAGCGAAACTCTGTCTCAAAAAAAAAATCAATTTCTCTGGCCTATTTACCAGATATCAAGTGCTCAAAAGCCACATGTGGCTAATGGCTACTGAAATGGAAAGTACAGATATAGACCATATGCACAAAGTTCTATTGGACAGTGCTAGTCTAGAAAGACACACACAAGCTGATAACAGTGATTTTATCTCTGGTGGCAAATTTATGGTTACTTATTTTCTTATCCTTTTAAAAATGTAGTGTATAGTTCCTTCTCATATATATTACCTATGTAATTTTTTTTTTAATTACTAAAATCCTTTCTAACTTTTTTTTTTTTTTGAGATGGAGTCTTGCTCTGTCGTCCAGGCCTGCCGAGTAGCTGGGACTACAGGCGCCCACCACCATGCCCGGCTAATTTTTTTGTGTTTTTTTAGTAAAGACTGGGTTTTCACCCTGTTAGCCAGGATGGTCTCAATCTCCTGACCTCATGATCCACCCGCCTCGGCCTCCCAAAGTGCTGGGATTACAGGCATGAGCCACCGCGCCTGGCCAATCCTTTCTAACTTTTTATAACAAAGAATTCTTGGACGTCTAAACATTCATTTGGCCTTTTACCCCAAATATGTTTTGCTTTCTCTTTTGTCATGGCTCTACATTTCACAAGACTCATCTTTAATGTAAATCAAGTAATGTAAATTAACACATTTAGAAAAGAAAACATCTGTACTGGGGAGGAATTTTTTAAGTAGCTGTTGTACTGGGAAAAAATTCTGTCAGTATTGCTTTGTTTCTACAAAAAGAGCTGTAAAATGTAGGAAAAAATATGTAATCCTATGTTTTAGATTGAGAAGCCATACTTACTTTTCTCCTTCTCAGTAAATACTTATTTTAAATGATATCTTCTCATCACCAATAGCTAAATCAACTGATAAATGTGTATTATTCACATTCCTATTCATCCATTCAACTATACATACATATATATATATATATATATTTTTTTTTTTTTTTTGAGATGGACTCTCGCTCAGTCGCCCATTCTGGAATGCAGTGGCGCGATCTTGGCTCACTGCAACCTCTGCCTCCTGGGTTCAAGAAATTCTCCTGCCTCAGCCTCCCGAGTAGCTGGGACTACAGGCACACGCCACCACGCCCAGCTAATTTTGTATTTTTAGTAGAGATGGGGTTTCACCGTGTTGGCCAGGATGGTCTCGATCTCTTGACCTCATGATCCACCCGCTTCGGCCTCCCAAAGTGCTGGGATTACAGGCGTAAGCCACCGCGCCTGGCCCATTTAACAATATTTACTGAACATCTTCCATGTACCAAGTACTGTAGGTTCCAAGTCTCCACTCTCAACCAAACAAAAGGCAAACAAAGGGTAGAGAGACAGATAACCAGGCAAATAAACCTATGACAGGTGGTGACAAGTGCCATGAAAACAACAAAACAGGAGTCAGGCACAGGGGCTCATGCCTTGTAATCCCAGCACTTTGGGATGCCAAGGTGGGGCAGTTGCTTGAGGCAAGAAGTTCAAGGATCAGCCTGGGCAACAAAGTGAGACCCCAACACTACAAAAATAAAAATACATAGATATAAAAATAAATAAATAAAAAAGAAAAATAAAACAAAACAGGGTTGGAAGGAGGAGAGTGGATGGAGGCATGGAGTATACTACACTGTATGTAGAGCACTCAGGGGAAACTGCTTTCAGAAGATGACATTTGAAGAGACCAGAAAGAAGCGAGAGAAGAATCCATGTTTCAGGCAAGGGTAAAATGAGTTCAAAGGGCCTGAGTTGGGAACATGTTTGCCATAATTCAAAAAACAGGTGGTCGTTGTGGCTAGAGTGGAACAAGTGAGGGGCAATGATAGGAGATAAGGTCAGAGAGGCAACAGGGGAAACCTTAGGAAGCTCTGTAGACCATGGAAACAGATTTGGTAAGAAGATGAAAAGTTAAAGGCACAAAGAGAAGAGGATCATACACATCTCTTCTTGGATATTAAGAAGCCCCATCCAAGGGGGGAAAAAAACTGATGAGCTCATCATCTTAATGAACACCAAGAATAAGCATCTTCATTATCCTTAAACTGTTACCCCTCAATCATCAAGTAGGCTCTGTCAAAAGCTGCAAAAGACCTAATCATCTAAAAAGCATTAGAGCTGCCATTGCCTCAATAGAGGAAAGCAGCAAAGAAGGAAAGGGAAAAAACCAGTTCTAACAAAACATGATAAATAATTAAGTATGAATGGGTATATTCAAGTATTCAAAGGACTCTGACTACTTTCTTTCCTATCAAGCTTATATCTCCAAGACTTTTCAGGAAGTTTTAAACTTAAAATCTTTACTTCAATACTCGATTGAAGGCCCATAATAATTACCTTTTTGTAAAAAGACATCAAGTTGATCAGCACAAAAGGCTTTTAATTCTTTCTCAGGTTTGTCCTTCTTGACCAGTGCTACAACATAGTTGGCTAAGGCTGAAGGATCAGCATCACATCTAGTTAGACAAAGAGAAAACAAAAATTTTAAAAAACACTTTTTATCAAACAGTAGTGTTATTAATGAAGTCACCCTTATTTTGGAAAACGAGAAATCAAAACTCTATTCTAAAAAGTGACCACAAACACAGGCAACTTTTATAATAAACATATACATACTGCGAGATTTTCCTTTTGCATTTATTTCTACAAAATGACTAGTATGTCTTCTATTTTTGAGGTTCTAAATATATCAAGGATCTTGGGCGAGCTCTACATTTATTTGTTCTCTCAATGATAACAGGCAAAGAGTGGCAACTGACCCCTAAGTTGCTGTTTGGCTCCCAGCTATAGAAGCACTGTCAATAACACCTTCAGGAACTATCTGTTCCAGGTGATTAATGAGCAAAAGGAAGGGAAGTGATGGAAAAACTTTCTCCTCTCCTCAAGACACCTCTCCCTAGGCACCAGTATCTAAAAATGGCTATCAGCCCTTTTGCTAATCTCAGCGAGTATCTTAAAGATCTTTTTAAAAAATAAGAACATGAAAAGAATGGCATTTAAATATTATTGGCAAATGCTTTAGCAGCTGTAAGAAAGAAAGAAAAGATCTAGGAGTTAGAAACAGAAAGGAAAAGAGAAGTGGTGAAAGGACAGCAGAGATAACCTTTATCTACTTCTCATTTTTTCTAGTAAGTAATCCAACACTGATACTCAAAATCATCTCCTATTCCAGGACAGCTCATAATCCTTGGGTTGTCAACTCCTGATGTATAGTAATCTGTCAGACTCGAGGTTTTATGTACATCACATGAAACTTTTAGTTTTCTTGTTGTAAACATATATATATACACACACATATATAAAATATTCTAGGCTTCCTGATGAATACATAAATAACACATATCCTTCACAGTCAGGTTATGAAGGTAAAATGAAAACATTCAGGCTGGGTGCAATGGCTCATGCCTGTAATCCCAACATCCTGAGAGGCTGAGGCAGGAGGATCATTTGAGCCCAGGAGTTCAAGACCAGCCTGGGCAAAATGGCAAAACTCTGTTGCTATAGAAAATACAAAAATTAGCCAGGTGTGGTGGTGCACGTCTGTAATCCCAGCTACTCGGGAGGCTGAGGCGGGAGGATGCTTGAGGCTGGGAGGCAGAAATTGCAGTCAGCCGATCACACCACTGCACTCCAGCCTGGGTGACAGAGTGAGACCCTGTCTCAAAGAAACAAAAAACAAACAAACAAACAAACAAAAAATTCAGAATAACAGTAAGTAAAACCATTATGCAAGCAAAGTGATTATATAACCTATAAAACACTATTCAAATCTAACTAATCTTGTTCTATAATCCTTGGGCCTTCACTAGCAGCCAGAAAGTTAAAAGGTTTCAGCTCACTTGGGAGGCTGAGGCAAAAGGACACCTTGAGCCCAGGAGTTGGAGGTTGCAGCAAGCCATGATCATGCCACTGCAGTCCAGCCTAGGCAACAGAGTGAGACCTTGTCTCCAAAAAAAAAAAAAAAAAAAAAAAAAAACAGGCTTCAGCTCAAGAGTATCAATCACATTTCCAATAACTTTATGAGATTAGTAAACAAAATAAAAACCAAGCACCAGTACCTTTACTTCCTTCTAGTTTTTATGCTTAAAGTTCGTAATTCAGTAACACAACTTTTTTTGTTGTCAATATTAACACTGTCATGGGAAAGGCTGGTTCTTTAAACATCCATTCACCTGGCCGGGCACGGTGGCTCACATCTGTAATCCTAGCACTTTGGGAGGCCAAGGCGGGGGGATCACCTGAGGTCAGGAGTTCAAGACCAGCCTGGACAACATGACGAAACCCCGTCTCTACTAAAAATACAAAAATTAGCCAGGCAAGGTGGCTGGCACCTGTAGTCCCATCTACTCCAGAGGCTGAGGCAGGAGAATCGCTTGAACCCGGGAGGCAGAGGTTGCAGTGAGCTGAGATCGCACCACTGCACTCCAGCCTGGGCAACAGAGCGAGACTCCATCTCCAAATAAATAAATAGACAGAGAGTCACTCAAGGCTGGGCCTGGTGGCTCATGCCTATAATCCCAACACTTTGGGAGGCCAAGGCTGGCTGCTTAAGCCTAGAAGTTCAAGAGCAGCTTGGGCAATATAGCGAGATCCGGTCTCTACAAATAATATAAAAATTAGCCAGGCATGGTGGCGCACACCTGTACTCCCAGCTACTAAGGAAGCTGAGACAGGAGCATTGCCTGAGCCTAGGAGGTCAAGGCTGCAGTGAGCCATGACCACACCACTACCCTCCAGCCTGGGATACACAGTGAGACCCTGTCTCAAAAAATAAAAAATAAAAGAAAGTAAAGATTTTTCTTAAGTAAAAAATGTTACATTTTGGAGAATTATGAACAGATAACCTTAGTAAGGCCAACTGTTAAATTCTAAAATTGATAAATATATTGTAAACTTGAATTTGCTAAGAGAGTAGATCTTAAGTGTTCTCACCACACAAAAAAAGACAGCTATATGAGATGATTATGTTAACTAGCTTTTGATATATATGCACATTTCAGCATGTGCATATATATCAAAACATCACACCTTAAATACATACAATTTTTATTAATAAAATTTTAAATTAAAAACCAAAATAGTGAATATGTAGCCTTTCTATCTTCAAAAAATATTATGGTTGGGTGTGGTGGCTCACACCTGTGGGAGGCCAAAGTGTGGGGAATCGCTTGAGTCCAGAAGTTTTAGACCATGGTGAAAACCTGCTTCTACAAAAAATTAACCAGGTGTGGTGGCATGCACCTGTGGTCCCAGCTACCCAGGAGGCTGAGGTGGGAGAATCACATGAGCCCAAGAGGTGGAGTTTGCAGTGAGCCGAGATTGTGCCACTGCACTCCAGCATGGGCAACAGAGCAAGACTGTCTCAATAAAATAAAATAAAAATTACACATGCCAGCTGGGCGCGGTGGCTCACGCCTGCAATCCCAGCACTTGGGAGGTCGAGGCAGGAGGATCACGAGGTCAGGAGTTCAAGACCAGCCTGACCCAAATGGTGAAATCCCGTCTCTACTAAAAATACAAAAATTAGCCAGGCGTGGTGGTGTGCACCTGTAATCCCAGCTACTTGGGAGACTGAGGCAGGAGAATCACTTGAACCCGGGAGGCAGAGGTTGCAGTGAGCCAAGATCACACCACTGCACTCCAGCCTGGGTGACAGAGAGAGACAGTCTCAAAAAAAAAAAAATTACACATGCCATGCTTACCCTGGCTATTCTATAAACACCTTAAAAAACAGATGTGTAGGCCAACTTAATTTCACCCCTGAGAATAATGAGAAAATTTTTATCAGTGTAGTTCTAGTCTACATTCATATGGAGGAGAGAAGGGGAAAAAAATTACATTTCCACCTTTACTTAAAAAGTTTAGTTCTTGGATAAGGGTAGTCTAACACAGAAGAAAAGGACTTAGAAAAATAAATAAGAATGGAAGAAAATGGCAATGTTATTTTCTCTGACGTTATAGGAACCTTCAAGGAGTCTAATGATCTGATAGATTTAGTGCTGGGTATGGATAATAAAGTTTCTATATGTTAGGAATGGGCAAAACATTCAGATATTGGATAACTGAAATGGGTTTAAGAAACCCAGATATCGGCTGGGTGCAGTGGCTCATGCCTGTAATCCCAGCAGTTTGGGAGGCTGAGGCAGGAGGATCACCTGAGGTCAGCAGATCAAGATCAGCCTGGCCAACATGGTGAAACCCCATGTCTACTAAAAATACAGAAATTAGCCAGGTGTTGTGGCATGCACCTGTAATCCCAGCTACTTGGGTGGCTGAGGCAGGAGAACTGCTTGAGCCTGGGAGGCAGAGGTTGCAGCAAGCCGAGATCACGCCAGTGCACTCCAGCCTGGGCGATAGAGCGCGACTCAGTCTCAAAAAAAAAGAAAAGAAACCCAGATATCTTTTACATATATTTAGCATACAGACTCTAAAAACCATATGCCAAGTTAGGCTGCTTCTGATGAAACACATTTTGATATGATAGTGCTAAAAATCAAGATGAATATACAGGAAAGTAAAAGAGTAGAAAAGGTTAGACTCCAGGAGAAGAGAATGATCACAGATTCTAAACATTTGTTTAATGTGAGGGAACAAATGATTGTTAATAACTGACAGAAATCTGCACCAAATACAACAGCATGTTTACAGCCAAAGGAATAGGACCATTTACATTTAACAGCTCCTAACATGTATCCATAAAGTACGCTCTGAAGAAAATTATAAGTCTAAAATAATAGACTAATTGAATAATTCACACTAATTGAATGGTGAAACTTAAATACATTGGGAAGTTTTGTGCTGTAATTTTCTAGACTTTTACAATTATTCTTATTCTTTCACCCATTGACCCCTCACTATATAATCTCTAAAAAACAGCCATGATACTGTAGCTACAGTATCAATGCTAACTACTCAACAAGACTTCCAGAAGTATGTCACAAAAATCTGAGTACAACTAAGACTCTTGAGAATATAAGACAAGTGCAGCATCACTTCCCTCTCCTGAAAAATCATCACTTCTTTCTTCTCATACTCAGGAAGAGTACTTAAAATCTTTTAGCCACTTTATTTGCAACTAAAGCTTATGGGAATCCATTACTGCTTGACTATAAAAACAAGCATATTTGGGGATGAAAGAGATTGTAAAATTTGGGATCCATGACTATGCAAAATACACATGTCTCTAGACAAAAAGGGACTTTTATTATAACATGGAGATTAGAAAAGGTAATAATATCCATCTTAAATTACCATTCTACTATAGATTTGTAAATTTGTAAAGATAAATTAAGAGATCGATTTAAGATCAGGCAGACAGCACATCTGTGGAACTAAAACTCAGCTGCAATTCCACACAAGTAAAATCTGTTTCACAACCATGTCTTTTTCTAATGTACATCTGCAGGAAAAATTAATGTATCTTAAGTATCAACCAACAGTTACCTTTTAAAGAATCAACAAAAGAAATTTCCTAAAGCTTAATGTAACTTACAAATAGGACTCCTTAAAATTCACACCTTGCACAATAACGTTTTAAGAACATGCTTCAATTATGTTTTAAGTTATTTAAAAAATAAAAGTCAACAAATTTTTATCGGAGTAAGCTAATAGAAACATTGCCCTAAAAATACCTCATCTGTAAAAATCTCAAATTTATCTTTTTCCCCTTTTAATGAAATCTCTATTGCACGTATATTACACAACTGCTGAGCCAGTACATAAGCTTCATAGAAAATTTCAGACATGCAATCATAAGATCAAAGAGTAAGGTCCTACACCTTTGGCCCCAAGCCAAAAAACACTACTGAAAAACCATTACCATTTACTTGCTTTAGGAAAAAAGCCAAGACTACTTAGACCTTTCCCACTTGCAGAAAAATTTACATGTTTCTGAATATGGATCTAATTTTAAGTTCCATCTTAATGTGCTCTTTCTTTCAGAGGTGAAACAACTAATACATGTGCTTCTGAGCCACAGCTTAAAAAAAAAAAATCTCCTGATCTCAATGTGTATCAACAGCCATTAAAATATCCACACTCTTGGCTGGGCGTGGTGGCTCACGTCTGTAATCCCAACACTTTGGGAGGCCAAGGGTGGATCACCTGAGGTCAGGAGTTTGAGACCAGCCTGACCAACATGGAGAAACCCCATCTCTACTAAAAATACAAAATTAGCTGGGCATGGTGGTGCATGCCTGTTATCCCAGCTACTCGGGAGGCTGAGGCAGGAGAATTGCTTGAACCCGGGAGGCGGTGGTTGCAGTGAGCCAAGATCACGCCATTGCACTCCAGCCTGGGCAACAAGAGCAAAACTCCATATCAACAACAACAACAACAAAAAAAATCCATATTCTCTGACCAGTAGTTACACTTATGATAAACTAGACGAAGGAAATAAAGGCATATATAGAAAATATTACTAGTACCTAAAGCTATACACACACAAAATATATTTATTAAATAAAAACAGCATTAATTTTTAACAAAAAAATAGTGCCAAGGTAACCATTCTCTTATTGTTGGATGTTTGTGAAATATTAGGCATCCAAAGTGATGGTTATTAGCTGGGCACGGTAGTGGGTGCTTGTAATCCCAGGTATTCAGGAGGCTGAGGCAGGAGAATCGCTTGAATCCATCCAGGAGACGGAGGTTGCAGTGAACTGAGATCACGCCACTGCACTCCAGCCTGGGCAATAAAGCAAGACTCCATCTCAAAAAATATATATGTAATATACTATAATACAATATAATACAATAAACAAATGTTTTTTAAAAAATTATGGTTATGGCCAGGCACAGTGGCTCATGCCTGTAATCCCAGCACTTCAGGAGGCTGAGGTGGGAGGATTGCTTCAGCTCAGGAATTCAAGACCAGTCTGGGCAACATAGTGAGACCTCCATCTCTAAAAAAATAAAATAAAAAAATTAGCCTGGTGTGGTGGCATGCACCTATAGTCCCAGCTACTCAGGAGGCTGAAGTGGGAGGATTGTCTGATCCTGGAAGGTTGAGGCTACAGTGAGCTATGACCATGCCACTGCACTCCAGCCTGGGTGACAGAGCAAAACCCTGTCTTAATAAAAAACAAGGGCCGGGCGGGGTGGCTCACGCCTGTAATCCCAGCACTTTGGGAGGCCAAGGCGGGTGGATCACAAGGTCAAGAGTTCAAGACCAGCCTGGCCAACATGGTGAAAGCCCATCTCTACTAAGAATACAAAAATTAGCCAGGCGTGGTGGCGCGTGCCTGTAATCCCAGTTACTTGGGAGGCTGACACAGGAGAATCACTTGAACCCGGGAGGCGGAGGCTGCAGTGAGTCGAGATTGCGCCACTGCACTCCAGCCTGGGTGACAGAGCAAGACTCCATCTCGGGGGTGGCGGGAACAATAAAAACCAAAAAAACCAAAGTGATGGTTATAAAAGCAATATATAAATGTGAAAAATGCTTCTGATGTAATGTCAAAGAAATCAGAATTTTACAATGAGTCTGACTGTAGCTATATAAAAATTCATACACATAAGAAAAACAAAATAAATACTAATAATTTTCTTTTCTCTACTTTCTATACTGTCATAATGCAATAATACGCTTATTTTTATTTTAAAAGAATGAAAGTGAATTTTAAAAAAAGTCTGACTCTGAGATCTGTGTTCAGATTATCCCTTTGGTAAGACCATACTGGGCCAGGCCTGACGGCTCACACCTGTAATCCCAGGGGCGGATTACCTGAGGTCAGGAGTTCGAGACCAGCCTGACCAACATGGAGCAACCTTGTCTCTACCAAAAATACAAAATTAGCCAGGTGTGGTGGCACATGCCCGTAATCCCAGCTACTCAGGAGGCTGAGGCAGGATAATAGCTTGAACCCAGGAGGCGGAGGTTGTGGTGAGCCGAGATCATGCCATTGCACTCCAGCCTCGGCAACAAGAGCGAAACTCCTCTCAAAGTAAAAAAAAAAAAAAAAAAAAAAAAAAAAAAGATAAGACCATACTGGACAAAGTAAGTAAAAATGGAGTTGACTTTCACATTTGTTAATATTTATTAAAGATACACATATATTGGTACTTCTACTTTTTTTCAAATGAAAACTTTCTCTCTTAGTCTGTTTGGGCTACTATAACAAAATACCTTAGACTAGGCAATTTAGTATTTATTTATTTTTTGAGACAGGGTCTCATTCTGTTGCCCAGGCTGGAGTACAGTGGCTTGATCATAGCTCACTGCAGCCTCAACCTCCCAGGCTCAAGTGATCCTCCCACCTCAGCCTCTCAAGTAGGTAGGACGACAGGTGTGAACCACCATGCCTGACTAAGGCTATTTTTTTTATTTTTTTGTAGAGGCAGAGTTTCGCCCCATTGTCCAGGCTGGTCTCGAACTCCTGGACTCAAGTGCTCCACCCACCTCAGCCTCCTAAAGTGCTGGGATGACAGGCATGAGCCCACAATGCCCAGCCAACTAGGCAATTTATAAACAGAATTTTTCTTTTTTTTTTTTTTGAGACGGAGTCTCGCTCTGCCGCCCAGGCTGGAGTGCGGTGGCGCAATCTCGGCTCACTGCAACCTCCGCCTCCCAGGTTCACGTCATTCTCCTGCCTCAGCCACCTGAGTAGCTGGGACTACAGGCGCCCGCCACCACGCCCGGCTAATTTTTTATATTTTTAGTAGAAACGGGGTTTCACTGTGTTAGCCAGGATGGTCTCCATCTCCCCACCTCGTGATCTGCCCGCCTCAGCCTCCCAAAGTGCTGGGATTACAGGCATGAGCCACCGTGCCCGGCTATAAACAGAAATGTATTGCTCACAGTTCTGCAGGCTGGGAAGTTCAAGATTAAAGCATCAGCAAACTTGGAGTCTAGTGAGGGCCCATTCTTCACAGATGGTACCTTCTGTGTCCTCTCATGGTAACAAGCAGGCTCCTTTCACATATTTTTTTTTTTGAGATGTCCAACATGAATTTTGAGGGGACACCAACATTCAGACCATAGTACTTTCATCTTCCCCTTAAGTAATTAGGGGCTTTCATGAATGAGTATCATGTGGAAGAAATAACCCTAGATTTATTTGGGAGGAAAATATATACATACATTCATCAGTTGCAAATACCATTTGGATATTTGGACCATAGCTCCTAGTATAGTAGCCACTAGCTAAATACATGCACAAAATTAGACTACTAAAAAATTCTTACTTTTCTAATTGTCAATTACCTGTATATACATATGAGAATGTTCATTCATTTAAACATATACTGAGTGTTTACTAAGTGCCAAGCATATTGCTTGGTAATGGAATTACTTTAAACAAAACAGACCTTGCCCTGCACGCCCATGGCCAAGAGGTGGATACGAAAACAAATAATTACAGTACAAAATAATACATTGTATAAAAAGAGATTAATAAGGAAGTAAGTAGCAACACTGTAAGAGGATAAGAGAAGACAGTGGCAAGAAACACAGGGCTAAAAAGGCAACTTCTGGCTTTAGCCTATAGTTATTGGGCCAGGAAGGATGAAGTCAGACATCTTTAAAAGGCAGACCAAAGGACATAAGAACAAATATGTTCTTAAGTTAGTAGACTAAAACTTGCCAAGAAGTCTTCTGGCCAAAGTTCTTTTCTATGAAATAGTGAATGGTATCCTTAAGTCCCACAGCACTTTAGAGACACACTAATTCTCTGAAGCAACTAAGTACACTTCGAAAATTACCAGTACTTCCCAAACTTAAGAATATACCTCCAAAATACTTATTTAACGCTGGTAGTTTATTTACCAGGTGGTCAGCTCCAAAAATTGCTAGATAATTATTTTTCCTCCCATTTGGGCAACTGCAGAGATTACTATCCAGAGTTCAATTTGATAAGGACTGCCAACATACAGCAACATGTAAACTCTAGAGTTCAACCAAAGTATATGCATCATGATCACTGAACCCATAAATATGAACCAATAAAATAAACTTAGTCTATTAACCTTATTGCTGCCTTTTCTATCACTCTCCAAGCTGACAACATATTCAATCTCCTAGGGCACTTTAAAAGACACTGATATGGCCAGAAATCACAAAAACTGCACATCAAGTCTATGACTTTGACTAGCAATTCCTGTTCCTACCTATAGGACCTGCAATGAGACTCTAGTCTGTCTTGTAATAGACTGATTATTATTTTTTAAGTGGCAGTGGTGTTTAACATTAATAAGCAAAATACTTTTGCAGAAAGTTTCATGTATTTTCATATTCCAAAAACCATAAAATGTTGTTTACATTTATAGAATGATTCAGAGGTACACAAACCACTTAAAGTCTACATCATTAATACTCATAACAGACTTGGTGACGTAGGTAAAAGGCAAATAAAATTTAGTTCTGTTTAATAGAAAAAGGTTAGACAACTTATCCTAAGTCACAGAGTGAATTAGAGATAGATACGGAACTAGAAATTAAATGCCGATTCACACAACAATGTCTATTAAAGTAAGACAGACAAATTGTCCAGAGTTTACAAATCCCACCATGCTTTTTAAAACACACACCAAGAGAAAGTTTTACACTAAGCCAAACAAGCAGCAGTGAATAATACATATTTATACATTTTATATAATATAAATAAAACATTCCCCATTAAATACAACATGTTTTGATAGAAATGCAGGTTACTGAAAAATGCTTGCCTGATCTTTTTTTAAACTTGCAGAAATTTCTTTAGTGATGCACTTATTTCCTGAATTTAGCAGAACCTTACTTTAAAGGGGTTCACATTCTTACAATGAGCAGTTATTTCTGACAGAAAGAAACCATGACATCTCTAAATTGTGCATAATCCCTACAGTCTCTATGACTAGGATATCCAGGATATTTTGAAACTGAGGAAAGATGAAGTCCCCAAACAAGAACTGAGTCTAGTCTATTCATGCAGCTGTAGGGAAAGAGACAAACTTCTCGACTGAGATATTGGTTTCCCTCCCTTTTACTGCATTGCCAACAAAAATGGTGGTACTAGTCTATTCCAGCCAGTTAAGGAGTCATTTCTTCCTGTCTCCCTCCTGTCCTTCCTCTAATAAAAGTAATAGACATGTTCGCCACCTACAAAGGGAATGGAAGGTAACAGATAAGCTCTAATAGCCCATGACATTCCTAACTTGTCCATAGGGAATAATCAACTGTAAACTAGATTGGTTTAGAAATACCTCCTGTTGGCCGGGCGCAGTGGCTCACGCCTGTAATCCCAGCACTTTGGAGGCCGAGGCAGGTGGATCACGAGGTCAGGGGTTTGAGACCAGCCTGACCAACGTGGTGAAACTCCATCTCTACTAAAAATACAAAAATTAGCTGGGCGTAGTGGCGGGCACCTGTAATCCCAGCTACTCAGGAGGCTGAGGCAGGAGAATTGCTTGAACCCGGGAGGCAGAAGTTGCAGTGAGCCAAGATCACGCCACTGCACTCCAGCCTGGGCAACAGAGCAAGACTCCGTCTTAAAAAAAAAAAAAAAAAAAAAAACCTGTTAGGCCAGGTGTGGTGGCTCATGCCTGTAATCCCAGCACTTTGGGAGGCGGATCACCTGAGGTCAGGAGTTCAAGACCAGCCTGACCAACACGGTGAAACCCCATCTCTACCAAAAATACAAAAATTAGCCAGGCATGGTGGCACACGCCTGTAATCCCAGCTACTTGGGAGGCTGAGGCAGGAGAATCGCTTGAACCCCGAAGACGGAGGTTGCAGTGAGCCAAGATCGTGCCACTGCACTCCAGCCTGGGCGACAGAGACCCTGTCTCAAAAAAAAAAAAAAAAAAGAAATATCTCCCGTTACATGCATATGTTTCACTAGGGACAAGATGTAACATTTTAAAAATCCCCCGGGAATTGGAAGCTTTCATAAATTTAATTTACTGTAAACTAAGCTAAATAAGAAAATGTAATAGAAAATCATGTGCACACAGGCTGGGCGCAGTGGCTCATGCCTGTAATCCCAGCACTTTGGAAGGCCAAGCAGGTGGATCACAAGGTCAGGAGTTCAAGACCAGCCTGGCCAACAAAGTGAAACCCCCTCTCTACTAAAAAATACAAAAAATTAGCCGGGCATGGTGGCGGGCGCCTGTAATCCCAGCTACTCGGGAGGCTAAAGCAGGAGAATCGCTTGAACCCAGGAGGCAGAGGTTGCAGTGAGTGCCACTGCACTCCAGCCTGGGCAACAGTGAGAGATTCCACCTCAAAAAAAGAAAGAAAAAGAAAGAAAATCATGTGCACAGTCATAGTTTGATTCCAACCTAGCCGGTGCAACTATACTATCTCAAAGCCTAGCAACTGCTCTGAAATGCTATGTTGTAGCAACATGCCAATCTGCCATGAAAATTTTCTTGAATCTGGAATATGCAAAAAAGTAAATTTACAAACACAACCCACTTTAGCATATCATTTATTACATTTTAGGATATCTAAACAAACAAAAAATAATCTCCCATGATGACATACTAAGAATAAAAATATATGTGGTATCTGCATTTACTTTTTTATTATTAATATCTCCATTCAAAACTGTTACTTAGGTGAGTTAAAAATAAGTATTCTAGACCAGGCACAAAGGCTTATGCCTGTAATCCCAGCACTTTGGGAGGCCGAGGTGGGTGGATCACCTGAGGTCAAGAACTGGAGACCAACCTGGCCAACACAGTGACACCCCCGTCTCTACTAAAAATACAAAAAATTAGCCGGGCATGGTGGCAAGTGCCTGTAATCCCAGCTACTCGTGATGCTGGGGCAGGAGAATCGCTTGAACCCAGGAGGCAGAGGTTTCAGTGACCTGAGATTGCACCACCACATTCCAGCCTGGACAACAAGAGCGAAACTCCATCTCAATAAATAAATAAACAAACAAATAAAGTATTTTAGCCTTTTTTTTTTTACCCTAAATGAGCAACAAAATTAAAAAAAATAAGCATGTGAACTTTAAGTTGAATATATAACTCAAAAGGAGAAACTAAACTCAAGTAATCATTTTGAAAGATAATTTTTACTCATGAAAATTACAGAATGATCATACTTATGAGTCTAAGTAGCTTTAAAAAAAAGAAGGAAAAAAAAAAAAGCCTAAGCAAGAAGAAGCTCCCACCCAGACTAACCTTCAACATTAAGGGGAAAAAAAAAAAAACAAAAAACGAAAAGCACTACTCAGAGTAAAACATCTTAGGGAGCTTTAAAAAAAAGAAAAAGCAAGTAACTATAAGGCTAAAAGTTGTTACCTTCTATCCAAGACATAAAATGTATGTTTAATTCTTCTTAAAAGGATAGCTACCAACAAAACTAAACTTGTCTGGAAAGTAGGTTGTTTTTTCTAAAGGCATCAGAGCAGCAGAAATACAAAATAAAGAGATGTATTTTTTCTTTTTTAATCTTAAATAACATGAATAACACTTTTTTTATTTTTATTTTGTTGAGACGGAGTCTGGCTCTGTTGCCCAGGCTGGAGAGCAGTGGCCTGATCTAGGCTCACTGAAACCTACACTTCCTGGGATTCAAGCGATTCTTCTGCCTCAGCCTCCCGAGTAGTTGGGACTACAAGCACGCCCCACCACAGCCGGTTAATTTTTATACTTTCAGTAGAGACGGGGTTTCACCATATTGGCCAGGCTGGTCTTGAACTCCTGACCTCATGATCCGCCCGCCTAGGCCCCCCAAAGTGTCGGGATTACAGGCGTGAACCACCGTGCCCAGCCACATGAAGAATACTTTAAACATACAGATATTTTTCTTTTTTCAACCTTTTCCCATATATGGTCAATTTCATTACATCCATCTTATTTCCCACCTTCACCACAAACCATTTCCATCTTTGTGCCCAAAACTTTATTGTAGGAGTTAAAAAAACCCCTATTCAAGAGACCTATATTCTTCTACAAAACCTTCAAGTGTGTTCAGTCATTTTCACTGAAAGAGATCAACAGGGAAGTAGCTTGACACTGTCCCCCAGAAGTTCCTTTACCATGCCTCCACACCTCCCAAACTACTCCCTATTTTCACCTCCGAAAAACACTCAAATTTTCCACTAATGCAATCTGACCTAATGAATCAAAGCCTGCCCATCTCTTCTTCTACCCCTTTCTTTCAAGCAGAAAGCTCTAACCTTCAATAAGAGAATAATAAAGCAGAAGCAAGGAGGAGGCAAAACATGATTCTTTCCCTTCCAGTAACTAGCCATACCCCATTCCCCCAAATAAGCACTCCACAACTCTACCCTTTAAAATGGTTATCAAACATGGCCGGGTCCAGTGGCGCACGCCTGTAATCCCAGCACTTTGGGAGGCCAAGGCGAGCGGATCACCTGAAGTCAGGAGTTCGAGACCAGCCTCGCCAACAAGGCGAAACCCCATCTCTACTAAAAATACAAAAATTAGCTGGGCGTGGTGGCGCGCGCCGGTAGTTCCAGCTACTCGGGAGGCTGAGGCAGGAGAATCGCTTGAACCCGGGAGGCGGAGGTTGCAGTGAGCCGAAATCCAGCCACTGCACTCCAGCCTGGGAGACACAGCGAGACATTGTTTCAAAAAAAAAAGGTTATAAAACAAAATGTTGATACATCTGTTACCTCTTTCAAGCCTCCCAATAACATTTCTACTAACACCACCCAAAATATTTTTAAAAGACAGGTCTCTCATTCTTTTCGGTCCCTCATACTACACCCCAATTATCTTCAGGTGTCCTCTCAATCTTACAAAAACATTTACAAAACTGTCCTCTCAATGGCACAAGAATACTTACAAATCTCTTATTCTTTCTACCGCTCCTTTTATTCCTCCAACACCACCTGTATCTAAAAATCCCTACATACTGTTAGGTATACTCCTCCACCAATTAATGCTGCATACCAGTGTAGCCCTTTCAACCTTCAACTAAACTTACAGAAACCTCTTTTTTCCAACCTCTATGTATCTAAAAGTCATCAGTTCCCCTAGCACTATCAAGCCCTCAATAATACTTTAAAATCCCTTAATATCCTTGCTATCACACTTATCACCTCCCCAATAATTTCTAAAACCCTTCAATGCCCACACATCCTTTTCATCTACTCCATAGTATTTTTCAAATCCTTCAATATTCTTGATCCCTCAGAACTTACCAATAATCGCTATACAGTTTCAATGTCCCTGCTATCCGCTTCTGCCCTCATATTTCGAAAATGCCCTCGATATTTTGCTTCTAGACCTTTCAGTCCCGGAATAATAATGTTTATCAAACCCTTGATATTCTGCTATTCCCTTCGACATCTCAATATTCACATTTTAAAAATCCCTCAAGAGCCCCGTTACCTCTCTCTCAGTTCTCAAACAGCAATGTTTTAAATTCCCTCACGGCCCCTGCTACCCCTTCCAGCACCCCGATATTTGCGTTTGAAAAGCCTTCGCTGTCCTTGCCTGCCCCCCCAGTCCCCATATTCACGGCGCCTCTCCGTCCCCAGCGCTCCTCTCCCACCCTCACCCCCACCACAATGGTGATAGTACTACAGGGAAGGCGTCGCCGGGACCTCCCGGCCGCGGCCCCTCAGCGCCGCCCCCCACGCCACCTCCCCTCCCCCACGCCCCCGCGAGCCCCCAACGCCCACGTTCGCCGGCCCCGGCCCAGCCCGGCTCACTCACATCGGCTCCAGTAACTTGGCCAGCCAGGACTTGAGGGCATCCACATCCTCTATGAGCATGGTGCAGGGAAGGCGGGCTCGGCCGCCGCTCTTCTTCAGGCCTGCCGTGGGTCTCCACTACGCCGCCCCCTCACGTTCCCTTCACAGCTCCCGGTGCCCCAGCCCACCGGGCATCTTAGGAGACTTCAACCTACTCCCCCGGCCGGGGCCTAACAGGAACTAACCCAAGAGCCCTCACTCAACCTAGCCCGAAGGCTGAGGTGGGCGGGAGACAGTGCCGAGTGGCAGGCCTGAGAACCAGTAAGAGAGAGGGGGCCCTGAGGGCAAGACCAATGAAAAGGCTCGCTCGCCCCGCCGGCAGGCGGTACCCAGTCAGGGAGGAGAGATATAGCAAGGTAGGTGGAGAGCTTAAGTGAACTCCTGGTGCAAGATGGTATCTTGGAAAAGGTGCTTTGCCTCTTAAAGGGGCAGCGGCGCCTTTTTTTGACCACGCCGCCGCCCGCCGCGGAATACCGGTGTCTGCTGCTGGGAGTGCCTGGGGGAACCCGGCGAGCCCCTCAGCCTGGTTCCTTCCTCTCGTTTTTCTTGGAAACACACACTCGTGTCCCGAAATGACTCAGCTGTAGTAAATCTGCAACACAACGTGCAATACGTTCACGTTCGACACATTGCACAGAATGCAAAATTTTACTTTTTTTCTTTACACACTCATGTTGATTGGCACTCACGTTTGTATTTTCTGCTGCTCTGCTTTAATTACGCAGAATGTTTCTGACAACCATGCCTTGGAATCCAGTAATCGTCATTTTTAAAACGTGGCGCACGGATGTAAAAGGCTGAGGCCATTTCAATTTTGCTAGTACTATTAATAAATGTTGCTTTATTTAGGAAGAAAAATGACTCCAATAGTTTGTTTTTAATTATCTTTTCATTGTATATCTAAAATTCAGTGGTTGGGGGACGGGAAGGGAGAATTTTAATCAGCAAAGAAGGATTACAAAAAAATTTTTAAGACAAATTAGAAACTACTGAAATAGTCAACTTACTTTCTAGTAGGTGAGAAATTCTTTCTGGAGTTTTGAAATCACTGATTTAGCACTGATGTTAAAATGTTTACCCAATAACATATACTGAGTCCCTGCAATTGCCAGCACTGAGTAAGGCACTAGGAGTCCAATGCTGAGCAAAACAGAGCTTCTCCTCTTAAGATGATGAACAGTTTATGGGGTTATGCATTGTAATAACATTTTGAAAAATACCTAATGAGCACGCACCTCATATAAAAGAAATGGATCAACCTCAAATAAACAGACATCCTATATATACATAGAACAGGTATAGGCAAACTTCTGCAAAGGATCAGATACTAAATATTTTGGTTTTGTGAGCCTTGAGGTATCTATGGCAACTACTCGTCATACAATGTCTTGGCTTAAAATTAACCAGGGACAATATGTAAATGGAATGATTGTGGCTGTATTACAAACATTTATTAAAATTATATAAAATTTTAAATTTATATAATTTTCACATACCATGAAATATTATCTTTTCATTTTTTTCTCCATTTAAAAATGTAGGCCAGGCTGGGCGCGGTGCCTCACACCTGTAATCCCAGCATTTTGGGAGGCCAAGGCGGGTGGATCACCTGAGGTCAGGAGTTCCAGACCAGCCTGACCAACATGGTGAAACCAGTCTCTACTAAAAATACAAAATTTGCCAGGCATGGTGGCACACGCCTGCAATCCCAGGTACTCGGGAGACTGAGGCAGGGGAATCGCTTGAACCCAGGAGGCAGAGGTTGCAGTGAGCCAAGATCGTGACAAGAGCCAAAGAAACTCCATCTCAAAAAAAAAAGGGGGGGCTTGGCACGGTGACTCATGCCTGTAATCCCAGCACTTTGGGAGGCCCAGACGGGTGGATCACCTGAGGTCAGGAGTTCCAGACAAGCTTGGCCAACATGGTGAAACCCCGTCTCTACTAAAGATACAAAAATTAACCGGGCATGGGACGGGCGTGGGCCAGGCGCAGTGGCTCATGCCTGTATTCCCAGGGCTTTGGGAGGCCGAGGTGGGCGGATCATGAGGTCAGGAGATCGAGACCAGCCTGGCCAACATGGTGAAACCTCGTCTCTACTAAAAATACAAAAATTAGCTGGGCGTGGTGGCGCGTGTTTGTAGTCCCAGCTACTCAGGAGACTGAGGCAGGAGAATCACTTGAGCCCAGGAGGCGGAGGCTACAGTGAGCCGAGATCATGCCACTGCACTCCAGCCTCAGCGACAGAGCAAGACTCTGTCTCAAAATAAAAAAAAAATTAGCTGGCTGTGGTGGCACACGCCTGTAATCCCAGCTACTCCAGACACTGAGGCAGGAGAATCGATTGAACTGGGGAGGTGGAGGTTGCAGTGAGCTGAGATGGTATCACTGCCCTCCAACCTGGGCAACAGAGCAAGACTCCGTCTCTAATTAATTAATTAATACAAATAAAAATGTAAAGGCCATTGTAACCTCACAGGTGTACAAAGAAGATGCCAGCAGGGTTTAGCTTGCTGGCCACAGTTTGTAAACCCCTTACATAAAGTAGTAAAAGCAGAGGTGCACTTAAAAATAATGTAATGAACCTCCCTCACTAACCCCCTCCTCATAACTTTGCAAATGAAAGAAAAGGTCCAGAGAGGCAAGTGGTTTACCCAGAATTACACCTCTATGGAGTAGAAGTAGCATCCAGAGGTTCTGACAGCAAGCCAAGAGCTTTCTCACTTGCAACTCTTGCCTCTTCTTTTCTCTCTCCTCTTCCTCCTCCTTTTTTAAAGTTTATCCACATTTTCCCTTCACTTCGAACAGCTACAGAAGTTAGCTGGGTGTGGTGGCACATGCCTGTAATCTCAGCTACTTGAGAGACTGAGGCACGAGAATTGCTTTAACCTGCGAAGCAGAGGTTGCAGTAAACTGAGATCAAGCCACTGCACTCCAGCCTGGGTGACAGAGTGAGACTCTGCCAAAAAACAACAACAAGAACAACAACAAAAACAACAACAACAAACAAACAAAAAAAAACCCTAGCTCCCACCTTGGATCTCTTGTTCAGGGGAAAGCTAGTCATCATGTTTCAAGACATTCTAGCAGCCCTGTGGAGAGGCCCACGTTGAGAGGAACTGAGACAACTGAGACCCCTTCCCAACCAAGGGAGAGTGGGTGTGGTTATAAAAGTACAACATGAGGGACACTTTTGGTGTTGGAACTGTTTTGATTTTTGACTGTGATGGTGGATACAGGAACTACAGGGTGGTAAACTGAATAGAACTAAACTTACCTATAAAGTCAAGTTGATGGCTGGGTAAAAAAAGAAAAATAGAACCAAACTTACATATGCACAGAAGGGACCTCAAAAAGTTCATGGAAAAGTGCAATTAAAAGAAAAATAAAAACCACAAACTTTATTTCTCAACATAAGCTTTATCAAGTTCCAGGCACATTGAGAACATACAAGTGATACCACACAAATGATACTGGGCATTTAGTTCATCCCTAAAGAACTGAGAGTCCTGGGAATTTAGCCATGTCAATGCAGTCTTTTTTACATTATGAACTGAAGAAAAATGGGACCCTTTACATATTTTTTAAACATTAGGAAACAAAAAGAAGGCAGAAGGAGCCAAATTAGGACTGCAGGGTAGCTGCCTAATGATTTCCCATCAAAACTTTTGCAAAATTGCCCTTGTTTGACCAGATTTTTTTTTTTTTTTTTTGAGACAGTCTTGCTCTGTCGCCCAGGTTGGAGTGCAGTGGTGCAACGTTGGCTCACTGCAAACTCCGCCTCCCAGGTTCACGCCATTCTCCTGCCTCAGCCTCCCAAGTAGCTGGGACTACAGGCACCCACCACCATGCCCAGCTAATTTTTTGTATTTTTAGTAGAGACGGGGTTTCACCATTTTAGCTGGGATGATCTCCATCTCCTGACCTCATGATCCACCCTCCTCGGCCTCCCAAAGTGCTGGGAATACAGCCGTGAGCCACCGCACCCGGCTATTAGATTAATGAGCAGGAGCATTGCCAAGATGGAGAAGGAATCTCTGGTGAAACTTTCACAGATGTTGTTCTGCTGAAGCTTCAGCTAATTTTCTCAAAACACTCTCATAATAAGCATATGTTATCGTTCTTTAGCCCTCGAGCAAAATGCCTTGAGCATCCCAAAAAAACTGTTGCCATGACCTCTGCTGCTGACCAGTCTGCTTTTGCTTTGACTAGCCCATTGCCATTTTCTTGGTAGCTATTGTTTTGATTGTGTTTTGTCTTCAGGATTGTACTCGTAAAGCCGTGTTTCATCTCCTGTTACAATTCTTTGAAGAAATGCTTCAGGATTGTGATCTCACTTCAAAATTTCCAATGAAAGCTACTCTTGTCTGCAGCTGATCTGGTTGCAGCAGTTTTGGCACCCATCAAGTGGAAAGTTTGCTCAACTTTAATTTTCAGTTAGAATTGTGTAAGTGGAACCAATTGAGATGTCTATGGTGTTGGCTGCTGTTTCTGCTGTTAATTGTTGGTCCTCTTCCATTAGGGCACAAACAAGATTAATTTTTTTTTGTTTTTGCAAACTGATGTGGATGATCTGCAGCTGTGGGCTTCATCTTTTACACTCTCTTATCCCTTCTTAAAACAAGTTATCCATTTGTAAACTGCTGATTTATTTGGGGGCATTGTCCCCATAAGGTTTTTGTAAAGCATGAATAATTTACCATTATTCCACCCAAGCTTCACAAAAAATTTGATGTTTGTTCTTTCTTCAATTTTAGCAGAATTCATGTTGCTCTAATAGAGGCCCTTTTCAAACTGATGTCTTATCCCTCTTAGGGCCTCAAACTAGATCCTGTTTAGAAATGTTGTAACAAGTTCGTATGAGTTTATTTTGTTAAAAACATTTGAAATCCATGCATAGTTTTTTCATAATACACATTTTCCATAAACTTTTTGAAGACTGTGTGTGTGTGTCTTCTAAAGGCCTATATGCAGACACACACACACACACACACACACACACACACACACAAATGAACACAAAACATGTATCGATGTCAATATTCTGGTCTTGAAATTATACTACAGTTTTGCCAAAAGTTACCATTGACTGGGTGTGATGGCAGGTGCCTGTGATCTCAGCTACTCAGGAAGCTGAGGTAGGAGGATTGCTTGAGTCCAGAAGTTTGAGACCAGCCTGGGCAACAAAGCAAGACTTTGTGTCAAAAAAATAAATGCTGCCATTGGAGGAAACTGGGAAGAGTGTGTGAGGGTTCTTTCTGCATTATATCTTACAACTGCATATGACTCTAGAAGTATCTCAATTTTTTAAAAAGTTGCTTCAAGGCTGGGCACGGTGGCTCATGTCTGTAATCCCAGCACTTTGCAAGGCTGAGGCAGGCAGATCACATGAGATCAGGAGTTTGAGACCAGCCTGGCCAACATGGTGAAACCCTGTCTCTACTAAAAATACAAAAATTAGCCGGGCATGGTGGCACTAGCTGGGAGGCTGAAGCAGGAGAATTGCTTGAACCTGGGAGGCAGAGGTTGCAGTGAGCCAAGATCACACCACTGCACTCCAGCCTGGACAACAGAGCAAGACTCTTTCGGGGCAAAAAAATAAAAAAAGAATGTTGCTTCAAGGCAAGCATGGTGGCTCATCCATAATCCAAGCAATTTGGGTGGCTGAGTAGGAACATCACCCAGGAGTTCAAGACCAGCCTAGGCAACATGGTGAGACCCTGTCTCTACAAAAAATGAGGCAGGAGAATTCCTTGAGCCCAGGAGGTCAAGGCTGCAGTGAGCCATGTTTGTGCCACTTGGGTGACAGAGAAAGAACCTGCCTCAAATAAATAAATAAATACAAAGTTGCTTCACACGACTACAGTGGCTCAAGCCTGTAATCCCAGCACTTTGGGAGGCTAAGGCAAGAGGATCTCTTGAGCCTAGGAGTTCAAGACCAACCTGGGCAAGATAGCGAGACCCCGTCTCTACAAAAAATTTAAAAATTTTCCAGGTGTAGTGGCGAATGCCTGTAGTCCCAGCTACTCAGGAGGCTGAGGTGAAAGCATCACTTAAGGCGGGAGGTAGTGGATGCTGTGAGCTGACATCGTGCCACTGCACTTCAGCCTGAGTGACAGAGCCAGACCCCGTCTCTTAAAAAAGACAAAAATATTGCTTCACATGTTAAGAGCAGTGTCACCAGGGAGAAAAGGTTGAGAATGGCATCTTTAGGTGTGTGGTTACTGGAAATAGTCCTTGCCCCAATTCCCCAAGATCTTTATGTGTTCCCACTGGACCTGTGTGGGGACCCAGATCTGACGTCCTTGCAGATTATATAAGCATCCAGGAGAAATGTGGAAAGCTCCATGTCAGCAGTGACTGTTGGGTTTTCTTGGGCAGGGGGGAGCAGGGAATACAAAACAGCAGTAGTGGACTGACAAGACTCCCATTCCATCTGGTTATCCTTCTGATGTTAGAAGAGTCCACTCTGATGTTTAAAACCGTCCACTCTTCTTTGGATTAAATAAGCCCCTTGTGATTTAGACATATCAAATAAAAATAACTCATACTCATGTGTGCCAGGCACTCTGCCATGCAACTTTACATGAATTAGCCTCTTTCAGTTCCTGCATTCAGCCTTCCTTACCTTCAAGCAATATTGATTGAAATCTATCATAAGTAGAACACTATTATAGGCCCTGGGGATACAGCAATGAAGAAAATAGGCATTCTGTTGGAGATCTATTTCAGTAGCAAGATAATAATGACAAATAACAATATAATATGTCAGGTGGGATACATTCTAAAAAGGAAAATAAGGCAAAATGAGGAGATAGAGAGTGACGGGGAAGGTAAAAAGACTGAGCAGTGGCTTGAAGGTAGTGTGGGTGTTAGCCGTGTAGATATCTGGGATAGAGGCTTTCCAGGGAAGTGCAAAGACCCTGAGGCAGGAGCTGACTTGGCACATTTGAGGAAAGGAAGGAGGCAATGGGGCTGGAGCAGAATGAACCAGGAAGAAACTGATGGTACATGAGTGAAAGAGGTAGTTAGATGCCAGATCATGAAGGACCATGTAACGGTAAGGACTTTAGATTTTACTTCTATGCCAGGTGCGGCGGCTCACATCTGTAATCCCAGTATTTTAGGAGGCCAAGGCAGAAGAATCACTGGAGTCCAGGAGTTTGAGACCAGCCTGGGCAACATAGCAAGACCCCATCTCTACAAAAAATGAAAAAACTAACCAGGCATGGTGGTGCGTGCCTGTGGTCCCAGCTACTCAGGAGGCTGAAATAGAAGGATCACTCCAGACTGGGAAGTCAAGGCTGCTGTGAGTTGTGATTGCACCATGCCTAGCCTGGGTGATAGAGCAAGATCTTGTCTCAACAACAACAAAAAATTACTTCTGAGATTAGAAGAAGGGTTTTGTTTTTTGTTTTTTGTTTTTTGTTTTTTGAGATAGTCTCACGCTGTCGCCCAGGCTGGAGTGCAATGGCGCAATCTCGGCTCACTGCAGCCTCCGCTTCCTGGGTTCAAACAATTCTCCTGCCTCAGCCTCCCAAGTAGCTGGGAGTACAGGCGCCCACCACAATTCCCAGCTAATTTTTGTATTTTTAGTAGAGACAGGGTTTCACCATGTTGGCCAGGCTGGTCTCAAACTCCTGACATCATGATCTGCCTGCCTCGGCCTCCCAAAGTGCTGGGATTACAGGTGTGAGCCACCATGCCTGGCCAGATACTGAAGGTTTTAAATAGAGTAATGAAATAATCTCATCCGCTGTTTTTTTTTTTTATGGGATCACTGTGGCTCCTTTATGGGTATCAGACTGAAGGGGGCAAAAGAGGAGGTACGAAAACTAGTTAGGAGGCTACAACATTAATTCAAGCAAGCAATGATGATGGTGTGGACTAGACTTATAGTGAGAAGTTGGATTTTGGGTATATTTTGAGAGTGGAGTCAACAAGTTTGGCTGATAGATTGTGGATATGAAAGACAAAGAGGAATCAAGAATGACACCAAAGTGTATGGTCTGAGCACTGGCTTGAAATTGGGAAAAATGAGGGATGAACAGATTCAGAAAACAGCTGGTAGATCCAGAATTCAGTTTTGAACATGAGAAGTACAAAATGGCTTTTAGACATTGTGGTAGCCAGTCTCAAGATGGCACACAATTATTTTTGCCTCTTATTATTCACATTCACTTGTACTTTCCTCACACTGGATTAGGGATTGTAACTTCTGACTTGGATCTCTTGTTCTGGGAAAGACAGTCGCCATATTGCAAGACTCTCAAGAAATCCTGTGGAGAGGCCCACACTGAGCGGAACTGAGACCTCTTTCCAACAGCAAGGACTAGCTTTTCAGCCTTGTGAGGGAGTCATGTTGGAAGAAGACCCTCCGGCCCCAGCCAAAGCTTCAGATAAATGTTTTCCTAGCTAACATCTGACTACAATCTCATGAAAACTCATAAACCAGAACCACCCAACCAAACTGCTCCAAAACCTCTAACCTACAGAAACGCAAGAGATAATAAATGGTTATACTGCCAGGCGCAGTGGCATGTGCCTGTAGTCCCAGCAACTTGTGAAGCTGAGGTGGGAGGATTTCTTGAGCCCAGGAGTTTGAGTCCAGCCTGGGCAACATAGTGAGATCCCTGTCTCTTAAAAAATGGTTATTATTATTATTGTTGTTATTATTATTATTGAGACAGAGTTTTGCTCTTGTTGCCCAGGCTGGAGTACAATGGCGCTATCTTGGCTCACTGCAACCTCTGCCTCCTGGGTTCAAGCGATTCTCCTGCCTTAGCCTCCCAAGTAGCTGGGAGTACACGTGCATGCCACCACACCTGGCTAATTTTTGTATTTTTAGTAGAGACGGGATTTCACCATCTTGGCCAGGCTGGTCTCAAACTCCTGACCTCAGGTGATTCAGCCACCTTGGCCTCCCAAAGTGCTGGGATTACAGGTGTGAGCCACCGTGCCCGGCCCTGGTTATTAATGTTTTTAGCCACTAAGTTTTGGGGTAATTTGTTAGGCAGCAATAGATAACTAATATAAAAATTCAAGTGGAGATGTCAAGTAGGCAGTTGGATCTTAAGTCTGAAGTTGATGAGAGGGGTTGGGCCTGTAGTTAAAATTGGGGACTCATCAGCATGTAAATTGTGTTTAAAGCCATTAGCCTGGATAAGATCACTTAGCATATGAGTACATCTAGAAAGGAAGGGCCAGTAGAGAAAAGGTGAGGAATATTAAGTAAATTGAAGAGGTATGGCCAATAAATCAGGAAAGAATAGACAAGAGAAGAAATATGTTTCAAGAAAGGAGTTTTCAAATACGTCAAATGTAGTTCATAGGTCAAGTAAGATGAGAACAGAGAATTGGCCATCGGATTTGACAGCATGGAGGTCACTGATGATCTGGACAATTCCATGGAGTACAGCAGATAAAAGGTTGAGGAAGGCTGGGTGCGGTGGCTCATGCCTGTAATCCCAGCAATTTGGGTGGCTGAGGCAGGAGGATCACAAGGTCAGGAGTTCGAGACCAGCCTGGCCAATATGGTGAAACCCCATCTCTACTAAAAATACAAAAATTAGCTGGGTATAGTGGCACATGCCTGTAATCCCAGCTACTTGGGAGGCTGAGGCAGGAGAATCGCTTGAACCCGGGGAGTGGAGGTTGCAGTGAGCTGAGATCACGCCACTGCACTCCAGCCTGGGTGACAGAGCTAGACTCTCTCTAAAAAAAATAAAAATAACAAATAAATAAAAGGTTGAGGAGAGGCTGGGCATGGTGGCTCACACCTGTAATCCTAGCATTTTGGGAGGCCGAGGCAGGAGGATTGCTTGAGTTGATGAGTTTGAGACCAGCCTGGGCAGCATATTGAGACCCTCATCTATACAAAAAACAACAAAATTAGCCAGATGGTGCACTCCTGTAGTCCCAGCTACTTGGGAGGCTGAGGTGGGAGGATCACTTGAGCCCAGGAGTTTGAGGCTGCAGTGATGTAGCCACTGCACTCCAGCCTAAGCTACAGAATAAGACCTTGTCTCAAAAAGATTTAAATAAATAAAATAAACAAATAAAATATAATTAAAGGTTGAGGAGAAAAATGGAGAAGACAAATTAGAGAAAGCATGGTAGTTCTCCTAAACAGCTTTACTGTAAAGGGGAGTAGAGCAATGAAGGTACTGGACGGTACTGGAAGGGTATTGTGGGATAGGGCAAAGGATAGGGTTTGTTGGCATTTTGTTCAGTTTGGTTTTGCTTGCTTGTCTGCTTGCATTAGGTTAGAAGATATGTGTGAATGCAGACAAGTATGATCTAGAGAGAAAAAATCTGATGATGCAAGAGGTGAGATAAGAAACTAGAGGAATAAAAGCTCTTAATGGGCAAAAGACAATGGGGTCTAATGTACCAATGGAGCATAGGTCTTAATAGGAGCCCTAATTGTTGTTCACTGTAAGTGACAAAAAGAGCACATATTAGTGGATAGAGGTGTGATAGTAGCTGTAGTAAAAGGAAGTCATGAAAGTTGTATATTGATTTCTTCTATGCTGTCAGTGAATGAAGAAGCTATCCAGTAGAATGTGAGAAGCGGAGGCTGGATGTTTGAAAAGAGAGGTATGAGGAGAAAAGTATATTTGGTTTCTCAAACATTTTAAGCTCACTTAGGAGGCTGAGGCAAGAGGATTGCTTGAGACCAGGAAATCAAGGCTGCAGTGAGCCATGACTACACCATTGCACCCCAGCCTGGGTAGCAGAGTGAGACCCGGCCTCAAAAAAACAAAAACAAACAAAAAAATTAGGCTCTTTCCCACTTCATGCCTTTGCACTTGCTAGTACTCCTGCCTGGAACTCTTTTACATACATCTTTGTGTGGCTGACTTTTTTTTCTCAACTCAAGTATCACCTCTTCGGGATGGCCTTGACCATCCAACCTAAACCATCACCTCACTTCCCTCCCCTAGTTACTCTCTATTGCATCATCCTGGTTTATCTTCTTTATAGCATATCTCACTATATAAAATGTTTTTTTCATTTATTTGTGCTCTCTCTGCCCCACCCCATCTAGAATATAAATTTTCATGAGGTCAGGAATTTTGTGTTCTTTGTTAAGTTTGTTTTTTTGTTTTGTTTTGTTTTGTTTTGTTTTAGACAGTCTCTCTCTGTTGCCCAGGCTGGAGTACAGTGGTGCAATCTGTACTCACTGCAACCTCCGCCTCCTGGCTTCAAGTGATTCTCCTATCTCAGCCTCCCAAGTAGTTGGGATTACAGGCACGCACCACCATGCCCAGCTAATTTTTGTATTTTTAGTAGAGACAGGGTTTCACCATGTTGGCCAGGCTGGTCTCGAACTCCTGACCTCCAGTGATCTGCCCATCTCGGCCTCCCAAAGTGCTGGGATTACAGGCATGAGCCACCGCGCCCGGCCTTCTTTGTTGAGTTTTATCTGTAGCACTGAGAAAGAAATCCCTAGGACATAATGGAGGCTTGGCCAGGCACAATGGCTCACACCTGGAATCCCAGCACTTTGAGAGGCTGAGGTGGGAGGATCACTTGAGACCAGACGTTTGAGACCAGCCTGGGCAACATAGTAAGATCCTGTTTCTATAAAACATTAAAAAACAAGCTGGGCATTGTGGTGTGCACCTGTAGTCCTAGCTACTTGGGAGGCTAAAGTGGGAGAATTGCTTGAGGCTGGGAGGTCAGGACTGCAGTGAGCCATGATCATCCCACTGCATACCATCCTAGGTGACAGAGTGAGACCCTGTCTCAAAAAAAAAAAAAAAGATGGTTAATAAATATTTAATGGATAATCTAATATAATCATCTATTTACTAGAGATGATTACTAGATGAGTACCATGATTATCACCATGCTACAGGTGCAGACAGGTCAAGGTCACACGACAAGTTATGGATGGGGGTGGGGTTCATGATTCAAAGTCAGGCAATCCCACTCCAGAATTCACAGTCTCAGACTCTATATGGAATAGGATGTAGAGGAAGATACTAGACTTCTGGCTAATAAGATATTAGGGATCTGACCAATTACTAGGAAAAAAAAGGGTATGACCGTGGTTGTTTCTCCAGTTCATATAGTTTACACCAGTCTAATCTTATTGATACAATAGAGGCAGGAATCTTAAACTTTGGAAATGCACAAAAATAAATTCTAAAAAAACTCAGTGAGGTTGGAATCTCAATAATATATGATTGGCTGTCTTTACCTATTTCTTTATTTTATTTTATTTTATTTTTAGACAGAGTTTCGCTATCGTTGCCCAGGCTGGAGTGCAATGGCGTGATCTCGGCTCACTGCAACCTCCACCTCTCAGGTTGAAGCGATTCTCCTGCCTCAGCCTCCCAAGTAGCGAGATTACAGGTGTGTGCTCCCATGCTTGGCTAATTTTTGTATTTTTTGTAGAGACAGGGTTTCACCATGTTGGCCAGGCGGGTCTCGAACTCCTGACCTCAGGTGATCCACCTGCTTCGGCCTCCCAAAGTGCTGGGATTACAGGCGTGAGCCACCGCACCCAGCCTACCTGTTTCTTTTTCTCTCTTCTTTTCTTCCTTCTTTTCCCCTTTTCCTTCCTGTCTCCCTCTTTCCCTTTCTCCTTCCCTTCTTTCCTTTTTTTCTTCCATCTCTTGTAGAGCCTTTAGACTGCTCCATAATGGTGATGCTAATGGTGGAGACATTAACAGTAGTGGTGGGTAGGTTGGCTATTTAGAAACCACAAGCCGTGTTTTGATGATTCAGGTGTCACCTTTCCCATATGAGCCCATGACACAGCCTTTCATCCTCTGTGGAATGTTGATGAGATGGCAGGCTGAATCTTGTGGGTTCTAAGTCTGGAGTAGTATAGCATGAGTTAGTGATTTTTAATTTCTGGGAGTTACGAATATACCACTTTAGAAGAAATCTAGAAAACAGGGATTTCTCAAAAATTTGGCACCAGAGAAGTACAACTTCTTTAATTTGGTTACATTTATCTAAATAAAAAGGCAGTTTCTCTAATTATCATGGCTACTTGTTCTTGTTCCTAGCTCATGTCAATCAGATTTAGAATTTTCATTAATTAACTGACCAAACTGGATTCCAGTAGTTTTAACCTTTCCCTTCTTCCCTCCCTCTCTTCCTCCCTCCCTTTCTCCTTTCCCTCCCTCCCTCCTTCCCTCCCTCCCTCCCTCCCTCCCTTCCTTCCTTCCTTCCTTCCTTCCTTCCAGCTTAATATTTCCTGAACACTTACCACATTCTAGGCATTGGGCTAATCATCTTGGCTTAGCTCCTTTTATTCTCATAGCAAGCCTAAGAGGTAGGTATTATCATTATCTCGTGGGTCCCATGATAACCCAGAGGTCCGAGGGTTGAAAGAACTTGCTTAAAGCCATAGAGCTAGCCTGGGACACAGCATCAACGCAAACCCAGGCACCTGACTCCAAAGCCCGTGAATGCAACCACCACCCTGACCCTGCCTACCTCTGCTGACCCATTAGCTTTGTCTGAAGTTGCATGCAGAGCGACCCCAGCATCAGCTAAACCTGTAAGTCCTAAAAAATCCTACCTTCGAGCCGGGCGCGGTGGCTCACGCCTGTAATCCCAGCACTTTGGAAGGCCGAGGTGGACAGATCACGAGGTCAGGAAATGGAGACCATCCTGGCTAACAGAGTGAAACCCCGTCTCTACTAAAAATACAAAAAAATTAGCCAGGCATGGTGGCGGACGCCTGTAGTCCCAGCTACTGGGGAGGCTGAGGCAGGAGAATGGAGTGAACCCGGAAGGCGGAGCTTGCAGTGAGCCAAGATCGCTCCACTGCACTGCAGCCTGGGCGACAGAGCAAGACTCCGTCTCAAAAAAAAAAATTAAAAAAAAAAAAATCCTACCTTCTTCTCTTTATTCTTCTACTCTTCGCTTGTGTCAATTAAAAAAGAAATCTGTTTGCCATTCAGGAAGCATTCAGGTAAAGGCAGAACACAGATGTAGAAGAAAAAAACATTGAAAAACAAAAAGTCCCTAAAAGGGTAGGGAAATAACGCTATTCATTGAATGCCACACGCCTTAGGAGCAGAAGCATATAAAGAAGTTCCCACAATTTTTTCCTCAGAGAAAGAACTTTGTCATCTGAAGGTAGGGAAGCTAGGTAAGTATGCACGAAAAACAAATACAAAAGGACTCACAGACAAGCTAAAACTAATTATAGCCTTAGGGATCTAAATTTAGAAATGCTAACAAATTACCAAATTGAGCAGAGTGACCAGTGGGATGGGTTTAAAAATAAATCGGGGGGTCAGGCGCGGTGGCTCACGCCTGTAATCCCACCACTTTGGGAGGCCGAGGCCGGTGGATCACCTGAAGTCGGGAGTTTAAGACCAGCCTGACCAACCTGGAGAAACCCTGTCTCTACTAAAAATACAGAATTAGCTGGGTATGGTGGCGCATGCCTATAATCCCAGCTACTAGGGAGGTTGCGGCAGGAGAATCGCTTGAACCAGGGAGGCGGAGGTTGCGGTGAGCTGAGATCGTGCAATTGCACTCCAGCCTGGGCAACAAGAATGAAACTCCGTATCAAAAAAATAAAATCAATCAATCAATCAATCGGGGGAGGCTGGGCATGGTGGCAATGCCTATAATCCCAGCACTTTGGAAGGCCAAGGCAGGTGGATCACCTGAGGTTAGTAGTTCAAGAGCAGCCTGACCAATATGGTAAAACCCTGTCTCTACTAAAAATGCAAAAATTAGCCAGGCATAATGGCACGCCCCTGTAATCCCAGCTACTCAGGAGACTGAGGTAGGAGAATTGCTTAAACCCGGGAGGCAGAGGCTGCAGTGAGCCGAGATTGCACTACTGCACTCCAGCCTGGGTGATAGAGCAAGACCCCGTCTTGGAAAAAAAAAAAGTTAAAAATAAATAAATCAGGGAGGAATTGAGTTTTGTTGTGAGGTTTTGAAGAATGAATGCGATATGGTTTGAAAGTTGTAAAAGGTATAACACACAATTACATTGTGATAACTAGCTCAGTTAAGCCAGGGAAGAGATTATTATGGGGCACACGTAAGCTTTTTCCATTTTAATCAGACTAATGTTTATAGATCAATATTAAAAATAGCTGACATTTTAAAATGCTTACTATATGCCAGACATACACACATACATAAACAGAGTTTATACACATATTATTTCTTTAATCCTCATAGCAATCCTATGAGTTACACATTATTATCCCTATTTCACAGAGTGGTTAGCTGAATTGTCTGAGGTCACCCGGCTAGTAAATGATGATCTCTGTCTGAATCACAGCCTAAGTTCTTATCCACTATGACACCTTTCTAAATTCTTTTGTATAGAGGGTATTTTACATAGGCTAGCAAATAATTGACAATTCCCAATTAAGAAGCCATATTACTAAGCTGTAACACATATATTTTCTAAGTATCTCTTGAATCTGTCTACATTTCTCTATCTTTACGGTCACCACCATAGTCCAAGACCCCATCACCTTTCACCAGGACAATTGCAATACCCTTCTGTTTCCACTTTCGCTCTTTTCCAATTCTTCCTCAGAATGATTTTTATAAAATACTAATAGGGGCCGGGCGCGGTGGCTCACGCCTATAATCTCAGCACTTTGGGAGGCTGAGGCTCGTGGATCATTTGAGGTCAGGAGTTAGAGACCAGCCTGGCCAACATGGTGAAACCCCGTCTCTACTAAAAATACAAAAATTAGCCAGGCGTGGTAGCAGGCACTTGTAATCCTAGCTATTCGGGAGGCTGAGGCAGGAGAATTGCTTGAACCCGGGAGGTGGAGGTTGCAGTAAGTCGAGATTGCACCACTGCACTACAGCCTGAGGGACAAGAGTGAGACTCCGTCTCAAAAAAAAAAAAAAAAAAAAAATTCAAATAGGACCATGTCCCTTCCTTGCTTAAAATCCTTCGATGGCCTCCCATTGCTCTCACTGGTTTAATGTCTGTCCCTTCCACTAGACTGGAAGCTCTCTGAAGGATGTGGCAGTGCCTGTCTTTATCTTTTTCTTTTTCAAAAAGAAACTCTTTTTTTGAGTCTCACTCTGCTGCCCCTACCGGAGTGCAGTGTTGGGATCTCAGCTCACTGCAACCTCCGCCTCCTGAGTTCAAGCGATTCTCCTGTCTCAGCCTCCTGAGTAGCTAGGACTACAGGCGTGTGCCACCACGCCCGGCTAATTTTTGTTTTTGTTTTTGTTTGAGACGGAGTCTTGCTCTGTCGCCCAGGCTGGAGTGCAGTGGCGCGATCTCGGCTCACTGCAAGCTCTGCCTCCCAGGTTCACGCCGTTCTCCTGCCTCAGCCTCCCGAGTAGCTGGGACTACAGGCGCCCGCCACTACGCCCGACTAATTTTTTTGTGTTTTTAGCAGAGACTATGGTTTCACCATATTGGTCAGGCTGGTCTCAAACTCCTGACCTCAGGTGACCCACCTGCCTCAGACTCTCAAAGTGCTGGGATTACGGGAGTATGCCACAGTGCCCAGCTGTGCCTGTCTTTTTCTTTTTCTTTTTCTTTTTTTTTTTTGAGACGGAGTCTCGCTCTGTTGCCAGGCTGGAGTGTAGTGGTGCGATCTCGGCTCACTGCAAGCTCCGCCTCCTAGGTTCTGGCCATTCTCCTGCCTCAGCCTCCCGAGTAGCTGGGACTACAGGCGCCTGCCACCACACCCGGCTAATTTTTTGTATTTTTAGTAGAGACGGGGTTTCACTCTGTTAGCCAGGATGGTCTCAATCTCCTGACCTCATGATCTGCCCGCCTCGGCCTCCCAAAGTGCTGGAATCACAGGTGTGAGCCACCACACCCAGCCTATGCCTGTCTTTTTCAAATGTTGTGTCTCCAGCATTTAGAATAGTGCCTTGTACACAGGAGAAGCTAAATACATTTTGTTGAATGAATGGAATTCAAATGATCCTTAAAAGAGGAATCTTGGTCACTTATTTTTTTGTTTGTGTGTGTGTGTGTGTGTGTGTGTGTGTGTGTGTTTTGAGACAGAGTCTCGCTCTGTCGCCCAGGCTGTAGTGCAGTGGTTCGATCTCGACTCACTGCAAGCTTCGCCTCCTGAGTCACGCCATTCTCCTGCCTCAGCCTCCTGAGTAGCTGGGACTACAGGCGCCCGCCACCACGCCTGGCTAATTTTTTGTATTTTTAGTAGAGATGGGGTTTCACCGTGTTAGCCAGGATGGTCTCGATCTCCTGACCTCATGATCTGCCCACCTCGGCCTCCCAAAGTGCTGGGATTACAGGCGTGAGCCACTGCACCCGGCTGTTTTGTTTTTTGAGACAGACTCTTGCTCTATCACCCAAGCTGGAGTGCAATGGTTCGAACATGACTCACTGAAGCATCAACCTCCTCGGCTCAAGTGATCCTCCTGCCTCAGCCTCCTGCCTCAGCCTCTCAAGAAGCTGGGACCACAGGCATGCACCACCATGCTCAGCTACTTTTTTTTTTTTTTTGAGACGGAGTCTCGCCCTGTCACCTGGGCTGTAGTATGGTGATGTGATCGTGGCTCACTGCAACCTCCACCTCCCGGGTTCAAGCAATTCTTCAGCTTCAGCCTCCTGAGTAGCTGGGGCTACAGGTGCGCACCACCACGCCCAGCTAATTTTTGTAGTTTTTAGTAGAGGTGGGGTTTCACCATGTTGGCCAGGCTGGTCTTGAACTCCTGACCTCGTGATCCACCTGCCTTGGCCTCCCAAAGTGCTGGGATTACAGACATGAGCCACCGTGCCCAGCCAGCTAATTTTTTTAATTTTAATTTTTGTAGAGACAGGGTCTCGCCATGTTGCCCAGGCTGGTCTTGAACTCCTCAAGTGATCCACCCACCTCAGCCTCCCAAACTGCTGGGATTACAGGTGTGCAACACCATGACCAGGCTCAGTCACTTAAATGGGAAAATTACAAAAGTTGAATTTGGAGACATGAAGGCAGGTTTTTCATAATTTCTAATAAAATACTTACTTGTTTATTTTCTAATTTAATGTCTCATGCCCTTTAGACTGTAAGCTCCATGAAGGAAGGGACCATGGTCTGCCTTGTTCTTGACTCCATCCTAGCTCTACGTCAGGTTTATGGGAGGTACTCAATAAATATTTGTTGTATGAATACTTTCAATTACCAATGTGGATTGGAAGGTGATGAATCAAAGAGATGAAAATAGTACTGGTTAGGGCAGAATTGGGACAAGAAATTAAAGCTATAGTTATAAGAGCTGTGGAGGATGAGGATTCTTTCATTCATTTAATAAATCTTTATAAGGCACCTGCTATGGGCCTGACATTGTGCTAGGCACAGTCTCTGCTGTTATGCAGATTTTAGTCTAGTGATAAATAAACAGGCAATTCATGAGATGAAATTTCCAAGGCAAGGGGTGCTTCAGGGAACATCTAGTGGGGAGCATTTAACTCAGACTTGGGCTGTCAGGAAGTGATGACTAAATGGTTGGTAGCTAAAGGAAGAGGGTATGGAAAGTGAGGGAGGCAGCCTAGAGGCAGGAGAGCGACTGGTAGCCTAAGGTTCCTTCTTAACTTTTTCCTTTCATCCAACAAATTTGTATTGACCCCATATCATATGCCAAGTATTGTTTTAGGACATCGTTGAATTTGTATTTCAAAACTAGTTGTTGAAAAATGTAAAAAAAAAAAAAAAGTTCTGTGTGTATGTGTTTGTGTGTGTGTGTATTCCCTTCCCTTAAACCCTTAGGTAGACACACATCTGGGCTGCGTTCCCCATCCCCTTAAAGGGTCCCCAATCCCTTAAAGTGCATTGTAGATGCTTAATGTTTACTGGGTTAATAAATTATCACGTGAGTAACTAATCTGTGGTTTTTTTTTTTTTTTTTTTGGAGCTGGAGTCTCACTCTGTCACCCAGGCTGGAGTACAGTGGTGTGATCTCGGCTCACTGAAACCTCTGCCTTCCGGGTTCAAGCAATTCTCCTGCCTCAGCCTCCTGAGTAGCTGAGACTACAGGCACATGCTGCTAAGCCCCGCTAATTTTTTTTTTTTTTTTTGTATTTCCAGTAGAGGTAGGATTTCACCGTGTTGCCCAGGCTGGTGTCGAACTCCTGAGCTCAGGCAATCCGCCCACTTAGGCCTCCCAAAGTGCTAGGATTACAGGCGTGAGCCACGGCGCCCGGCCATTTGTGTTTGTTGTTGTTGTTGTTGTTGTTTTTTGAGATGGAGTCTCACTCTGTCTCCCAGGCTGGAGTGTAATGGCATGATCTCAGCTCACTGCGACCTCTGCCTCCTGGGTTCGAGTGATTCTCCTGCCTCAGCCTCCCAAAATTCTGGGATTACAGGAATGAGCCACTGTGCCCGGCAAGAAATGAATTTTAAATTTTATTTATTTTTAATTAATTTGAATTTAAATTGCCACATGTGGCTAGTGGCTACTGTATCAGACACCATATATCTCTGTATGGTAGCATAGTCTTTTTTTTGTTTTGTTTTTGAGACGGAGTCTTGCTCTGTCGCCCAGGCTGGAGTGCAGTGCTGCCATCTTGGCTTACTGCAATTTCCACCTCCCGGGTTCAAGTGATTCTCCTGTCTCAGCTTCCCAGCAGCTGGTATTACAGGCGCGTGACACCACGCCTGGCTAATTTTTGTATTTTTAGTAGAGACGGGGTTTCACCATCTTGGCCAGCCTGGTCTCGAACCTCTGACCTCGTGATCCACCTGCCTCGGCCTCCCAAAGTGCTGGGATTACAGGTGTGAGACACCGTACCCGACCAGTCTTTTTTTTTCCCTTGAGATGAAGTCTCGCTCTGCCGCCCAAGATAGAGTGCAGTGGTGCGATCTCGACTCAGTGCACCCTCTGCCTCCTGGGTTCAAGCAATTTTCCTGCCTCAGCCTCCCGAGTAGCCGGGACTACAGGTGCACGCCACCATACCCAGCTAATTTTCGTATTTTTAGTAGAGACGGGGTTTCACCATGTTGGCCAGGCTGGTCTCAAACTCCTGACCTCAGGTCATCCGCCCACCTCGGCATCCCAAAATAATGGGATTATGGCCACCGCCCCTGGCCCTGTTTGGTAGTGGTCTAAATAGTCTGAGTCAGGCAATGGGACCAGGTAGGCTTTCAGTCTCTTGCTTAAAAATGGAGATTGTTGGCCGGGCACGGTGGCTCACGCCTGTAATCCCATCACTTTGGGAGGCTGGGGCGGGCGGATCACGAGTTCAGGAGATCGAGACCATCCTGGCCAATATGGTGAAACCCCGTTTCTACTGAAAATACAAAAATTAGCTGGGCGCGGTGGCGCGCGCCTGTAGTCCCAGCTACTAAGGAGGCTGGGGCAGAAGAATCGCTTGAACCCGGGAGGCGGAGGTTGCAGTGAGCCGAAACCGCGCCACTGCACTCCAGCCTGGAGACAGAACGAAACTCCCTCTCAAAAAAAAAAAAAAAAAAAAAAAAAAAAAAGGAGATTGTTGGCTAGGTACGGTAGCTCACGCCTGTAATCCTAGCACTTTGGGAGGCCGAGGGAGGCAGATCACGAGGTCAGGAAATCGGGATCATCCTGGCTAACAAGGTGAAACCCAGTCTCTACCAAAAATACAAAAAATTAGTCGGTGTGGTGGCGCGCGCCCATAGTCCCAGCTCCTCGGGAGCCTGAGGCAGGAGAATTGCTTGAATCCGGCAGGCCGAGGTTGCACTGAGCCAAGATCGCGCCACTGCACTCCAGCCTGGGCGACAGAGCGATACTGCGTCTCAAAAAAAAAAAAGGAGATTGTCAATACGCGGTTATACAATGTCTAAATGCTGGGCTGTTGAATGCCACTGACAGTAAAAAATATCTGTGCATAGTGGCAAGCCATAAGTAGCACCTCAGTCACCGTATAGTAATTAACTGCGTATCCTGGCATCCCGACAGGCAACCAGCTCTACCGGGTGAAAAGGTTGATGGCCAAGGGACTCCAACCTAACCAGGGCGCACTCGCGGCATTCTGCGATCCCGCACTGCATCATGGACTTTGTAGTTCAACATGCCAGTGACGTCACTGCCGGTTCCCCTCTGAGTGGGCCTATCGGGTAGACTTCCGATAACCCGTTTTTCTCTGGGAATTGTAGTCAGTTAGCGCCTGCTGGGTGTCTGCTCGGGTGGTCTGGGAACTACAATTCCCGGCGGGCTGTGAGATGCCTTGGCTGTAGTTAGTAAGGAGCCGGATGATTGCCTCAGCAGGTGTGAAGCGTGTGCTTTAGTTTCGTGGGAGGCCTGGCATCCCCGAGAGGGAGGGGAAAGGTAACCACTCCTTTGTGGAGGTCGCCAGGGTCATTGTCGTGGATTTGCACAGTCGGCTGGGCGGTGCAATGGCGGTGAGTTTGAGCGAGAAGAATCCGCAGGGGCCCTGGAGCCGGACTGGCCAGTCTCTAGGGGCTCTCCATGTGCTGTCCTGAAGGGAAAGTCCTTTTCTAAAAGAGAGCCACGCTTAAGGCGTGCCTTTCGTAGAGACTTTGCTTTTTCTTGCTAGTTTATGAACCACGAACTGATGTCTGTTAACTTTACGGAGTACTTGGATATCATATTTGTTATTTCTCTGGAGTTTCTAAAATCGAGGTGGAGAGCCGGGCACGGTGGCCCACGGCTGTAATCCCAGCACTTTGGGAGGCCGAGGCGGGTGGATCATTTGAGGTCAGGAGTTCGAGACCACCCTGGCCAACATGGTGAGACCCCGTTTCTACCAAAAATACATAAATTAGCCGGGCGTAGTGGTGCGCGCCTGTTAACCCAGCTACTCGGGAGGCTGAGGCAGGAGAATTGCTTGAACCCGGGAGAGGGAGGCTGCTGTGAGCCAGGATCGCGCCACTGCACTCCAGCCTGGGCGACAGAGTGAGACTCCGTCTTAAAAATAAAATAAATAAATAAACAAACAAATAAAGCCGAGGTGGAGAGAGGAGTATGTAAGTTGATTCCTACTTACAGCAAAAAAAAAAAAAAAAAAAAAAAAAAAAAAAGAAAAAATTGAGCGCCTCTCCGTAAAACAGACAAAAATCTCTCTTTTCATAGTGTTTATGTGTGTGGGTAAAATACATTGTAAAATATTGTGTCAGGTGCTGATAAATGCTGTGGGGAAAAAATAGAGCAGGAAGGGGTGCTAGGGAGTGTACGGTGGGGTAGTACAGTTGCAATTTTTAAAAATTTTTTTAAATTTGGGAGATGTTCTCACTCTGTGACCCAGACTGGAATGCAGTGGCGTGATCATGGCTCACTGCAGCCTGGACCTTAGGGCTCAAGCGATCCTCACACCTCAGCCTCCCCACAGCTGGTACTGCAAGCGTGCTCCATTACACCCTGCTAATTTTTTGTATTTTTAGTAGAGACAGGGTTTCGAACTCCTGGGGTCAAGCGATCCTTCTGTCTCAGCCTCCGAAAGTGCTGGGACTACAGGCATGAGCCATCCCGCCTGGTTTTATTTTTTTTTGTTTTTTGTTTGTTTGTTTGTTTTTTTCTTGAGACGGAGCCTTGCCCTGTCGCCAGGCTGGAGTGCAGCGGCGCGATCTCGGCTCACTGCAACCTCCTCCTCCCAGGTTCAAGCGGTTCCCCTGCCTCAACTTCCCGAGTAGCTGGGACTACAGGCGCGCGCCACCATGCCCAGTTAAATTTTTTGTATTTTAGTAGAGACAGGGTTTCACCACATTGGCCAGGATGGACTCAATTTCCTGACCTCGTGATCTGCCCGCCTCGGCCTCCCAAAGTGCTGGGATTACAGGCGTGAGCCATGGCGCCTGGCCTGTTGCAATTTTTAAAAGGATGATCAAGCAAGGCTTTGCCAAAAAGGTGGCAAAAACGAGGTAAGAGAGCAACCTATGCAACTATAGGAAGAAAGAGATTTCCAGGCAGGGGCAACAGTGTAAGTGAAAAGCAGGGATCCCGGGTAGAAGCCAGGGATGCTTCTAAACATCCTGCAGTGCACAGGACAACCCCTGAAAACAAAGAATTATTTGGCCCAAAGTGTAAGTAGTGCCAAAGTTTAGGAACTCTGATTTAGTTATATAGCCTTTTGTTACCAGTGAGGAGGTTGAGTCTCAGATTGATCAAATGACTTGCTCAAGGTTATACAACAAGTTGGTGTTTGGGCCAATATCAGATTTTATTATACTTGATCTTTGAGGTTTTGAGAAACAAGTTTTTCTGAGAAACAGAAAACTCAAATAAAAGCTTTCTTGCATTTGGCATACTCAGTACAATGAAAAGAAACACATAGTTCTAAGTAATTTGTAAAAGACTTGCTTTCATAGTCTTCTTTACAATGGGTGACATGATCATATTTTTTATTTTTATTTTTATTTTTTTTTTGAAATGGAGTCTCATTCTTTCCCAGGCTGGAGTGCAGTGGTGCCTCCCAAGTTCAAGTGATTCTCCCACTTCAGCTTCCTGTGTAGCTGGGACTACAGGTGTGCGCCACCATGCGCTGCTAATTTTTGTATTTTTTGGTATAGTTGTGGTTTCACCATGTTGGCCAGACTGGTCTTGAACGCCTGACCTCAAGTGATCCGCCCACCTTGGCCTCCCAGAGTGCTGGGATTACAGGTGTGAGCCAATGCACCTGGCCATATTTTTTATTTTTTGAGACAGGGACTCACTCTATCAACCAGGCTGCAGTGCAGTAGTGCAATCATAGCTCACTGCAGCCAGCCTTGATCTCCTGGGTTCAAGTGATCCTCTGGCCTCAGTGTTCCCATGTCCTGCTCATGGTAATTTTTAGGTAAAAGATATTTGTTACATAACTTCTGTGTCTGTGGCATTGTACTTTGTGCTAAGGTGACTATAAACAATTTAAAAGTTCCTGCCTGTTGAGAATTTACAGCCCAACTGCATAAATGTCTTAAGATCATTGGTTGCATTTAACAGAAGTCAACTCAAGTTGGTTAAGGAGGAATTTAGTAATAAAGTGGAAGTTGGCCAAAGGCGATGGCTCAAGCCTGTAATGTCAGCACTTTGGAAAGCCAAGGCTGGTGGATTGCTTGAGCCTAGGAGTTCAAGACCAGCCTAGGCAACATGGTGAAACCCTGTCTCTACAAAAAAATACAAAAACTATCTGGGTATGGTGGTGCATATGCCTGTAGTCCCAGCTATTCAGGAGGCTGAGATGGGAAGATTGATTGAGCCCAGTAGGTCAAGGCTGCGGTGAGCTGGTGCTTGCACCATTATGCTCCAGCCTGGGTGGCAGAGGGAGACCCTCTCTCTCTCACACAGACACACACACATAAATACAGTGAAATTTCATATTACCCATGACCGTAGGGTAGGAGATATGACTAGGCTTCATGAGGCCCTACATACTTTTGCCTTTGTGGGTGGGTCCTTTCCTCTGTAAAAATATTAGAAATTATATTTTACAGACCGGGCTGGGTGGCTCATGCCTGTAATCACAGCACTTTGGGAGGCTGAGACGGGTGGACCACCTGAGGTCAGGAGTTTGAGGCCAGCCTGGCCAACATGGTGAAACCTCGTCTCTACTAAAAATACAAAAATTAGCCAGGTATGGTGGCACGCACCTGTAATCCCAGCTGCTCGGGAGGCTGAGGCAGGAGAATTGCTTGAACCCCAGAGATGGAGGTTTCAGTGAGCTGAGATTGGTCTTGCTGTGTTGCCTAGGCTGGAGTGCAGTGGCTCCATCTTGGCTCACTGCAACCACCGCCTCTTGGGTTCAGGTAATTCTCCTGTCTTTGCCTCCCGAGTAGCTGAGATTATAGGCGCATGCCAACGCATCCGGCTAATTTTTGTATTTTTAGTAGAAATGGGGTTTCGCCATATTGGCCAGGCTGGTCTTGAACTCGTAGCCTCAGGTGATCCACCTGCCTCGGCCTCTCAAAGTGCTGGGATTACAGGCATGAGCCACCAAACCTGGCCAAAAAAATTGTTTTTCTTTTAAAGAGGAGGTCTTTCTATGTTGCCTAGGCTGGTCTCAAACTCCTGGCCTCAAATAATCCTCCCTCCTCAGCCTCCCAAAGTGTTGGGATTGTAGACATGAGGCACTACATCCAGCCAAGTTACTTATTAAGAAGAGGTTTTGAAGTGAGAGGGGGCAGTGGCGTTGATAGTCTAAATGAAGGTGGTTAGTAGCAGGAATGGAAAGGGATGAACAGTTGTGCAGGCTTATTATTTCTTAGAAAAGAAAATACCTTATACAATCACTGTTTTATGGAAACTTGAAAAGAGTCCAGGTATTTTTTTTTTTTTGGTGGGGGATGGAGTTTCGCTCTTGTTGCCCAGGCTGGAGTGCAATGGTGCAATCTTGGCTCACTGCAACTTCCACCTCCCAGGTTCAAGCGATTCTCCTGCCTCAGCCTCCCAAGTAGCTGGGATTACAGATGCGTGCCACCTTGCCTAGCTAATTTTTGTATTTTTAGTAGAGATGGGGTTTCACCACGTTGGCCAGGCTTGTCTCTAACTCCTGACCTCAGGTGATCCTCTCACCTCGGCCTCCCAAAGTGCTGGGATTACAGGCGTGAGCCACCGTGTCCAGCCTGTTTTATTTAAATTTCATATGAACAGTTCTTTAACAATTTTGGAGAGAAGTTCTCTATCAGTATCTTTGATATTCATGTATTTTAATTAAATAGAAACATTTGATGACAGTGTTACATTGTAGTATATAATTTTAAAAAAGCATATCAAAGCCTTTTACATATTTCAGTAATTGTTCAACCATTTCTTTGAGGTTTGAGGTACACAGGTCATGATAATCCTAATTTTTTTTTTCTGGCGGAGTCTTGCTGTGTCACCCAAGCTGGAGTGCAATGGCATGATCTCGGCTCACTGCAGCCTCCGCCTCCCTGGTTCAAGCGATTCTCCTGCCTCAGCCTCCTGAGTTGCTGAGATTACAGGTACCCGCCACCACGCCCAGCTAATTTTTGTATTTTAGTAGAGATGGGTTTCGCCCTGTTGGCCAGGCTGATCTCGAACTCCTGACCTCAAGCAATCCACCCGCCTCGGCCTCCCAAAGTGCTGGGATTACACGCATGAGCCACCGCGCCTGGCTGATAACCCTAATTTTTAATGTTCATTTAAATTTCAAGATAACCATGGAAAAATCAGTCTTTATCAGTGAGCAGCTCAGTTCTGTGAACCCAATTCTTTTTTAAAGCAAGCGTGCTGAAATACAGAGTGGATTATTCTCTTTGTGTCCAATAGGAAAGAAAAGGAACAGCCAAAGTGGACTTTTTGAAGAAGATTGAGAAAGAAATCCAACAGAAATGGGATACTGAGAGAGTGTTTGAGGTCAATGCATCTAATTTAGAGAAACAGACCAGGTGAGTAATAGTTTGTGAAGTTCTGCACATTGTATTTCTATATATATATATATATATATATATTTTTTTTTTTTTTTTTTTGAGACGGAGTCTTGCTCTGTCGCCCAGGCTGGAGTGCAGTGGCGCAATCTCGGCTCACTGCAAGCTCCGCCTCCCAGGTTCATGCCATTCTCCTGCCTCAGCCTCCCGAGCAGCTGGGACTACAGGCACCCACCACCATGCCCAGCTAATTTTTTGTATTTTTAGTAGAGATGATGTTTCACTGTGTTAGCCAGGGTGGTCTCGATCTTCTGACCTCGTGATCCACCCGCCTCGGCCTCCCAAAGTCCTGGGATTACAGGCGTGAGCCACCACGCCCGGCCCTGTGCATTGTATTTCTAAAACCGTTGGCTTTATAGTACAGAAACAGCTTGGTGGAACCCATAAGGTAGATTGTATTTATAATGCCTGAAACAGGGTGAAGGAGGTGACTTTCACTTTCTGCATATGAATTAGGATCTTTTTTCTTATGGGGTTTGTAAAGATTTTTTTTTCTAAATAAAGTTTGTTTTGTTTTGTTTTAAAGACTACAGTATTTTAAATATTTAGACAAAGAAGGATGTTTTGAGATTTTTTTCTTTGCTGACTGATAAAACGAAATTATTCTATTAGACTCATAGACGATTATTATCTCCAAAGACAGAAAATGTAAATTTTTATGTTTTTTCTTTACAAGTAAACCTAATGCTTATAGAAGTATAAATGTTGAAGATATTATTTCATAAATACTGCATTGCCTTGATACTAAAATAATACTGATTTAAAGACAAACGTAGATCATGACATGATATTTGGGAAAAACAAAAACAAAATAACTCCCCCAAACATTGCCTTAATAAATGTATGCATCAATTATAAGATATATCCCAGATTCATATATGTTGAGATGTAAGAAAATGTGCTTTTTCAGATTGAAGAAATACGGTTATAGTAACAACAATAATAGTAAGTTAACATTGAACACTTACTGTGTGCTAGCAAATGTGCTAGCAAATTTTTTTACATGTATACTCTCATTTAATCTTCTTTTTCTTTCTTTCTTTTTTTTTTTTTTTTTTTGAGACAGTCTTGCTCTGTCATCAGGCTGGAGTGCAGTGGCGCCATCTCGGCTCACTGCAACCCCCAACTCCCTGGTTAAAGCGATTCTCCTGCCTCAGCCTCCTTAGTAGCTGGGATTACAGGCATGTGCCACCACGCCCAGCTAATTTTTGTATTTTTAGTAGAGACGGGGTTTTACCATGTTGGCCAGGATGGTCTCGATTTCCTGACCTCGTGATCCGCCCACCTCAGCCTCCCAAAGTGCCGGGATTACAGGCATAAGCCACCGTGCCTAGCCTTTTTCTTTCTTTCTTTTTTTAGACAAAGTCTTGCTGTGTCATTCAAGCTGGAGTGCAGTGGCACAGTCATAGCTCACTGTAACTTCAAACTCCCGAGCTCAAGCAATCCTTCTTCCTCGGCCTTCTGAGTAGCTGGGACTACAGGCATGCGCCACCATGCCTGGCTAATTTGTTTTTTCTTAGAGACAGGGTCTTGCTATGTTGCCCAGGCTGGTCTCAAACTCCTGGCTTCAAGTGATCCTTCTGCCTTGGCCTCTCAAAGCTCTTAAGATTATAAGACATGAGCCATCACTCCTGGCCTCATTTTACCTTTTAATTTTTTTTGTTTTTGTTTTTTTTTTTTGAGACGGAGTCTTGCTCTGTCACCCAGGCTGGAGTGCAGTGGCGCAATCTCGGCTCACTGCAAGCTCCGCCTGCCGGGTTCACGCCATTCTCCTGCTTCAGCCTCCTGAGTAGCTGGAACTACAGGCGGCTGCCACCATGCCCGGCTAATTTTTTTGTATTTTTAGTAGAGATGGGGTTGCATTGTGGTCTCGATCTCCTGACCTCGTGATCTGCCTGCCTCGGCCTTCCAAAGTGCTGGGATTACAGGCGTGAGCCACTGCGCCCGGCCTTTTTTTTTTTTTTTTTGAGGTGGAGTCTTGCTCTGTTGCCTAGGCTGGGTGCAGTGGCATGATCTCGGCTCACTGCAACCTCTGCCTCCCGGGTTCAATGATTTTTCTGCCTCAGCCTCCCCAGTAGCTGGGATTACAGGTGCATGCCACCACGCCTGGCTAAGTTTTAATTTTTGTTTTTAATAGAGACGGGGTTTTGCCATGTTGGCCAGTCTGGTCTCAAACTCAAATGATCCGCCTGCCTCCGACTCCCAAAGTGCTGGGATTACACGCGTGAGCCACTGTGCCCGCCCATTATCTTTTTTTTTTTTTTAATTTGGAGACAGAGTCTGTGGTGTCAGATGGAGCGAGCCTCTGTCACCCAGGCTGGAGTGCAGTTGTGTGATCTCAGCTCACTGCAACCTCTGTCTCCTGGGCTCAGGTGATCCTCTCACCTCAGCCTCCTGAGTAGGTGGGACTGTAGGCGCACGCCACCACACCCAGGTAATTTTTCTATTTTTAGTAGAAATGGGGTCTTGTTATGTTGCTGAGGCTGGTCCCAACTCCTGGGCTCAAGTGATCTGCCCACCCCGGCCTCCCAAAGTGCCGGGATTATAGGCATGGGCCACTGCACCCAGCATTGAAAAAATTTCTTTTGTAGAAATGAAGTTTCACTGTCTTGCCCAGGCTAGTCTTGAACTCCTGGGCTCAAGTAATCCTCCCACTTTTGCCTCCCAAAGTGTTGGGATTACAGGTTTGAGCCACCATGCCTGGCCTTAATCTTCTCAATATACTTTAAGGTTAACAGCTTTTAAAATTTCTCTTTTACAGCTGAGGAAACTGAGGCACAGAGAGGCTAAGTAACCAGTTCAAGGTTACATCACTGGGAATTGACTGGGCCTGGGCTTGTTTTTAGGACTTTCTGATTCAAAAGTCTTTTTTCCTTGCTTATTAAGCTATATTCTAATGGATATATATATATATATATATGGATATATACATATATGGATATATATATATATGGATATATACATATATGGATATATATATATATATGGATATATATATATATATATGGATATATATATATATGGATATATATATATATATATGGATATATATATATATATTTGAGACAGAGTTTTGCTGTTGTTGCCCAGGCTGGAGTGCAATGGTGTGATCTCGGCTCACCGCAACCTCCGACTCCCGTGTTCAAGCGATTCTCCTGCCTCAGCCTCCCCTGTAGCTGGGATTACAGGCATGCGCCACCACGCACAGCTAATTTTGTAGTTTTACTAGAGACGGGTTTTCTCCACGTTAGGCTAGTCTTGAAATCCCAACCTCAGGTGATCCGCCCGCCTCCGCCTCCCAAAGTGCTGGGATTAGAGGTGTGAGCCACCAGGCCCCAGCCTTTTTTTTTTTTTTTTTTTTTTAAGAGAAAAAGAAATTGCTGTAATATAGTCTCTGGTGTTATACTTGAAGCTATAATTTGAAGCTTCTATTTTCTTCTAGAGGTTTGGTTAACTTTAAGGTAATTTAAAATAATTACAAGTGAACTGAAAAAGCTGCTTTGTTTAGTGAAAGAGAATTAACTATAGGTGTATGCAGTAAGACTGAAGAAAGTAATATAATGTCAAGTGAAGAAGGCAAATTGCAGAAGTCTATATGAAGTATGCCTTTTTTTTGTATGAAACTCACAAGTGAGCGAAACTAAATGATAAATAGTTTAAGGGTGCTGCCAAGTGTGCAAACTATTCAAAAACAAGGGAACGGTAAAAGCAAATTTCAGAATGTCGGTTATCTCTTGTGGGACAGTAGAGAGGAAACAGGTAGTTTCAGTGGATTCATAAGTCAGATGGTGTGTTTACAAGTGTTCATTTTATTATGCTTCATAACACAGTATGTATGTTAGATATTCTTCATAAGAAAAAAGAATACAGACCAAGCATGGTGGCTCATGAGCTCATGCTCATGGTGGTTCTTATATTGAGAACCCTGTCTTTACAAAAACAACTAAAAAATTAAAAAAAAAAAAAAAGCTTTAAAGGATGCGTTTAAAGTGAATCTACCACATATCAAGTAATATTGAGGATGTTTTATATTACCTGAGGGACTTTGAATTGCTTTATATATATATCTAGTATCTAGTGAAAACAAATCTCATTTATTCAGTAAAATATTAAATTAGCCTAGGTTCATAAGGGTATTAAAGAATTTTTTTTTTTTTGAGATGGAGTCTCATTTTCGCCCAGGCTGGAGTGCAGTGGCATGATCTCAGCTCATTGCAACCTCTGCCTCTCAGGTTCAATGATCAGGCGATTCTTGATTCTCATGCTTAACCACTAGAGTAGCTGGGATTATCAGCGCACGCCATCACGCCCGGCTAGTTTTTAGTAGAGACAGGGTTTCACCATGTTGCCCAGGCTGGTCTCGAACTCCTGGCCTCAAGCAGTCCACCAGCCTTGGCCTCCCAAAGTGTTGGGATTACAGGTGTGAGCCACCACGCCTGACCTAGTATATTATCTTTACTCAAGTATTTTAGCTCAAATTAAACCTCTAGTATTTGTTACAAGGCTATTTAATTCTTAATAGCAACCTATCAATGTCTTATTTCTTGTAAATCTAAAGTAATTTTCAATTTTAGAGAGTTTTAAATTTGTAGATTTATAAATTTACTTTTAAATATTTTTTAAATAACCTTAAGTTATTTATATCAAGCATTTCCTTCACCCCACTTCCTTATTGTAAAAGGAACTTAACATTTATTCTTCTGTACTTTCTTTTTTATACTGTTGTTTTGCAGCAAGGGCAAGTATTTTGTAACCTTCCCATATCCATATATGAATGGACGCCTTCATTTGGGACACACGTTTTCTTTATCCAAATGTGAGGTAATGTTTCCCTATGTTTGCTATAATGGGGAGGAAGGTTTTTAACGAATATTGTTTTGAAGAAAATGGCAGCTATAGAATTTATTATTTCCTGTTAAGAGAACTTAAAATTCCTTAAAGCATAATTTTTTATATTTAAGTAATTTATTTTTATTTTTATTTATTTATTTTTGAGATGGAGTCTTGCTTTGTCACCAGGCTGGAGTGCAGTGGTGTGATCTCAGCTCACTGCAACCTCTGCCTCCTGGGTTCAAGTGATTCTTCTGCCTCAGCCTCCCGAGTAGCTGGGACTACAGGCACGCACCACCACGCCCAGCTAATTTTTGTATTTTTAGTAGACACGGGATTTCACCATATTGGCCAGGATGGTCTCAAACTCTTGACCTTGTGATCCACCAGCCTCGGCCTCTGAAAGTGCTGGGATTATAGGCATGAGCCACCGTGCCTGGCCCATTTAAGTAATTTAATTTTTATATTTAATTTTTATGTGCCATATGTGTATGTGTGCAAGGGTCTGGGCATGTATGCATATTCAAAAGTAATTCCTAGGTTGGTGAGTTTTGGGATGCCTAAAATCTAACTGGCATTCCAAAGGAGGATGTAAAGAAGAAAACTAATTTTTTTGTGTGAAAAGTTCACATTTTGTATTTGTCTGGCATTTAAATTTGCAATTTAAATTTAATTTTATTTCTGTAGTTTGCTGTAGGGTACCAGCGATTGAAAGGAAAATGTTGTCTGTTTCCCTTTGGCCTGCACTGTACTGGAATGCCTATTAAGGTAAGATCGCTAATAGGATTGGTTTCTACTCTTTTTAGTTGGAGCAAATAGTAATACCCAATTCAAGAGCTTAAAAGGATTTTTAAGTATTGCTGCATTAAAGTATGAAATGAGTTGAATTTATTATAGTGAAAATTAATTTAAAAATAAACAACATGTGAAGAAGTGCTTAAATAAAGGGCATCCATTATGGTCTAAGTGATTACTAAGTGATTTTAATGTCTTTTGGTTACCTTGTGTATTTATGTCTGTATTACAGTTAGGTAATAACTGATTCTGTTTTACTAAAAAGAAAAATGTACAGCCATTGTGCACTTATGACATATGTAAGATGCCGGCATAAAATAATAAACAGTTGTATTGTATTTTGATCATTTTTGCAAATATCTTCATTTGTCATAAGTTTGTATTAGAAATAATTCTCAATGAAGAATAGGAAAGAAAACTAGAGTTGAAAGGATTCCTTTATATAATAGGATTAGGAAATTTAAATCCTATTTCTTTTTATTCTCCAACATTTTATTTTATTTTACTTTATTTTATTTTTTTTTTGAGACGGAGTTTTGCTTTTGTCGTCCAGGCTGCAGTGCAATGGTGTGATCTTGGCTAACTGCAACCTCCTTCTCCTGGGTTCAAGCGATTCTCCTGCCTCAACCTCCCGAGTAGCTGGGATTACAGGCACCCGCCACCACACCTGGCTAATTTTTGTATTTTTAGTAGAGACGAGGTTTCCCCGTGTTGGCTAGGCTGTTCTGGAACTCCTGACCTCAGTTGATCCACCCACCTCGGCCTTCCAAAGTGCTGGGATTACAAGCGTGAGCCACCATGCCCGGCCTTCTGCAACCTTTTATTTTAAAGAATGTCAATCCTACAGAAAAAGTGGAATGGTAGTACAATGAACACCCTCCACCCTTCACCTGTAGTTACAAAGTCTTAACGTTTGCCATATTTGTTTTAGTTCTGTCTCTTAGCACACATGCATGCATGCGTGCTTTTCTCTTTCTTTTTCTTCTTTTTTTTTTTTCTGAGTTGGAGTCTTGCTCTGTCACCCAGGCTGGAGTGCAGTGTTGTACTTTTAGTACAGATGGGGTTTCACCATGTTGGCCAGGCTGGTTTCAAACTCCTGACCTCAGGTAATCTGCCCACCTCGGCCTCCCAAAGTGCTGGGATTACAGGCATGAGCCACCACGCCTAGCCCTTCTCTCTCTCTTTTTCTGTGAACTTTTTGAAAGAAAGTTGCAGATATCATGACGTGTCATTGCTAAATACTTCAGCATGTATTCTAAGAACAAGGGCATTCTTCTACATTATCAGAGTCCTGTTATCCCCTCCAAGAAATTCAACATTGATGTTATATTATCGTCTTCATCTAATCTGTAGTCAAATTTCTGTAGACTCAAAATGTCCTTTCCATCTGTTTTTCCCCCCTTTTTTTTTTTTGAGACGGAATCTTGCTCTGTCACTCAGTCTGGAGTGCAGTGGTGAGATCTTGGCTTGCTGCAACATCTGCCTCCCAAGTTCAAGTGATTCTCTTGCCTCAGCCTCCTGAATATCTGGGATTACAGGTGCCTGCTACCATGCCTGGCTAATGTTTTTTGTATTTTTAGTGTAAACAGGGTTTCACCATGTTGGGCAGGCTGGTCTCGAACTCCTGACCTTAGGTGATCCGCCTGCCTTGGCTTCCCACAGTGCTGAGATTACAGGCTTGACCCACTATGCCCTGCTGTTTTTCACTTTTTATTTTGTGGAGCACACATTGCATGTAATTATCCATTCTTTTCACTGTCTTTTAGTTGTTTGTCGTGATATTGATGTTTTTGAAGTCTAAGCTAGTTATTTTGTAGAATGTCCTATGATATGAGTTTTCTGATTGTTTTTTCATGATTAGGGTTGGGCTAAATATTTTGACAAGAATACTTCATTGTTGAGGTATTAACTTACCATTGTATCACCTCAAAAGCATATAAAATGGTAATTTGTCCCATTTAGTGAAATTAAGTTAATCCTGCCAGGTTTCCTCATTCTAAAGGTGACTTTTCCTCCTATAAAATTAAAAAGTAAGGCCAGACACGGTGGCTCACGCCTGTAATCCCAGCACTTTGGGAGGCCGAGGCAGGAGGATCACATGAGGTCAGGAGTTCAAAACCAGCCTGGCCAACGTGGTGAAACCCCATCTCTACTAAAAATACAAAAATTAGCCGGGCGTGGTGGCAGGTGCCTGTAATTCCAGCTACTTCGGAGGCTATGTCAGGAGAATCGCTTGAACCCGGGAAGTAGAGGTTGCAGTGAGCCGAAACTGCGCCATTGCACTCCAGCCTGGGCAACAAGAGTAAAATTCCATCTCAAAAAAAAAAAAGAAAGAAATTAAAAAGTAATCTATAGGATAACACTTTGAGAGCCTCTGAATGTCCTGTTACTCAATAACCCTGGTTTTATCATCCTTTAATCATCCTTGCCTGTTTTTATTATTCTATTAGTGGTTGAAATTCTTCTGAATAGAAGAGCCTTTTCCATTTAAAAAATTTTTACTTCTGTATTTCTTATTTTTCTCATAACTTTAACAGTGTTTACTTGGTGTCATCTTTGTTTTTGACAGTGGACTCATTGTGGTATAATTGATAAGAGCTAGAGTGGAAAGTCCAAGGTTAAGTCTGTAACTTTGCTAGCTGTATGACCTTGGGTAAATCACTTCATCTCTGTTTGTTTTCTGACTTAAAGCCTATCCTATCTACTTGGTAGGCTTGTGATGATAACTAATAGAGTATATGTGACAGTAATCTATCTTTCTTTCTTTCTTTCTTTCTTGCTGGTGGGATTTTATTTTTGTTTTTATTTATTTTTTATTATTATACTTTAAGTTCTGGGGTACATGTGCACAATGTGCAGCTTTGTTACATGTGTATACATGTGCCATATTGGTGTGCTGCACCCATTAACTCGTCATTTACATTAGGTATATCTCCTAATGCTATCCCTCCCCCCTCCTGACAGTAATCTTTAAATTGAGAAACAATGTTATTAATGTTATCCAAAATGATAACACATTATGTTTCCTACATCTTTATATATCTAATATATATGGTATATAGTATACTATATTGAATATTCTGGGTGTTGAATAAATGTTTTTGAGTAAATTAGGTAAAATACTACTTTATAAATTAGTGAATTTTGAGGTACATGATTTATACCTTTTTTTAATTTAATTTTATTTTTTTGAGACATGGGACTCATTCTTGCTTTGTTGCCCAGGCTAGAGTGCAGTGATGTGATCTCGGCTCACTGCACCCTCTGCCTCTTGGTTTTAAGTGATCCTGTCACCTCAACCTCCCAAGTAGCTGGGATTACAGGCGTGTGCTACCACACCCAGCTAATTTTTATATTTAGTAGAGACATCATGTTGGCCAGGCTGGTCTCGAACTCCTGACAAGTGATCTGCCTGCCTCAGCCTCCCAAGGTGCTGGGATTATAGGCGTGAGCCACTGCTCCCAGCCTCCGTTTCAGTTTTCTGTAGTGGAGCCACATAGGTATCAATATATTGCAAAAAATTTCAGAGTCAATTTTAGTTGGCAATAAAAACAGTAAAAAACTGAAATTGTGTCTACCTTGATTTTGAACTTCATTATCTCTAATATTCGTTGTAGGCATGTGCTGATAAGTTGAAAAGAGAAATAGAGCTGTATGGTTGCCCCCCTGATTTTCCAGATGAAGAAGAGGAAGAGGAAGAAACCAGTGTTAAAACAGAAGATATAATAATTAAGGATAAAGCTAAAGGAAAAAAGGTTTGATAGTGGTTGATATTTATGTTGGTTGAAGTTTTATATTTTTCTGATTTATATGTGCATTCCCAGTACTAGCACAGTGCCCAACACATAAAATGTACTAGATCATTTTTTTAAAGTATCAAAGCAAAAAATTATCTTTCTGGCCAGGCGCGGTGGCTCAAGCCTGTAATCCCAGCACTTTGGGAGGCCGAGGCAGGCAGATCATGAGGTCAGGAGATCGAGACCATCCTGGCTAACATGGTGAAACCCCGTCTCTACTAAAAATACAAAAATTAGCCGGGCGTAAGCCGGTCGTAGGCCGGGCGCGGTGGCTCACGCCTGTAATCCCAGCACTTGGGGAGGCCGAGGCGGGCGGATCATGAGGTCAGGAGATCGAGACCATCCTGGCTAACATGGTGAAACCCCGTCTCTACTAAAAATACAAAAAAATTAGCCGGGCGTGGTGGCTCACGCCTGTAATCCCAGCACTTGGGGAGGCCAAGGCGGGCGGATCACGAGGTCAGGAGATCGAGACCATCCTGGCAAACATGGTGAAACCCCATCTCTACAAAAAATTAGCCGGGCGTGGTGGTGGGCGCCTGTATTCCCAGCTACTCGGGAGGCTGAGGCATCAGAATGGCGTGAACCCTGGAGGTGGAGCTTGCAGTGAGCCCAGATCACGCCACTGCACTCCAGCCTGGGCAACAGAGCGAGACTCTGTCTCAAAAAAAAAAAAAAATTATCTTTCTGACTTTCCTATTTCCTTTTTCCTCTTTTTTGAAGTAATTTTAGATTTACAGAAGAACTGCAAGATAGTATATAGATGTTAAATCTTATATAACTATGATACTATTTTTCAAATTAAGGAATTAACATTAGTACAGTAGTGTTTACTAAACTACAGACTTTTTGGATTTTACCAGTTTTTTCACTAATGTCCTTTTCTCTTCCAATGTCCAATCCAGGATCCCACATTGCAGTTAGTTGTCATGTGTCCTTACTATGTTTCCTTAATCTTTTCTGTCTTTCGTTTTCTTCTATGACCTTTATACTTTTAACGAATACGGGTCAGATAATTATAGATAATGCCTCAGTTTGAGTTTGTTTGATGCTTTCTCATCGTTAGATTGAGGTTATTGATTTGGAGGAAGACTATTAGGTAATTTGTCGTTCTCAAGCGTTAGGGAGTATATGATACTGATATGTCTTATTATTGGTGATGTTAACATTGATCATTTGGTTAAGATGGCGTCTGCCAGGTTTTTCTCCTGTAAAGATTTCATTTTTTTTTAAATAATTAATATATATTTTGGGAGAGATCTTTTGAGGCCATGGAAATAATACTGTGTTTCTTTTTAAATATTTGCTCATTAATTTTAGCATTCATCAGTGGATCTTGCCTACAACAATTATTACTCTAGTCTTCTAATCATGATTTTCCATTTTCCTCTTTCTTTTTACATTTATTATCTATAATTCCTCTGAAAAGAAGAGCTGTCCTTTCTCCCCCACTTACTTAATCTGTCCTTTCTATGTCATATGGATTCATGGATATTCACTTTATTCTTCAGGTTATAAGCCAATACCATTGAGCTTTTTGTTTTTTAAGAGATGGAGTCTCACTATGTTGCTGGTCTTCAGCTCTGGGGCTCAAGCTGTCTTCTCACCTCAGTCTCCTGAGTAGCTGGAACTATAGGCTTATACCTCTGTGCCTGGCTATTGGGTTGTTTTTGAGTGTGTGTGTGTGGTTGTTAACAACACCGTAATTTGTTGTCAAATTGTTCTTTTTTATTAGAATAAAGCTAGAATAAATAAATTGTTCTAGCTGTGGCCATTGGGAGTTTTTTTAGCTTGGCTCCTGTGTCCATTAGACATTCCCTCATCTTCCTTTGTTCAAAGCAATTGCTTTCTTTATGGTGTCACAAGCTGTTCCAGGCTTGTATTTTCCGTGATTCAACCAAGGAATCAACCACTTCTCCAAGGTTTCTTTTATTGAAGAATGGTGTTCAGAAACTATGGCCTGAATGCTGGGTGTGCTCATTGCCTGGGGGTATCACTGCTTCTAGGCACTCTCAGTGGACAGAGCAAGGAAATATATTTATGTCTGCTAAGCCATGCATACACATCTGTTTTTATTTCTTTATGTATTTGAATGTTTATTAAAAAACAAGTAAGTTCATATTGATACCCCTGGCTCCATTTTAGCACCATGGGTCTCATTCTAGCATTTTCCCTTGGCTTATTTGTGACTTCTTACTACAACAGTGAGAAACTTGGCTCTCATTACCTATAGTATATTTCTTTATTTGTTCCATCCTAGACTACTAGTAGTTTCAGAATTGCCAACCTATACCCCTGGGAGAAACAATTTTACTGACAAAAGTACAGTGTTTGTGTGTAATTCTTTTTGTCTTTAGAATCTAATCACACTGTTTTCCAAAACTGCCTAGATCAGCTCCTTTCTTCCCTCCCCCTTGAGTGTGGTTATATCATATATTTGTAATGCAGTTAGATAGATTTGTCACAGTCTGCATTCCTCAGGTTCCTTCAGCATCGTGGTTGAATTTTTTAAAAATTTACATACCATAAAATTTACTTTTTTTTTTGTTTTTTTCAAGACATAGTCTTGCTCTGTCACCCAGGCTGGAGTACAGTGGTGGAGTCTTGGCTCACTGCAACCTCTGCCTCCTGGGTTCAAGCAATTCTCATGTTTTAGTCTCCCAAATAGCTGGGATTACAGGTGTGTGCCACCACGCCCAGCTAATTTTTGTATTATTGTTATTATTTTTATTATTGTTGTTGTTGTTGTTTGAGATGGAGTCTCTCTCTGTCACCTGGGCTTTGAAGTACAGTGGCACAGTCTCGGCTCACTGCAACCTCCGCCTCCCGGTTCAAGTGATTCTCCTGCCTCAGCCTCCAGGGTAGCTGGGATTACGGGCGCTTGCCACCATGCCCGGCTAATTTTCGTATTTTTAGTAGAGATGGGGTTTCACCACATTGGCCAGGCTGGTCTCGAAGTCCTGACCTCGTGATCTGCCTGCCTCGGCCTCCCAAAGTGCTGATATTACAGGTGTGAGCTACTGTGCCAGGCCCAAAATTTCCTCTTTGTGGTGTATAATTCTGTGAGTTTGAAAATGCCTGGAGTCATGTTTCTACCAGCACAGTATCATATAGAGCAATTCTGTCATCCTCAAAATTTTCTTATGCTGCCTCATTATAGTGTTACAGTTTAACCAAATTTCCTACCTTCAACTTCTGGCATTTGGTTGTCTCTTGGATATTCATAATTTTTGGAAAAGGAGGAAAGTCTTATGAGTAGCCTCTTTATAGGTAAATAAGGTAAATGTGGTATTAGGATAAAAGAAACAGAAGGTTTGGTATTGAGATCTTATCTTCATAATGGGTAGTTCTTTATGTTGCCATCCATTTAGTTATTATTGGTGCCAGTGTCTTGGCGGATATCTTGGCTATACAGTTTGACAGACTAAATTAGTACTATTTAGTACAGACTAGTACTTTTAGTACAGACTAATAGTACAACTAATTCCTGCAGTGTTCTGATGTATCAGCATTATTTTAGAATGTAAAAAAATTACATTCATTAATATCTTGGGTCATTTTCCTGGAGTGTTGGTTATTCTTTGATCGAGTTTATTTTTCTCCATTATTTTCAGAGTAAAGCTGCTGCTAAAGCTGGATCTTCTAAATACCAGTGGGGCATTATGAAATCCCTTGGCCTGTCTGATGAAGAGATAGTAAAATTTTCTGAAGCAGAACATTGGCTTGATTATTTCCCGCCACTGGCTATTCAGGATTTAAAAAGAATGGGTTTGAAGGTATGTCTATAAAGGAAATATGAGGAAAGCATTTACAAGTATGTGCTTTTTTATTGTGCTTTGCTTTATTGTGCTTTCCAGACATGGATTTTTTTTACAATTGAAGATTTGTGGCAACCCTGCGTTGAGCAAGTCTAGTGGCACCATTTTTCCAACAGCATTTGCTTACTTCATGTCACATTTTGGCAATTATTTTAATATTTCAAACTTTATTATTATCTGTTATGGTGATCTATATTCAGTGATCTTTGATGTTATTATTCTAATTGTTTTGGGTTGCCACACACTGTACCCATATAAGGTGGCAAACTTAATTGGTAAATGTTTGTGTTCTGACTGCTCCACTGACTGGCTTGTTTCCCTCTTTCTCTCCTTGGTTTTCCCTGTTTTCTAATAAACAACAATCTTGAAGCCAGTTATTAACCTTATAATGGCCTCTAAGTGTTCATGTGAAAGGGAGAGTCACATGTCTCTCATCATTTTAAGTAAAAAGCTAGAAATGATTAAGCTTAGTGAGGAAGGCATGTTGAAAGGCAAGATAGGCTAAATGCTAGGCCTGTTGTGCCAAACAGTCAGCCAAGTTATGAATGCAAAGAAAAGTTCTTTTTTTTTGTTTGTTTTTTTGAGATGGAGTCTCGCTCTGTCACCCAGGCTGGAGTGCAGTGGTGTGATCTCGGCTCACGGCAACCTCCGCCTCCCGGGTTCAAGCTATTCTTCTGCCTCAGCCTCCCGAGTAGCTGGGATTACAGGCGTCTGCCAACACGCCTGGCTAATTTTTGTATTTTTAGTAGAGACGAGGTTTCACTATGTTGGCCAGGCTGTTCTTGAACTCCTGACCTCAGGTGATCTGCCCATCTCAGCCTCCCAAAGTGCTGGGATTATAGGCATAAGCCACTGAACCTGGCCCAAAGAAAAGTTCTTGAAGGAGATGAAAGGTGCTTCTCCAGTAAACACATGAATGATAAGAAAATGAAGTGACCTTATTGCAGATATGGAGAAAGTTTGGTCCATATAGAAGATCAAACCAGCCACAACATTTCCTTCAGCCAAACCCTAATCCAGAGGAAGTCCCTAACTCTTCAATTCTGTAAAGGCTGGGGGAGGTGAGGAAGATGCAGAAGAGAAGTTGGAGGCTAGCAGAGGTTAGTTCTTAAGGTTTAAGGAAAGAAGCCATTTCCATAATAGAAAAGTGCAAGTTGTAGCCTGGGTGTGGTGGCTCATGCCTGCAATCCCAGCATTTTGGGAGGCCAAGGTGGGTGGATCACCTGAGGCCAGGAGTTCGAGACCAGCCTGGCCACCTGGGGAAACCCTGTCTCTATTAAAAATACAAAAATTAGCTGGGTATGGTGGCGGGCTCCTATAATCCCAGCTACTTGGGAAGCTGAAGGAGGAGAATTGCTTGAACCCAGGAGGTTGCAGTGAGCTGAGGCTGCGCCATTGCAACCCAGCCTGGGCAACAAGAGCGAGACTCTGCTGCAAGGTGAAGCAGCAAATGCTGATGTAGAAGCTGCAGCAAGTTATTTAGGGGATCTAGCTAAGATCATTGATGAAAGTGGCTACGCTAAACAACAGATTTTCTATGTAGACAAAACAGCTTTCCTCTAGTGATTAAGATGCTGTAAGACTTCCATAGCTAGAGAGAAGTCAGTGTCTGGCTTAAACGATGGGCTGATTCTTGTTAGAGGCTAATGTGTCTACTGACTTTAAGTTGAAACTAGTGCTCATTTACCATTTGGAAAATTTTAAGGCCTTTAAGAATGGTGCCAAATCTACTCTATGCTCTGTAAATGGAAAAATAAAGCCTGGGTGACAGCACATCTGTTTAAAGCATGGTTTGGTGAATGTTTTAAGCCCACTCTTGAGACCTACTGCTCAGGAAAAAAAAAAATTTCTTTCAAAATATTACTGTTCATTGACAATGCACCCAATCACTCAAAAGCTCTGATGGAGATATACAAGGAGATGAATGTTTTTATGCCTGCAAACACAACATTCATTCTGCAGTCCATGAATCAAGGAGTCATTTGACTTGTAGGTCTTCTTATTTAAGAGATACATTTTATAAGGCTATAACAGTCATAGATGGTAATTCCTCTGATGGATCTGGGCAAAGTAAATAGAAAACCTTCTGGAAAGGATTCATTGTTCTAGATGCCATTAAGAACATTCATGATTCATGGGAAGAGGTCAAAATATCAACATTAACAGGAGTTTGGAAGAAGCTGATTTTAACTCTTATGGATGACGTTGAAAGGTTCAAGACTTCAGGGGAGGAGGTTACTGCAGATGTGGTAGAAATTGCAAGAGAACTAGAATTACAAGTGGAGCTTGAAGATAAGCCTGAATTGCTATAATCTCATGAGAAAACTTGAATGGATGAGGATTCGCTTCTTACGGATGAGCAAAAAAAGTAGTTTCTTGAGATGGAGTCTACTTCTGGTAAAGGTGCAGTGAACATTGTTGAAATGACAAAGATTTTGAATATCACATAAACTTTAGTTGATAAAGCAGTAGCAGGTTTTGAGAGGATTCACTCCAAATTTTTTTTTTTTTTTTGAGATGGAGTTTTGCTCTTGTTGCCCAGGCTGGAGTGCAATGGCATGATATCGACTCACTGCAACCTCCGCCTCCCGGGTTCAAGTGATTCTCCTGCCTCAGCCTCCCTAGTAGCTGGGATTACAGGCATGCGCCACTACACCTGGCTAATTTTGTATTTTGTATTTTTTGTTTGTTTGTTTGTTTTAGTAGAGACGGGGTTTCTCCATGTTGGTTAGGCTGGTCTCGAACTCCCGACCTCAAGTGATCCGCCTGCCTTGGCCTCCCAAAGTGCTGGAATTACAGGCATGAGCCACCATGCCCGGCCCACTCCCAGTTTTGAAAGTTCTATTATGAGTAAAATGCTATCAGACAGCATCGCATGCTACAGAGAAATCTTTGTGAAAGGAAGAGTCAATGGATGTGGCAAACTTCATTGTTGTCTTAGTTTAAGAAATTGCCATAGCCATCACAACCTTCAGTAGCCACTTCTCTCATCAGTCAGCAGCCGTCATCGAGGCAAGACTCTCCACCAGCACAAAGATTACAACTCAACTGAAGGCTCAGATGATTATTAGCATTTTATAGCAATGATGTATTTTAAAATTAAGGTATATACATTGTCTTTTTAAATATAACTTTATTGCACACTTAACATAATTCAATATAGTATAAACATAACTTATATATGCCTTGGGAAATCAAAAAATTTGTGTGACTTGTTTTGTTGTGGTGGTTTAGAACCAAACCCACAATATCTCCCAGATATGTCTGTATATTTGTGTGATTATATGAGATTTGGACCAATTCCTAATTTTAGAATAATATATTTCCCCTGTATGCCACTAAAGAATTAGTACTGTTATTGTTAGACTAGAACCTAACATTGCCTATGGGTCTCATAACAATGAATACTTCACTATTTGTTGAATTAGAATGTATATTGACATATTAACAATTAGTAGAAAGGAGCTTTATTCAAAGAATATGAAGAAGCCCAAGTTTAACTTGAATATTTAGGAATACATAAAGGTAGGATTAAATGTTTCTTCTTAATTTATTATAGCTTCTATATGTTTGTTAATATGTATATGTATATGCTTAAAAATATACTTTAAGTAAATTAAAGTAATTGTGATATACTTTTAATAGTGGAACTTGGAAAATTATTTTTAATAGTTGATCTGATTCTAAGTTAGAAGAGTAAATAATTGATTCATAGGAATTCTTATTTAAACAAAATTTGTGTATTTCTCAGTAATTGCCTTTTAAAATTTTCCTTTTATAGGTAGACTGGCGTCGTTCCTTCATCACCACTGATGTTAATCCTTACTATGATTCATTTGTCAGATGGCAATTTTTAACATTAAGAGAAAGAAACAAAATTAAATTTGGGAAGCGGTAAGTTTGTTATACTTGAGCATAATAAAGCAAAAATCAGTTGGGCACAGAGGCTCACGCCTGTAATCCCAGTGCTTTGGGAAACTGAGGTGAGGGGATTGCTTGAGGCCAGGAGTTTGAGACCAGCCTGGGCAACATAGCGAGACCACATCTCTTTATATAAAAAAAAAAATTAGCCAGGCATGGTGGCATGCACCTGTAGTCCTAGCTACTTGAGAGGATGGGGCAGGAGGATTGCTTACATGAATAAATAAATACCTTGTAGCCTACCTTTTCCCATTACCTTTCAGGTTTTAAAATATGTTGTTTCTATTCTTTTGTATCCTTTGTTTTCCTTTTTTCCTTACCAGTGTCTTAATTTCTCTGAGCTGCTTAGTGTTTATGACAGATATAACCAGGGAGAATGGGAGGGTGGGCTTTTATTATCTTACTAAAGATTATGTTCAGTATTCCCTGCCAAGCAGAAAAAGTAATCATTTGATTTGTGTTTTATTTTATACTTTGTTCTACAAATTAAGATTCTTCCTTGATTATGTAGATTAATCAAGGAAGATAACTTAAGAAATGAAAATAAGTTATCTTCCTTGATTAATCTACATAATCAACTTCCTGATAGTTTCATTTGTTAAGTCAATTTATGTTTTATAATCTTTTGTTCAATACCACAAAGCCAAGATCAGTGTGTATTTTTCAGTGGTATTACCTTTGACGAAGATAGAAAGCTTTCATTAAATAAGTAGGTTGACAGTGGAACTACCATAAGAGTACACATAATAGACACAGATATCTACTCAGAAATTCTAGTTGCAAGACATGTAAGAAATTAGGTGCAACACAGGCAAATATGGTAGGATAAAACGTGAATATTATAATAATGTTTGTCACTTTTTGTTTATTTTTTAGGTATACAATTTACTCTCCGAAAGATGGACAGCCTTGCATGGATCATGATAGACAAACTGGAGAGGTGATTATTTGTGAGACAGAGTAGCTATTATAATAATCCTTAATAAGACTATAGAGTTTAAGAAATAGAAACCTAAAAATAACTTCTTTGTAGTGCTGAGGGATGTAGTCCTGATACTCTGGTGGATATGAAGAGGAGATAGAATATCAATACAGGTACCTGTATCTTGTGTAGTACCTAGCTATCCTAAGAGTCATGTGAGGACAGCTGCATCAGTTTGTTACAGGAAAGCACATTGTTTAGCCTCACCCCAAAATTGCTGAATCAAAAGTTCTGGGGGTGGGGCCCAGGAATATCTTTTTTTTTTTTTTCAGACGGAGTCTTGCTCTTTAGCCCAGACCGGACTGCAGTGGTGCTATCTCGGCTCACTGCAAGCTCTGCCTCCTGGGTTCACGCCATTCTCCTGCCTCAGCCTCCCGAGTAGCTGGGACTACAGGTGCCCACCACCACACCCAGCTAATTTTTTGTATTTTTAGTAGAGACGGGGTTTCACCGTGTTAGCCAGGATGGTCTCGATCTCCTGACCTCGTGATCTGCCCGCCTTGGCCTCCCAAAGTGCTGAGATTACAGGCGTGAGCCACCGTGCCCGGCCTCCAGGAATATCTTTTTACGAGCTCTCAATGTGATGTATATGCATGCTAATGTTGTGAAGCACCATCTGGAAAATAAACAGCTCTAAAAAGAAAGCATGGGGAGAGGTAATAAGATATGTGACCAAGATTTGATATACACAGATTCCAGTTATATTTGCTTTGATCATGTGCCTTCTTGCTTATTTCCAAAGTAATTCTAGCCATGCCTAGAAGTTCATTCTAATTCCTGTAGAACACATTATTAACATTATTCTCTGAAATACTTGAATAAATCAAGAGTAAGTGATTTGGCTAAATCCATGGCAAAGTAAAAATCAATGACAATGCCAGCATCTGAACTTATGATTCCCTATGATTGCATCATTTTTTATTACCATCTTTGAACATATTTTCAAAATCAGCCTTCAATTTTGATGTAACTTATCTAAGTGAGAGTTGATCAAAATTTTAAAAGATTTGAGAGACTTAAGACCCAGTAAAGTTTTAATATAGCCAATGGCAGCAATATCCTAGATTTCAGTAATCCTTTGTAGATTTTTCAAAGCATTTTTCATCTGTTATCTTGTGTGTTCCTCAGGACAGTCCTATCTGAGACGCAACATCCTTATTTTACCAATAAGGAAAGAAAGGCTTAGAGAGATTATGACTACCTTGGGTCTAACCATTAGTAAGGGAGCAAACTAAGTTTAGAAAGCACATTATCTCTGACCTCTGGTCTAGTGTCTTCCTTTGATGACTACTATGTGGGACATGCCCTGGGATGGAATTAGGGTTGATTGTGTCTTCTCACCTTCATTTTGGCAAACACTATTTTGGGCGATTACTCCAAATCTCTCCTAACGTACTAGACTTCTGTGTGGGTATAGTTAGCACACCACTGGCAATCTCTTCTCTGCAAAAAAAAATTAATAATGCAAGAACCCATTTTAGGGACTTGAATCAGATCTCTCACATAGATTAGTAGGTTTAAGGCAAGTCTTTTTTTTCCTTCAAATTTTTGTATCGTTTATTTGCTTAGGGTGTTGGACCTCAGGAATATACTTTACTCAAATTGAAGGTGCTTGAGCCATACCCATCTAAATTAAGGTAGGTTTGCCAGAGTAATTGCTTTATCATTTCTGAACCATCAGATAGTTGTTACAGAGTTGACATGTTTTTACATCAATATTTGTTTTTTTTTCTCAGTGGCCTGAAAGGTAAAAATATTTTCTTGGTGGCTGCTACTCTCAGACCTGAGACCATGTTTGGGCAGACAAATTGTTGGGTTCGTCCTGATATGAAGTACATTGGATTTGAGACGGTGAATGGTGATATATTCATCTGTACCCAAAAAGCAGCCAGGAATATGTCATACCAGGGCTTTACCAAAGACAATGGCGTGGTGCCTGTTGTTAAGGAATTAATGGGGGAGGTAAGTTGGATAGCAGATTTTTTATTTTAATGCGTAAATTTCAAGGAAAATTTCAACAATGAATATTGAGAAAAGAGCATTACAACCTTAAAAAATGAGGTGTACATGCAGTAAACTGTGTAAGTCTTGTGTGTTTTGGTGCATTTTCATATGTATATACACTTACGTAAACACCACCTAAATCAAGATATAGAACAGTTTTAGCACTCCAGAAGGCTCTCTCATGTCCATATCATTAGTACTCACCTCTCTCCTCCAAAGGTAACCACTGCTCTGACTTCACCAAAGATTAGTTGTTGTTCTTGAACTTTACATAATGGAATTGTGTAGTCTGACTGTTTTGTGTCTAGCTTCTTTTGCTTAACATTATGTTTGTGAGATTCATACATGTTGTAGGAATAGTTCTTTTTTTATTGTTGTGTAATATTCATTGTATGACTGTATCATTAAGATAGCATATTTTATTTTTAGGTTTCAACTCGGTAAATATCTGGTTGAAAAATATAGGCAGTCCTCCCCAAGAGATTTAATAGCTGCATTAGTCATTATATTATTTTAAAAATACTATTACCTGAATTCCTGGTAATACTAAATTTGGAATTGTAGCTGCCTTTTTTTTTTTTCATGTGAAGAAAGTCTTGGTTGATATTAATTAAATATGGATGGTTACACAGCTCATCTACTTTATTTTATTTTTATTTTTTTTTTTGTAGACAGTTTTGCCCTTGTTGCCCAGGCTGGTGTTCAGTGGCGCGATCTCAGCTCACTGCACCTCTGCCTCCTGAGTTCAAACGATTCTCCTGCCTCAGCCTCCTGAGTAGCTGGGATTACAGGTGCGGGCCACCACGCCCAGCTAATTTTTTGTATTTTTAGTAGAGACAGGGTTTCATCATGTTGGCCAGGCTGGTCTTGAACTCCTGACCTCGGGTGATCCACCCACCTCGGCCTCCCAAAGTGCAGGGATTACAGGCGTAAGCCACTGTACCCAGCCTTATCTACTGTATTATCAATATTTCTGAGTGTGTTTAATTCCATTTAGTGAATGCTGATCTTTGGTATCTTAAATAATTTTTTAAAAAGAAAAATATGAGTAGAGTACCATCTCAATTCTTTTAAATTGAACTATTTTATTCCTTATTTAATACTTTGATTGCAGTATATTTACAAGTCCCAAAATTCAAAAAACGCAAAAAGATACAAAAGTTCCCCATTCTAGAGGTAGTTAGTAATATCTGTGTCTTGTGTATCCTGGTAATATTTCATGTATACACAAGCGAATACACACATACTCTTTGTCCCTCTGTTTTTACACAAATGGCAATATACTTTATATGCATTGTACCACATCTTGCTTTTTAATTTGTATCTTGGCAATCATTTTGTCAGTACATAAACAGCTTCTTTATTCTTATTTTTTATAGCTACATAGTATTTCATTGTTTGGTTGTACCACAATTTACTTAACCATTCTCTATTAATGGATATTTGAATTGTTTCCTGCCTTTTTCTTTTAAAAGCAGCACTGCCACATCTCTTTAGTTCCTAATGTTGGAATTTTGTCTGAGAAGTTCTTGGGAACAGTATTAGGGACATACATGTTTTCCTATTCTTAATGCAACTTTTCTCCCTGTTAATTTGAGCAAATTCTGGCGTGAGGGACATGGATGTTATAAATTGCAAAATAGTTTCAACATTTAAAATGGTTATAATATTTAGCTGTCATCCATATGACTGCAAATTCTATAAAGGCAGGTTATAAGTACATATATGAATAAAGAGGGGTGGGTGGGAATTATGTGGAAAGGAAAAGTGTGTTCCTTAGCTAGAGCAAGAAGCTGCAAATTCTTTGTTGCCATCTGAGAATTTGGGTCTAAAATTGCTTAATCTTTTGGATTTTTTCAAGTGAAATTAGAACTATCCTTTTACTTTGTCTTCATAACTACTATTTTAAATAGATGTATAGTACCCATTCTTGTTCTTGTAACATATTTTGTTAAATCATTTTTTCTATCATTGAAAGCTTTAGTTGTTTCCAGGCTTTCCTAGTATAATTAACTCAGCATTGGGTAGACTTGTTTAAGAAAAAATAATTAGTTGTTGTTGAGTCTGAGTTACATGAACATTTTGTGGCTTTTGCTGTGGATTCCTATATTTTCTTCAAGGAGTACAATGTCACAAACAATGTATTAGTGTACTCATGTCATAATATTGACAGATTTAGTTATTATAATTATTAAAAATTATTTTTCCGGGACGGGCACGGTGGCTCATGCCTGTAATGCCAGCACTTTGGGAGGCAGAGGTGCGTGGATCACCTGGGGTCAGGAGTTCAAGACCAGCCTGGCCAACATGGTGAAACCCTGTCTCTACTAAAAATACAGAAATTAGCCAGGCGTGGTGGTGCATGCCTGTAATCCCAGCTACATGGGAGGCTGAGGCAGGAATCGCTGGAACCTGGGAGGCGGAGGTTGCAGTGAGCCGAGATCATGCCATTGCACTCCAGCTTGAGTAACAAGAGCAGAACTCCATCTCAAAAAAAAAATTATTTTTCCTCTAGTAGGTATAAAATAATGTGTTTTGTTTTACTTCATATGTATTTTATTTATATTCTTTTCTTTATTTTTTGAGACGGGGTCTCCCTCTGTCACCCAGGCTGGAGTGCAGTGGCACGATCTTGGCTCACTACAACCTCCACCTCTCGGGTTCAAGCAATTCTCCCGCCTCAGCCTTCCAAATAGCTGGGACTACAGGCGCATGCCACCACGCCTGGCTAATTTTTTGTATTTTAGTAGAGACGGGGTTTCACCATGTTGCCCAGGCTGGTCGCGAACTCCTAAGCTCAGGCAATCTGCCTGCCTCAGCATCCCAAAGTGCTGGGTTTACAGGCGTTAGCCACCGCGCTCAGCCTGTATTCATTTTTTAATTGACAGAAATTGTATTTATGGTACGCAATATGTTTTGAAATATATATACATTGTGAAATGGCTAAATTGAGGTAATTAACAAATTTATACCTTACGTACTTACCATTTTCTGTGGTGAGAAGAGTTAAAATTTAAATCAGGTGCAGTGGTATGCACCTGTAGAGCCAGCTACTTGGGAGGCTGGGACCTCAGGAGGCTTGCCTGAGCCCAGGAGCTTGAGCCTGTAGAATGCTATGATAGCACCTGTGAATAGCCTCTACACTCTAGCCTTGGCAACATAGCAAGGCTCTGTCTCTTAAAAAAATCTACACAGCAATTTTCAAGTATAAAATACATTGTTATTTCCTATAGTCACCATATTGTACAATATAGCTCTTGAATTTATTTCCATATATTTTTGATTACTAGCTTCTCAGGGCTTAAAATATTAACATAGTTTTAATTCTAATGGTCACAATGAATTACTTCACCTTTTATATTGATTTTTTTCTTATGCAGGAAATTCTTGGTGCATCACTTTCTGCACCTTTAACATCATACAAGGTGATCTATGTTCTCCCAATGCTAACTATTAAGGAGGATAAAGGTAAAGAGTTTATTTATTTCTAGAAATATTTTGATAAACACATTTTGGTTCTAGTTATTAATTCCACACTTTGTTTTCTAAGGCACTGGTGTGGTTACAAGTGTTCCTTCCGACTCCCCTGATGATATTGCTGCCCTCAGAGACTTGAAGAAAAAGCAAGTAAGTATCTGAGTTTCATGTTTGTATTTCGTCCTCACCATCTCATTGCTTAGGTGCTGCTGAACTACGCTGTGGGACTAGGCTAAAAAGCTATGCATTTATCTTTAAACTGCTATCTCTAACTTGTTTCTTGATGTTAATATATTTTCTGTGGTTTGAATTTTAAATATGTTCACAGAATTTTGAAAAAGCTTTCTGATATTCACATTTTCATTGAAATCTGGCATATGAACCTCAATTTAAGTGATATGTGTATGTCTATGTACATTTTTGCTTTTGGTTGTGTGGTTTCATTTAGGCTATTCACTATAACTTTAGCTATTAAATTTTTGAAGGTTACAGATCCCTTTTGAGATATTTGGCAAAGTTAGAAAATTGCTCTCTATGGAGAGGAGAACAAATAGAAACTTTAAAGAAACTTTTAAGAAACTTTGGAGATTGCTTCTCTCAATGATTCTCCCAGTAAAGTGTTGATCATTAGTGTTAACTTGCAAATTTTTCTGTAGGCCTTACGAGCAAAATATGGAATTAGAGATGACATGGTCTTGCCATTTGAGCCGGTGAGTACATAGATAATTCAGAATATTCACATCCATCTCTTTATCAGAGAAAAAGAAGAGCTAACATGTTTTCCTTATAACAAAATTAATTGGTGGAGTATGAAAAAGAGAGTTTGCTTAAGGATTTACTCACTTTAATTTGATACCTGCTATGGTAGATAAGAGCAAAAGGAAAACTAACAAGCATTTTCTTACCACCTGGCACCTGCAGTTCTGGAACAAATAGCTTTTTAGCATCACCAATTTTATAGTAGCTTGCTTTGCTAGTGTGATCAATTTCCTGGCTTCTAAAGATAAAATTTTGCCCTTTTCATGAATGTTTATATGTAACCATAATAACTTTAACAAAGTCCTGTACAACTCTGTTTTATGTTTCTTGTATTTTCATGTTAGTATCTATAGAAGAAAAACTTTTAAATTACTAGCAAATGATTTTCATTTCATGAAAGATCCAGAGGAATTAATATAAACCAAAAGCACAACCATCCATGAATCTAGTTGTTTACATCAGCAGGCCCCAACCTTTTTGGCACCAGGGACTGGTTTTGTGGAAGACAATTTTTCCATGGACCAGCAGGGTGTGGTAGGGGAATGGTTTTGGCATGAAACTGTGCCACCTTAGATCATCAGGCATTAGATTCTCATAAGGAGCAAGCAACCTAGATCCCTCCATGCACAGTTCACAATAGGGTTCGTGCTTCTATGAGAATCTAATGCCACCCATGATCTGACAGGAGGTGAAGCTCAGGGGGTGATGCTCGCCCGTTCCTCACCTCCTGCTGTGCAGCCTGGTTCCTAATGCCATGGACTGGTACCGGTCCACATCCTTGGGGTTGGGAACCCCTGGTTTACATCATTTTGCTAGTTTCAGTATGAATTACTTAGGTAATTATATGCCAGTGGAGGATAGAGTGTTGGGAAAGGTGTGTGTGGTGGGGGAAGGGCATTGGGGGTGTTGGTACACAGAGTATGGGTGGTTCCTGTGGAGAGTAGAAGGACAAATTTACATCTGGAAGTTAGTCACTCTGTGATTACTTAATGTGTGGCAGTGTCGTAATGACATATACAATCTGAAATGACTTAATTGGACATTAGAGGCAAAAGGACTTGTGCCCTACAGAGCTGTGTGTCCAGTCAGTGTGAACACGTTCCTGATTGCTGTTTGCTGCAGGTGCCAGTCATTGAAATCCCAGGTTTTGGAAATCTTTCTGCTGTAACCATTTGTGATGAGTTGAAAATTCAGAGCCAGAATGACCGGGAAAAACTTGCAGAAGCAAAGGAGAAGATATATCTAAAAGGATTTTATGAGGGTGTAAGTAATAATTTTTTTTAGTTTTTATTTGCTTTACTCCATGCTCTGTGATTTTCTTAATTAGAAAAAATGTAGAAAAATTTAACATAGTTTCAGCTATACATTGATTTGAGAGCTTAATATGAGAATGTATTCTATTTCCAAATTTCTAATTTTTGTTTTTATCATGTCCTTTGCCTAAAAGCATTTTCAGAAATTGTCTTTTTCGTGCCCTCTAGGAATCTCTATGGAGTGAATTTCTTGACAAGATATTTCAAATTAGTTCATATTATTATGCAGTAAACTTCAAAGATTTATTGAATGGAGAATACCTGGTCCCTTCTTTTGCTCTTTTAGTTAAGGAGTTCATATTTTAGATAAGCAGTTTTATTCAGTCCATTAATTTATTTATTAATGTCTACTAAATGCCAGGTGAGTTCAACAAACATGTTCTGAACCATTCTTTTCTCCTAATTGTGCATATGTTAATGTGGTTTATATTTCCATGGAAAGAAGGCTAGGCTAGAGAACATAAAAATCCAAACAAGTTATTAGGTGCTTCAGAGTCAAATGAAGATTTTTAAGGACATCAACAAGAATGTTTTTTAGTTTAGCTTTCCTACATTTTTCTGGATAACCAAGAATTGGTTACATTTCTTTTTTTTGAAGTGACACATATTTTGAATGATGATAAAAGCAACACTTATGTAGCACTTATATATTAATTTACTTAATTCTGAAAATAACCCCATTCTGAAGTAGGCACTCTTATCTCCAATTTACGGATGAGGAAATGGAGGCACAAAGAGATTATTAACTGATTTACTTGAGATTAGCCAGATAGTTAGCCAGTGGGAACTGGAATTCAAACTAGGTAGCCTGGCTCTGGGATTTACATTTGTGTGTGTGTGTGTGTGTGTGTGTGTGTGTGTGTGTGTGTCTATCTGACGGAGTCTTGCTCTGTCTCACAGGCTGGAGTGCGGTGGCTCAATCTCAGCTCACTGCAGCCTCCAACTTCCGGGTTCAAGCGATTCTCCTGCCTCAGACTCCTGAGTAGCTGGGACTACAGGCACGTGCCACCATGACCAGCTAATTTTTGTATTTTTAGTAGACACGAGGATTTCACCATATTGGTCAGACTGGTCTCGAACTCCTGACCCCAAGTGATCTGCCCACCTTGGCCTCCCAAAGTGCTGGGAGTATAGGCTTGAACCACTGCACCTGGCCAGATTTGTGTTCTTTTTTTTTTTTTTTTTGAGACGGAGTCTTGCTGTGTCGCCCAGGCTGGAGTGGAGTGGCTCAATCTTGGCTCACTGCGACCTCTGCTTCCTGGGCTCAAGCAGTTCTCCTGCCTCAGCCTCCTGAGTAGCTGGGATTACAGGCCCCTGCCATCACACCCAGCTAATTCAGATTTGTGTTCTTAATCACTGCATTCATTAAATATAACTTTATAATGCTGGATTAAATAGATATTGAAGTATTTTGGTATGTTAGAGGTTTAGAATGTCAAAAGAGAATGCATGTCTTTTCTACCTAAGATAGAAACAATTTGAGAGAAATATAAGAGTCATGTAGATGAAAATAAGAGTCATGTAGGTGAAAATATCTGCTTTATTACCAGAGAAAGCTGGAAGGTGATTGAGGCTTAATTGATGGCAACAATGGATAAGCTAATACTTTGCCCTAGAATGTTATTGGCCTACTGAAAAAGATAGAGGTGAAAGAGTAGGCCTCCTTCTAAGAGCAAGCTTTATCACATGGTCAGGCAAAGAATACTCACCTGCAGCAGGTGGGGTTAGAAAGAGGAGCCTAATTAGATGAAGCCGAATGTACTTAGTTCCTTCAGAAACCACCAGGAATGAGGTGAGTGAGTGTAATTGAAGTCTGTCTATGTGGAAACTTAAGAAGTGGAAGTGAGTATTCCTTCCTAATCATGCTCACACTAGGTATCTCCGTGATACCTAGTGAGGTGTGGGTATCACTGACAGAACGATAAGTGTGTTATAAATATTAGTTATCCATGCTATACCAAAATGAAAAATTATCGTTGTAAATATGATAAATTTCATACTAAAAATATTTCGGTGGGCAGAAGCAAATTTAGTTAGGGAAAATTAGGAAAGAAACTCAAGGCAGATTCTAACTGTTTTATATGTGGTTTTTCTCCCCTCTCATCCTTTTAGATCATGTTGGTGGATGGATTTAAAGGACAGAAGGTTCAAGATGTAAAGAAGACTATTCAGAAAAAGATGATTGACGCTGTATGTGATAGGCTATGCTCTGAAGGCTGTTTTAGAAGAGCTGTTAATAGACTTGACAGTGTTATTAGCAGTGAGTTCTACAGTAGAACCTGGAGCTATAATAAAAATATCATACAGTTTTGCGGCAGAAAATAGACCTATTTAGCAATTCATTTAACTTGAACATCCCATCTATAATGTTGATAAAGGTAGTGTTTTAAAGTCGATGTGTGCATAGCATGTGTAGAGAACTTTGATGATATTTCTGGCAGTGGCCATTTTAGATACTGGTAGTTACAATCCTTTCTTTCTGTGGTGTTTCTGTCGTCCTCCTCTCATCCCTCCGTTTCTGTTATAACTCTCTTCTATTTAGCTGAGTTAACCCTTTACATTTTTATTTTTGACAACTTTGTATACCCATAATACTATGAGAGACAATGGTCTGTTAGGCTTGTTGAAATAAAAAAGCAGCAATTTCCTCATCACTTTTCCATAATTTAAATTTCTCTTCCTTGGAGGGGGTAACATTTAATCGTTTTAGTATTGATCTCCAGCTCTTTTTTTTTTGAGATGGAGTTTCGCTCTTGTTACACAGACTGGAATGCAATGGCGCGATCTCAGCTCACTGCAACCTCCACCTCCTGGGTTCAAGTGATTCTCCTGCCTCAGCCTCCTGAGTAGCTGGAATAACAGGCATGAGCCACCATGCCTGGCTAATTTTGTATTTTTAGTAGAGATGGGGTTTCTCCATGTTGGTCAGGCTGGTCTCGAACTCCCGACCTCAGGTGATCCACTCGCCTTGGCCTCCCAAAGTGCTGGGATTACAGGCATGAGCCACCATGCCCGGCTAATCTCCATCTCTAACAGATCTCTGACCTAAATGCTTGTAATGTGATTTTTTTTTTTCAGGGTTAGGTATCAGCCACTAACCTCCTACTCTTGGAAGGAGTAGGAGGAAGATCAAAGTTACACTCTTTCCCCTACTTTTTGTTTTCTCTAACGTCCCACATTTATTGGTATATACTACTCCATACCCTGTCTTCTCCGTACACTGTAGTTATAACAAATGTTAGATGAATAGTTATTATTTACATTTTTGAGACATGGCTTATCCATAATACAATAATTTTTCATCCTCAGCTTTTGGTTTTCCCTGGGATTAATAGTTAGGTTTATTTTTAAAACATTCTTAATTAAAATACACTCGTCAGTACTCCATTTCTCAACTCTTTTCCAACTGTCTATTTCTTTTCTTACTCAGTTCAAACACATCAGTGTGCTTTCAGTTCCATCTCAGAGAAAGCTCTTCCAGCGCTTTCTGGCTTTAGTCTGAACTGGTTGCTTACTGTCCTGATGCACAAATCTTGGATGTTCCTCCACTATTGCTAAGAATACCCTTTGCTCCTCTTGAGCTGGATCTCCTGTTTCCTTAATCCCATGTCTATGTCCTTATATTCTTTCTCATTTTGGTGAAATTCTGCCTCTGATAGCTTTTCTGAGAAAGGGTACCTGGAAGGTAAATTGTTGTGACTTTTCATGTCTGAAATATGTCTTCTATCTTTATATTGGATTGCCTGAGTATAGATTCTGGATTGGAAATAATTTTCCCTTAAAAACCTGAAGGTATTACCTCATCATCTTTTGGTTCATTGATGCTATTAAGAAGTTGAAAACTCTTCTGGTAGTGACTGATGTTTTTGTAACTAACTTGTTTCCCCTGACTTTGGAGGCTTGTATAATCTTTTTTCTCCCAGTATCCTGAAATTTCATGATTTGCCTTGGGTGTAGGTCAATTTTCATTCATTCTACTGGGTGCTTGGTGGGCTCCTTCAATCTGAAAACTTGTGTACTTCAATTTGGGGAACATTTCTTGACTTTTTTCTTGATTATCTTATTTTTTTCTTATTCTCTATTTTCACTTTTTGAATTCCTATCATTCAGATATTGAACCTCTTAGATCCTGGCAGTCCTGTTGGTCCTCTTTGTGGGATAGTCCCTCATCATTTTCTTCCTGAGCTTTTCTTTACTATGTGCTTTTATTTACTATTTGTGTGTGTGTATGAATACAAATTTATAAGAACTTATTTTTAAAGAATCGTATGGAAAATTTCAAATGTATAAAAAAGTAGAGAGTAGAATGATAAATTCCTGTAATACCTATCACCCGGATTCAATAATTACTAATTTTGGGCCAGTTCAATAATTGTTCTTGTTTTCTGACTGATTTTTTTTTTTTTTTTAAAGAGACAGGGGTCTTGCCATATTGCCCAGGCTGATCTGGCTTTGGGCTCAAGTGATCGTCCCACTTCAGCTTCTTGAGTGGCTAGGACTACAGGCATGTGCCTCCATGCCTGGCTGATTTGTTGTAGGATGCTGTTGTTGTTTCATAGATGGGACATCTTAATCTTATTTCTCTGAGGAAGACCGTTGATATGTAATATATTTGGGTGTAAAAAGAAATGTTTTTGCTTATGGGTAGGACTTGTCACTAGGCTTCACTGGGGGAGATCTAGAAAGGGCCATTTGGGCCTTGGCGACTCCCGGTTGTTAAGTTTTTTTAGTATTGGCTTTTGGGTTTGTTAGATTTCCCTACAGAAGATTCTGCCAATCTCTAGCTCAAAAGGTCTAGGTGGCCAGGCACAGTGGCTCATACCTGTAATCCCAGTACTTTGGGAGGCTGAGACCGGTGGATCACTTGAGGTCAAGTTTGAGACCAGCCTGGCCAACATAGTGAAATCCTGTCTCTACTGAAAACACAAAAATTAGCCGGGCATGGTAGTGTCTGCCTCTAATTCCAGCTATTCGGGAGGCTGAGGCATGAGAATCGCTTGAACCTGGGAGGCAGAGGTTGCAGTGAGTCGAGACGGCGCCACCACACTCCAGTCTGGGCGACAGAGCGCTGTCTCACAACAAACAAAAAAGTCTAAGCAACTGAGCATTTTGGAAGTTGGATGGGAGAAGATAGCTAGGAATGTGTACCAACATCTAGTATGCTGACTTTCACTTAATTCCCCTATTTTTACTATGATACTTGTAACTTTGTCTCTAGTTCAGAGACTTTCTTTTACCTTTTCCAGAGAATTAGCCTTTTTTTTTTTTTTTTTTTTTTTGGTTCTGGCATAGGTAGGGGCAGTATATGGGGTTCTAACCTCTATTTTATTTTATTTTATCTTATATTATCTTATGTTATTTTTTTACCACTTCCCAGATACCCACTTCTTTAAATGACTTTAGTTGGTGCTCTTCTTTTCAGTCTCACCTTATCTCTCTCTCTCTCTCTTCTCTTTCTTTTTTTTTTTTTTTCGGAGTTTTGCTCTTGTTGCCCAGGCTGCTGGAGTGCAATGGCACGATCTCAGCTCACCGCAGCCTCTGCCTCCTGGCTCAAGCGATTCTCCTGCCTCAGCCTCCCAAGTAGCTGGGCGTTACAGGTGTGCGCCACCATGCCCAGCTAATTTTGTATTTTTAGTAGAGACGGGGTTTCTCCATGTTGGACAGGCTGGTCTTGAACTCTTGGCCTCCCAAAGTGTTGGGTTTACAGGCGTGAGCCACCACGCCCAGCCCTTATCTCTATTTCTAGAGCTATTTAATGCCACCAATTTCTGAGTCTCTTTCTATTTAATGCCACCAATTTCTGAGGAACTAGAGTGCAGAGTGGATTGCTTTTCAGCTTTTTCTATTAGGATTCAGATAGCTTTTTAATTGCTGCTAATATATTTGTCATTCATATTGCTTTTTTGTTTTCAAAATTCAGTTAATATTTTTTCTTCTCATTCATTTTGACTTTGTAGGTTCATGCCATTTGTAAAACCCTCTTTGTTGTCTTTTTATTGGAATTTTGAGAGGGAGTTAAATGTCTGTTTTTAATCTACCATCTTTAAACCAAAATTCCAGCTATTTAATTTCAGCATGAAGAATTGCATTAAAAACAGAGCAGTGAATCATTTTATGAATAATAATGCTGGATTTTATTTTTAAAAATTATCCTAGCCTAAAATGTTTAGGATCATCATAGCATTAAGAGAGATTTATATTTGGTAAGAAATCAAAAACATCGTCAATTTTCATGCTTAAAGTATTTAGGATCATAATAGCATTAAGAAAGATTTATATTTGGTAAAAAATCAAAAACATGGTCAGTTTTCTAGTGGAAATTTTTCATGGCACTATAAATCTTTAGTAACAAGATTTTCTATGTTTAGTCTTTGTATATCTTTTTTTTTTCTTAAGCAGTAGTTTATAAGAAGGATAAAAAGCTGCCATAGGGCTGTGCACAGTGGCTCAAGGCTGTAATCCAAACACTTTGGGAGGCTGAGGTGGAATACTTGAGCCCAGGGGTTCGAGACCAGCCTGGGCAACATAGTGAGACCCTATTTCTATAAAAAAATTAAAAAATTAACTGGGTGGGTTGACATGTGCCTGTAGTCCCAGCTACTCAGGAGGCTGCAGTGTGAAGTAGAAGGGTCACATGAGCCAGGAGGTCGAGGTTGTAGTGAGCCATGATAGTGCCACTGCGCTCCAGCCTGGGTAACAGAGCAAGACCCTATCTGTCAAAATAAAAACAAAACAAAAAAAACATAAAACCCCAAAAAACTGTCATAGGAAGCCCAACCTTCAAACCATAGGATTCGAAACTGCTGACCATCTTTTGTGTTTTTTTTTCCTTTTTGTTCACTTTTTAATTTTCACTGAAATGAAATAATCAGTAGCTAGAGAAAGTGATCCACTTGATGAAGATTCATGCCTTTTTAAAAGCAGGTGTTACATAGAAGGAAAGGTAGAAGATGACTGACCCTGGGAAGGCGGGCAAGACATAATGAAAATGTGGGCTTTCAGTTATTGGTGGTATAGCATTTTTTTAAAGTAATTTTTATCCTTGAGGAATGAAGATTGATTTGACATAGTATCTAATGTATGTTTATTTACCTTCCTTTAGGGAGATGCACTTATTTACATGGAACCAGAGAAACAAGTGATGTCCAGGTCGTCAGATGAATGTGTTGTGGCTCTGTGTGACCAGTGGTTAGTCTCTTATAGCAAGAAAATTCCCCTAGTCAATTTGCTCACCTTTGACTTAAAAAAAAACATATCAATTTGTCCACTCCCAGGTACTTGGATTATGGAGAAGAGAATTGGAAGAAACAGACATCTCAGTGCTTGAAGAACCTGGAAACGTAAGATGGGAGAAAGTGATGAAGGAGGAAAAAGGAGATGAAAAATGTGGAAACAGTAAAGTTGAAATGCAACAAAAAAAGTGAACCAGTAAAGATACACTTTGTCTTTTGCTCTTTTCTAGATTCTGTGAGGAGACCAGGAGGAATTTTGAAGCCACCTTAGGTTGGCTACAAGAACATGCTTGCTCAAGAACTTATGGTCTAGGTAAACAAACTTGAAATTTTTCTGTTTGGATAACTTTGCCAGTTACACAGAAAATATACATTTTTACCTTTCCCCCCTGCCCTCAATTCTAGTGTTTTCTGAATTGAAAGCAGTAAGTTTCCTCTGGATGGTCATGAAAACTAGGATATAGTCCACTATCATCTACTGTGTGGTAGAAATATGCCCTCTCTATATAGATTTTGTGGTGTGACTTTTTTATGGAGAGACTCCAAGCTTCAACCATTTGTCTTTTTTTTCTTTTTTAGAGACAGAGTCTTGCTCTGTCGCCTAGGCTGGAGTGCAGTGGTGCGATCTCAGCTCACTGCAACCTCTGCCTCCCGGGTTCAAGCGATTCTCCTGCCTCAACCTCCCGAGTAGCTGGGATTGCAGGCACCCACCACCATGCCTGGCTAATTTTTTTTGTACTTTTAGTAGAGACGGGGTTTCACCATGTTGGCCAGTTTGGTCTTGAACTCCCGACCTCAGGTGATCCACCTGCCTTGGCCTCCCAAAGTGCTGGGATTATAGGCGTGAGCCACCATGCCTGGCCCATTTTGTCTTTTATCTACAATTTTATTTTTATTAATTATTCAAGAATAATTTAAGAGCTTCCTAAATAAGTAGCTTTGTAAATGTTATAGCCCCCTTCTTAAAAATGTGGATTCTATAGATGAAATGTCTCTCAGGTTCCTCATGCGTTACTTTTTATTTTTCAGGCACTCACCTGCCTTGGGATGAGCAGTGGCTGATTGAATCACTTTCTGACTCCACTATTTACATGGCATTTTACACAGTTGCACACCTATTGCAGGGGGGTAACTTGCATGGACAGGCAGAGTCTCCGCTGGGCATTAGGTTGGTAAACAGATAAGGGAAAGGAGCATAATTTGTCAGTAAGAGTTGTGATATTTGATTTATGTATTTAAATGTTTTAATAAGATTTATTTCACAGAATTTTGTCATGATATTTTTGCTTTTTTACTATTGAACTGGGAAAAATTAATAAATAGCCCCTTACTGTCATCATCTATTCTTCATTCTTATGGAAGCTGTTGTCCTTATTTGTTCCTGTAACTACATTAAGAAAGAGATTCCTAATCCATGTTTCGATTCAGGTACTGATTCTTCCAAAGAAATTACATATATATATATATAAAATAGTTTGTTTTATTTTTAATACAGACCGCAACAGATGACCAAGGAAGTTTGGGATTATGTTTTCTTCAAGGAGGCTCCATTTCCTAAGACTCAGATTGCAAAGGAAAAATTAGATCAGTTAAAGCAGGAGTTTGAATTCTGGTATCCTGTTGATCTTCGCGTCTCTGGCAAGGATCTTGTTCCAAATCATCTTTCATATTACCTTTATAATCATGTGGCTATGTGGCCGGAACAAAGGTGAATGATAAAATAGGTGTGGACTAGATTTATTGATTGTCAATAGGGGTGTCTTGTGGCTTCAAATATCTAATAAATTATTGTGGAGGGGATGGTATAGATTTGCCAGTTACATTCTTTTTCTTATCTTAAATATGTACTAAAGCAGAAAGGCCACCTCCTATCTCTTACATCCAGAAATCCACATACCTACCCCAGGCACCAAAGCATGTCATATCTCAGGTGCATTGCTGGTCTGCTAGTAATTCATTTGACCTGTTAAATGCAGGAATAATTCTAGACCATTAGAATTGGAAAGAACCTTCTCTTTAGAGCAGAGCGCCCCAAGGTTCCAGCATTAGTTGTGGTAACATTCTGACTAGAGTCTGTTTCTTCAGAGTAATCCTTCTGTCCTTTTCCCTCTTTACCCAGACATGTCTACTTTTCCCTCTAGTTCCTCAAGTAGCTGAGGAAACAAACCTCTCAGTCTGTTCAAATTTTATTTCATAAAACCAAGACAATTTCTTATGCCTTCTTGTATTTAGAATAAAATTACATTTTTTCCTTCAACAATAAAACGAAGATTTTGGAGTAGAGGAATAAAATAATTTTTTTTTTGAGACAGAGTCCAGGCTGGAGTGCAGCGGCACGAACTCAGCTTGCTGCATCCTCTGCCTCTAAGGTTCAAGCAATTCTCCTGTCTCAGCCTCCCGAATATTTTTTATTTTTTTTGAGACAGAGGTTTGCTCTTGTTGCCCAGGCTGGAATGCAATGGTGTGATCTCAGCTCACTGCAACCTCCGCCTCCTGGGTTCAAGCGATTCTCCTGCCTCAGCCTCCCGAGTAGCTGGGATTACAGGTGTGCACCACTACGCCTGGCTAATTTAGTATTTTTAGTAGAGACGGGGTTTAACCGTGTTAGCCAGGCTGGTCTCAAACTCCTGACCTCAGGTGATCCACCCGCCTTGGCCTCCCAAAGTGCTGAGATTACAGGCATGAGCCACCGTGCCCAGCCCAGAGGAATAAGATAAATTTAATGTGGTTCTTACACTACTTGTCATCCACTGTTATTACTTACCTAATTTATTTATTTATTTTTCTACAGAGTCTCACTCTGTCATTCAGGCTGGAGTGCAATGGCATGATCTTGGCTCACTGCAGTCTCAACTTCGCAGACTCACGTGATCCTCACACTTCCGAGTAGCTGGGACTAGCCACATGTCACCTTGCCTGGCTAATTTTGTTTATTTTTTGTAGAGACGAGGTCTCACTTTGTTGCCCAGGCTGGTCTCAAACTCCTGGACTCAAGCGATCCTCCTGTCTTGGCCTCCCAAAGTACTCGGATTACAGGTATGAGCCACCGTGCCTGGCCCTAGTATTTTTCTCTATTGTTTACAATGCATTTGTAGGCAAATTGGTATCTCAGAAGTATTCTTTACCAATAAGTTGAATCTTCATTCCTTTGCACCAATTTTTTTCACATTTGTTAGGTTTTTAAAAATTACAAATAAGTATTGACATCAAGAGCTTATGCCAGGTACTTTTTAAATCACTTTTAATAACTCTTTTTACTATAGCTTTTCGAGGAAGGTCTTTAATATCCATGTCTGTAGGCAGGGAAGTGTACTGAGGAATAAAGAGGAAGAAATCATAATCCAAAGCTACCCAGCTAATGAAGATAGTACAAGTATGCAAACCCAGAGAGATTGGCTCCACAACTCTTGCTCTCAACCCCCCATATGATCTCATTGCTAGAATGAATGAATGACATGTACATAGTTTGAAAATTTAAAGAATACATAAAGGCAAAAAGTTAAAAGTGAACTTTCATCCTTGCCTGCACACTACTCTATTTCCCAAAATTCATCATGATGCTATTGGTTTCTTGTGATTTTATATACCAGCATCTGATATCTCTATTTGTTAATGTATATAAAGATACCACATTGTTTACACTGTTCTGTCTTGTTTTCACATGTATATGTGTGTATATATGTGTATATATATGTGTGTGTGTATATATATGTGTGTGTGTGTATATATATGTGTGTATATTTATATGTGTGTGTGTGTATATATACATTTTTTTGAGAGGGAGTCTTGCTTTGTCGCCTAGGCTGGAGTGCAGTGGCGCGATCTTGGCTTACCGCAACCTCCACCTCCCAGGTTCAAGCAACTGTCTGCCTCAGCCTCCCCAGCAGCTGGGATCACAGGCGCCAGCCACCACACCCGGCTAATATTTGTATTTTTAGTAGAGATGGGGCTTCACCCTCCTGGCCAGGCTGGTCTTGAACTCCTGGCCTCATGATCCACCCGCCTTGGCCTCCCAAAGTGCTGGGATTACGGGCGTGAGCCACTGCGCCCAGCCTTCACATATATTTTTAAGATCTTTTTATATCCATACGTGTAGCCCCACCTAAGTAGTTACGTCATTGTATACCTGTATCCTAGTTTATGTAGCCAGTCCTTTGATTTGTTTTCACTTCCCATTACAAAAAGGACTATAGTGTATATCCTTGCACTTTTATCTTAGCAAGCCTTTATGAGTCTATTAGCTTTTACCTCAAAATTTTAAGCCAGAACTATCATCTTTGTTTTTTTATTTTCTATCTTTAAACATTTATCTGTGAAGTGACAAATGGCCTACAGCTGTGAGAGCAAATGGACATCTCCTCCTGAACTCTGAGAAGGTAAGGCTTATTGCATCTTAAAAGTTTAAAATTCTGTGGAAGGCTTTTCAGATTTAGGTTGTTGCACTTTTTTTTAAATGTATGTAAGAAATAATGTGTCCAGGTGTGGTGCCTCATGCCTGTAATTCCAGAGCTTTGGGAGGCCAAGGTGGGAGGATCACTTGAGGCCAGGAGTTCAAGACCAGCCTGGACGATATAGTGAGACCCCATCTCTACCAAAAAATTAGTAAATAAATAAGAAATAATATGAATTAATCAGAGTTAAAAACCTTCTAATTAGCATATTTAGGACGAGGCATAAATTAATTTTTTTTTTTTTTTTTTTTTTTTTGAGACGGAGTCTCGCTGTCTCCCACACTGGAGTGCAGTGACGTCATATGGGCTCACTGCAAGCTCCGCCCCCTGGGTTCACGCCATTCTCCTGCCTCAGCCTCTCGAGTATCTGGGACTACAGGCACCCGCCATCACGCCTGGCTAATTTTTTTTTGTATTTTTAGTAGAGACGGGATTTCACCGTGTTCGCCAGGATGGTCTCAGTCTCCTGATCTCATGATCTGCCCTCAGCCTCCCAAAGTGCTGGGATTACAGGTGTGAGCCACCGCGCCTGGCCTATAAATTAATTTTTATCTTTAAAATTGAGCAAGGGGAGTAGATAGTATTAATTGAAGAGAGAGATAGGGAAGAGTTACCTATTTGTAACATTTGTATTTAGAGTGGCCAAAGGTGACACAAATTGCAACTGAAGTAAAGAGAGAAAAAGAGAGACAGAGACAGGGACAGGAATCATAAAGAGCTTAGCATTGTGACCCAGAAGAGTTTTCTTTTCCTTTTTTTTTCTTTTTCTTTTTTTTTTTTTTTGTTGTGATGGAATCTCACTCTTTCGCCCAGGCTGGAGTGCAGTGACACGATCTTGGCTCACTGCAACCTCCACCTCCCAGATTCAAGCGATTCTCTTGCCTCAGCCTCCTGAGTAGCTGGGATTACAGGCGCATGCCACCATGCCCGGCTAATTTTTGTTTTTTTCCGTAGAGATGGGGTTTCGCCATGTTGGCCAGGCTGGTCTCGAACTCCTGACCTCAAGTGATCGCCTGCCTCAGCTTCCCAAAGTGCTGCGATTACAGGCATGAGCCACTGCACTCGGCCATTTTTTTTTTTTTTTTTTTCACAAATCCACTTTTATTGACTTTTCGTTAGTTTAAATCCTTGAGGGGTACAGCATCACTCCGATTCTGTGTCCAATAGCCTTAGCAGGAAGATTGTTTAGGAATTTGGCATGAACCATGCTACTGTTCCCGTGGGCCTGAGTTACCTTTCCCCAGATTACTCTGGTTTTGTTTGGTTTGCCTCCAGGAGTCACCGTCTGGTTCTTTGCTTTGTATACATAGCACATCTCTTGCCCAAATAGAATTCTGTTTCATCTTGAGCATAAACACCTTCAAATTTTTTTTTCTTTTTCTTTCTTTTTTTTTTTTTTTGAGACAGAGTCTCATACTGTTGCCCAGGGTGGTATGCAGTGATGCGATCTTGGGCTTGCTGAAACTTCCACCTCTTGGGTTCAAGCGATTCTCCTGCCTCAGCCTCCTGAGTAGCTAGGATTACAGGTGCCTGTCACCACACTCGGCTACTTTTTTGTGTTTTTAGTAGAGACAGGGTTTCAGTATGTTGGCCAGGCTGATCTGGAACTCCTGACCTCAAGTGATCCACCCGCCTCGGCTTCCCAAAGTGCTGGGATTACAGGCATGGGCCACTGCACCCAGCCATTTCTTTTTTTTTTTTTTTCCTTTTTAACAAATCCACTTTTATTTATTGACTTTTCATTAGTTTAAATCCTTGAGGGGTATAGCATCACTCAGATTCTGTGTCTAATACCTTTAGCAGGAAGATTGTTTAGGAATTTGGCATGAACCATGCTACTGTTCCCATGGGGCCCGAGTTACCTTTCCCCAGATTACTCTGGTTTTGTTTGGTTTGCTGCCAGGAGTCATGGTCGTTCTTTGCTTTGTATACATAAGCACATCTCTTGCCCACATAGAATTCTGTTTCATCTTGAGCATAAACAGTTTCACTTTTTTTTTTTTTTTTTTGAGATAGAGTCTCGCCCTGTTGCCTGGGCTGGTATGCAATGACGTAATCTCGGCTCGCTGCAACCTCCACCTTCCGGATTCAAGCAATTCTGCCTCAGCTTCCTGAGTAGCTAGGACTACAGGTGCCTGCCATGATGCTCGGCTCATTTTTTTGTATTTTTAGTAGAGACGGGGTTTCACTATGTTGGCCAGGATGGTCTCAAACTGACCTCATGATCCGCCCACCTCAGCCTCCCAGAGTGCTGGGATTGCAGATGTGAGCCACCATGCCCAGCTAACACCTTCAATTTTAAGAAGAGCTGTGTGTTCTGGAGACATTGCTCATAGCCAGCAAAAATGGCCTTGGACCACAGCCTTCCAGCCATATTTCCTTTTAGAAGTCCTGCTCCCAGCAGGCCTCCATAGGATCCAAGATGATGGGAAGAGCTATTTTTCTTAGTAAGTTGAGAAAATGACTCGGTGCTTTTTGTTTTATACTGTGACTGGCCACTAAATTAGTAGAATGATAGAATTTTGGAGTCTGTAAGATTTTTAGATGTCACGTAATGCTCCTTCCCAAGCAGTATAGTAGTCCTCTCTATGCTTCTGCTGTTACTATCACTACTGTTACTATTAATAATATGGGTGATTTTTTTAAAACAGACTGCATAGTACTTTATCTTATTAATCAATATCCTCAGTAGGAGGTTATGCAAACTTGACAGACCCCTCACTTGCCCCTATGATACTTCTGTGCAAATTAGAGAAGGGCACCCCTACTTGACTTAAAAAAAAAAGTACAAAATTATTTATTCCTCATTAATAAAAATGGTAACAAATTAGATTTGTTACAACCAGTGAATTTTGCTGTAACCAACAGAATAGCAATGACTGTATTAGTTGTCATAAGTGTCTATATGTCATAATGAAAATAGTTGTAGGGGACTGGGCGCGGTGACTCACGCCTATAATCCCAGCACTTTGGGAGGCCAAGGCGGGTGGATCACCTGAGGTCAGGAGTTCAAGACCAGCCTGGCCGATGTGGTGAAACTCCATCTCTACTAAAAGTACAAAAAATTAGCTGGGCCTGGTTGTGGGCGCCTGTAATCCCAGCTGCAGGCTGAGGCAGGAGAATCGCTTGAACCCGAGAGGCAGAGGTTACAGTGATTTGAGAACGTGCCATTGCACTCAGGCCTTGCGCGACAAGAGTGAAACTGCATCTCAAAAAAAGGGAAAAAGGAGAAAATAGTTGTAGCTTTAAACAAATGGCAGCTGATGTAAATTGCATTATGTAACATCAGACTTAGCCTGTGCCCTAATATTGAAAGGTAATAAAAGATGTTCCTTTAAGATAATCTGTGGCCGGGTGCGGTGGCTCACGCCCGTTAATTGCAGCACTTTGGGATGCCAGGGCGGGCAGATCACGAGGTCAGGAGTTAGAGACCAGCCTGACCAACATGGTGAAACCCCGTCTCTACTAACAGTACAAAAATTAGCTGGGCATGATGGTGCGCGCCTGTAATCCCAGCTACTCAGGAGGTTGAGGTAAGAGAATCCCTTGAACCGAGGGAGGCGGAGGTTGCACTGAGCCAAGATTGCGCCACTGCACTCCAGCCTGGGTAACAGAGCAAGACTCCATCTCAAAAAAAAAAAAAAAATAGGTAATCTGTATATTAGACTGAAAAACTGCTGTTTAGAAGCACAGGCGATTTTAATAGATTTTGTTAGCTCAATAAGGAACCTTTGATTATTGAACTCATTTCTTCTTTGTAAGTCAAAGAAGAACAATACATTTATTATTCTTGTTAGAACATGACATTTTCTTTGGCTGTCTGAAAGTTGTTGTACTATCCTGATTTTATTAGAACAAGATATGTATTGCCATGTAGTATAATAGAAAACTGATATAATCATCATTTCCTTCTGATATCAGCATAGTTAAACTAATGACATACAATTTTAAAGCGATAAAGATTGCTAGGCTGTGAGTGGTGCCTCTTCCGATGCATTGCCCTAAGGCAGAGCACAACTTGAACAACCGATTTTTGTGACCCTAATGATAGGAGGGTTCCTAAAATCATAACTCCAACCTCATGAGCTGGTCCATTCCATTTCTGAATGATTCTAATTGCCGTAAAGCTCTTTCTTAGGTAACCAGGTGGTGTTCTAGAGTTATAGTGGAATCATTACACATGTCTAACCCAGACAGTATAGGCTAAATCACAGTGGACTGAGTGTGAGTCTGGAGGTCCTCTCCTAGCTGTGTCACTGATAGCTGAGTAACCCAAACAAGGCACTTTATCGGATGAAATTCAGTTTTCACCGCTCTAAAATTAGTGTAATATCTTTTCCTTTCCGTATTTTGAATTCTTTTTTGTTTTTATCTGGTCATGGCCAACCTAGTTAATTTTATTTGGCTCATTTGGTTTATTTATATTACTGTTATTAATGATTGATCACTGACTCTCTATTTCAGATGTCAAAATCCACAGGCAACTTCCTCACTTTGACCCAAGCTATTGACAAATTTTCAGCAGATGGTGAGTAAACATTTTTCTTATTGCTGTTCTGTAGGGTCCAGTTCTCAGATTATAGAAGACACGTTAAAATTGGTGTTTTAATTTTACTTTCTGTTTTGCTTTTAACAAAATTTTAAAATCTTAATGTTTCCTTTGTGGATGAGCAACATAATATTTAATATATAAGAATTGCTGACATGATGTGTTCAGGAACAAATCAAGCTGAAGTTAGTTTGAGTCTTCCTTTAATGAACTCAATATCATTGCTAAGATTCAAGACTTGTTTTGTAGAGATGTTGAGTATGGGCCAAGCGCGGTGGCTCACGCCTGTAATCCCAGCACTTTGGGAGGCCGAGGTGGGTGTATCACCTGAGGTCAGGAGTTCAAGACCAGCCTGGCCAACATGGTGAAATCCTGTCTCAACTAAAAATACAAAAAAAAAAAAAAAAATTAGCTGGGTGTGGTGGCAGGTGCCTGTAATCCAGGCTACTTTGGGAGGCTGAGGCAGGAGAATCGCTTGAACCCGGGAGGCGGAGGTTGCAGTGGGCTGAGATTGCATTGCACTCCAGCTTAGGCAACAAGAGTGAAACTCTGTCTCAAAAAAAAATGTTGAGTATGTAGGAAGCTTTTCCAAGATATTTCCTCTGTATTTGGTATTCCATTCTTATTAACTGAGACAGAGTCTTGCTCTGTCACCCAGGCTGGAGTACAGTGGCATGATCTTGGCTCACTGCAACCTCCATCTCCAGGGTTCAAGCGATTCTTGTGCCTCAGCCTCTCAAATAGCTGGGATTACAGGCATGTGCCTGCACGCTTGGCTAATTTTTGTATTTCTAGTAGAGACGGGGTTTTGCCTTGTTGGCCAGGCTGGTCTTGAACTCTTGGCCTCAAGTGATCCACCCTCCTTGGCCTTCCAAAGTGCTGGGATTATAGGCATGAGCCACCATGCCTGGCCTGTATTTGGTATTCCTAAATGTGTCTTGAACCTGGGAACATTGATTTTTTCAGAAAATTGTTTTTTTGTCTGGCCTCAGTCCTATTACATTTTATTATTATCGTGTCAAGAGAAGAAATGCACTATCCTGAAAGAACCATTCATTTCTTATATAATTAGTCATTGGTCATCATGGTACTTCTTTTTATTGGTCATGGCTAACTCAGTTTGTGTTCTCAGTATTTTGACTGGACACCAAAGCCAAAGACGGAACTGTATCCAAATAATATAGTTAGTCTGTTTCTTACAAGATATATAAGCAATTATGAAACCACTTTATGTATATATTAGGATTGAATAAATAAGTAAACAGGTAGATAATGAGAACCTCTGCCTCACAGAGCTCACTATCAGAAAAAGAAGCTATAAATAAGTAAAGAGAAAATGCTAGAATGAGCCCTATGGGGTCAGATTGGATTTGGTGATAAAAGTATGAGCTCATGATTTTTATTTTGTGTATAGATATGTAGATATAAAACTAAACAGCTGGGTGTGGTGGCTCACACTTGTAATCCCAGCACTTTGGGAGGCTGAGGTGGGCAGTTTACCTGAGATCGGGAGTTTCAGACCAGCCTGACCAACATGGAGAAACCCTGTCTCTATTAAAAGTACAAAATTAGCCGGGCGTGGTGGCGCATGCCTGTAATCCCAGCTACTCAGGAGGCTGAGGCAGTAGAATTGCTTGAATCCAAGAGGCGGAGGTTGCACTGAGCCGAGATCGCGCCATTGCATTCTATCTTGGGCAACAAGAGCGAAACTCCATCTCAAACAAACAAACAAAAAACATAGATATGTGTATGTATGGGTTAGTATACAAATATGAACTGTTAAGTGGAAAAGGCAAAGTGCAGAACCTGAATGCTTTGATTGGACACCAAAGCTAAAGACGGAAATAACTACATAATGAGTTCCCTCTTTTTTTTTTTTTTTTTTTTGCAACCCTATAGTGTTCCATTGTAGGGATATCCTACAGTTTAATTGATGGACATTTAGGTTCTTTTTTTCAATATTTTAGAATGGAAGATTTTGGTAGTACTGAGAGATGAGAATTGAAAAAGTAAAGTTTTATTAGTGATAAACTTGTAAGAACCTAGTTTCAAAACTGAGAAAAATTCATATGCATTTGTACACATAAGGCACCAGTGTGTATTCTCATGTATTAAAATGTATTTTGCTACCTCTAAATGAGGCTGAAATGTTGATAAGAAAACCACAATGAAAGGTGTGTCTTTATCCCCACTTTATCATTTTCTATCTCTGCCTCATTAAAGATCACTTTATCTCATTAACTCAACATGCCTGAGAAGAAACACATATTGGTGCTTAGTGGATGCAAATCAATATGGATGGTTCGAATATTTTAACATCACGGTTAGGGATGCTACTTTTTGGTGATTTTAATTTTTGTTGTTGATCCAGGACAGTCCTTTAAAGCATTTGTTAATTTATATATGGGCTTTGCAAGGTATCCAACTGGACACATAGGACACAGTTGATACTCAGTAACCATATTTTTAATGCATTGAATTTTTTTTTCTTCTTCCAGGAATGCGTTTGGCTCTGGCTGATGCTGGTGACACTGTAGAAGATGCCAACTTTGTGGAAGCCATGGCAGATGCAGGTATTCTCCGTCTGTACACCTGGGTAGAGTGGGTGAAAGAAATGGTTGCCAACTGGGACAGCCTAAGAAGTGGTCCTGCCAGCACTTTCAATGATAGAGTTTTTGCCAGGTAATCTGTAGATCCCAATCATTTTGTGTTTTAGAGTTACTTAGTCCTGGTGCATTTTTGTTTTCTTTTTCTTTTCTTTTCTTTTTTTTTTTTAATAAAATAAACTAATGATAATAATAGCTAGTGTTCATTGAAGGCTTACTTGTGCCGGGTACTATGCTAAGTATTTTGTGTCCATTATCTGACTTTAACCTCAAAGCAACCTTATTTAATACAGATATTATTAGCTCTATTTTATAAATAAAGAAACTGAAGCTTAGAACAATTAAGTATTTCCTTAAATGCCTTAAAGCTAGTAGTTGCAAACTTGGGATATGAACTTGCTTCTGTCTGTCTTGAAAGTCTGTTCTCATAACCATTTTACCATGTTGTCTTGTTTTCGAGTAGGGCAAAATGGTTAAAGGAAAAGTAGATTAAAAGAAAAGGATAAATATCTTTGGAGTCATCCTACGCACTGGTATTATAAAGATGAATGAGACCTGATCCTTATTGTCTAGCAAGAGAGACAAACACCCAGTTTCTAAGCACAATAATAGAGACAAGGAGAATTCAGAGATGTCATGTGACTTCTGGGTTTCTTTTTTTTTTTTCCTGAGACAGAGTCTCGCACTGTCACTCAGGCTGGAGTGCAATGGCACAATCTCAGCTCACTGCAGCCTCTGCCAGGTTCAAGCTATTCTTCTGCCCCAGCCTCCCTACTAGCTGGGATTACAGGTGCCTGCCACCACGTCTGGCCAATTTTTTGTATTTTTAGTAGAGATGGGGTTTCACTGTGTTGGCCAGGCTGGTCTCGAACTCATGACCTTGTGATCCACCTGCCTCAGTCTCCCAAAGTGCTGGGATTACAGGCGTGAGCCACCACGCCCGGCCAAATTCTGGGTTTCTTGAAAAATAAACAATGTTTTCAGGGAGAGGAGAAAGTGTGGATAAGCCATGGAAAGGGTCTGATATTTATTTGAAGTACATTATCTTGTGGGCAGAGGTAGGAAATGAAACAGGTTGGGGCCAGATTAGGCCAAATTAAGAAGAACCTGGATTGGTATGAGAAAATTTTTTTCTGATATCCAGTATTAGTTATTGTAAATGCAATAATTAAAACCTGGCTATGGCCAGGCACTGTGGCTCACGCCTGTAAACCAGGCACTTTGAAAGGCTGAGGTGGGAGGATTGCTTGAGCCCAGGAGTTTGAGACCAGCCAGGGCAACAAAGTGAGATCCTGTCTCTACAAAAAAAAAAAAAATTAGCTGGGTGTGGTGGCTTGCGCCTGTAGTCCTAGTACTTGGGAGGCTGAGGTGAGAAGATTCTTTGAGCCTAGGAGTTTGAGGCTGCAGTGAGTTGTGATCATACCACTGCATTCTAGCCTAGGTGACAGAGACCCTGTCTCAAAAAAAAAAAAAAAAAAAAAAAAAAACTTGGCTACAACCTTAGTTAGGCTATTTTCATGTTGCATTTTGGGCTTTATAAGAATAAAGTGTCCATCAGGAAATTTCTGAAGAAGCATCATTTATTGTCATAAACAGGAGCCCTAAGCAGTGTCAGATGACAGTACTTAAGGATGGATAGACAATAGAGAGATTGCAGTAATTTGTTTTAAGGAACGCAAAGATGGTGTTGTGTTGAGCAGTTTTAAATGTTCTGGGCATTGTTCTCATTTTACTGCTTAAATGAGCAGTATTTCAAATTTGTATATTAAAAAGCAGTATTTTAAATTTGTGTATGCAGCAGTTTTTTATAGCTATGTATAAGTGCCTTTAAACTCAATAACCTTTTTTTCCCCGTATTCAATAGTGAATTGAATGCAGGAATTATAAAAACAGATCAAAACTATGAAAAGATGATGTTTAAAGAAGCTTTGAAAACAGGGTTTTTTGAGTTTCAGGTAGGCTGTTGATTCTTTTGGTAGCTATAAAACATGTCAATGTGAACATTATGTATTTTCCCCCTTTTTTCTTCCTGCTATAGCACAATTACTCGCCTAAAGTGTAGACTGAAAATCCTGCCAGAAAAATTTTAAATTCTTCAATAAATTGTGATTTTAAGTTATTATCTTTGGTATTTTTTCTATTGTGTCCATTTAATTTAATAATTCTGCTCCTAGTTAAGCTATGAGCATTAATATAAAGGAGATTAAATCTAAAATTCAGCTATACTTTCCAGGAAAACATTTCAAAATTGATAAAAACAAAGGCAAAATTGTAATTAATTGCCATTAATTTGAGAGCAAGCGTTTTCTGAGGTTTTCCACAAGGTGTCAGTATTTCCTCAAGTTTGGCATTTAAAGTGCTTAAAGTAAAAATGTAGCTTTACGCAATGAGCTGTGTAAAATATCACATTGAGTTTTATATAACTTGGTTTTCAGAGTTGTGGTTAAATAAGGATAAATGGCTGGGCATAGCAATGTGTTGTATTTATAGTCTTTTTTTATATTTAATATCCTATATGCTGCTAAGAGCAGTCACCCTTAATATACAGTTAAAGTTGTTCAACTTTTATGTCTCAGTTACAAACTGTCTGTAAAAAAATTCTTTTTTTGAGAATTATTAGTATAAAACTGCCATATACTTTGGACAAAGATAAATACTTGCAGATTCTTAAAGTAAAACCTTTACAGTAATTTGTTATGGATTTTTAAAAGACTAGAAACTTAAAAATGTGTTAAAACCAAGATACTGCAATTTTTCCCTTTATTTTTATTTTAAAGAAGGTGAGGGAAATGGTAAATAATTTCAAATTTTATAGGCCGCAAAAGATAAGTACCGTGAATTGGCTGTGGAAGGGATGCACAGAGAACTTGTGTTCCGGTTTATTGAAGTTCAGACACTTCTCCTCGCTCCATTCTGTCCACATTTGTGTGAGCACATCTGGACACTCCTGGGAAAGGTACCTTCATGCATTTAAAATGTTTCGAGTGGTTTTGATTTTGGCTTCATTAAATAAGTGTTGTGCTAATATTGTTACTTAAGAGAGAAAGTCTGAAAGTGAGTAATTCAAGAGTAATGCTGGATTCAGCATCATAATTATGACGGGTTAAACCAGAGCTATCTCCTATTCAGATGGATATATGTGCCCTTATTTATATACACAACAGTGCATACATATTTTTAAAAGGTGAAAATATTGAGAAAGATATAAACAATTGTTATGAGCTGCTTAAAAACAAAGATATAGGTGTATATTTGTGTATATTTGTGTAAGTATTCTTGTTTTATATAAAACTTCTGGCATATATAGGACTTAATATTCAGGGATAGTAGCATTCTTACTATGAATATAAATTCAGTTATTTCTCCCAGGCTTACAGATAAATAGATTGGCTGGTTTAATAACTCCTTTCCAGCCATATTAGCTAGGCTCTTTTGTATTTTTAAATGCATGAACAATACAGAAATGTGCTCATGATCTATATACCAAATAACCGTACTTGAATACTGGATGTATTAGCAGGATAAAAACTGAGTGTATGCATAATTTATATAATAATGATTAAATTTAGGCAAATTAGCATTACATAATTTTCTTTGAAAGTGAGCATATGTGTGTGGGTATTAATATGCTTGTACAAATGGATGCTAATTAAGAATGTAGAGTCAGACTTCACAGCTTGAATTCTAGGGAACATTAGATCAGGGGCTGTGCAAGTGTGTTATGTGTAGTCAAGTTTGAACTCTGAGCACACAATTACAGATGGTATCCTTGGTATGAAACTATAATCAAGAACCGTAAAATAGTTATATTGTCTAATCTCACTGAAGGTTTTTTTGTTTTTCTTTTTTTAAAAGCCTGACTCAATTATGAATGCTTCATGGCCTGTGGCAGGTCCTGTTAATGAAGTTTTAATACACTCCTCACAGTATCTTATGGAAGTAACACATGACCTTAGACTACGACTCAAGAACTATATGATGCCAGCTAAAGGGAAGGTAAAGTTTTTTTGTTTTTTTTTTTAAAGGATTATTCCTTAAAAGTTATTGATCAGATAACATTTAACAATAATGAAAGTTAAAAAGATTTTCATTAATGGTGAAGACCGTGGTGGTGTATGTTGGGGGAGGGTTCTTCTCATTTTTGGTTTATATAAAAGCTATTGAATGTTTTTCCTTTCTTTTACCGTCTAGAAGACTGACAAACAACCCCTGCAGAAGCCCTCACATTGCACCATCTATGTGGCAAAGAACTATCCACCTTGGCAACATACCACCCTGTCTGTTCTACGTAAACACTTTGAGGTGATGCTCTCAGTAGACTTTTCCCCCCTGATGGTGTTGTATGCTCCCTATGTTGTTTTTGTTTTTAGGATGTTGGCAATGTCTGGGAGAAGAAAGATAGGCAGCTTTGTTTCATTCCCTCTAGGCAGACAGCATCCTTTTGTTATTCTTGGTGGCTCTTAAATGGATGCTGAGGGAAAAGCTGCTGTTTTCCTCTCATTTCTGAAAAATTTATACAAAAATACATTGGATCTAGTTGAATGTAATCAAAAGAATTGGGGGTTTTCATATGTGTAGTTGAAATGATGAAATAAAAGGACAGAGTTTGCCTTTGGAATTTGTTGTAACTTGAGCAGTGGGAGTCATTCATTAAATTTATTCATTCATTATATTCATTCATTAAATTATTTCAAATCGTAACCTTGTTTATTGTTTGGAAAAAAGTGAAGCTTTGTTCTTGAGTACTTTAAATGTTGTTTGGTTTGATAATTACCTATAGAAATGTAGAGCTTGAAGACATTTTTGGCTGTGCCAGGTAATGATAAATCCACTTAAAGGGAACTCAATAACTTAGATCTAAGTTTTCCTGAAAGAAAAAAATGTATTTTTCCTCTGCATTCAAAATGTAGAAACAAAGTATGTTTATGAACTTTGGCTTTTTTGCTTAGGTTATTAAAACAGTTATTGCTAGATGCAGACCACTAAGGTGCACTTTAAAAAGAGAGACAAAATACGGATTGTGGTCAAAATGTAAAGAAGAAACGTAAAGGAAAAATTCTTAGCTTTGATATTCTAGACCATTATTGGAATTTTGCCTCAACACTTTTCATAGTTAATTAAGAAATGCTAAGAAAAGCTGCTTTTACATATGTAAAATTTGATAGAGAAGAGCAAATGTTTTTGTATTTCTTGTGAGTCTATTTTTGTGGAGAACTATTTCCACCTTTGAGTATATATGATAGAAATAGAAGGTGGCCTTTAGAATCTGCTTGCAGATTTTGAATTAAGGTAAATAAAAGATAAAAGCTACTTTGGTTGGCACAAAAGTGAAACTACCTCAGTGGATTATATATTCATACCAGCAATTTCAAGGAAGCAGTGGAAGAACCCAAATATAATATGTAATGTCTTAGGTATTAAAAAATGCATCACCTCTGTTCTTTTTGAAGTTGTTTTTTTACTTACTATTCATTTGCTAGATAATTGAAAACAGTGGTATCTTTTGGCATTAGCAGCTGTCTTTTAGATTTTTGTATGTTTTCATCCACAGGAATGAAAAGAATGTTCATTTATAATCACGAAGAGTGTTCTTATGTTGAATGTGGCACCATTTTGGTGACATAAGGCAAAGGAGTGTTTCCCACCCTTTTTCTTTTTCGTGTGTTTCAGAGGAATATATTAACAAGTAGAATATTTTTTTCCCATGTACTTTAGTAAAAGTTAGAATTGAAAATAGATTATTTGAAATTGTATTATATGTTCCTTTTCATTTAGATTCATTCCCAACCCTTCTTTTACAATAAAGAGAAAACAAGTTGCCCAAAACTTTGAAAAGACCAGTTGCTTTATTTCTCACTCTATTGAGGGGACCGTTAATATTTGTAGAAAGAAATGAATTTAGATTCATTTAAAGCACACTTGGATTGTACTCATCAGTGATATATGATATGGACATTTATTTTTGAGTAGATAGAAATGATTCTGTTTTTAACAGGTCAGTAGCTAGGGATTCTTTTCACAATTGTGGTAACAGTTTCTTCCAAGTGTCCAAAAGCAGACATTATATAAACTTGTATGATAGTTGTGTAATTTTTTATTTTAATATGACTAATAAAATGCTTTTAGAAATTTGAAAACAAGTTTTTATGAGACCATTTAGTTTCTGAACAGGAGAAATATTCAACACAAATCACTTCTTTTTCTCTTCTAAACTAAAAAGTATGTGTTGTTAATTTATAGAGAATAGGAGAGTTCCTTCTGCATTGTTCATTGAGCTTTCACTTCCCCGTGATGCTAGGGCTGGACACTTTTCTGCTGTTCTCTAAGGATTGATAGAGGCCACCATTCTATGCCTGGTCACATCTACTGTTCTGCCTTATTCTTGAGACTTTTTTTTCTACATTACTCTCCCTCCTTCCTTTTCTTAGGCCAATAACGGAAAACTGCCTGACAACAAAGTCATTGCTAGTGAACTAGGCAGTATGCCAGAACTGAAGAAATACATGAAGAAAGTCATGCCATTTGTTGCCATGATTAAGGTAAGCTGTGGACCTTATGCAGCTGTGACCACATGAGCAATGGTTAGATGGGACAATAGAAGGATGGGGAAAAGCCTTGGACATAGTCTCCTGCCAGAAATCTGCTAAAATAGCACTTTTCAATCAATGACTGAGAGAAATGATCTATCAGATTTTGGGTTTACTTGTGGAATTGCTGAGTATGTGAAAAATATTATTGTGGGAGAAAAATTGGTTTAGAATGGCTGCACTGAACTATTCCCTTCATATTCTACCTTCCCTTCTTTCAAACTCTTTTGGCTTACATTAGGCTTATAGAGGCTTGCATTTCCTAGACCCTATTCCTGGAACCAGGATTCAACATTTGTATAGGTATAGCTTAACAGGGTAAACATTGGTTATAGTGGTTAGACCAGGGTGTCTCAGCATAGCTCTGTTGGTATTTTGGGCTAGATAGTTCTTGTGGGGCACTTTCTTGTGCACTGTAGGATATGTAATGGCATCCCTGGCTTCTACTCATTAGAAGCCAGTAGAACTACCTTTCCTGCTAGTTATGACAATGAAAAATATCTCCAGACATTGCCAAATGTCCGCTGGGGGCAGAATCACCTTCCACTTCTTACCATTGAGAATTATTGGGTTAGACCCTTAGTTTTCTTCATATACGTCGCTGATGTATTACTGGATTTCTTGACAAAAAGAAACCGAAAGAAGGCTTATATTGCTTAAGATCGCAGGCTATGGGGCCAGAAAAATCTTGGTTGAAATTCTGTGTATCAGTCACTCCTTAGTTTTGAGACCTTGGACAAATCACTTAAATTTTCTGGGCTACAGGATTTTTCATCCATAAAATGAGGATACTATAGAACCAAACTTTTTAGGAGTGCTGTGAGGAGTAAATAAAATAGTGTACCTAACACACTTAAGTAGCACTAGTCAAGAAGTAGGCTCAGTAAATGTTGTTTAAAAATACAAATTAGTATCTTCCAGCCTACTAAGCATATTGTAGTTATTCTTGTACTGTCCTTTAATTCTTGTGTCTTCTTGGCTGCAGATGCCTGATGGAGACCAGACCTCTTAACTTCTTCAATATTATAATAGATTAGTATTCTTGGAAAAGGTTTTTAATTCTCTTAGACCAAAGTCACTATTTGATCCTCAGGGTATTTTAAGTTTCAGAAGTAATTTAGAATCCTGTGTTGACCTACACTAATCAAGTTGTAATGTAAGTGCTGGTATGTTCATAGTTCGTTGGTTCCCCAGTGGCTAGTGTCATTGGTCATAATGCCAAATCTCTGTCAACATGTGGATCCAACAAAATATTCCATTGATGGTTGCAAAGGCAATTAATTTTGATGACATGTTTTAAAAGAATCCAGGGAAACCTATTTGAAAAGTAGTTATGTGTATATGTATATATATATAGAGTGTGTGTGTGCGTGTGTGTGTGTGTATAAAATGATATTAGATTCAAGAGTTGGCTTCTTTAGGATCTCATTTAAATTTGAAGAACCAGCATCAGACCGTTTGAGTGGTAATATATTTTTAAAATTATGTTGGTGATTTGCCAGGCAAATTAGTGGTTTTGCAAATTTTGGAAGGGATTAATACATCTGGGAATAAGAAAATGACTTTCTAGCACTTCCATGAGAAAAAGAAATAGAACTTGCATAGTAAGCGAAAACAGTGAGTAGCAGGAATAATATCAGGTCACTTTCATTAAGTATAACATGTTCTAGGTAGTTATATCTGCATATGTACTTGGATCTCTAGGATTCTATTTTGCACAGCAAATATTGACTACCCAAGAAAATTAAGAATAAGAAATTATTTTTTACATGCCATGTTTGAGTACTCATGTAGTATGAGTTTTTTTTCTTTAAACTTTGCAGAAATATCTTTGGGGATTTTTTGTTTGGATATTATTAATTCACTATTCTCTGAAACAGCTTTAAGAAGGTGGTATCTCAGAAAATTAAAATTTTGTTTTTTTTGGGTAACTTAAAGGGATATTTTCACACATTTGGCTGATTCCCTGTAAAGTGAATTCTTTGGGCTTGCATGTTAAGTCAGTCTAAATAAACAATCATAAAACCGTATTTATTTTATAAATCTGAAAACCTTGTGCCTTCCCATCTTTTCAGTGCTGCCATAATCTTATAATACTTTAAAAGATAATTATTTGGAGCTAGTAAATTTCATTAACAAGCAAATGTAGGTAAAGGAAATCATGAGTCCAAGGCCTTTCCTTTAACTCCTGAAATCTGAAGATTTTATCAGTTGAGAGAAGAATGATTACTTTGGAGGAAGTATGTTTTCCAACATATTCTTACTGTGATTTTGTTTTTCCATACCATTTTGGCTATTAGGAAAATCTGGAGAAGATGGGGCCTCGTATTCTGGATTTGCAATTAGAATTTGATGAAAAGGCTGTGCTTATGGAGAATATAGTCTATCTGACTAATTCGCTTGAGGTAAGAGGGCCAGGGATTGTAATAACCAGTTAACTGTAGTTAAACCATAATCCAGCTCTTTTATTTTATAATAAACCTTTTTATAAATTTCATCTTCTGTGTTTAGTATCTTTGTTAAATATATTAGTCGAAAATATTTTTGGAGAGAAGAAAAATGGGTGAGTATAAAAGTTGCAGGAAAAAAAGTGATATGTCATCTTATTTCATCAATTCTTAATTTACATATAATCAATTATACATTAAAAAACTGTATATCTGGCTATTCTACTGCAAATTATTTTTAAGAGACCTTATATTCAAATGCTTTCCAAGCCTCTCATGTTATGGAGTACTCTGAATTGTTGCCTTTTTTCCCCCCTCCCTTTTGATTTGCAGAATTGGATTAATTATAATCTTTGGTTTAGAATTGCTGCACTGATATATTGGTTCATGATATATTATGGTTCATGATATATTATGATTTGGTTCATGATATATTATGATTGTTCCATGTCTTGCCGTGTTTTTTTCCTCCCAATTTATAATAAAATGAACATCCCTGAATTTTCTACCCAATCCAGGAACTAGAACAGTACCAATAGCTTTTATATATCTGTGACGTTCTCCCCATCCAATCTTTGTGCCCCACTCACAACTTTATATATAGATCGTAAATAAGCTGGTCTCAGACAACTTAGGCAAAAGGAAAAGTCATGTGCTCTAGAAAACTGTTAGAGCACTCAAAAAGTGGTCCTAGTAATAATGAAGACACTCAAGTAAAAAAAATATAGGTTTGGAATTTAAGTAAAATTGTTTTGTGAAATACGGAGATGGAAGAAAGTTGTTTCTAATTAAGTATTTTATTTTAAATGAGTTAATGAAATTAATAAATATTAAATGACATCCATTTTATGTATATCTAAATGTTCATATATATTCATGTAGGTCAAAAAACTTCTTGGATCTTTTCACTTGGACCATGCAGACGCACCTTATGTTCAGGGTCATCTTATATTCAGACATATGCACTGTGCTATATTTCTGAGCTTTTCTTCCATTTATTTAAGTGGAAGCCTTTTATTCTCAAATGATAAATTTCTGAACTTCCATTTGTCTTAAGTGGAAGCCTCTTATGCTGATTTTCATTTTGTTTTATATGGCAGATAGATGCCAGATTTCATTATAGAAAATGATAAACATGACTATATAAATAACAATACTATGAGACATCTAAAACGAATGTTAAATAACTGATTACAGATTTCATTTAATATTTATATGGAAAATAATAAAATTGCACAGACCATTTCATGTTAACTGGAGAACCTAGTTTTGTTCTTGGTGAAATGAGGTGATGATTAATTTGAATCACATTAAGTGATACTAATAACTTCCATTTTTTCCCGTCTGTTTAGCTAGAACACATAGAAGTCAAGTTTGCCTCCGAAGCAGAAGATAAAATCAGGGAAGACTGCTGTCCTGGGAAACCACTTAATGTTTTTAGAATAGAAGTAAGTTGAAGGAATCTCACTGAATCATTGCATTTTAAAACCAGAAGAGACCTAGAGATCATTACATCTAAACCCACATTTAAAAAATAGAACAAAGTAAGGTCCAGAGAAATTAAGTGGTTGGTTTGTTGTAGACCCCATAGAGTGTTAGAAATGGGGATGTACCTGAAATGTCCTAATTCCTTGGTCAGTGCAATACTTACCTTTTCCTCAGTTTACTATTATAGGAACTATCAGATGTTATTTGTGGGTTTTAAAAATAGAAAGTATGATTTTCAAAATCTGGTTTTTATTTAAAAATACTGGAAATGTAGGACCTTTTTAGACAGTTAAAAGGAGCTTTTAAACCTCAGATGAGTCTTGGTTTGATTGTTATTCAAGGCTGTTTTGTATAAACTGGATTGATGCATAATCTTAAGTTATGCTGGAATAGCTTTTTTTAACCTCTTAGTTTTTGGCTGTTATTGGTGAAGACAAAAAGGTTTTGGATATTCTGTTTTTTGTTTGTTTGTTTGTTTTTTAATTTAAGTTCTGGGATACATGTGCAGAACATGCAGGTTTGTTACATAGGTATACACGTGCCATGGTGGATTGCTGCACCCATCTACCCGTCATCTACATTAGGTATTTCTCTTAACGCTATCCCTTCTGTTGCCCACCCCACCCTGACAGGCCCTGGTGTGTGATATTCTCCTCCCTATGTCCATGTGTTCTCATTGTTCAACTCCAGCTTGGGAGTGAGAACATGCAGTGTTTGGTTTTCTGTTCCTGTGTTAGTTTGTGGAGAATGATGGTTTCCAGCTTTATCCATGTCCCTACAAAGGACATAAACTCATCATTTTTTATGGCTGCATAGTATTCCATGCTGTATATGTGCCACATTTTCTTTATCCAGTCTATCATTGATGAGCATTTGGGTTGGTTCTAAGTCTTTGCTATTGTGGCCCGTGCTGCAGTAAACATATGTGTGCCTGTGTCTTTATAGTAGAATGGTTTATAATCCTTTGGGTATATACCCAATAATGGGATTGCTGGGTCAGATGGTATTTCTGGATCTAGATCCTTGAGGAAGGACATTCTGTTTTTTTAGTCTCAAAGAATCCATTCAGATTGGCAGCATTTGGCAAAGTCCAGGGGACTGCAATTGGGAGAGTCTGTAAACTGCCCTCCTTGTCTTGATAAGCAGAGGACTTAGATATGTTTTTTTACTTTTGCCACATTTGAAAACCCAGCAAACAGAAAAGGCCTATTTTGAAAGAATAAGGAAATCGTGATTATGGATACCTCCTGAATTTAGCATCATGTAAGGAATATGCTCATTGCATTAAGATGTGGTAGCTTTTAATAGTTCAGTCATTTGAGCCATGGAGATAGGTATATGAAAATATTCCTTATACAAATATATTTATTTCAAACCATTTTCAAGTATTCTATTAAGATACTATGTATTTAAGTCTTTCACAAGACTCATTTGACTTTTTTCCACTTAAAAATAATAAACAGGGTTCTGGACTATGTAGCTTCTATAAGTACAACATAGGTTTATGTTGAATCTTGACCTTGCCACTTACTAGCTGTGTGACCTTGTGCTGATTTTTAATCTTTCTGGTTCTCAGCTTCTCTTTTGTGAAAAAGGGTACAAAAGAACTACTTCAGGGATATAGAACTAACGTCGATGAAGTGCTTAGTACAATGCCTAATACATAGTAGAGATTCAGTGAATGATGGTGGTTGTGGAAGAGAAAATGTAGTTATTGTTAGTGTCCATCATTGGTGTTGATATATGTAGTTGTAGTCATCTTTACCTAGGCATTTGGTTATAAGCATGAGCTTGTACAGCTTTTCTTTCATATTTGAGTACTCCTTAGTCATGATTTTAAAATACCAGAATTAGATCTGTCTTTCATTGGGCATTGAAAACGTAGCAGAGATTCCTCCTCCCTCAGCAGTATTCAAGTTAAACAATCATTTTCTTGTTGTTTTCCTAGCCTGGTGTGTCCGTTTCTCTGGTGAATCCCCAGCCATCCAATGGCCACTTCTCAACCAAAATTGAAATCAGGCAAGGAGATAACTGTGATTCCATAATCAGGCGTTTAATGAAAATGAATCGAGGAATTAAAGGTAAGTTGTTCCCCAAAACTCCCATTTGTCAGTAGCTTGTAGATTTGGTGAGTTCTAAGCAGAAAGGAAAAAGAAAAGAAACCGGCTTGCTTATGGACAGCTGTGTATTATTATGGAAAAAGTACTGGGATCAGAATCAAGAAAACTATTCTTTTTGGGACTCTGTGGCTAGGTAGCTTAGTGGCTTTGCCATGTCACTTAAGCTCAAAACTGATTTTTCATTTACTAATGTGAGGACAATAGAGGGATTAGATAGTTTTCATCTTTCTTTCTAGCTCTAAAATTGTAATGAGTGATTTCTGTCTCTCAGAGATATTCAGAATCAAGGAACACATACCCTTAATATTCTAAACTAACCTGTCCAGCAGGTCTGTTCCTTGAGAAGGAAGAGAAACAGAGTAAAAGTTATTGCATGTCTTCCATGTATTAACCATTTAATCCTTTTACAGTTCTATAATGTAGAGGGTATTCTTATTATTTCCCTTTTATAGATGGTGAACTGGAGGCTAAAAAGGCTAAGTAACTTGCAAAGTTTGTTTAGCTAGTAAACTCTAGATCTGGAATTCAAACAGGTCTGTTTGACTCCAAAGCTCATATTCTTTCTTCTAAACAATGTGCCTCCAGGTAAAATATGTCAGTAATCTTAACTTATTATCAAGAATAAGTCTGCATCTTTTGTGATTAGATTCAATGTAATAATTTATGGCTTTTCTTTTCGTCATCCAGCCAGGTCCTACGGTGAGCAGAGTGTGAAGGGAGATAGTGTGTCTCTCTTATTTTTCTTCTGAGCTATGAAAACAAATTAATGTTGTGATTCTCTATTTTGTATTATCTGTCTTTTTTCTTTTTGATAGCAATCAAAAGTTGATTGGCCACTTTCCATCACTACAAAAATTTTCTAAAAAGATTTATAAATCCCTAACAATAACCTAATTTATGGAACTATATTAGGGTAGTAACATGAATTAAAATAGGAGACTTGAAATAGCTCTTGGGAATTCATTCTGTCATTTATTTTGTGTTCTCTCGAAGTTGTTTCCCTTCTGTGGATACTTATTGAGACACTAATATATGTAGTGTTTGTAGAGACAACTGTGTATGTAGAGACTCCTTTGTATGTACTGGGGCTTTGGGGAGTCCACAGAGTGCTGTTCATTAGGAGCTGCATCTAGTAAAGGAGTAGGGAACTAAGCTATTGCAGTGTATGATAATGTAAGGAGAAATTGCTGAGTGTAGTAAGAAAGGTACAGGTAAAATGTATAGCACAGAGGAACGTGAGATTATTTCCACTTGCAGGGATCAGGGACTAATTTATGGAGAAAATACTGTTTGGATGGGGCCTTGAACATTATACCCATAAAGGTAAGGGGAAAGGGTATCCAGGAGGGAAATACCAGTTGCTTTTGTTTCTCTGTGTACAGAGCATCAGCAGCAACAGTATACTAGGGTTAGGGATGTTGTTGTTTATAGGTGTATTTTTTAATTGTGGTAAAATATACCTAACATAACATTTACTATTTTAGTCATTTTTATGTGTACAGTTCAGGAGGCTTGAATACATTCACATTGCTGTGAAACCATCACCACCATCCATCTCTACAACTTCGTCATCATCCCAAATTGAAACCCTATACCCATTAAATAATAACTCCCATTCTCCTTCCCTCCAGTCCCTGGTAATCACTGCTCTACTGTCTTTTTTTCTTTTAAGTTTTATTTTTGACAGATAAATGTACATATTTATGAGTACAGTGTGAGGTTTGGTACATATTTACAATGTGTAATTATCAAATTAGGATAATTAACATATCCATCACCTCAAACATTTATCATTTCTTTGTGGTGAGAACATTCAAACAGCTCCTCTTACAGCTATTTTGAAATGTACCATATATTATTATGAACTGTAGTCATCTACTGTGTAATGGAACAGTATAACTTATTCCTCCCATTTAATTATAACTTTGTACCTGTTGACCAACCTCCTTCCAGTCCCCTCTCTTCCATCCTTCCCAGCCTCTGATAACCATGATTCTATTCTCTACTTCAATGAAATCAACTTTTTTAGATTCCACATGTGAGTGAGATCATGCGATATTTGTTATTCTGTGCCTTTCTTATTTCACTTAATATAATGTCTTCCAGCCTCATCCATGTTGTCACAAATGACAGGACTTCATTCTTTTTTATGTCTGCATAATATTTCATTGTTTACCACATTTTCTCTTTTCATTCATCCGTTGATGGACACTTAGGTTGATTGCATATCTTGGCTATTGTGAATAGTGCTGCAATAAACATGGGAGTACAGATATCTCTTCAACATACTGATTTCATTTCTTCATTTCTTACTGGATATATGTCCAGTAGTGGGATTGCTCGATCATATTGTAGTTCTATTTTTAATACTTTGAGGAACCTCGATACTGTTTTTTATAGTGGCTATACAAATTTACATTCGCACCACACTGTTCTACTTCCTACCTCATGTATTTGACTGTTCTCAGTACCTCATATAATTGGAATCACACAATATTTTTCCTTTTGTGTCTAGCTTATTTCACTTAGCAAAATATCTTCAAGTTTCATCATGTTATATGCATTTATTATGTCCTCTCAGTGAACTAGGTACCATAGAATGATAGCTTCATCCTCAGAACTTATAGGCCACAAGAAGCAGAAAGAGCATGATAGTGGCTTTTAAAGAAAATAGATATGTGTGTGGACCCACTGGATAGGATTATATTTATTTACTTATTTTGAGATAGAGTCTCCCTCTGTCACCCAGGCTGGAGTGCAGTGGCACAATCTCAGCTCACTGCAACCTCCATCTCCCAGATGCAAGCAATTCTCATGCCTCAGCCTACTGAGTAGCTGGGATTATAGGCATGAGCCACCACACCTGGCTAATTTTTCTATTTTTAGTAGAGACAGGGCTTTGCCAACTTGGCCAGGCTAGTCTTGAGCTCCTGGCCTCAAGTGATCTGCCTGTCTCGGCCTCCCAAAGTGCTGGGATCACAGGGATGAGACACCGGCCCTGCTTGGATGGGATTATTATGATGTTATAGCACATAAAAGGATGTATTTCTGTATTGAAAATTGTATTATATTATGTTAAATCTACCTCTGTTTTAAATGTACTCAAATATAGCACTGACTAGGTTCTGCAGAATTGTACTGAAATGTATTTCCTATTTCTTGTCTTTTCTCATTGAGCCTTTGGCATAATTCTTATCTCCTTTGTCATACTAGCTGTGAAAAATATTATCTAAAGTGTCTTAAGTTTGATGTTAGTAGCTGTTGTAAATTTTAGAAAATAGAAACATTAGAGAGAGTTTGAAATTGCTATTCCTATAAGTATCTGCAGAAGAGATCTAACCTTGATACTTTACCAAAAGCCCTCAGGATGCCTTGATATCTAAAAGGCCTGAGTATATTCAGTATATGAGATGGAAGAGGAGTTAAATTCAGTAACATAGTTATTGGTCTGTTTGCTGCAATAGACAGCAAATTGTCCAATTAGTGCCAGTTGTATTGAGGGTAATTATGATCTGGGTCCGGGAGGAACTGAACTAAAACTATCATTTCATTCCACAAAGGCCACTGAGTAAACTATCTGATGGTAATAAATTTGAATCACTCACAACCCATGCCATATGTGAACTAACAACTTGGAAGTGAAAGCCTTCATTTCTCGTTATCAGTCCCTAGGGACTTAGAATCACTCTCATCTTTTCTCTAAGAGCCTTAAATCTTATGTAGTTGCAGGCTTAAATTTCAACAGTTTCAATGATAAGAGAAGTCTGGGATAAAAGACAGTTAAACCAGTAAGAAAGCTCTACGAATCTATGGACAGTAATGAACTACATGGTGAAACATCAAAGCAAATATGTTTTGTCACTTAGAAGCCTGATTGAGTATTAAGGTTTCTTTGAACTAGTTTGATTCAGAATTGCTTGGAATGATGAGGGAGGTCTGTTTTAGACAGAGAGAAAGAGTGTGTGTGTATGAGAGAGAAAGAGGCAGAGGCAGATCCGCAGTAAAAGGCCTTATGCATAAAATCTGCTGGCAGAACTTGTCACTGCATCTATAGCAAAATATTTGGTACCACTGATGTGTACGTTGAATTGCAATAGCTGTTAAAATTAATTGTATTCTTCCCCAAAATAAGATCGTGGCTGTCATGAAGATTGCGCCTGCTCTCTTCCCATTTTAATTTTCAGGGCTCGTACTGTGTCTGGGAATAGATTGTATGGTCCCTGCAGAAACTCTCCAAAGACTCTTAGACAGGGTTTGCTTTTGTGGTAGTCGCAGGTAATTGTTCTATAAGCCCCTTCTCTAAACTTCGGTCTTTGTTTCCCGAAGAGGACAGAATGCATGGATAACTTGTATTCTTGGTTGGCATGGCCGCCAGCTGCATTAAAGTCTTCTTTTATCTCTTATCCCTCTTATACTAAGCTTTGTACTCTCAAGTCAACATGAGGGAGGGTAGCTCAGGTGTGTTTCAGAAAGAAATGGGAAGTAATTCAGAAAATATCTTCTATTTCTATGGATCAGGTTAAGGATAACTAGCCATGCTACACTTCGAATGAGATATAAACCCAGAATCAGCATTTGTAGTCATTTCTGGTGTTTTTCTGCCATATAAAATAAAACCATTTGATGTTGGGAAGTCTCAGAATTGCTGAAATAAATATACTTCTTTTGGGCTCAGTTGTTGGCAGGATTGTTGACTTACAAAGTTGTTCAAGAGACAGGTGCTTTTTTTTTTTTTTTTTTTTTTTTTTTTGGTCAGGCGCTATTTTTTCAGCTTGCATAAGAGCAGATTAGGAAAATCTCAAGCAGGGTGGGTATTAGACCTCATCCTACAGCTAAAAATTCTGAAAGCTTAAATTTCTGTCCTTTCTCTGCCTTGTCCCCGCTCTCCTTGTCTCATCAACTTGTTAATACAAATACTTTCATCTTTTGAGCAAATGAGAAACTGGTAATGCCATTTCTTAGAGTAGTCATTATTTATCCAAAAGTATCTCTGAGAAAAGCTACAATTCTTGCAAGTTTAGTGTATTCCAGGGAGCTCAAGAAAGGGGTAAGTTTTAGATTTTTCGATATTCTGTACAATGGTTAATTGAAGCATATAAAAATGATTTGAGAGACCATATAGGATAATGCTAAAAAATACACACAATTCTTTCTCTCTCTTAGTTTGTAATTCCAGGAGATGTCAGAATCTCTGACACTTTGAGCTGGGTAAAAGCTGAAAGGGGATGAAGATTTGCTACATTTTAGCTTTGCTCCTGGGATTGTTTTTTTTTTTTTTTTTTTTTCCCCCCGACAGAATCTTGCTCTGTTGCCAGGCTGGAGTGCAGTGGCGCGATCTTGGCTCACCGCAACCTCTGTCTCCTGGGTTCAAGCAATTCCACTGCCTCAGCCTCCCTACTAGCTGGGACTACAGGCATGCACCACCATGCCCGGCTAATTTTTTGTATTTTAGTAGAGATGGGGTTTCACCATGTTGGTCAGGATGGTCTCGATCTCCGGACCTCGCGATCTGCCCACCTCAGCCTCCCAAAGTGCTGGGATTAAAGGCATGAGCCACCATGCCCGGCCACTGCTTTTTTTGTTTGTTTGTTTGTTTGAGATAGAGTCTCACTTTGTTGCCCAGGCTGGCATGCAATGGTGCGATCTTGGCACACTGCAACCTCTGCCTTCCAGGTTCAAGCGATTTTCCTGTGTCAGCCTCCCAAGTAGCTGGGATCACAGGCGCCCATCACCAGGCCCAGCTAATTTTTTTGTGTTTTTAGTAGAGATGGTGTTTTGCCATGTTGGTCAGGCTAGTCTCGAACTCCTGTCCTCAAGTGATTCACCCGCCTCAGCCTTCCAAAGTGCTGGGATTACAGGTGTGAGCCACCGCACCCAGCGTGGCTTTTATTTAATAATCTGAAGAAAATATTTTTGTTTAGATATAACAACCAGCGTATTTAAAACGTGAGTTCTCAGACTGCTCCAGGGTTTGAGTGACTGTAATTAAATGCTTATATTGATAATTTATTTTGTTGTAGACCTTTCCAAAGTGAAACTGATGAGATTTGATGATCCACTGTTGGGGCCTCGACGAGTTCCTGTCCTGGGAAAGGAGTACACCGAGAAGACCCCCATTTCTGAGCATGCTGTTTTCAATGTGGACCTCATGAGCAAGAAAATTCATCTGACTGAGAATGGGATAAGGGTGGATATTGGCGATACAATAATCTATCTGGTTCATTAAACTCATGCACATTGGAGATTTATCCTGGTTTCTTAGGAATACTACTACTCTGATTGTGTCTACTGATTGGCTATCAGAACCTTAGGCTGGACCTAAATAGATTGATTTCATTTCTAACCATCCAATTCTGCATGTATTCATAATTCTATCAAGTCATCTTTGATTCCTGGACCTAATAAATTTTTTTTCCCTTTCTTTGGGTGTCCAAGAGAAATGGTTTTTGCCAAACTCTTTTTAAAAAACAAATTGTTGCTATTTCCTAGAAGTTTCTGGTTTTTAAGATGAACATAAAAGTGTCAGTATGCTTCTTTTATGAGGTGTACTTTATACTTTGATGAAGGCTAAGGTGTACCTAACAGCTTTTTATAGTATATTCATTTATGGAGTTAGCTGTATTTTTTTTTAAAAAAGAAAAGTAGTAAATTAGCAGCTTTTTTTTTTAAATGAAGAGAACTTCATGATGATTTAAAAGAACTAATGAGAATATTTTGACTTGACTTCAATTACTAAGTATTTTGTATAAAGAACAAATAGGTCCTGCATTTTATAAGACTTTTTAAAGCTTTAATTATTCAACTAAGAACCAATAATGGCTTCTTCAAGGCTAATATCAATAGTTTATAAGCAGTATATTTCACCTACACTAAATATGGGCATTTTAAAAGAAGATTCCCCCCTTCCCCCCCAGAAATCTGCATTTACTAAATTTGTCTTAAGTCCAATTGTGTTTAAAGGTCATGCTGGTCGGGTGTGGTGGCTCACACCTATAATCCCAGCACTTTGGGAGGCCAAGGTGGGCAGTCACCTGAGGTCAGGAGTTTGAGACCAGCCTGACCAACATGGTGAAACCCCGTCTCTACTAAAAATACAAAAATTAGCTTGGCATGGTGGCGGGTACCTGTAATCCCAGCTGCTTGGGAGTGTGAGGCAGGAGAATCGCTTGAACCTGGGAGACCGAGGTTGCAGTGAGCTGAAACCGTGCCATTGCACTCCAGCTTAGGCAACAAGAGTGAAACTCTGTCTCAATCAATCCATCAATCAATCAATAAAATAGAGGTCATGCTGACTATTACAGATTTATTCTTTTATTCTTGTTGGAGTGTCTTTTAATATCTGCGCCATCTGTCTTCATATGAGGAAAAAATGTAAGGCATTGACTAACAGGAGAAACATTTCTAATTTTGATGGGTTTAATATGGAGAAAGAACAATTTTGATAACCCAGAGGAACCTGAATTCTAACTGCGGTTATGTAAATAGAGTTTATTGAGCTTCCTTATTTTGCTCTCCGCAGTTAGGGACCACTAGGCCTAGTCATATGGTTTATCACAGATTTATTGAAGCCAATCATAGGATGTTAGAATTAGAAATCATCAAGTGCAAATAATCACTTATCTACTAGGGACAGGCACTATAGCATAGTGGGGTAAGAGCGCATGCTCTGAAATCAGACTAGCTAGGTTAGATTTCCAGTTCTTCTTTTTGCTACTAGGATGCTCTTGGCCAATTACTCGGAGCTGCAGTTCTTCATCTATAAAATGGAACTAATACTGGTACCTTGTAGGCTTATTGTGAGACGTTTAGGTGAACTGATCTAGGAAAATCATAACACAGTGCCTGGCAAGTAGTAAGTCTTTAGTGAATGTTACCATTGAAGAAGAAGAAGATGATGGATACCAAGGTATATTGGCTTCAGATTACTGTAGTCTGTAATCATGTCCTTTGTGTTGGTTCCTTTGGGGCAACTGATTCTTTCTTTGCACTCCTCTAGATTCTTTTGCTGTCCTCTCTGATCTGCAAAGCCTTAATTATTTCTGAAATTAAGTAATACTTTCTGTTGCCTAAACACAAACCTACTTGTGTTTAACTTAGGAAAATTAAACTATGTGTGCTTGGCCAGAAAAAAAAAAAGAGAGAGAAAGGAAAATAATATTGTGATTGTGTTCATCTTATGAACCTGTACTGTTTTGGATTAGGTGTGAGTTGAGATTCATGGATCCTTTGTTTTTTCAGTCTTGATTTCTGTGTGTCTCTCTTAGAATAAGCTTCTTGCTGTGCTGAATATGCTTCTTATGTGTAGAGATACAAATGTTTTGTATAAGGAGTCGTCTGAGCATAAGCCCATTACTTCATCTGGTACTCAACAGAAGAACCAGCAGTTAGTTGAAATGCTGAAGGAAAAACAGGCTACACTGGGCTTATTCTATTATTAACAATAATATAATTGGGTGCATAATAATAATGTTATATATAACTTATGTTAGTGCCTTCCTAGAGGATTTTAACTCTTTTTAAGTTTTGAAATACAATGCACATACACAAAAAGTGAGCAAAAAATATACACACACAAAAAATGAACTTCCTTTCTCTCCCCACCTCCAAAAAAAGAATTTATTAATAAAGCAAACACCTGCACAGTCACCAAACAGTTGAAGAATGGCACAGTGCCAGCACCACAGAGGTCTGCCTTTTGCCTTCTCTGGTCGCTAGAGATAAGCTTTCTGGCCCAGTATATGTCAGTTTTTATAAATGTTGCATTTGAGCTTGAAAAAAATATATATTCTGTAAATGCAAAAGTACTGTATGTGTCCATTAGGTCAGAGTTGTGGATTGAATTGTTCAAACCTATATCCTTACTGTTTTCTCTCTTTCTGTTTTTGAGAGGTATACCAAAATCTCTCATGACAATGAAATTTACCTGTATCTTGTTATAATTCTGACAGTTTTTGTTTTATATATTTTGAGGCTGTTTTGTTAGGTACATATAAATTCAGATTATATTCCTTCTGGTAAGTTGAACTTTTTCTAGTTAGAAAGTGTTTCTTTTTTGCCCAGGCTGGAGTGCAGTGGCACGATCTCGGCTCGTTGCAACCTCTGCCTCCCAGGTTCAAGCGATTCTCCTGCCTCAGCCTCCCGAGTAGCTGGGATTACAGGCACTTGCTACCACGCCCGGCTAATTTTTGTATTTTTTTTCTTTTTCTTTATTATTATTATTATTATTATTATACTTTAAGTTTTAGGGTACATGTGCACAATGTGCAGGTTAGTATACATGTGCCATGCTGGTGTGCTGCACCCACTAACTTGTCATTTAGCATTAGGTATATCTCCTAATGCTATCCCTCCCCCGTCCCCCCACAATTTTTGTATTTTTAGTAGAGACAGGGTTTCACCATTTTGGCCAGGCTGGTCTCGAACTCCTGACCTCGTGATCCACCTGCCTTGGCCTCCCAAGGTGCTGGGATTATAGGCGTGAGCCACTGCACCCGGCCATTTCTCTTTATTTTTAATTAATTTATTTTTTGCCTAGAGACCACTTTGCCTAACAATATAGTAACACCAGTTATCTTTTGGTTAACGTCCATGCAGACTATCTTTTCCATTCATTTACTTTTAACCTTCAGTAGTTTTATTTTCTTTTAACACTTCATTTCGAGAAATTTTAAGCCTACAGAAAAGTGGAAAGAATTGGCCAGTAAACATCCATGCGCTTGTCACCTAGATTTGCCAATTGTTAATATTGTGTCACGTTTACTTTATCTCTCTAAGTATCTATTTTTAAAATAAACTTTTAATTTTGGAATAGTTTTGGACTTACATAAAAGTTGCATCTTTAATATGGAGAGATCCTGTACATCTTTTACACAGTTTCTCCTGTTAACATCTTACTTAACCTTGGTTTAGTTGTTAAAACTAAGTAATTAACATGAGTACATTATGATTAACTAAATTGTATACTTTGTTTGGATTTCACCAATTTTTCTATTAATTTTTTTTACTATTATGGGATCCTATCCAGGATAACACATTGTATTTAGAAAATATTTTTTAAAAATTCAGAACCATTTGACAGTAAGTTACAGACACCATGACACTTCATCTTCCCATAGGTTATCACGCAACTCCTAAGAACTTGGACATTCTCCTATATAATCACAGTGTTGTTATTATGCCCAAGAAATTTAACATGATACAATAATATTAGGTAATAAGCTTTTCTAGTAAAACTTCCCCAATGTCTCATCAATAATGTGTTCTTTGAAAAACTCTCAGGATTCAAAGATCAAGTATTACATTTTGTGGTTAGGTCTGTTAATCTCCTTTAAACTAGGGTAGTTTCTCTGTTCTTTTTTTGATCTTTCATGACAGTAACATCTTTGAAGACATCAAGCTGGTCGTTAGCATGATGCTTACAATCTGGATTTCTGTATTTTCTCATGGTTGTAATCAGATTTAAAATTCTTGGCAAGATTACTACATAGGTGATGTTTCCCACTGGATCATGTCAGGATTAATGTATTGTGGATTTGATTAGCATCATATTTCTCGGTTGAAAAGCTACTCTTCCTTTTTGTAATTAAGTAGTCTGTGAGCTGATACTTTGAGGCTTATATGAATATCCTGCTGTTATGATCTGAGTGTTCATGTCCCCCCAGAATTTATATGTTGAAACTTAATCTTCACGGTGTTGGTATTAAGAGGTGGGGCCTGTAGGAGGTGATTAGGTCATGAGGGTGGCTTCCTCATGAATGGGATTAGTGCTCTTACAAAAGAGGCTTGAGGGAGTCCTGTTGCCTTTATGCCATGTGTGGACACACAAGGCACCAGCTATAAGGAATGGGCCCTCACCAGAAGTTGAATATGCTGGTGCCTTCCTCTTGGACTTCCTAGCCTCCAAAACTAGCAATACATTTCTGTTGTTTATAAATTACCCAATTTAAGGTATTTTGTTAGAGCAGCCTGAAGGGACTAAGACATTTGTTTATCAGCTAACTTTCATGAAGTGGTAGCATTCATGGATAAGCTGTCAGTTATTGCATTGATGGTTGTAATATGGTGAGTTCTTAAAAATGATAAAATTATTATTTCTTTTACATTTATTAGATATTATTCTTTTGTGAAGAAGATGTTTCCTTTTTGCTGCCAATTTTTTTTCTTTTCTTTTTCTTTCTTTCTTTTTTTTTTTTGAGACAGGGTCTGGCTCTGTTGCCCAGGCTGGAGTGCAGTGGTGCAGCGTCAGCACATTGCAACCTCTGCCTTCTAGGTTCAAGCCATCCTCCCTCCTCAGCCTTCCTAGTAGCTGGGACCACAGGTGTGTGCCACCGTGCCTGGCTAAGTTTTTTGCATTTTTCATAGAAATGGGGTTTCACCATGTTGCCCAGGCTGATCTTGAACTCCTGAGCTCAGGTGATCCACCTGCCTGAGCCTCCCAAAGTGCTGGGATTATAGGTGTGAACCACTGTGTCTGGCCCCAGTGTTCTTCTTTCATCATTCTTTTAAAATCACTGTGGACTGATGGATTTCTTTTTTTCATATGTGCTATAATCTATTACCATCATTATTCTTTGAACGCTCAAATTCTGAGTTAACCAGTGGAAGCCCCATTCAAGCTGGCTGCAGTACAATATTTGTCCTTTTTATAACTCCACATTAATTTTGGGGCATTTCTTTGTATAATGGCATAAGAAGTTCCCAACTTGCCTTGTGTTTTCTGTTTCAGAACTAGAAATCAGTCTTTTCTCCAGAGAGCTTTGCTTCATTTTAATGGAGAGTGTTATTAAGAAACCAAGATCCAGGCGCTACTAGGACATTGTTTTTCAGGCCCTTCCAATAGACAGAACTAAGAAATACATACAGTAGTGTTTTTTAAAATCATAATTTTATCTAATACCACTGAATTCTCTCTCATCTTTTCCCCTTTGCAATTGTATTTCCCTTCTCACACAGTGAGAACTCTGGTTCTCAAGAACCTCAATATATTTAGTCATTTAGTCTATTAAAAATTTCAGAATTGCCAATCCAATTCTGTTAGCAATAAATAAGTACAGTATTTGGTTTTGTTTGTTTTGCAATTCTTTGTGTCCTTAGAACATATTTCTCTAAGGGATATAGTCAGAGCACTATTTAAATATTTCCTGAATTCTTTTTTGTATGTGGTTGCTTGCTTTTTTTTTTTTTTTTTTTGATGACAGAGTCTCACTCTGTGGTCCAGGCTAGAGTGTAGTGATGCAATCAGAGCTCACTGCAGCCTTGATCTCCCGGGCTTAAGTGATCCTCCTGCCTCAGCTTCCCAAGTAGCTGGAACTGCAGGCATGCACCACCATGCCTGGCTGGTTTTTTTCTTTAATCAAGAAATGTTTCTTGGATTCTTTCTTGTATGTGCTTTTAATATAAAATTAAAGCCATTCATTTCTCTTTATATTCAGTTTTATGGTTTGCTTTTTCTTTTTATCTGATTTTTGAATAAGTAAAAATACATGATTCAGCCAGATGTGGTGGCTTGTGCTTGTAATCCCAGCCCCTTGGGAGGCTGGAGTGGGAGAGTTCAAGACCAGCCTGGGCAATATAGTGAGACCCTGTCTCTAAAAAAAAAATTTTTTTTTTCAAATTAGCCAGTTGTAGTGGTTCATACCTGTAGTCCCAGTTACTTGGGAGGCTGAGGCAGGTGGATCACTTGAGTCTAGGAGTTCAAGACTGCAGTGAGCTGTGATCATGCTCTTTAAAAAGAAAAAAATCTGCCAGGTGTGGTGGCTCACGCCTGTAATCCCAGCACTTTTGGAGGCCAAGGCAGGTGGATCACAAGGTCAGGAGATCAAGACCATCCTGGCTAACATGGTGAAACCCCATCTCTACTAAAAATACAAAAGAAATTAGCCGGGCGTGGTGGCGGGTGTCTATAGTCCCAGCTACTCGGGAGGCTGAGGCAGGAGAATGGTGTGAACCCGGGAGGCGGAGCTTGCAGTGAGCCGAGATCGCACCACTGCACTCCAGCCTGGGCGACAGAGCGAGACTCCATCACAAAAAAAAAAAAAAAAAAAAGAAAAAATCTTTTTTTCTCTTCCTTTTTCTTCCCTCCTTCCTCTTTTGCCCCTCTTCTTTCCTTGCTCATGTAATACTATTGTAAAGGTGTACCTTAGTTTATTCAACCAGTCTCCATGGATGGACATATAGGTTGTTTCTAAGTTTTTAATATTTTATAGAATGTGTATGGAATGATATAGTGAGTAACCTCATGAATAATGTCATTTCACTTTTGTGGAGGTATATCTTCAGAGTAAATTTGTAGAAGTGGGCTTGTGGGTCTGAGGGTAAATGCATATGTAGTTTTGTTAGCACGTATGTGGTCAAAAGCATTTTTTGCCCTGAGGCAGGGGCATGTAGCTGGTGTGCTGAAGGAATAGCAAGGAAGCCACATGAAGAAACAGGTCAAAGTCACTGGCTCAAGATCCTATGTATTAGCAGCAGAGTTGAATTAGAGCCCTGGCCTCCATCTTCATTGCACTTAGACAACAAAGAATTCGTGCATGGAAAACAGGAATGTATTTGACCAAGGCCAGTGTTACCAGGGCCATTAGGAGGTCAGAGAAAGGAGAAGTTTATATGGACCCCAGTCAGGTAGAAAATACTTCACCCCAAAATTTACAGCATCAATAAGATTTGTAATGGCCCTCTGCTGTGCATAGAGCTTGTATTAGTGTGTTTTCTTTTCTTTTTCTTTTTTTTTTTTTTGAGACAGAATCTTGCTCTGTCATCTAGACTGGAGTGCAGTCGAATGATCTTGGCTCACTGCAACCTCTGCCTTCCAGGTTCAAGCGATCCTCTTGCCTCAGCCTCCTGAGTAGCTGGGATTACAGTGCCTGCCACCACGCCTGGCTAATTTTTGTATTTTTAAGTAGAGATGGGGTTTCACCACGTTGGCCAGGCTGGTCTGAAACTCCTGACCTCAGATGATCTGCCCGTCTCAGCCTCCCAAAGTGCTGGGATTACAGGTGTGAGCCACTGCATCTGGCCTAGTGTGTTTTTATACTGCTATAAAAAACTACCTGAGACTGGGTAATTTATTTAAAAAAGAGTTTTAATTGACTCAGTTCCACAGGCTATACAGGAGGCATGGCTGGGGAGGCCTCAGGAACCTACAATCATGGAGGAAGGGTGAAGGGTAATGTTAAAGATACATTTTGATCACTTCTAGGACCTTCTGATGTAAAGGCATATTTGTTAAAATCACACCCAGAGCTTTTATTGTAAGGGTACTTTTTTTTTCTTACACTTTCAGAACTTTCCAATGTAAATATGCATTTTGAGTACTTCTGGAATTTTTCATAGTTAAGGTACATTTTCTCTTTTGCAATTAGAAATATGTGGAATAGTTATATTTTTGCACCTTGAGAATATTTGGTTCCTAATCTTTTTTATCTAATGGTTTTAATGCTTCTGAATTTCCTTCCTGATATGTTGTTATGCTGGGGCTATGCAAAATGGTGATATTCTAATGCTATTATTTCTTTTTCATAAATATTTGGCATTCTTTTATAAAGCACATGCCTTTTCTATTCTTTTCATTTTATTTTTAAATGAAAAAGCTGTGTAGCATGTGGATTAGTCACTTCATACAATAGACGTTTGATTAGAAAAGTTGGGCGCAAATGAAATGTAAAAATATGGAGTCATAGCTTATATGTACCATGGTGGTTTACTCTTCAAAGGAATCTTACTGTAAATCTTTTTTTTTTTTTTTTTTTTTTTTTGCAAAGCTAGTAATCACCTCTTAATTTCTGTTATTCTTATAAACCTGAATTTTCATGTAGGGCACATTTATTCAACAAATTATTGAGTGCTTTTTATGTGCCAGACACTGTGGTCAGCACTTGGAATAGAGTAGTAAGCAGAAAAAACATACCTGTCCTTAATGTAGGGTACATCCTTACTGTTAAGAAGACAATGACAGTTGCCCAGAACCCCATGATTGAAGGCAGTTATGAAGCTATGTCTGAGGAATCTTGATTTGGAAGGTATTATAGGCTTTTCCTAACAACCTGGTTCAATAAATGCTTTGAAGTTCAGAACCCTAAGCAACCATTCTCTATGGGTCTGATGAAAAGAATATATGATATAATTGGCAGTATCCTCCTGATGTCTTTCTAATGTAATGTCAAATTATGATTGCAGAGCCCTTTCCTCAACGTGAAATTTTGCCTAATTTTTTGTCTTAGGATATTTCCTAATATTTCTAGGGTCCACACCTCCATAAGACATGTGCCAGAGGCATGATTCAGAGGCTCCTGAGACCTTGAGGATTCAGAGCTGTTGTGAGGACATCACCAGGCAAGCCTTGCTTCAGTTACTAGATTCCGTCTGGACTGGGTAGGAAAGAAATGCCACTTTCCTGGCATTATCAATGAAGTTAATGGAAGAGCAGAGAATTTCTAGAAGTTCTGAAAAGGCTTTGAGGCTTGTGACAATCTACCATAGCTCAAACTTGAGGAGACCACCTTTCATAAGATGGATTCAAATACAATACCTGCGCTGAAAGACTTTTTTTTGCTCCTGCTTTTGGGTTGGCTATGGGACTTGCATCATCTGGCTGAATTGGACCAGCAGTTCAGGGGATGAAGAGAGGTCTCTGCTGCTTCTCAGTCACATGGCATGGCAGAAATTTTCAGCCTTCTGAATCTTCCAAGGAACGGTCAAGTGGCACTTAGCTAGATAAATGTTTACTAGAGGCATCTCTTAAAGAGTTTTCCACCAAAGATAAGTCTTTTTCTTCTATTTACTCTATACTCCAGCAATATCTCCCTACAGATTAGTAAGATGAATGTGTCCACAGTTAGGTGTATACCTGTTTTTAAAGAAAAAAGATGTCTGTTAGTTACACTGCTATGACCTCAGGTTCCAGAATATTAAGGGAACATTCTTTCAAGAGATGTTTCACTTTGGACTAATCCGAAGTTTAGAAACCAGCTTATTGCCAAAGGGAAAAAGGATAGCCCAAAGGACAAGAAAACACTTCTCACTATGAATTGGTTTGGAAGTAACTTCTTCAGGTGTCCTGAGGATCTTTCCTTACTCAACATATACTCACCTCTGTTGTCACACATGTCATCTGAAGATGAACATTTTATTTCCAACTTGAGGTAGGGAATAGGGTGAGTTTTTCCCCTAGCTTTTGCTCTTTAGTTGGACTATCGAATCAACCTCTACTTATAAGGAACCAGGGAAAAGAAAACTGGGCTTGGGAAGAAAGTGGTTGCTATCTTTTCTCCATGCAAACTTGAAAAGAGGGCAACTGATTTGTTCCTTCTGGCCTTTCTTGGCTGGTGACAAGAAAAGGGCTGGCTTGGGTGAAATGGTATCTCTTTATTCTTAAAATGTTGAACCCTGACCAAGTGGAACTTTATTTTTAGAGACTGCCAATCATTTCCACCCTTTTGAAATGAAAACTCAAGGGTTTTGGCTTCAGCTGAGTTTGAAATAATCAAGGAGGCCTAGGTACAAGGCAGAATGATTTCACAATACTCCAAGTGTGATTACGGAAGAGTGACATGTAACACCCCAGGCTGAAGAACCAGGCATGTGGGAGACATGGTAGGGCTTGTGCTAGAAGAGGAAGAGGAATGGAGTGAGGTCAAAAAGAGGGAAAAGTATGTATCTCATCCATCAAACTTTAACAGGAGTTAGCCTCCTGCCTCCTGAGTTAAAGCCTCCCTCACCTTCTGAGGGTTAGGATCACCAACCATCTTGGTTTGCCTGGAACTGTACTGGTTTTAGCACTAAAACTTCCCTATCCTGGGAAAACCCTTGGTCCTGGGCCAACTGGAATGGTTGGTTACCCTGACTGAATCTTTTTTTTTTAAGAGATGGGGTCTGAGGCCAGGCGCAGTGGCTCATACCTGTAATCTTAGCACTTTGGGAGGCTGAGGTGGGCAGATCACCTGAAGTCAGGAATTCGAGACCAGCCTAGCCAACATGGTGAAACCCTGTCTTTACTAAAAATACAGAATTAGCTGGGCGTGGTGGTGCATGCCTGTAATCCCAGCTATTAGGGGGGCTGAGGCAGGAGAATTGGTTGAACCCTGGAGGCAGAGATTGCAGTGAACCAAGATCACACTACTGCACTCCAGCCTGGGCGACAAAAGCAAAACTCTGTCTCAAAAAAAGAAAGAAGAGATGGGAGTCTTGCTCATGGATTTAAGCAATCCTGTCACCTCAGTCTCCCTTGTGGCTGGGATTATAGGTGTGCATCACCGTGCCTGGCCATCACTCTGACTGAATTTTAAGGCATTTGGGTAGCACATATGACAACTGAAAACCTGGTCCAGTTCTCCTTTCTCCTTCCTTTGTTTCTGAGAAAAGTATACAGAATGCCCTAGAGCATACACAGGATCCTGAAGTTAGAATAATAACAGTGGCCATCGACTTCATGCATACTACGTGTCAGGTACATACATGATCTTGTTTAATACTCTGGCAACTGAGGAGCTAGGATATTTTAAATCCAATTTTATGGAGGAGGAGGCCAGAGCTGAGGGTTGTGACAAGTTGTATTTTCTAAGATGTCACAACTAGAATGTGACTATTTGAACTTTTTTGTGTCTGAAATGAAAATGTTTGCTTTTTCTACTAAATGAAGAACTTATGGAATTTGATAGGTAAATGAGCATCTTCTCTGGTTTAGCAGAGCTTTGTGGCCATAAGCTTCATCCACTGTTTGCATACTCATTCCTGTTCTTCATGGTAGCAGAAGATTCCCTGGGCGTAATATGTAGAAAAGCTGTCTAGGAAGCTACAGGAGCTACTTGAGTCTGATACCTGTAGCAGCCCCTGAATAATCTTTCAGTTGTTAATGAACTACTGAGATCCTGGTACATGGAAGGTACTCAGTGAAAGTTAGCTATGGTTGTTATTTCAATTACAACACATGAGCAATCATTTTGAACTGAAATGTCTCAGCCAATGTATGTCAATTCAAACATTTTAATATAAAAATAACTGAAGACTCAGGGTATTAAGGAAATAAATAACAAATCTATCCTTGAGTTCAAAATTAGACAAACAGCCTAGGCAATAAAGCGAGACCCCTATCTCTACAAAAAATTAAAAAAAATTAGCTGGGCATGGTGGCATGTGCCTGTGGTCCCAGCTACTTGAGAGGCTGAGGCAGGAGGATCTCTTGAGCCCAGGAGTTCGAGGTTGCAGAGAGCTGTGATCATGCCGCTCAACTCCAGCCTGGGTGACAGAGCAAGACCCTGTTTCAAAAAAAGACAAAAGACAAAAAAAAAAAAAAAAGGGTAAACACAGAAAAAAAACATTTTCTTTTTCCATTAAGGAAAAGCTATCCTGTTAGTTATTTGATTTGGAATGGATAGAATACAGCATTCCTTGCTATAATAAAAGGTGTCACGCACATAATACTGAGTTAGAAGCAGACATTCTATTCTTAGGCTGCCCTAAGAAATCCCTCTACTAAAAGACGATTGAAGCTCTTAGCCTAATGATGGAAGCCCCAGCTTGTGGCCATCACATTGAGAGGTAAATGCCTTTGTATGGAGGAATGCAGAAAGCTTTTAGGCTACCCTCTGCTTGTATTTCATCAATTCATGCCCAAGACTTGTGGCTTTACTAGAGAATGAAACACAGTAAAGTTCACATAAATTTGTAGCTAGCCTTGAGGAGGACTCAAATATAACAGAAGAGACAAGAGAATCTATTTGGTCCAGCCCAAGAAATACTTATCATGCACCCATGAGGTTTCAGGGTAGTGTGCGGGATAGTGGGTATACAGGGAGGAACAGCATATGCCCCCAACCTCAGGGAGCACACATGGAGGCAGAGGAAATAAGACATAAAAGTAGTTTTTTCAGGGCCAATTTCAAATCAGCAAAGATGTCTTAATCTGTTTCGGTTGCCGTAGCAAAATACCATAGGCTGTGTGGCTTAAACAAGAGAAATAATTTTCTCACAGTTCTGGAGAATGGAAGTCTGAGATTAGAGTGCCAGCCCAATTGGGCTCTGGCGAGGACTTTCTTCCTGGTTTGCAGTGTGCTCACGTGGCCTTTCTCTGTACGTGCATGTAGAGAGACAGCAATTTCTCTTATAAGGCCACCTATTTTTTTTTTTTTTTTTTTTTTTTGAGACAGGGTCTTGCTCTGTTGCCTAGGCTGGAATGCAGTGGTGCAATCTCGGCTCATTGCAGCCTCTTCCTCCCAGGCTCAAGCAATCCTTCTACGTTAGCTTCCCAAGTAGCTGAGACCACAGGTGCGTGCCACCATGCCTGGCTTTTTGTATTTTTAGTTGAGATAGGATTTCACCATGTTGCTCAGGCTGGTCTCGAGCTCCTGAGCTCAAGCAATCCACCTGCCTTAGCCTCCCAAAGTGCTGGGATTATAGGCATGAGCCACTGTGCCTGGCCTAAGGCCACCAAACTTACTGAATCAGGATCTCACCCCTACAACTTCACTTAACTTTCATTACTTCCTAAGTGCCCTGTCTCCAAATACATTCACACTGGGGGCTAGAACTTCAACATATATGCGTTTTGGGGGATGCGATGCAGTCTACAGAAATGGGCCCTAACTTACATCATAACAAACATATTAAAATATACCCATACATTTGTTATATCCATATATATATATTTTTCTGTACAATACTTAAAATAATTTTTATAATTTTGTTTTTGAGATTATTTGACTATGAATAACTCATTTATGTCTAGTTGCTGCTTCTTAGCAACCATTCATATTTGGGAATTTTTGCAAAATGAGAACTTACAAATTTTCAAAATGTTAAATATTTGTGAATTCTAAATTTGGCAATTAATAAAATTGACATGCTAGATTTTTGTGTTTAATTGAGCATTAATTTATTTGCAGTTTTTATATTTTGGAGCCAATTTTTTTTTTCCATGGTAGGTTCCTAGAAAGCTCATTAAACCATGAGAACTGTCTACAATGCCTAATGGATAAAAGGGCTGGGGGTATTTCATAGTTCCACTTCATACTTCCAGACAGGTCGCTTCCAACCCTAACCCCTCTTCCAAGCTCTGGTACATCATTTCCAGCCGTTTGTTAAGTATTGTCTTGATTCTCACTGACATTGAGACTAAATATGTTCCAAACATCCCTACCTCTTATTCTCCTATTTTTCTACTTTTTGCCGTCTCTCTTGCGTTGACATCGCCACCTAGCTAGTGGGAGACTACTGCAGTCACCATCATTAGTGTCCAAATCTACTGGTATCAGGTTTCAGAATGGCATGAGTGCTTAAAAATTACCTGAAAGGCTTGTTTTAATATTAATTTCTGTACCTCATTCTTGGAAACCTGTGCAGTTGGTCCGAGGGAAGGCTTGGGAATTTCTTTTTTTAACAAGCTAATGTGCTATCATCTTTGGGAAGGTGTAGACATGATCCGTATTGGTGGGATGAAAAAGAGATGTGGATCTTAATAAGATCCACAATGCAACTTATACTATAATACCATGAAATTCCATTGGCTTTATTGCCAGAAATCAGAGGTAATGGGCTCCACAGCTGTTTCCAAGATGCCCCCAGGATGTTGTCTTAAGGGTAGTTAGGAATGTTCTGCTTTGGCCTCCAGGCCATGTGTCCCAGGTGCTGAATTTTGGCAACTATTACTGCAACAACTTTTTTTTTTTTTTTTTTTTTTTTGAGACGGAGTCTTGCTCTGTCACCCAGGCTGGGGTGCAGTGGCGTGATCTCAGCTCGCTGCAACCTCTGCCTCCTGAGTTCAAGCGATTCTCCCGCCTCAGCCTCCTGAATAGCTGTGACTACAAGTGCACACCACCACGCCCAGCTAATTTTTGTATTTTTAGTAGAGATGGGGTTTCACCATGTTGGTCAGGCGGTCTTGAACTCCTGACCTCATGATCCACCCACCTCAGGCTCCCAAAGTGCTGGGATTACAGGCATGAGCCGCCGCACCCTACTGCAGCAACTGTTATAGGAAGAAATGCTGCTGTCTCTTATTTTGTCTCAACTATGAGGCAGGCTCTTTCTTTAATTCTTCATAGCACATCAGAAAACAGGTGCAAAATCTTAATGAGGCTTGCTGAAAGAGAAGCACAAAACAGAATAATTACCACACTGCACAGGCTCAGATTCATTCTAGGGCCCTTCTACCCCACTCTTGACCCACCCCTTCTATGAGGCCAAGTGCAACTTACCCTTCACTATGGAAATCACTCCAGACATCCCCATGGTTGAAATTCAGGCACAACTGATTTTCATCCTCAGAAAGAGAAGTTTTTCCTTACCTCGCTTTTGAAGCCCAGCCACCAGGTTTTCATTTTCTAATTCAGAATGATTGATGATAGGAATATTCATCCCTTTCTGGGAAAATCAACCCAAAGTATACTTTGTGGCACCACTAGGTCAATCATACAGTAATTTGATATCAAGACATATTCTGAAGTCTGGGCAATTCACTTAAATGATACCCATGTCAACTTCAACAGCCTAGTCCAGGTTTCAGTCTGCCCACTCAGTCCAGTTCCTTCTCAGTATCACTTCAGCAAAGGTTCAAAATCCTTGGGATGCAGCTCACTCAGAGTTACTTTGTCACACATCCCCTGGGCACAGTAAACGAATCAGATGTCCTTCAATAGACACAATAATCTCATGAGGTAGTTTTTTCATCAGAACCAACGGAAAGCAGAGAGGTAAAGTCATTTAACCAAGGTCAAGCCTCCAGGAATGCCTGGATTTGAACTGAGGCCTCGATTCCAAATTTGTGAATTTAACTATTTGAAACACTGAGGAAGTAGACTGGACATTGAGCTTGAATTTGTGTGTCAGGATTTAGAACAATAATTCCATTAATAGAGATGAGGCAAAAAGCCAGAAGAGAAGGTATGATGGAGGGGGAGGAGGGAGGGAGATGGCAAAGTCGATTTGGGCTATGAGCCCCTTGGCATCATTGGGTCCCTATCTCTTCTTTATGGTTCTGACTTGGCTTAATGGTTATTGTTCTGAAACACCTTTGTTTCCAAGTTAATCATCATCCTTGACTCTCCAGAGGCCATGTACCAGCCAGCGCTGTGGTGAAGCAGCCTGTTCGGGGAGCCAGTGGCAGGACGACAATCACAGCAATTGTCCAGACTGGCGGGGGCTGGAGCACCGGTCTCTTCAGTGTCTGCAGAGATAGGAGAATTTGTAAGTTTTTCCTCCTTATTTAAGTTCCTCCTTACTATTTTCTTTTCCAGGACATCAGTGAGTGGAAAACCTACAGCAGGCACAAGGACAGAAATTAAATGTTTTCAGAATAACTGGACTAATCTTTCAGTGACTCAAATGTACTCCTTGTCTGGAAAAATCTTGCTTTTCAGAGATATGGATGTTTTATAGAATAAGTGGTGCCTTCAAAGATTTCTAAATGACAGACTCCACTGTTGGCAAAGTGCACAAAATGAGCTTTCTTATCCACTGCTGGTGGGAGTGTAAATTGGTACAACTCTTCTGGGGGATGGTTTAGCAATCCATATAGAAAGAACCTCAGCTGTTGCATAGCTTTTGACCCAGTAATTACATTTTTAGGAGTTTAAGGAAATAAATCATGTGCAAAGATTTAGCAGGAACATTAAATTTTGCAGCATTAGTTATTACAGCAGAAACCTGGAACAACTTAAATGTTCAACAAGAGGAATCCACACAATGAATTATTATACAGCCACGAAAAGTCATATTGTAGAATAATATTTAATGAGATGAAAAGATGATTTGGATACATTTTTACATTAAAGAAACACATTGCAAAACTGTGCACAGTAGATACCGTGTTTTTGGAGAGAGGAAAACATTTCTTAAATGTCTGGAAGAATACAAATACAAATATTTATAGCAGATGTCTCCAGATGGGAGGTTAATGGATAGTGTTTATTTCCTTTTTGCTTTTCTTTTTTCAATTGTCTTGGAAGAATATGTAGTACTCCTATCAACAAGAACAATCACAAAAAGAAACTCCCTTCCTTGATTGAAATCTTTTCAGACACTGGTTTGACACTTTTCAGCTATAAAGAGGGGCAAATAACACTGTCTTCTGGCTACATGATTCCCCCCTGGGCTTAGAGTTCAAAGCTCATTGATTCTATTTTTACCTGAGGACATTCTGACCCATCTTTGGTACCACATGTCAGGATCCCCTTCCAGGACCTGATGGTCTTGCCCTAGGGAGCAATTGGATCACAGAGTCTCTCTGGGAGGAGGGGGAGGGTATGTGTGATGGATGAGGGTTAGTCTCTTAAGTTCCAAATCCAACAGACCCTGGGTAAAATATTTTTGAAGGATATATCAGCCTTCTAGGAAGATCTGAATTTGTCCTAATGCCTCACAGGACATATCAACCAGAGAACTCTGAGCAAGTCCTCATTCAGCTGAGAGTCTTCCCCGTGACCCATAGTTTGGCAAGTCTCTTCCTGTCGCGGCTACCCATGTGGATTTCTGACCAGACAATTATGGAAGCTGTTCTCTGGTTCTCTCAGAATTCTTCCTGATTCTCTGCTCTTTTCATGACTTTGGTAGTCACCCAGTACTAAGGTACAGAGAGCTAGAGTAGCCATGCACAAATGTGCAGATCTGGCCCCAGAATAGTAAGTGGACCATTTTCCTTTCATAGCTTATGGTTGGGGGTTGGGGGAACTTCAGTGCACTTTTAACTAGGGCAAAGCCTGGAATATGGTGTAGTGGTTAGGAGAACAGGTTCATATCACATATACACCGTGAATCCTAACTCTGGCTCTTACTGGCCATGTAACGTTGAACAAGTCCTTTGGGTCTTCATTTTTCCACCTCTAAAATGAAGATAATAAAGGTGCCTACCTCAAGGTTTACTGTAAAGATGAAAACAGAAGATGTATAGAACCCACTCTTAACACTGGTTTGGGCATAACTGGATCAGTTAGGGATTTAGGGTTGCAAACTATACTAGGTTGAGTAGTGTCACTTTAAAATCCATGTTCACCTGGAACCTCTGAATGTGACTTCATTTGGAAATAGAGTCTTTACAATGTAGTCAAATTAAAATAAAGTCAATCCTTATTTATAAGAAGAGAGAGATTTGGACACAGACACACAAAGGAGAAGGCCATGTGAAGACAGAAGCAGAGACTGGAGTGACACATCTGCAAGCCAAGGAGCACCAACGATTGCCAGCAACCCCCAGAAGCCAGGAAAGAGACAGGGAACAGATTTTTCCCTCGGACCCCCCAAAAGGAACCAACTCTGCCAACACTTTGGTTTCACACCTCTAACCTCCAGAATTCTCCCATGAGAAAATAATTCCTGTTGTTTTAAGCCACCCAGTTTGTGGTATTTTGCTATGGCAGCCCTAGGAAACGAATATATAAGCCAACATTGAATTTCATTAGAAGGCCATGGGATAGCTCCCGGAATCAATGAGCCAGGTAAAAGCCAAGCCCAGAAAGGGACAAGACGCACTGTTATTAGGTGCTAGCTGACAGTCCAATCAGCTTTAAATGTTTTTATCCTTGTGTTATCCCCATCTGAGAATTGATGTTTCAGTGGAAGCAGCTCAATTTGCTCAGCTTGTATCATGTGCCTACTTCTTGACCAGGCCCACGGTTCTCTGAATGATAGTCCTACCAATATGGTGCATAATAAGGAAGGGATAATTTCCTAAATTTACTATTGGGGTGCAGTTACCAGGAAAATTCAAAAAAATATCATTACAATGCACTTAGTAAATCTTAGCTATTAATACTACTGTTATTTAAAAAAAATTATCCTTCAGCATGTTGAGAGCAAAGAGTAGATGAGTCAGAAGGCTTATATTAGATTCTGCAGAATGATTTCTACATAATCCTAAGAGCACCTAGAAAAGCTGGTCAAGGAATTCTCACTCCTCAGCCATACTGTTTGCCTTAAGCATTACTTCACTGCTCACCTCTGCTCTCAACCCGCATCAACGCTCAGGACACCAACCACACTTCCTGAGGATTCCCTGGTTGTCCACTTGAGAGCCCATTCTAGTGACAAGGGGAGGAAAAAGGATATGGGGAGAAATACAATATTCTTTACAATTGGCATGAATTCTGAATGAAAGGCCATGGATAGGGTTCAAGGTGATCTCGAATGTTGTGTTGTAATTTTTGTTCCCTAGTTGTGTTTCCATGTTGTGACTGCTCATAGTGTTTTAAATTAATTGTCTTAGAAGAAAACTTAAAGGTAATATATTACTGTGTACACTCATTATCTGCACTGTAATTCTGAGAATGCTGCTGGAGTGTGAGTGCTATGAGTCTTGGATTTCTTCCCCTCCTTGTTTAGAAAGACTTTTAATTGGGGATTGTTTTATCCACAAAGTTTTATTTAGAGTAAATCACTGTGTCCATTGTTTTGACAGACTTGGGAACAAAGGGAGAGCTTCTTCTCATGACTGTTCCATGCCAGATTCCCATCCTGGGACATTTTTCCATCAAACGCTGAGAATTATTGCTACAATTTGTCATCCATTAAGCAAAGGGTACATTATGAACAGCAGTGATTTCCATTTCTTTTTGACATTTTGCTTCTTCATTTTATTGTAATTATGTATTTTAAGTGCTTCCTTCTTCCCACCTCTGTGCTTTCATCTGAATTCACACTGCACTGGGATTAGCAAATGGGTGTCTCTGTGTCCTTTGAAGATAGGGTAGCTGAGAGCTCAGATGTGAAGATTAAACTGAGGTGAAGTAAGTGGCTGCTAAGTGGCATTGTGAGTGAAAGACTGGGCAATCCAGCTTTGGGAATGTTTGTGATGTGGCCTCAGAGAAGGTTTATGTGGAAGGTGTAATCAACTCATAATTCAGCTCATGATTCAACCATGTTTACTGAGTTTCTTCCCATGTATAGGCACAAGGTAGGTGATACAGACATATTAGTGAATAGGTCAGAGACAGTGTCTTAGAGGAGATGGATAATAAACAAATCTATAGGCTGGGTGCGGTGGCTTCACACCTGTAATCCCAGCACTTTGGGAGGCCGAGGTGGGCAGATTACCTGTCAGGAGTTTGAGACCAACCATAGCCAACATGGTGAAACCCCATCTCTACTGAAAATACAAAATTAGCTGGGCATGGTGGTACATGCCTGTAATCCCAGCTACACCGGAGGCTGAGGCAGGAGAATCTCTTGAACCCAGGAGGCAGAGGTTGCAGTGAGTCGAGATTGCACAACTGCACTCCAGCCTGGGCGACAGAGTGAAACTGTCTCAAAACAAAACAAAACAAAAGAAACAAAACAACAACAACAACAAAAATCTATAAACAAAATAATTGCAGTTGTGATAAATGCCATGAAGAAATTAAACAGAGTGTTATGAAAGGAAATTATAGGAGAATGGGGTAAAGGACAGTCTCTCTGAGGAGCTGACTTCAGCTGTTACCTGAAAGATAGGAAAGAGTCAGCCGCTCAAACAGCTTCCCTGTAGCGAGCATTGTAAGCACCAGGCAGTAAAGAGACTGATGTGTACTAGGAACTAGTAGATACCCAAGGTAGGAAGAAGAAAGCAAGCCAGAATTTTCCCTGGTTTTCTGGAAAAGGAAGGAGGCATGAGAAGGCATTGGACTGGGATTCATGTCCCCACACTGCATCTCAGGTAACCTGTAGACTCCCTGAAGCAGGGACCAGTTTTCTTGTTCAATGCTCTGACGCCCAGCAGAGCATTTAGACCATAGGAGGCACTTAAACATATTTGCTGGATAACACATAAATGAATTTTAACTTGTATTCTCATTTGCTTCTTTGTCAAATTTAATTGAAAAACTCAGAGCCTCAGAGTTAGAAGGGATATTGCGAGTCAGCTTGTCTGGTCCCCCATCTGTTTGCGTAAATCCCCTCTGCAACGTGCGTGGCAAAGACCCGACAGCCTCGACTTTCTGAGCACTTCCAGGGAGGAGGGCTCATTTCCTTTGGACCCAGTTCAGCACCTTAAAAAATTATTTTGTAAAGACTGCCATGCACATAATGCAGAATTCAAAAGTACCTACCTTTTTTGTATATGAAAAGCAAGTAGTACTCCATCCTTGCTCTCTATCCACCTGGTTTTTCTCTTCAGAGTCAAATACCTTTACTTGAGTCCACATATAGTCTATATACTTATACAGATATAGAAATCTAAAAAGTTAAAATAGATGTTTAATTATAAAAGTATTATATAATAATTATAAAAAAGAAAAATGCAAAAAACTATAAAAGAAAAAACAGCATCCTGTAATCCCAGCTCTTGGAGATAAATATTGTTAATATTTTGGTATCTATCCTTCTAGATGTTTTGCTTATATGTGTGTGTGTGTGTATAATTTATACAAGTGGTAGCACTGTAAACACATACTGTCTAGTACCTTTGGCTTATTTTAATTTAATAATATATCTCACATCACATTCTTCTGAAAGAAGTATAAAAGGAAAAAAAAACATACCTAGGTGATCAGACCATATCAACATATCTGGAGCTAATTTCTTAAAATTTGGCAAATTCGGCCGGGTGCGGTGGCTCTCGCCTGTAATCCCAGCACTTTGGGAGGCCAAGGCGGGCAGATCACAAGGTCAGGAGTTTGAGACCAGCCTGGCCAACATGGTGAAACCCCGTCTCTACTAAAAATACAAAAATTAGGCGTGGTGGCGGGCTCCTGCAATCCCAGCTGCCTGGGATGCTGAAGCAGGAAAATCGCTTGAACCCGGGAGGTGGAAGTTGCAGTCAGCTGAGATCATGCTACTGCACTTCAGCCTGGGTGACAGAGTGAGACTCTGTCTCAAAAAAAAAAAAAAAAAAAAAAAATCTGCAAAGATTCCATTGTATGAATGTACCATAGCTTATTTATCTGAAAATCTCCATTGATGGACCTTTATATGGTTTCCAGACTTTGCCATTCAAACCACTGCTATATGAATATCACTGCACAGATGTCATTTTGCATGTGTGTGAGTATATCTGTTGGATAACCACTAAAGAGTAAACCTGCTGGTCAAATAGTATGTGCTATTTTAAATATTGATAGATGTTGCCAAATGGCTTTCCATTTGGAAGTTGTACTAATTTACACTCCCACCAGCAATGTATGAATATGACCTATTTCTTTTCTGAGCATCTCATTGTTAGAAAGTTCTGCCTCTTTTGCAATAATTGATCTGAAATATGCCTTGCTGCAATTGCCACCCACCTTTCCTACTTCTAATCTCGGGGCTCCACACTCTGGTTTTGTGTAGGTTTCTTTTCTTTCTCTTGACTCTCCTATGAGTTAGAAGGATGAATAATGAGCAACATTCCACACATGCGGGTGGAACCCATCTCAGAGAACAGACCTGAATCATTTATACTGTGCGTGCTTACATAACCACCAGGCCTTTAGGTGTAAGAGGAAGAAGCTAAATTTATCCCTTTTGAACCTGAGCTTCTTAAAAAAAAAAGACAAAATTTTTTTTCACTAGTAACAATACATTTACCTTGCAAAAAATGAAACATTACAGAAAAGGGAATCATTTCCCTTCTTTTAATTGTATTTATTTATTTATAGAGGCAGGGTCTTACTTGTTGCCCAGGCTGAAGTACAGTGGCATGATTACAGCTCATTGTAACCGCGGACTTCTAGGTTCAAGTGATCCTCTTGCCTCAGCCTCTAGAGTGGCTAGGACTACTGGTGCATGCCACCATGCCTGGCTAATTTTTTAATTTTTTTTTTTGTAGAGATGGAGTCTCGCTATGTTTCCCAGGCTGGTCTCAAACTCCTGGCCTCAAGTGATCCTCCTGCCTTGGCCTCCCAAAGTGTTGAAATTTTAGAGAATTTCCTTCCTGATCTTTTTCTCTATATTTCTCTATATTTATAATATAAATGGTATTATGTATTATGCTGTGCATATCATTATGCAGTTTGATTTTTTTAAACTCAAAATTTGCCTTAGAGATTTAACTCTGTTGGTTCTTAATTGATCTTTTGTGTTCCACAGTATGTATAGTTATACCATTATAGTTTATTTGTACTTCAGCCTGTTAATATACATTCATGTTGTTTCAAATTTAAAGTTACAAGTAATGCTGCAATGACTATTCTTGTACCTGCTCTTTGTGAGCATGTATAAGCATTGATACAGGGTGGACACTGATAAGTGGAATCACTAGGTCCTAGATGATGTAACATTGTCATAGATTCAGCAAAATTGACTTCCAAAGTGGCTGTGCTAATTTCTACTTCCATCTGTGTGTGGAGTACTTATTTCTTCATGGCTCCCCACAATATATCATATTAACAATTTTTTTTTTTCGAGACAGAGTTTTGCTCTTGTCGCTCGGGCTGGAGTGCAGTGGTGCGATCTCTACTCACTGCAACCTGGGCCTCCTGGGTTCAAGCAATTCTCCTGCCTCAGCCTCCCGAGTAGCTGGGATTACAGACACCTGCCACCACGCCCGGCTAATTTTTTGTATTTTTAGCAGAGACGGGATTTCACCATGTTGGGCAGGCTGGTCTTGAGCTCCTGACCTCAGGTGATCTGCCCTCTTCAGCCTCCCAAAGTGCTGGGATTACAGGTGTGAGCTACTGCGCCCGGCCTGACAAATTTTTAAAAATTGGCATTATCATGGATAATAAGTAGTTTCTGGATGTCTTAATATTCATTTCCAATGACATTGAGCAAATTTTTGCCTTCGTTACTGGCCATTTGTATTTGCTCTTAAGTGGATTACCTGCCCATATCCTATGCCCATTTTCTTCTTTTGTTTAATCTTCTATATGTTGATTTGCAGGAGTTTTGTTTTGTTTTGTTTTGTTTTGTTTTGTTTTGTTTTTTGAGACGGTCTCATTCCTTTGCCCAGCCTGGAGTGCAGTGGCCCGATCTCGGCTCATGGCAACCTCCACCTCTCAAGCTCAAGGGATTCTTCCACCTCAACCTCCTGAGTAGCTGGGATTACAGGCACACGCCACTACCACCTGGCTAATTTTTGTATTTTTTGTGGAGATGGGGTTTCATCATGTTGGCCAGGCTGGTCTCAAACTCCTGACCTCAAATGATCCACCCGCCTCGGCCTCTCAAAGTGTTGGGATTACAGGCATGAGCCACTGTGCCCGGCCAAGAGTTCTTTATATATTCTAGATACTTATCCTTGGCCTGTGATATGTGTTGCAAAGTTTTTTCCTAGAGAGTCTTTGGAACAAAGGATCCCATCATCCTGATTTTGTGCATCCCTTCTTGGGGTGTGACCTGACAGTGTTTCCATATCCCACTGCATTCCTCACAGTACAGAGCAGCAATACTTGATGAAAGGATCTTCCTTAAAGAAGTTGAGGCTGGGCGCTGTGGCTCAGCCTGTAATCCCAGCACTTCTGGAGGCTGAAGCGGGCGGATCACCTGAGGTCAGGAGTTTGAGACCAGCCTGGCCAACGTGGTGAAACCCTGTCTATACTAAAAATACAAAAATTAGCCGGGCATGGTGGCAGGCACATGTATTCCCAGCTACTCGAGAGGCTGAGGCAGGAGAATCTCTTGAACCCAGGAGGTGGAGGTTGCAGTGAGCTGAGATTGTGCCATTGAACTCCAGCCTGGGCGACAGAGGAAGACTTCATCTCAAAAAAAAAAAAAAAAGAAGAAGAAGTTGCCTGACTTAAGACTACCCCACAGGAATAAATGTAAAGTGGTGATAGGATACTGTCTACTGTCTAGCACACCAATCCACAACTACTGTGGCATAATAGATAAATACATAAAACATGAGAACATATAGTAATATGTATAGTAGTTCAGACTTTGGGACCAGACTACCTGAGTTCAATCTCTCCTCTGCCTTTCACTGATGATTGTGTGAATTTGGACAAATTACTCAAATCTTCTGGGCCTCAGTATCCTCATCTGTAAAATGGGGATAAGAAGAATACCTATAGGATTGTTGCAAAGATTAAATGAGTTAATAAGTGCAGAGTGATTTTAACAGGGCTTGGTACATAGTGAACTCTGTATAAATATGAGCTATTATATAATAAAAATTCATTCTTCATAGTGTTTTTTAAAAATCACATCTGATTTCTTCTTCAAAGTACAGTAATTGAATTTGAGGTATGTTTCTTTCAGCATCTAGTACTACCTCCTAATGAACACTTAGATAACATGATTATATGACAAAAAGATTAAAAATAAAAACAAAAGCGTGTGTTTTTTTTAAAAAGCATATGAGTCATAAAAATATGGTGCAAGAGTTCAAATGCACTTAAACAATTTCTGTACAATATACTTATTGAGAATGGTGGGCATTTCTCTTTATCAGTTAAAGAGGTGCAGCTGAGGCAATTGTGTAAACACTATTTATTAGTCACTTAGTTTGCCAGCTTTACAATTAAGCAAGTTTTGATTAATTTTTTTTATTTACAGGGATTTACACTATTTTGTAATCCACTCATAAAGTGAGAGTTGATTGATTTTTATGTGCCATTGATTTCAAAATCCCCTAATTCAAGGTTGCATACAGTGTGAGTACTCTGTACTCTCAGTAAATTTACTGGACCATTTGCTGTCCTCTAAGCTGTTCATACCAGGTATCCGGGCTGGGTGGGGCCTGCTGATCTACTTGAGATTACTTTTTAAATGTAGGGTGAAATATCCCAGTCTTATTTGAGACTGAATTCAGAGTTTGCTTTGGGCCAAGAGATGTCTACAGTAGATGATTGAGTGACTATCTTGAGACTTCCAAATAGATGAAATAGATGTTCCTTCTCTGCCCCCATCCCTCATGCCCTTTGTATGCTTGTGCTACTTCATCCACTATTTGAAGCTGAAGTCCAGAGTCCTGGAGCCTTGGAGAGTCTAAGATACAGAATTCCTAGTTTTTTGCCTCTTTGTCACTGAATTTGGGAGTGGGACTTTGAAGTGCTCACTGTGGGAGAACAAGGGGTAGCCAGAGACAGACCATTGTCAGGAAGTTCTTCAGTGTGCTGATGTCATGGTATGTGAGCCTTCGTGTCTGGTGCACTAAAAGACAATGGTGGCTACTTCACACTCACAAGAGTAACTAAAATAAAAATGACTGACAATAGCAAATGTTGGTGAGGATGTGGAGCAATCAGAACTCTTGGCCAGAAGTGGTGTTTCATGCTTGTAATCCCAGTACTTTGGGAAGCCAAAATGGGCGGATTGCTTGAGCCCAGGAGTTCAAGCAACATACGGAGACCCCATCTCTACAAAAGATAAGAAAAAAAGTTAGCCAGGTGATATGGTTTGGATCTGTGTCCCCACAAATCTCATAGGATTGTAATCACCCATGTTGGAGATGGGGCCTGGGATTACTATATGGTACCAAGGGGGGATGGTGCCAAACCATTAGAAGCTGCCCCTGTGATCCAATCACAATTGGATCCATCCCCCCTTGGTACTGTATAGTGAGTAAGTTCTTATGAGATCTGGTTGTTTAAAAGTGTGTAGCACCTCCGCCTTTGCTCTCTTCCTCTTTCCCTGGCCATGTAAGACAAGCCTGCTTCTCCTTAGCCTTCCACCATGTTTGTAAGTTTTCTGAGGCCTCCCCAGAAGCAGAAGCTGCTATGCTTACTGTACAGCTTGCCAAACTGTAAGGCAATGAAACCTCCTTTCTTTATAAAGTACCCATTCTCAGGTATTTCTTTATAGCAATGTGAGAACAGACTAATACACTGGATGTGGTGGTGCATGCCTGTAGTCTCAACTACTCAGGAGGCTGAGATGAAAGGATGAGAGGATCGCTTGAGCCTGGGAGGTTGAGGCTGCAGTGAGCCATGATCGTGCCACCGCACCCCAGCCTGAGTGACAGAGCGACACCCTGTCTCAAAATCAATCAATACATAAATAAATAAACAAAATATAACTGTCATGCATTGCTGATGGGAGTTTAAAATGGTACAAATACTTTGGAGAACTGTCTGTCATTTCTTGCAAAGTTAAACGTATATCTACCCCATAACCTAGCAATTCCCCTTCCAGGTATCCATCCAAATGAAATAAAAACATACGCCTGTGTAAACACTTACAGATGAATCTTCATAGCAGTCAAATTCATAATAGCAAAAAAATGAAATAATCAAATGTTTATCAATGGGAGAATGGAGAAACAATTTGTGGAATATTCATACAATGGAATATGGCTCAACTCTAAAAAAAGAGACAGATTCACACAACAGCATAGATGCATCAAAAACATGATGTTGAACGAAAGAAGCCAGATACAAAAGCAAACATGATTTCATTAATATGAAGTTGAAGAAGAGGCAAAACTCATCTAGAAGAATAGATATTGGAACAATGGTTGCCTCTAGTGGGCAACGGGAGGGCTGGGATTGATTGGAAAAGGACACAGGAGCTCTGGGGTGAGAGCAATGTTCCACACATTTGGTTACTTGGGTGTATGTGATTGTTGACACTCATCCCACAGAACACTGATGGCCTGTGCATTTTCTTATATATAAATTATGCCTCCATAAAATATTTATTTAAAAAATTTTCAGAGATTATGGTTAGCTTGGAATTTTTGCTGTTTCACAGTCCTAATTATTTGCATTCATCAGAGTTGTCATCTTTTATGATGCTAGATGACATAACATCTTAACTGTATATCAGGGGTTCTTAACCTGTGGTCTGTTAATAATTTTCAGTGGATACATGAACTCCGTGAAATTGAATGCACAATTTTGCATGTCTATGTGCATGTAGTTTTCTTTTCCCTTGTGGACTGAGTTCATAGCTATCATTGTACTCTCAAAATGGTCTGTGACCCAAAACATATTTAGAATAGAACCTCTGTGTTGGAAGGTTCATGCAGAATATGTAGAAAACAATATCAGTAAAGATGAGTGAACTAATGACAAATTGTTTACAGTTGATGTTCAAGGAACCAAGCCCCTAATAATCTGCAGATTAAAACTGGCAGATGTCAGTGGCTCCAAGACACTAACATAAATTTGAATAACTTGGTCTGAGAAATAGAATAAAGCCCTGATAAGAATAGGAGGCAGAATTAGTGTACTATAAAAGACCTTTCGGCCGGGCGCGGTGGCTCACGCCTGTAATCCCAGCACTTTGGGAGGCCGAGGCGGGCGGATCACGAGGTCAGGAGATCGAGACCATCCCGGCTAAAACGGTGAAACCCCGTCTCTACTAAAAATACAAAAAATTAGCCGGGCGTAGTGGCGGGCGCCTGTAGTCCCAGCTACTTGGGAGGCTGACGCAGGAGAATGGCATGAACCCGGGAGGCGGAGCTTGCAGTGAGCCGAGATCCCGCCACTGCACTCCAGCCTGGGCGACAGAGCGAGACTCCGTCTCAAAAAAAAAAAAAAAAAAAAAAAGACCTTTCAATTACACTTATAGAAATAGATGTCTGTTATTCAAAAATATCCTGTATACCATGTTTATTTTAAATATTGAAATTAGATAGATGAACATAATGAAAGCAACAGTTATGATTCAAATGTAAAAAAATTATTTGATGCTTTTTCTCTTAACAGGAACAAAACAATTACCATAGTCAATGCTAACAGAATTGTATCAGGTTCATCTTTGCCAGTGTTTAACAAAAGAAGGCAATTTTGATGTGGCTCAGTTATGGCAATTTTCATACAATGAGTTTTGGGAATTGGTTATTTATTCTCAGTCTGATAGCAGGGAGACAGTGCAGCATTAAACTGGTGGCATAATGTTGTAAATATTCTTTGAGATGTGAAGTTGCTCCAAGAAATCTGAGAACCTTGGCTTTTTGGATGTGGTTATTGACAGGTTTCTGTGGTCTATTCTGTCCTATGTGTCTTGAGTGTGACATCGCCAGGCATTATGGAGAGTGTCTTTGTTGGCCGTTGTTACCTGGGTCCACCTTTGCACTGAGAATTGGCACCAGGGAGAGACATAAAATACAGGTAAGTGTGTTTGAAGGTATACGTGAACCCGAATCTGTATGAAAACCTAGATGCCTTCCAAACCTGTGATTTTCCAAATAAAAGAAGGGTGGGTGAGGATGTTGAAACATACCATGCTTAGTGGGAAACTTTGAGAAAGGAAATACATTTAAAAATTTTATTCTTTACCAGGAAATATAAGTTAACTAAAATACCATATTATTTTAGTAGAGATGGGGTTTTGCCATGTTGGCCAGGCTGTTCTCAAAGTCCTGCCCTCAAGTGATCCGCCCACCTTGGGCTCCCAAAGTGCTGCGATTACAGGTGTGAGCCACCATGCCTGGCCCAGACTGATGTATTTTTAAGTGGAAAAAAAAAAAAGTAAGGCACAGAAGTATGGAACTATTTTAAAAGACTATATATGTATATGTTTATGTAGACATAGAATGTATCTGGAAGTGGTTACAAGAAACTGGTAACAATGATTACTTCCAGGCAGGCAACTGGATGGCTGGGGACAGCTGGAGAGCGGGATTTACTTTTTGCTTCCTATCCCTTCTTACACTGAAATTTTAGGCCATGTTCACTTATTACCTACTCCAAAGAAATAAATAATTATAAATATTAGGTTCTAAGAGAAAGAACCAAGAAGTTGATAGAGAAATCAGTGGTTCAATTATAAAGGCCCATATCAGAGGTCCTAAGGGCAGCGCTCTGAATCGCAGGCATTGATTAGCAATTCAGCTGCTTGGCACTTATGCAACTTAGTGTCCCTGGGCATTGGCTTAAGGATGTTGGTGAACCTTGGAAGCTGTGGTTGAAGGGCCAGGAGGTAACATTGTACAGGACCCTGGGGAAGAAAAATGAGCCTGTGTGACTACAACAGAACAGATTCTGGTCTTGCCCTAGGGCACACTGTGTGAAGACTGGCTGGCGGTGCACTGCTGTTGGGCTTTTTCCATCTGCCAGGTGGCCCGGGAACTCAAGATGAGGACCTCCCAAGTCTATGAAATCTGTGCAGTCCCAATGACTAAGGACACCCTGGTTTGACAGCAAGATAACTCCTCCTCCTTACTCCCCAACACCCTCCTCTCAAACCTCTCAGTGGAACAATTGCTTTTTCCTAAGTTTTTACTGAAATGGTATGAAAATAAATGATTTCCCCCCTACTGTCTCTACTGTTCTTCTTTCTTTACACATTTCCCTGTTGATGACTTTATCATTTGTCTGAATTTGCTATTCCAGTCCAGCCATATAAAGCAGATCTAGAGGTGAGTTTTCTTGTTTGTTTATTTTTTGAGACAGAGTCTTGGCTCTGTCACCCAGGCTGGAGTGCAGTGGCGCCATCTTGCCTTCAAGCAATTCTCCTGTCTCAGCCTCCTGAGTAGCTGGGATTACAGGCATGTACCAACACACCTGGCTAATTTTTGCATTTTTAGTAGAGACGGCATTTCACCATGTTGGCCAGGCTGGACTTGAACTCCTGACCTCAGGTGATCCACACGCCTCAGCCTCTCAAAGTGCTGGGATTACAGACGTGAGCCATCGCGCCCAGCCTAGAGGTGAGTTTTGTGCCTCCCCTCCCCTGCTGGAGTTTTGGAAGCTTGCTTTTCCCCCTCCAGATTTCTACTGCCATCCTTTCATGAGGGATGTCTGAGAAGCTGGAGGAGTTGTTATGTGGCTTTCTTATGTCAAGCCACCTTCCTCAGAGTATCAGGGATGGGGCAGGAGGTGGCTAACTTTAGGTAGCATCTGGACTGGCTGGAAATGTCACTGAAACACATCAGCCATTGTCTTTCCCTTGTCCCAACTCTTCAGGTCTGATTGCTTGAAGGAGAAAGTCTCAGGTTGGTGCTCATCTTGAACACTTCTGTAACACTTAGAAATCTTCTTCAGGCCCCAGGTTCAAAACCTCAGGCAGCAACAGCTATAGGTGGAATTGTGTTCCCCACCTCCCACTCCTCCATCAAAAGATATGTTGAAGTCTTAACCCCTGGTAACTGTGAACACGATTTTATCTGGAAATAGGGTCTTTGCCGTTGTAACTAGTTTAAAATGAGATCTTCAGGGTGGGTCCTAATCCAGTATGACTGGTGTCCTTACAAGAAGAGGAGAAAAGACACAAAGATAGAGACACAGAGGGAAGACGGGTATGTGAAGACAAAGGCAGAGATGGGAGTGATGCTGCCACAAGCCCAGGAATGCCTGGGGCTACCAGAGGTTGGAAGAGGCAAGAGAAAATCCTCCCTCAGAGATTTTGGAGGGAGCATGGCCCTGCCAACATCTTAATACTGGACTTCTAGCCTCCAGACCGTGACAGAATAAGCTACCCAGTTTGTGATCATTTATTTTAGCAGCCCTAAGAAGTGACCATCTACCATGTTTGGTAGATGTTTTTGTTAGGGCAGCAGCACCGAACAGTGCCAAAGAACCTGGGTTCTGCAGCCTGAAATGCCTCCTCTGTTTACTAATTACACAACCATAGGCAAACTTGCTAACCTCTCTCTGTTTCAGTTTCCTTATCCGGAAAGTGAGATGGTGATAGTACTGACTTTGCAGGGCATGAGAATTGTACATCAAGACATTTAGCACACTGCCTGGCAGGTAGGATGGACTCAATAAGTGTGATTACTGTTTTATGGCTACTTTATATTTGTGGAAAATGATACTAATTTTCCTTTTTTTTGAGACTGAATCTTGCTCTGTTGCCCAGGCTGTAGTGCAGTGGCATGACCTTGGCTTACTGCAACCTCCATTTCCTGGGTTCAAGTAATTCTTGTGCCTCAGAGTAGCTGGGATTATAGGCGTGTGCCCCCACACCTGGCTAAGTTTTGTGTTTTTAGTAGAGACAGGGTTTTGCCATGTTGCCTAGGCTGGTCTCGAACTCCTGGGCTCAAGCGATCCACCTGCCTTGGCCTCCAAAAGTGCTGGGATTACAGGTGTGAGCCACTGTACCTGGCCAAATTTTACTAATTTACTATTGGAACATAAAGTTTTCCTTTAAATTAAATTCTAGATGAAAGTTGATACTAGAGATGAAGTTGCCCCCACCTCAAAAAAGAAAACTGAGTCAATTAAAATAAGAATTTTAAGTAAATAATAACACAGGCAATAGATGGATATGGCAAACATTGTGAAGGTGGTAAAATACTAATTTTATGAAGCACTTATATGTGCCAGGCACTCTTCAAAGCACTCTACATGTTTTAAGAAATTTATCCTTAACATCCCTTAGAAAGGTGCTATTATATCTCCATTTTCTAGAAAAGGGATCTGAGCCACAGAGAGGTTAGGTAACTTACCCAAGGCTAAACAGCTGGCAACACAGGAAATCAGGCACTTGAGGCTGTGCACCTAACCTTTGCACTCATCAGGCAGAGAAGACTTCCAGCCAAGAGGCCTTTGTGGGCCCTCATGGTTGTACAAACCAGAGTTTGCTCCACAGAGGTGAATTCAGCCTGCTGAGCATTAAAAGGAAGTGTTTCTTGCCTGTTTCTCCACCTACCTCCACTGAAACTTAGCAATTCCCATCCGTCAAAGTGATTTCCTCTCCTCCCAACCCTCCCTTTTGGATGTCCAGAGCAGCTGCCAGGAGTTAAACCCCTTTGGGAGAAATCAAATGCTCACTGTTGACAATTTATGATGAAGTGTTGCCCTCTCCAAATCAACTACTGAAAAAAAAAAAATCCAGGCCTGGGGAATAACCTATTAAGTGAAAATAAACATGTTTTTATTGTTTCATGCTAAAAGACATATTTGGCTTCACACGCTTACAGCTGGGAAGAATGCATATTTTTGGCAAAGAAGGCTCGAGTAATCTCTGCACGTTCACACGGTTGACCCCTCCCTGCATGAAGAGCAGATGGTGTTTCATGCACAGATTTCTGGCACAGTCCTCCTCTTGTCTGATGTAAAAGGTGCGAGTGGACCTCTAGCCCCCTTTCCCCTTTTGCTTCTTCTGATCAGTCTCGCGGTAAAGAGCAAATTTAGCACTTCATTAAGGCCACTAACCCAAGTCAAGCTCTGGACTCTGAAAGCACTGAGTCTACCACAGAATCACAGAACATAAAACAGAATTAACATGTGGATAGTTTTTTGAAAACCGATGGTAGAAAGTGGTCCTGAAGGGAGGGGGCTTAGGGTCATGACTTCTGGTGTCTTCTAGAAGAACATGTTAAGTCCAGGAAAAGAGGACTTGAAAAAAAAATACGTGCTCCCAGGAGAAACATTATCCAGTACTAGATATTGAAGTGAGAGACAATAACTCTGACATTAAATATCCCATTAGCACAGTTTTACAAAAAATCTGGATTGCTACAAATTTGAGAGTTACCCAACAGTGAAGACATATTCTGTATGTTTTTCTTCTTACTAGAAAATTCCAGGCCGGGCATGGTGGCTCACGTCTGTAATCCCAGCACTTTGGGAGGCCGAGGCGGGCAGATCACAAGGTCAGGAGATCGAGACAATCCTGGCTAACACGGTGAGACCCCGTCTCTACTAAAAATACAAAAAATTAGCAGGGCAAGGTGGCACGCACCTGTAGTCCCAGCTACTCGGGAGGCTGAGGCAGGAGAATCACTTGAATTCGGGAGGCGGAGGTTGCAGTGAGCCAAGATGGCACCACTGCACTCCAGCCTGGGCGACAGAGCGAGACTCTGTCTCGAAGAAAAGAAAATTCCTTTTGGTTTTCCAGGATACAAAGTGTGGAACAAATCTCTGATGACTCCATGTGGGTAAACAACACCAACACCAACACCAACACACATGCAACAGACATTTTACAGTAATCCATACGGATTATTACAAATTACAAAACCAGAAAACAAGCCCCCACACCTCTTGGCTTTACAGTGGAATATACTAAGGAAATAAGTTGCCAGCCCTGGAACGCTCTATTTTTTGGGATGAAGATATGAAAGGTTTGGAAGTCCTTAAGTGTCCACTGCCCTAAGCAATCATTTTTTATATGTTTTATATATGGAAGGTTTATTTATACAATATTCCATAATGACTAACACATTATACCCCTTTTATAAACATTATTCACATACATATTAACTCATAGAGATTCTCTTTGGTCTATTAAAAACACTGTACTTAAAAAAATAAGCAGAGACACAAGTCTATAGTTTTTCTGCTTATGTTTCCTGGAGGCATGAATTTTTCTCTTTATCTATTTGCTCCTTCCTCTTTTTACCCTTAACACCCCTTCCCCCGACCCAAAGTGTAATAATAAGAAACAATATTTCCGGGAGATGCAACTCAGATGTCACCATTAGCAAACTATTCTACTGCACATTTCTGGGTTGACTCATTGTGATCATTCAAGCCCATCCTTGCATCCTTCCTGACATCCCCAACACTTTTTGATCCTTGATCATTTGGAATCTGTATGCTGTGTTTTAAAAAAATATCTGGTTTATCGGCCAAGCAGGTTCGAAGGAAGAGCTAAATCCTTATGAAACCCTCCACTATACCTCATGGAAAGTTCCCAGAGACTTAAAAAGCAGCACGTGCAAAAATTAGGAGTGGTGGTTTCCTATTGCTCAATTGTAAGGCAGAAGCCAATGCATGAAGATGGAAATGTGACTAAGAGGGCTTTGAAGACAAGGTATAAATAGCCAGTGTGCTCAATCCCACCTCTTCCCTTCTCACCTACCACTTGGCAGATAAAGCCAGAACTCTGGGGCTTCTTGTGGTGTATTGTCACCTCCTCCTGTGGTTAACCGAGACAAGGGTGTGGCTAAGAAGTCCAAATTATTCATCGCATTAAAAGATGGCTGCCTGTTTAACCCCTGCATGTGATAGCTTCACATAGAAGAAAACATTTCTGTAACCTCCAGATGCAATCCTTACTCTGCTCATGGTCTGGCTGATGCTGGATCCTGTTTACAAGCAGGGCTGGATGAAAAACTGAGGATGCTTCCTCAGTAAAATTAGGATCTGAACTTTAAAACAACCGACATATCCCAGTGATGCTGCATTTGTGTTATTGTCTTTGATAATCAGAGCAGCATGTGCCTTTAAAAATCAAATTCTTATTGATGTCTTAAGAGAGGAGGAGAAGATGAAAATATATGGTTCAAATAACATCACGGTATATATGAATTTCATTTATGTGAGCAATGTCTCTTGCAGGTTAGCACAGTAATTTTAGAATTGTATCTTAGATTATAGTCTTTTTTTTAAAAACAAGGATTAGAATGTCTTCTAATGGCTTGTTCTTTATGATGACTTATTTATGAACATAAAGGATGCATGGTTATAAGTGATATTTATATCTTTCTACTTGAAATAGCCTCTTTGTAAGCATTGCAGTTTGGTATCTTTCATATAACATCATGGATTTTTTTTCTGAGACTCTTTATGTACCAGGTCTTTATTTTCTTGATCATTATGCTCTATTAGAAATCCCTGGGGTCAGAAGGTATCGGGGAAAAGACAGAATGGAAAAGAATGAAGATGTGGCAGAGGGATGCAGGATGCTTGGTGGGGAGTCGGGCTGGGGGTGATGGCTAGGGGACATTGTGCTGAAGCATTGGCCTCTTCGGATTGAACACCAAAGAGAATATTATGTCATCTGCTACCTCACTCTAAATCTGATCTGGAGAGACAGGCCAGACCACAGAGCTCGAAGGCATTGGATGTCCTGCCTTGTCATTTGTTAGGTGCCAAGCTGTGAGAAATTAGCAAGATAAAGTTTGGCTTTGACAACAGCAGTGAGTAACAGAGGGATGGGAGTTTGGTGTAACCTGTAGCAGCACATGACTCACTTGCTTTCCTCCATTCTGGCCCACCACCCATTAATACTGCAGGTGAAGACAGATTTGCTCTTCCTCCTATTACTCTCCTGTCTTGGAGGCCAGACTATTGGTATCCCTGTACCATCCCTGATGTTCAAGGAATATCATGCAGTCCACAAACTCTCCATTGAGCAGTTTCCATCCCAGCAGATCATTTGCTCTCTTCTGCATCCCAGTTGTCATGAATTCCTCCTGGGAAGATGACCAAGGCAGGCTCTGTAAGGTAAAAAGGATTTCAGAGTCTGTTGTGTGCGAATGCAGCTGGGAAGAACTATAGTTCTTCAGAATTCTTAACATCTTTTGGGCAGAAATTTATCTTCTCCCAGAAGAGATGCTGTGGTCTTCTGAGTGCATCATATCAGGAGGTACACAGTATCTGTTTCCTCATTGCTTGTGATGCTAACTTTGGTGTTTTGGTTAAGGTGTTTGGTACTGTAAAGTTGTGATTTCTTTTTCCTTCAGTGACTAATAAGTATCTTGTGAGGAGATATTCTGAGACTTTTCAAGCTTTCATCCACTAGTTTTAATATTCATTCATGGTTATTGCCTGAACCAATTACTACTGAATGGTTGCCAAATTATTTTTTTTAATTCCATAATTCCTTTTACACTCAGAGGTTGGCACTTGACCATAAGGGAGAGCTTTTCCTTCTCCTACATTTATTTATTTATGTCAGTATAGGCTCAGGGATTCCTATTTCATTCTACCGGTTATCATCCGTTACTGCCAAGCCCCCTACTCCTACTCTAAACCCTGAATCTAATGATGAAGAAACAACAAACACAAATTGAGAGACATTCCATAAAATAAATGGCTTATAATATTCAAAATTCCAAGACCATGAAAGAAAATGAATCTTGAGGAACTGTTCCACATTAAAGGAAACTAAAGAGGTATGACAACTATATGCAAGATGTGGTCTTGAAAGGGGTCCTAGAAAAGACTTTTGAAATAATTTTTCTATAAGGGAAAACAGGACAATTAAAAAATAGAAGGGCAATTGAATAAGACCTGTAGACTAGTTAATAGTACTATATCAACATGATTTTATTATGGTTATGTAAGTGCATATTCTTATTTTTAAAAAATACACACTGAAATGTTTAGGGATAAGTGAGCATTTAGTCTCCAACTTACACTCAAATGGTCCAGAAAAAATAAAAATGAACCTGGTAAAATGTTAACTTTTGGGGAACCTAGTGGGAGAGTTTACAGGAACTCTTTGCACTGTTTTAGCAAACATTTATAAAAGTCTGAAATTATTTCAAAAATAAAAAGTTAAAATCCATGAGCCCCCAGAATTTCTCTGAGGTCTCAAATATTGTATTTTGATGACCAAACTCAACCTGCATTCCTATGATCCTCACACATGTAATCAATATCCTCCCCTCCCTGGCCAATCTCTTGCCTCCTTTCTCTTTCTAGGCTGAGGATGCTCCAGAGGAAAGTGCAGCCAAACCTCTCTGGCAGCCCCTTGTGAGGGGAGGGCAGGTGGTTTGATTGCACATAACAGAAGTTCGATCTTTATGACTTTGTTGCATGGCTCTTGGCCCTTCTGAGTACAAATAAAGTCCAAACTAACCATGCTGGAGGAGGAAAGGAGAAAGCTAAAAGGATGATGGGAAATTGGTTCGATAATTTTCTATCTCCTGTCCAATTTTCTTTCATCTAGACCCTGATTTCTTTTCTGTCCAGGGACTTGTGCTGATGTAACAGGCTAGTTTTCTCTTTGGGGAAACTTTAATAATGATCACAGCCTCATTCTTTGTGGGGGTGGTGTGGAACAGTCAGATCTTACAAGCGGTTTGTGGAAGTCTTATCACATCAATTTGGGGAGTCTTACCTAAACTCCCAACTTACAAAGGCAGAACTAAGATCTTTGGCTCCAGAGACTGAATGTACCAGAGGAGCCCCAATTTTCAAGCAGACAACCACATCTGGGCTCAAAACTGAGCTGCTCTGAGCTCCCAGGGCCTGCAAATGCAATGCAGCACTTCCTCATTAGCTAATGTGCTCCATTCAGCACAACAGCAAGTAAGAGCTGTCAGAGGCTCCAGGTGGCTGCTTTGCATTCAGCGGGAGAAGCAGGCATTCCTTGATAACGAGGATGCATTCTGCGTCTCACCATGTCAATAAATTACACAGGATTTGGAGTTATGCTGTCTTCACTACATACCACTGAACATGGGCGGGGGGTTCATTTTGTTATTTACCAATTTTAGCCCTCAAAAGGAAGGCGGTCTGCCTTAGACATATCCTGCCTCTCCTCCCTGTGCCTAGGTTGGTGCCAGTGCTGATGCTGGGTGTCCACCTATGGAGAAGGTTCAACCTGTTAATATCACAATGGGCCCAGAGATGGCCGCTTTGATCTGTATTATCAGTCTTGGTGTCGGCAGCTGTGAGAATGCCCCTCCCAGATTACAGCATCTGCATCCCAAGCGAGTAGCAGTGGTTTGTTTGCTCTTTTTAACGACATTTATTGTGATGTAACATTTCTGAGAACAAGTGAGGGGCAGGGAAGTAATAAGGAAGTAACTGCCAAGGGAAAGCTGGCTGCCACATTAATCTGACCTTCCAGGTTGTGCTAAATGATGTAGAAAGAACTTCCACTCTAAGATCAACTGACATTTTAATAGGCACCCAAAAAATCCCATCAATGGTAGGAGGTGTGACTTTTCCTAGGCAGGCATTGTGCAGTATGAAGTAGCAGCCCTTATTAGCACTGTCTACAGGCCAGGGGTTTTGGGATTAGGCAGGTAATAATTCTTTGTTTACTGAGCACTCAGAAACCAAGTCTATTTGAAGTAAAAAACAAAAACAAAAACATCACCAAAACCCCCTGATGTCTGGAGATAGCTTTTTCATCCTTTTTTTTTTTTTTTTTTTTTTTTTTTTTACATGGAATTTCGCCATTGTGCCCAAGGCTGGAGTACAGTGGTGCCACCTTGGTTCACTGCAACCTCCGCCTCCCGGGTAGCTGGGATTACAGGTGCCCACTACCATGCCCAGCTAATTTTTGTATTTTTAGTAGAGATGGGGTTTTGCCATGTTGGCCAGGCTGGTCTCAAACTCCTGACTTCAGTTGATCCACCCGCCTTGGCCTCCCAAAGTGCTAGGATTATAGGCATGAACCACTCTGTCTGTACTTTCACTCAACCTTAACTGAGGTGGAAAGCAGTTAGCAGCCACAGACTGGAGCCAGATTGCCTGGGTTTATTTCCAAACCCCACAGTTCCTAGCCTTGTGACCCCATGGACGTTTTTTAATCTCTCTAGGCCTTAGTTTCTACGATTAACATGGGGGTAGTAATAGTATTTATTTTATCTGTTTGTGGGAATTTTAAATAAGTCGATGTTTGATATAAGTAAAGCACATAGAATAGTGTCTGACACATAGCAGGTGCTCTATAATTGTTGGCTCAAAATTATTATTATAGATTAAAAGACCTCCTGAAGGATATTTCTTGTGATCCTGCTTCATAATTATCTCAAAGAATAGAAAATCCTACAGGTAGAAACAGGTCATTAAACAGTGGCTGTCACATTTGTTACTGGAGTTTCTTATGCCCTAAAAACCTGTCTCAGTTTCCTAAGTTGAGTTCTTTAAACTTTACATTCCTGTCTATCAAAGGATAATAATGGATAGTAACAAAGATAATAATACCTTAGTGTTTATTTTGTATGGTGTTGTGAGATGTCTTCTATTATTATTCCCTTTATATAGATGAGAAAACTGAGACTTAGATAGGTGAAGTGACTTACCTAAAGTCACACAGCAAGTCACACTTTAGGTACAACTCAGGTGTTCCAAATCTATAGCCTGGGCTTTGAAATGCTGTGCCAGAGAAAGGTTGGGGGAGTGAGGGGGAGACAGAAACAGAGAGAGAGAGAGAGAGAGAGAGGGCAGAGGGCTGAAGGGAGGAAGAGAAGAGACTCACAACTAGTAATAAGTATTTTCTGAATGAGTAAGTGGGTGCAGAAATTCAATAACTATACCCTAATGATAACGAAGGAAATTATATTTTATGTTTCATGTATACAATTCCAAACAACCATTTTGGCTGGTTTTTTTGTTTTGTTTTGTTTTGTTTTTTTTTTAGATGTCAGTTTGCTTATTGTTTGCTGCCTAGTTACTGCTTTAAAGCACTGCCAGGGCCAGTTCCTCTGAAAGGTGAGTTCTTAAGATCTCACAGTCCTGAATGCTGGTGCCTAAGCCAAGTCCCTCGTTGTAGAGATGGGGAACGCGGTGGAGAAAAGGGCGGTAATTTGCCTCTCCGCTTGTAATAACTCCAGTGGCATCTTCCCTATGTTCATCCTTCCTATGACAGGCCTTCTTGTCAGGATAAAAGGGGATTCATTTATTCTCCAATTGTTCATTCAACAAATACTTATTGTATGATAAAAAATGTTTGATAAATGAAAAAGTGTTAATGGCGGTGAAACCCCGTCTCTACTAAAAATACAAAAAATTAGCCGGGCGTGGTGTTGGGCGCCTGTAGTCCCAGCTACTCGGGAGGCTGAGGCAGGAGAATGGCGTGAACCCGGGAGGCGGAGCTTGCAGTGAGCCAAGATCGCGCCTCTGTACTCCAGCCTGGGCGACAGAGCGAGACTCTGTCTCAAAAAAAAAAAAAAAAAAAAAGAGTGTTAATGAAACCTACCCCATGGAGAGTTTCATGGACAGGGGACAGGTTGAGCTTGTTCCTGCTATTCCCACTATGCTGCGTGTCTGGTTCCCTCTTAGTCTTCGGGTCTCAACTCGAATGTCATCCCTTTGGAGAACCTTCCCTGGCCACCCTACGTAATATAGCTCATGCCCCTCAGCCATTCTCTGTCCCATCACTTTGTTTCTTTCATAACATCTGACATGTAGAAATTCTCCTGCTTCTTTGCCATTTACTCCACTTCCTGCAGGTAGGAACCTTATCTGTGTTGTTCACTGCTGTATCCCAACTGTACGGAACAACACCTGGCACATAGCCCATAGTAGATGCTCAGTTGATATCCGTTGAAAAAAAAATGAGTAAGTGAATGAAGTGACATTGATTTTTGCCCAGGAAGAAAACATTCTGCGACTTTAAATGGAGATGGAGTGGGAGCAGCACTTGCCTGGAGCCCATAGGTCATAATGGACGCCCAGCGGGGGTTTAATCAGCATTTTCTGAATTACAAAGTGTGCCAGGGACATTTAATTTCTGTTAATTGGCACCAAGGAGGAGAGGTTGTTATCGAAATCACCAGCCAGCTGGAAGCATGTCCGTGTCAGACCTATTTGCAAATCAGAATGGACATTTCATAAACTGTGTCAACCTTGGGAAGCTGCAAGTGCCCAGAGGGGCAACACTAATGTGCTTGCTGGCTGCATTCTGGGGTACACACAGCCCTAAATCTGAAACCTTCAGCAGATGAGGTGGTGAGGCCGTGGGGACCACCAGATGAGAAAAGACTGACGAGGATTATGGCATAAAATGCATTTTAAAATAATTGTCATATTGCCCCAACCCTGGCACCGTTGACCAGCTTATCTGAAAGGTCAGAGAACAAAGAAGCTGAGATTTCTTGTCCTTCAGAGCTGGCCCCATCTTTGCTAACGGTTGCCCTGGACAAGGGGACAATAATACAACTCATGGGGGGCTTGTGAAGATTAAATGAGAAAATGAATGTAAATAATGATAATGGTAGCAAACATTAAAGTATTTTCTTGTGCTAGGCACTGTGCTAATGACTATTTACATTGTCTCACTTAATCCCCACCAAACCACTTGAGGAAAGCACAATTAATACCTGCATTTTACAAGGGAGGGAACTACAGGTTGGAAAAGTTAAATGACTTGCCCATGATGACACAGCAGGGAAACACGGGGCCTGTATTTGGATCCAGGTCATCTGACTCTACTGGGCTCTTAGCAACCCTGTAGTTACAAACCCTCTAAGGGATTCACTAGGTACCTGCATTTAGTCAACAACTAATGAATGGCAGCTAGTAAGAGATTCTGTTCTTTTTTTTTTAAGATGGAGTCTCACTCTGTTGCCAGGCTGGAGTGCAATGGTGCAATGTTGGCTCACTGCAACCTCTGCCTCCCGGGTTCAAGTGATTCCCCTGCCTCAGCCTCCCAAGTAGCTGGGACTACAGGTGCCCGCCACCACGTCTGGCTAATTTTTGTATTTTTAATAGAGACGGGGTTTCACCATATTGGCCAGGCTGGTCTCAAACTCCTGACCTTGTGATCCGCCTGCCTCAGCCTCCCAAAGTGCTGGAATTACAGGCGTGAGCCACCATGCCCAGCCTGAGATTCTATTTTTATATTTAGCATTCTTCTTGCTCATCCTGCTTTCAAGCCCATGTCATCCTGCAAACTTCTCCAACAGCTACCACTTCTGGGTCCCTTTCTGCATACCAACATCTGGCCTCGTGTCACTTGATTTTCCCAATCACAGTGTGAAGTGCTGATTATTGTTCCCACTTTTCTGATGAGTAAAGAAAGGCTCAGAGAGGTTTGTTAACTTGGTTCAAGGTCAGATAGCTGACAAGTGGGGTCAGGATTTGAACCCAGGGATATATGACTCCAGAGTCCAGGCACTTCCCTTTTCATGTCACATTTCTCTGTGCTGCTCATTTTTCAAAATCTTTCTTCTTCACGAAGCTCTCTTAACAACTAAAACACTCTCACTGTTCTCTCCTCTCACTTCTGTCTGATAGAGCCTAGCTTGCTATTGTACTCTGTTTTGAATTGTGCCTCTACATCCAATAAATGGTAATAGCTACCACTTATTGAACAATTCTATGTACCCAATACCATACTCAGAGCTGGACATGCCTGAACTTGCTAAATCCTGCTGAGAACTCTACTAGGAGGTGCATAGTCTGATCCTCATTTTACAAATGAGAAAACGAGGTCTAGGGTTGTGTCACTTTTCCAAGTTTCTTTAGTTATTTGCCAAAGGAAACATAGCTAGTAACAAAGCTGTGACAAAGATCCAGGTGATCCAGTTCCAAATCTCATCATCCCAGCTATTATATTAATTACTTCTCCAGATCTTGTGACATTCTAGTGGACTGGGAACATAGCTGGTCCTTGACTGATGCTTTTAGTTCTCTGTTGGAGGCCCCCATAACAAAGAAGTCCTAAGCTCCAAAACTTGCCAACATCTAAAAACAACTTACGCTTAAAAAAGAATTCAGCTTATAAATAGAATGTGCAGAACAGAATATTTAGAAATGTAGTTCTGATATCTAAAATTAGCCTTCCCTTCAAAACAGTATCACCCCTTCTGACTGTTTGACTGTTGTTCCTTGTCGTGGAGGCTAGCGCTATCTAAGCTGTGACTGACATGTCCTCTTCGTGCAATGCAGTCCTCTACCCTCTCCTTGACAGAGACATAAGACATCTCTTATGGAATTGGAGAGAAGGTGGTGGTGGGGCTTGCAGGAATCTGGGTACAACCTTTTGAAGGCACTATTTATTTGAATTCCTTTTTGGACCTCCAGGCCTGTTTTAGCTGCCTCTGTACATTTTGATTCAAGCTTCCTTTCTACTTATTTGTGAGGGTCTCCTGAATGCAAATAGCCTTCACAATCCTCTTGGATGGTCAGGGAGTTGTGATTCTCATGGGAAGGTCATTAGGATGGTGCTAGCCTCCAGGACATGTGTGACCTATAGCAGTCAAACCCTGACATCAAAAATGGCTCTCATTAAGTCGGTCGGTCATGCTAGCACTGATTCCAAGAGCATTAACACAAAATGCACATAGTGCACAAAACAGCCTCTGCAGATGTCTTTTGCCTTTCTCCCTAGGCCTTGGCTGGCATCCTTTTAGTCCTTATCAGGCTGCAGCTCTTGTCCATCCAGCAGTGACCCCATTTGCCTAATTAGTTTGCATCTGTGGGTGTGTATCTACCCCCCAAAAGAAATTGCATTTGAACTTCGGATAAACACCAGCAAGGAACACTGGAAGAAGATGTCAGCTCTCTGAGCCCTTTTGTTCCTGCAGAGGAGATGGAAGTGGGGGTCATTTTGGAGATCATATCCCTCTTCTTGTGGGACTCTGCTCTGTATCATTTAGAGTGAGGACAGGCAAAACCAGAAATAATCTCATGAAGAGAGAGTGACCTGGGGAATGCAAAATGATCATTGTGTTTTGATGTCAATGATCCAGAACCACATTGTAAGCTTCAGTTCTTTTTCAAGTGGCTTGGCTGTGTCTGGCAACTTTTGGAGCAGGGGTAGATTTGCTTTTTGGATTTCTCTGTGCATAAAACTCTCAGTTATCTTACTTCTCACCCCTACTTGTTGGACAGCAAGACCTAACCTCATGGTTTTTTTCTGGGAGGGCTTGACCCTGTGAGACAAACCCTCCTCCATCTCCAGCCCCATCCTAGCAAACTCAGCGGCACATCTCATTTGTCCATGCTCTCCAATCTCAACCACGTTGATAGTTGCCATTGAGAAGAGGGATTAAGGTTTTGGCTTAGAGTCCTGGGTTCTAGTCCTTATTGCCTTGGACAGGTCATTTGACCTCTGAGTCTCAATTCTAATCTTCAAAATGGGAAAATAGCAGTACTTCTGTCATAGGGTTGGGTAGAATTAAATGACACAATGTATGTAGCATGTAAAGTGCTTGGCATGTAGTAGGTGCTTGATACATGATGGCAATTATTGCTGGATGAGGAGTCAGAGATGCTTTTTTTTTTTTTTCAGTTTCCATTATACCTCAAACTAGTTTTGTGATCTTAAACAAGGAATTGAAACATTCTGAGTCTCAGTTTTCTGATCTGTAGTCTGGAGGCAAAAATAGCATTTTTCAGGCCAGGCATGGTGGCTCACACCTGTAATCTCAGCACTTTGGGAGGGTGAGGCAGGCAGATCGGTAGAGCCCAGGAGTTCGAGACCAGTCTGGGTAACATAGCAAAACCCTACCTCTACAAAAAATACAAAAATTAGCTGGGTGTGGTGGCACACGCCTGTAGTCCCAGCTACTTGTGGGGGTGAGGTGGGAGAATCACTTGAGCCGGGGCTGTTGAGGGTGCAGTGAGCCGAGATTGTGCCACTGCACTCCAGACTGGGTGACAGGAGTGTGACCTTGTCTCAAAAAAACAAACAAAAAATAAACAAGCATTTCCCTGCATACCTCACAAGGTTCTTATGATAATTTATTAAAAGATTGATAGCAGCAGCAGCAGCAGCAGCAAGATCTCATTTCAGTTTCAGATTCTGAGAAGCTGCTTTTGGTTTCTATGGTTGGCTACCTTGAGGTCCCAGGCAAGGCCCAGAGAGTTACTTTAAAAGCCCCCAAATCACTTAAAAGCCCTCAAGCAATTTGGGCATGGCCACAACCTGTATTTCCCCATTCAGAAGCAACAAGGTCTCCCAAAACAGATGTAGTTGGAAAAATTCTTGACAAAATTCCTCCAAACCAGAAATTCTCAAAACCAGACATGTTGGCGCATCAAAATCAGTTCCCAGCAATGAATCAAAGCCTTAGAATCTCAGGCACAGAAGCCAGATGGGAGCTCAAATCTTCAGGCAGAATATCTACGGCCTTAGGTTGCAATATCTGCTTTGAGTAGTGTTTACCAAATATCTCTATGGGTTGCACTAAAAATTCCATATGGTATATGTGTGGGAGAATTACACGGGAAGGATAAGTGTGGGATGCAGGATAGTGGTTGTGAGGGAGGTTGTGGGGAGGGGAAGAAAGAAATGGGACTGGGAGAGGCACACAGTGGACTTCAGTGGTATTGACAATTACTATTTTTAAAAAAGCTGAGTGGCAGGTATATGATTATTTTTATGATCCTGTATAATTACATATGTGTACAGACATATATTTCATATGTGTGAAGCATTTAATAATAAAAAGGGGAGAAAAGCAGAAAGGAGGCCCCAAATCCAGAAAAGATCCCACCTCGCTGCCTTCTATTTGTCAAAGTGTAGATCAGTGGGCATAGGGCCACCTGGGAACACTGTTTCTGCTTTGGTCTAGGACATAATCTAGGCCTGGAAAACAGTCTGCTCGATCATTTAACATTGCTCTATTTCAAGTAAAATGTCCTTGTATGATTTATTCTCCATGACACCAATTTGCTACGAGGATATTTGGAGTTAACGTCTCTGGTTTGGTCCTGCCTGCCAAACACATTCCCTAAGTGACTGTCTTTCATGGTCAGATGAGAGGTTTCTGGAAGTGCTAGTACTATCTTCTCTTAGCTAAAGAGAGAATCTTTTCTCTCAAGATATAAACAAGAGAAGCATCAGTGGCGGCAGCTGCTGGCCCGGCACTGCCCCGTGCCAGCTCGCTAAGCACTTGGTCCCAGCTGGAGAGACTTGATAGGACTTTGCCGTTCTGCCTGCCACAGCTGTTCACTTCTCAGGAAGGGAGTCCAGAAGCTATGTGGCTGCCTGTGTGGTCAGACGTGGGTGAGAAGATGAGGATGGATGCTTGCTCCTCTCATGGAAACAGATAACTTCCGTACCTGCCAAACCAATGGCAGAGGAGCTGGGAAGCTCACAGGCATTGCTGAGGCCTTTGAAGATGTTAGCTGAGAAAGGCAGACCAGCCAGCATGGAGCTGCCCTCCCTCCCACTCAGCGCCTTTCCTAGGCCAAGGACCAGGTGAAGGTGATTGTCAAAGGCTGGACAGTGGTCAGGAGCGGGCTGGGATGAGTGCTGGGCTTGTTAGCAGAGCTCTTAGCTTTTGAGTGACCTCTCTGGGTCCTACACTGTACTCCAGGGTCACAGTTAAGATATTTAGCAACCAGGATGGCATAGGCACCGGCCAATTGGAATGGAGAAGGGCTTTATTGCTGGAGGTCTTAGCTGCACCTGGCCTGAGCTTTTAGGTGCTGGATGGTAGAGCGATGGGGAGGACCTGAGGGAAGGACCGGGGTGTGGGTGTGGGCAGGCCTTGGGGAGCTCAGAGCATCCACTGTTCACCTATCAGTACAAACCTCTTTCAACATTCTACCAACCAGTGTTGCCACACTCCTGCTGGATGTCAGGGCTGAATGTTGGCTCTGCCATGCCGTATGAGAAAGGTGGATTGGAGCCTCACACTTTATGTGAATCAGAATCACTTGGGGATATTGTTAAAAACAGACACCCAGAACCCGCCTTCAAACTACTGAGTGAGACTCTCTAGGGCCCAGGCCAGGCTTACTACACTCCTAAGTCCTGAGTGTCCTGGATCAGCTGATCCCTAAGTATTCGGCTGCGACTTTCTAGGGGGTTATGAGGACTTGAGAGATGCGGTCCTGCACAGTCTCTGGAGGGAATGTGCCTAATTCAGGGGCAGGTCACGTGGGTGAGTGAAGCAGGCTGCTGTGGCGCAGTATGTTGAAGAATGAATGTTCATTTATTTGAAGCCGCCTTGACCCTGATCCAGCCGCCTGGGTTGCTGCTGCCGGGGAAGGCAGGCCTGGTGTGGACGGACCCCCTGACTTTTCAAGACACACTGGAGGTCACTGAGCCATGTTTTGAGTCAGTTCTGCATCTCATCAAGACACAGGTAGGGGCGCTGCTTTAAACTCTTCCTGCTCTGAAAGCCCTGTCTGTGGGATGGGTGAAGGGTGGAGGAGGTGAGGCGGGTTCCACACACACAGGGAAGGAGACAAGTCCTAAGTAAGGATCTTGATGCTGCTCAATGGGACCATTTCCTCAGGTATGGTCCTCAGAGTATGTCCCCAGCTGGGCATGACCCGCCTTCCCCACTCAGATGTCTCCCATTTTCCCCCAATCAAATCCTACTCTTAGCACTTTTCATAGCACCAAGATGCCAGAGTCTGACCACGGGGCAAAGGGGCACTCTTCCTAGGTACTGTCTGAACCTTAGTTGAGGGGTGATGCTCTCACAGGATGGAATTTTCACCTTCAGACTTGAGGGGCTGGGGTTCTACCTGGGATCTCTGGAATGTTCCACAAAGGAATAAATTCCTCTAAGTATTAAGTGAATTTGGGTCCATTGCTACATTTAAACCCAAATGCTGAAGATCTTTTCCTGCTTGAAATACCCTTTTTCCCACCACTTTGTGTATCTGACTCTCTCTTTTCCTTCAGGACTCAGCTTAGACTGTGTTCTACTTCCAAGACTAGTCTGTGTCAGTCTCCTTTTAGCACCACAGTCCTGGGCAGGCCCTTCTGTTAGAATTTCTTCACTGGAAATTTCAACAGCCTGCTTGCTTAAAAACATCCCAGTCTAAAATTTATTAGGTGTTCATGATGCCAGCACTGTTTAAGTCACTTTGTATCATTATCTCAGATAATCCTCATAATAGCCCATTGAGGTTGGCACTACACTGTATTATTCCTATGTAAGAAAACGAGGCTCTGAGAGATTAAGTAACTGGCCTGACATCCCATGGCCAGAAAGTGGTAAATGAAGACCTGAACTGTATTTGTGCGCAGCCGAGCGTTCTAGGCTCTTTCGCATTTGCAGCCAAAAATGCACTCTGCTGCCTCCTGGCAGTCCAGAGTCAGCATCCTGAAGTCAAGGATGGGTTTTTGGTTCATGGAGCAAGTCCCAAGTTGGGCTCTGAAGTCAGACAGTTTGAGACTGTGTCCTTGCTCTGCCATCATCTGTGGTTAACTTTCAAGCTTCAGTTTCCTTGGCTCTGAAATGGGGACAATCTACCTGCCTTATAGGGATATGGTGGAAATTACATGAGGGGATGTGTTTATCATCTTCCTTGCTGTGTCTAGCACACAGTAAATATTAAAAACATGTTGGGGCTGGGTGTGGTGGCTCACGCCTGTAATCCCAGCACTTGGGATGCCAAGGCATGAGGAGGCCAAGCCGAGGAGTTTGAGGCTAGCCTGGGCAACACAGTGAGACTTCATCTCTACAAAAAATAAAACAATAAATTTACAAAGCATGTTGGTGGAATGAATGAGTTAAAGCTGCCAGTGAAGCCAACTTTTACTTGGAAAAAACATCCTTTGTCCCTTTCAAACCCTCTTAAAACTCCACAAAGATGGGATTTTCTTTGGGAGAGGGTGAGTTTGATGCTGCACATGGGTGAAGAGACTGGAGGGAGTGGAGGTGGCAAGTCTTGGAGTTGTTTGCATCTCTCAGAGAGGTTATCCCAAAGAGATAATAAATAGATGGTGGGAGAAGAATATTTCATTTCATTTGGAAGGCATGGACATCTCCATTCCATCTAAGCACCCTGCTTGTCAGCCACAAAACTTAAAAATTAACTGGATACATTGCCACTGAGGGATAGACTAAATATTTGGTCGGCCAGTCATGCCATATCTGTGCCACTCTGAGTGTAGAGTAGACTGCTAAACATTGCTAAACTCATTGAGAGTGCTTTTTGGGTAAAGATGAGGTATAGGTACTTATATTTTGACAAATCACACAATGCCTCCCTGTCCTTGGGACTTTATCTCATTTCTCCATCTGGATTATTATATTTAGTTCAATGAGGCATGGATTTGGGCATGTTGATTTTGTGGACCTAATGGGTCAATATCTCATGTTTGTTTGGGTCCACAAACATCAGATATTGACCCAAAGTTTGTGAGATGTGGACCCAAACGTGATTGAGATAGCTAGAACAACGTGCTGTCATGTTGGCTCTACCAGCCCCAAAGGTCTGACACAATGGCAGTATTTTATGGGAGGAGTATGGTTTTGTTTTGTTTTATTAAGGTCTGGAAAAAGTCTGTGGACAATTCTGTTTGCCGAGTGTGTGAGTGGGTGTGTAAAAGATACATGTTTTGAATCCCAGGACTTTCAAGAACTATCTAGGGGAAAGGTCTAATTAGACATGCCCCTTCCTCCCTCCCTCCCTGCATCTTTTTCTTTTTCTTTCTCTTTCTTTCTTTCTTTCTTTCTTTCTTTCTTTCTTTCTTTCTTTCTTTCTTTCTTTCCTTCCTTCCTTCCTTCCTTCCTTCCTTCCTTTCCTTCCTTCCTTCCTTCCTTCCTTCCTTCCTTCCTTCCTTCCTTCCTTTCTTTCTTTCTTTCTTTCTTTCTTTCTTTCTTTCTTTCTTTCTTTCTTTCTTTCTTTCTTTCTCTTTCTCTCTCTCTCTTTCTTTCTCTCTCTCTCTCCTCTCTCTCTCTCCCTCTCTCTCTCTCTCTCTCTCTCTCTCTCCCCCTTCCTTCCTTCCCTCCTTCCTTTCTTTTTCTTTCTTTCTATGGCACCCAGCCTTAGTAGCAAATGTTATTTCTGCGTTAAAGTGCCCACATTGATGGGCATGCAATAAATGTTAAATCACAACAATTAAGTTTAATGAGAATTAATGGGTTGTCTCACAGCATTGCCTTGGCTTCCTGGGATGCCTCCTCTACCCTGATTACAAGGCTCTCCCTGGCTGGTCCTGCTCACGTCAGTTCCATCTTAGTGGGGTCATCTAATTTTGCCCCATTCTTCATCGCAGGCTCTGTCCTTCTTTCCTCACCCTGTCAGGGAATGTAAGGTTGCCCCACCCCTTGTCTCCTTTAGCCTCTTCCTGTGCTTTCCCTCAATCCTCTTTCACTCTTACTCTTATGCCTACTTTCTTTCCTCCACATTTTCTTTAACCCCTCCTCTTTCTCCTTCTCCTCTCCCCTGTTTTCTCCTCCAGCCTTCTTTGTCCTACCCTTTTTATAGCAGCTTTCCCCTAGGAAGCACTCCCACCCCAGCCTCGGGCTGCCATGTTCGCACTGGTGTTGTTGCCTTGTGAGTGAAATAGCTCATCTGCCCCAAGTGAGAAGAAAGCAGGGAAAGTCAGGAATATTGCAATGCAAACAATATATATCCAAATATAGATCCTAACCCCAACCCCATATAAAGTTGTTTTTTAGCATGTTGTGCTTTCTTTTTTTCTTTTTTCTTTTTTTAGACAGAATCTCACTCTGTCACCCAGGCTGGAGTGCAGTGGTGCAATCTTGGTTCACTGTAATCTCCGCCTCCCGGGTTCAAGCTATTTTCATGCCTCGGCCTCAAGAGTAGCTGGGATTACAGGTGTGCGCCATCATGCCTGGCTAATTTTTGTATTTTTAGTAGAGATGGGGTTTGATCATGTTGGCCAGGCTGGTCTCAAACTCCTGACCTCAAGTGGTCTGCCCACCTCGGCCTACCAAAGTGCCAGGATTATAGGCATGAGCCACTGCACCTGGCCCACGTTGTGCTTTCTTGAAGTCAGACTATATATCTAAACCCTAACCCCATATAAGATTGTTTGTAAGCACGCTGTGTTTTCTTGAAGTCAGACTGTAGAGCCAGGATGAATTAATTGTCCATAATGCCATACATGGCCCTATCCACAGCCACATGCTTTCTGCTTATCTATTGCATAGGATTATATGTGGGAAAATGGATCGAGAAGCTTAAAGTATGATAATCCTTTGATATTTGGTACTCAGTGATCTCTCTGACCTTCTTAAGTGGAGCATACTCAGGAAGCTGGCTCCTTCTAGTTTTATTGGGTTCTCAGAATGTTCAAAGTATCCACCTCACACCCCGCGCAGAAATCCTCCCTTTGCAGCCAGGATTATGACTTTACAGAGGGAAAAAGATATGGCAGCTACTAGTGGCCAGTGTACAGGCCCCAGAAGATGGCAGAAGTTGTTCTAATGCTTGTTGAGGATATTGTAAGGTCAAAGAAGCAACGCCAACAATCCCACCGTTGTCACACCCCTGCTGCAGCCCCCTTTAGGACACCATAGAAATTCTACACAGTAACACGGGGATGACAAGAGGCCACATACTCCATGCTGGGGCATAAAGTGGGCACGACAATTTTTCACTCCTTGGTCTGAGTAAGCGAGCTTTGTGGCATCAAATCATTATGTTTGTATGTTTGGAAGGCCACGCCATCTATCCTCCCACCCAGGGCAGGAATTTCTGCTCCCACTTTTGCTTTCCTGGAGGTGAAATAGGAAGAACAAGGACCCATGCTCAAGTCCCCAAAGAATGGCAGGATGCCCTCAGTGGAGGCAGACTGTATTTAAATGCAATTCACCTCTTTGGGGTCTAGGAAAAGCCACCCGTAGGTTCATTTGCTGGGAAACACGGTCTGCGTGCCTGAGGCAGTGGACACCAGGGTTGTGGCCTTGCCAAGAGCTGACTTTCTCCGGAGGTCTGTCTGCTGTCCGGAGTGGCAGCCACTTCGGTGGGCAAATAGGACGGTCATCTCTGGGCCCAAGGACGCTGCTTCAGGCTGGGACGCCTTGAGGGTGGCTGGCTGTTCAGGCTTTCCGGAGGTGGGATGGGAGGTGTAATGTTTGGTGGGAGGAGGGCTGTAATTCTGAAATCTCACGGTTTTGACTTGCTGCAAGAGAAAGGAGAGGAAATGGACACAGGTGAGGTGGGAGATGTCTATTTCCCCATGCTTGTCCCCACTTGAAATGTCTCATTTATGTGTTCATTCTGCAAATATCTGTGGCTACCATGAGTGTCAAGTGCTAAGATGGGGGAAGTACAAGATGCTGAGAATGCAGAGGAGCATCTAACTTCAGCTGGAAGTGGAGAAGCCAGGGAAGTCTTCCCAGAAGCTTTAAATTGAGAACCACAAAAGGATTAGGACTTATCTGGGAGAAATAGGGTAGGCCGCCGCCTATAAAAACAGCCTGAGGCAAGAGGGTATGATCCCTTCTGGAAGATTAAAGAAATTTACCTTGCCTCTCTCCTCTCTACGTACTATTAAGGCCAATCTCAAGTTTTTCCTTTTCTTTGAGGCCACTCTCCTGATGACTCCATTTAGAGATTTCCATAATGGCCTTATAAATCCTTAGAGCACAGTTTGCAAACTGGACACCTGCTGGCTGAATTTAGCCTGCAGAATGTTTGAGGGTTTGATCGACTCGCCAACACATAAAAATTGGGAGATTGCATATAAAAATCAGAATTTCATATGTCTCTTAAAAAAAAAATCAAAGCTCTGACGCACTGGGCCTATGGCTCATTCTGACAACAGCTGGCTGGACCTGAGAAGCAGTGCCCCCTTTATATGAGATGCAAGGTCTCCAGTTTATGCCAATTCCCCCTCTTCCTCTTTCCTTTCACATCTCCTAGCCTGTTATATATCTGCTAGGCACCCATAGGTACAGTATTTGCTTTAGCCAGTCTCTATCTCAGGGCCTAATAAAGCGTTCTGTGGTACTGCTCAGGAATGATGTCTTTCTTCCATGTAATGCAACCCTAGTATCCCCCACTAAGATCTGAGTTTCTTCATACGTTCTGATCCTCCTAATATCTAGCCAAGGTCTGGGCATTTATGAAATGCTTATAGTTGTATCTAAAAGCTTGGAGTAATGGGCAACTGGGGCCTAGAAAACTCTGAATTATTTCTATAATTCAGAATAAGAACTCCCAACCTTTATATATGTCAGTGCTTTTTCCAATACCTTTCCCTATGAGCTGATAGCTTAGCAGTAAGAGCATGAGTTTTGCATCAGATCTGGATTCTACTCCACACGTATGTGTCAACTGTGCGGTCTTGGGTAATGTTCTTTAACTCCCTGAGCTGCCATTTCCTAATTTTAAAATGAGGATGAAACTAATGCCTATTTGAGAGGGTTGTTGTCAGGATTAAATATATGGGACACATGAAGTACTCAGCACAGTGCCTGCCAGCTTGTTAGTATTCGATAACTGGTTAACCAATGGGGGAATCGCATCCTCTTTCCGTTCTGAGGGGAATGGACGATGATGGTGGAATGATGCTGATGGCGGTGGTGATGGAGGTGGTGATGGCGATGATGTGATGATGGTGATGTTCATAAATTAAGACAGCAATAAGCATCACCTAACTTTCTTACTGTCCTCTCTTCCCACTATTCCTCCTGCTTCAAGGATATTATTGAGAACATAAGCCTTTTACAAAAACTCTCACGTCTTCTAGTGGGAAATATCCTGGACTAGAAGTTAACAGATCTGACGTCTGCCACAGAGGTCACAATAAGGTAGTTGGAGTCATTATCATTCAGTGTGACCTCGATGTCACTTACATTATCCTGTGCCTCAGTTGCCCCTTTTATACAATGCATAATTATGTGTCAAACCCTATGTAAGCACTTCACATATCTCGTTTAATCTCCACTCCATTACTGTGTGGCCATTACTCTTTCTACCTCCATTTTACAGATTATGCAAACTAAGTGACTCAGAAGGGTGAAGTATTTTGACCAAAGTCACCCAGCTAGCAAGCAGCAAAGCTAGAATTCAAAGCAAGATTCATCTAATGCCAAAGTCATGCTTTTTTTTCAAGCCACTTTTGGGCCTCAAAAGATGTATAAAATATTCAGGAAACATAAAGGCGAATCAGTAACACATGTAGGGAGGGCGTGGGTGATGTTGGGGATGTTGGCCATGGCTCAGTGGGGAGTTGGGGAGGAGGAGTGTTATGTGTGAGGATTCTTTCGAGGCTGCAATTTTGGTTCCTTGTTCACCAACACTAAAATCTCTGAGCTGAGACACTATGCATAGTACGGGATCGAAAGAGTTGGGCCCCCAATGTCACTCTGATCCTACCTTTTCGATGCCATTTCTTGAGTTTTCTGGTTTCACCAGGATGGATGGTGGGGCAGATGCGGGCGGTTTTGGCAGAGGCTCACTCTTGATGGGGATTTCTTTGTCTTCCATAATGAGGGAGCTGGCCGCGGAGTGGATCCAGGCCTCACTGCCCCTGCTGATGCACGTGAGGGCGGGCTCCCCCGTGAGGGCAGGCTTGGACCCCATCTCCACCACCACGGCTGAGGGGGAGGAGGGGATCCCCTGTGGCTGGTAGAATTGGAACTGCTGAGGCCGAAGGACCATGGTGGGGCTGCGTCTGAGGGAGCCTACCACGAGAGTGGGGATCCCGGACTGGAGGGGTCTCTGCAGGGATCCATCTGGGGAATTATAGGACAGAGAGATCAGCAGCAGGGGCGGCTGGCAGTAGGTTGGGTGGGGCTGGGTAAGCAGTGCTTCCTGATATCCCAGAATAGACAAGCGCTTTCCTAATCTGACTGCACTCACATTCTCTCCGGGTCTTTCAAAGGTGACCTTATTCTTTTTTTAGTGCTGTTTGCTGATGCTGGCAGCAAATATCTCTCTGGCTGAATGGTGTGTGTGAGTGTGTATGTGTGTATGTGTGTAGGGGGGCTGTCAGAAGGTATATTGCTTCCATTTGCCTTGTGATACACACACACACACGCACACACACACGTACACACACACACGCGCGCGTGAAGCAGACACAGAGGCAGTCAGACCAAATAGGAAACACATGACAGAATCAGAGATAGGAAATAGAAGACATTGAGAAACACAAAGGAGAGGCAACCGAGAAGAATGAGAGAGAGGAAAAGGAGAAAGAGAGGAGGAGAGAGGAAAACTCTGCCCAGCGACTTGCTGTGAAAATCTTGACAGAAGCTTTAGGCATGTGGCAGGTGGGGGTTGCTTTTTGTCGGGGGCTGCAGGGAGAAAGGGTGAGTGGCAAGGGCTAGGCAAGCACAACAGCAGACAAAGGCAAATTTGGAAAGGTTATTCCACAGTTAGGGCTGTGAGGATGGGCTTTGCAATGTCTCATGACAGAGGATCTGGAATCAGACCTCCTCCTGGAAAGCCTGGGATGAGTTAAGTCACGTCACCTCTCTGCACCTCAGTTCTCTCGTTTGTAAGCTGGAGATAATAACAGTACATCATTGGGCTGCTGTGAGGATTGCATTCTATTTGGTGTGCAAAGTATCAGGATAGTGCCTGGAATATGATAAATGCCGCATGTCTGTTAGCTATCATTATTTTTGGGTAAAGGATCACATATCCTAAAAATGCAAGGTCCAAGAGCTTGGTTTTGTCCCTTCCTGAGCTCATTGTTTTTCTTTTCCTTTTTTTTTTTTTTTTAAATTGAGATGGTCCTGTCTCAGGAAAAGGTCATTTCTTCCCCTCAAATTCTCTGGAAGGCAGGAGATCCCCATCCATTGGACATATATCCTGTAGGTGACCTGGGGAATCAGGAGTTCATTGCATTCTGTGGGGAAGTGGAGGAGACACCCATGAGAAACACACTGGGCCATTTCTCCATAGGGGCCCCTCAGCATTTAGAGAAGCTGTAGGTTTTGTCCCAGCCAGCGTTGTTAGTCCTTTGTGACACTCCAAGGACTTGAGTTTGAATCAAAGTCATTTGTGTCCAGCACAGAGGGTCTGAGCCAAGGCCACGTCTGCATCGTGACTTCTTATTAAGCCAGATGTGTACATGAAAAGCAGGACACTCGCTAAACACAGTCGGTGTCCTCAGCTGCTGCAAGCAAGACAGTCACCATCTACACAAGTGTGACCCTTTCAATTTAGACATTTATTTTTCCACTAACGGCCCTGTGGGGTTCACGCAGTCAATTCTCCTGCCATTTCTCTTTGCTCTGGAGAGACTGATAGCTTGCCAGCCTCACCTTGGGAAAAGAGAGAAAGAGAAAGCCTCCCGGACCTGGGAAGTCAAAGCAGCACCAGGCAGACATGTCCTTAGGCTCTTGTAAATGTGTGAAAAATTGGCTTTATGCCTTATCTATTTATCTTGTCAATTCCTAATTTCCAAGAGATTTAATGCTTTCTTATTACATGTGTATACAATGCAAGCAGTCGAGGCTCCATGCCAATCAAGGTTTTGCAAAGGTGGAGAGGGAGTATATTAAGGAAAGTGTGAGCAATTGCTTTCAGGATGCAACTCTGCATACCTAAGTGGTCTAGACTGAGTGTGAACATTTCTCGTTTTTTAAATCAAATATATATATATAGATAGATAGATAGATAGAGAGAGAGAGAGAGAGAGAGAGAGAGAGAGAGAGAGAGACACTAACAGCCCAGACTGGAGTACAGTAGGAGATTGTAGCTCACTGCAGTCTCAACCTTCCCGGCTCAAGCCATCCTCCTGCCTCAGCCCCAAAAGTAGCTGAGACCACAGGCAAGTGCCACCATACTTGGTTTGTTCTTTTAATTTTTTTTTTAGAGATGAGGTCTCACTATATTGCCCAGGCTGGTCTTGAACTCCTGAGCTCAAGTAATGTTCCCACCTCAGCCTCCCAAAGTGCTAGGGTTACAGGTGTGAGCCACACACATTCAGCCGTGTATGAACCTTTCAACCTTAAGTGAGTTCGTGCTCTGGATGGACCAAAGATGATCTTGATTGCAGTAGCAATGATAGTAATAAAAAAATACTATAAAAAACTAATGTTTCCTGACAGATTATTATGTGCCAGGCACTGTGCTATCAGCCATATATGGGTTGTTTTATTAAGTTAACCCTGATGAGGTAGGAATTTTTATTTCCCATTTACAGAAGAGTGAACTGAAGGCAGAAGAAATTAGTCATTTTCCCAAGGCTGTTGTGGTGGGATTACTTATTGTGTGTGTGTGTTGTGGGGAGAGGTGGAGGGAGGTACAGGAAGGTGATGGAGGGAGGCATAGTTGGGTGGAATGAAGTGCCCAGAGTCATGGGACTGGTAGTCAAACAGGCTGTCAGATGAAGGCACTGGACAGCGAAGCTAAGATATGTGCTTTCTTTTTAAGGGGAGATCTTTCCTTAAAAAGGGGCATATTGTCCCACACGTTACTCTTCTGTATTGACCAATCCTATTGCGTTTTCATGTTAATTCATCTGTTAAGATCACAAGAGAGATCGCAGAGCTTAGTTTAATTCAGGGAACATAGAATAAATCATATTTTCTGGGCTTGGCTTGTTGTCTTCTTCTACAGAGGTATAAGAAAATAAAATCTTGATTTTTGTAGAAGAATTGGGTTTCAAACACTTTTTACAATGCCTGAAAAGGAAATCTTATGTAGAAGTTCACTATGTGAAGAGACAAAAGCATAGTTCTCAAGAATCTGTATGTACTGCCATGTGTGCAATGTGGATGTTATGATGGTAAAAATAAAGCAAGGTGTAGAACAATGCAGTGAGTATGGTTAACAGGTGTGTGTGTTTCCATCTGTCTATCTATGGAAGAGAACTTGGGACTCAGGGTTAAGGATATGAGGGAGATTTGCTTTTGTCCAGTTCGTATACTGTAAACCTTTTTAAAAAAGTTCTATGCATTCATTACTTAAATAACATGGTGGGAATCAGGGGCTCTGATCACTGCCTCCTTAATCCTCATTTCCTACTCCCACGCCCTGCCCATCCACCCCATTCTTCTGTTTCTCCTGTGGCACCCGCTGAGGGATTCCTTGGAATACAGTTTGAGAAGCACTGACCCAGCAAATGCTTTCATCACTGTGTCTTAATAAGAGCCAGTGTCCACGTTGGCCATGTTCTAATTACATGTTGGCACTCAGGGCTGCCATCACCCCAGTCATTCAACAAGCATGTATGAAGTAACCTAGGGCCATCACCTTGAGTTGGTATGACTTCATTCAATAAAACTCATCATTTGGGAATTGTATAATACCCTTTGCAGGGGCTTAGTTTAAAGCCAAGATCCTGTTTTTGCAAAAAGCATCCTGTGTACCCCTGGGTCAGATTCCCCCCATCACTTAGCTCTAGGCACGTACCTCTCTGCCACCACTTACTCTTTCTCATGCTGCTCCGCCCTTTCCGAAGAGACCCTTGTCCTAAAGTCCCAGGGCCGGCTGTGCTTCTCACGGGGTTGACTATGGCAGTGGGCACAAAGACGGATTTGAAGGGACGGCTTTGCCGTGGATCACCTTCTGAAATGCTGCCTTGGGAGGACACAGAGGAGGTGGATAACGTCCATGTGGTGTAGAGACCAGGGCTCCGGGAGTCTGGAAAACTAGAGGTCTTTCTGGTTTTGGAAAATTTTTTTTTTAAGAGAAGAAATAGAGAAAGAAAATGTTCAGTCAAGAGTCCTATTTAAAAACCTATCAGCTCCCAACCACATACCAAATGTGGCTACTTCTCACCTTCTTCCCACCCATACACACCCATTTTGTGAACTACAGGCTTAACTAAAGTTGGCCCCACCTCCCTACACCCGGATAACTGTGAGGGTGTGCTGAGGGAAGGAAGGGGGGCTCATATCAAGGCCTTGGTGGAGCTAGAAGACTTGAATTTCATCCTTTTTCACTCCAGTTCTGATCATTCCTCACCCCACATCCCTTTAGCTCTTAAGCTCAGAGCATAAGATCCTATATGTGTTTATTTCGTTTTACAGTGGCAATTTCTTGTTGAGTCAGTGACTTTTTCACAAATTCCAAAGTCTTTGAAGGCAGAGATTTCATATGACTTATATATCTGTGTTCTGCATATACTGTGGATCAATAAACATTTGTTAAATGTCTGCTATGCTGCTTTCAGCACTGACACATCATTTTGGCTAACACATATAGAGTGCTTACTGTATGCCAGGTATTGGCCAAGTGCTTTGCCCATATTTTCTCATGGGTTCTTTACAATAGTCCTCTAAGCTAGGTACTCTTAGTGCCACTATTTTATAAATAAAAAAACACAAAGACTTATACAGTTGGTTGCCCAAGCAGCTACTTGAACCCAGGTCTAGGCTGGCTCTCTGTTCTTACCAGTGAGCTATACCACCTCCTGGCTAGTTGGAGCATTCATCATTTGGTGGCAGGAAAAGTCCTTTATTCTGCCTGCAACAAATGAACTAAAGCAGATGGTAGGCCCTACACATGCCTCCATAAGACTTTAATTCTTCAGCCTTGGGCTATGATTTTCAAGAATTTCATTAAAGTTTTATGAAACAACAATCCCTTATCCACTGTTTCCAGACTGCAGCTCCCTGAACTCCATGGGGAGTGACTGTCATTTTACATGCCTTTCTTGCCCTTTTACCAATCCATTCCCAACATCACATTTCCTATTGAGCAGTCCATTAATCACCTTGTCACCCTGTTGATTAAGTAACCTCTGCTAATTTCCTGGGAATAACCAACTCAACTAAGACCCTGGCACAGAGATGCCAAATGGTTTCCTTCTTACCAATGCCTCCAAGTTTTCCTTTAGGTCATTTACCCTCATTTCTCCTCTCTCTCTTTGTCTTTCCTTCTTTTGATTGACAAAGTAATATGTAGTTTAACAACAAGCCAGTATTGTACGAAGATAAGTAAGGCATTGTTTAATTGTGGTCAGTGCTGCCTGAGAAGTATATTCAACCAAGTGCTCTAGGAACTGATGGTCGCAGCAAGGGGACTTCAACCTGTCTCTGGTCCCCATGGTGGTGTTGTCAGTGAAAACGAGTACGGCTGTTCATTAGAGAGAGGTCAGACTATATTCTGGGGACAAGGCCTGGGCAGTGGGAAGAAATCTCCAGCATTGGCTTCCATGCCAGAGTGCAACTGATCTGCCTGTCTTTTGAACAGAGGCCTCAAGGTGTTGGATGCTGCAAAGTGGACTGGCAACAGGAAAGACAAATTTCAAATTTTTTCGCAGCAGTAGCAGCAGCAGCAAGGGCAGCATACAGCTAATTAGGCCCACACCAGCCTTATTCCATCAGTCCCCTTTTTGAATGACTCTTTATAGACCAAGGTGTGACCTCATTTTTCTGAGCTCAGCACTGAGCTGGATTCCAGGAACTTCTAAATCCCAAGTCTCCCATCCAACACTGAGTGCCTCTATGTCTTTTGGCAGAAAGCTCAGCACTTATCTAGCACTTTCTTCCAATGTCAAAACACTTTGCTATCATATATTAACCCCCAGGACACCCCCAGACCTGCAGACATTATGATCTTTGTTTTCCAGATGGAGAGACTGAAAAGCATTCTGGGCTTAGGTGGGAAGAGTGGATGTTGCCTCTGATTTGCTCCACCGTGCAGGTCCCTGCGTCCTTTTCTCTAACTGGGATGTTAGCCCTTAAGAGCTGGCCCAATATTCAAAAAGGGCATCACAAACAGCAGCTCTACTGTGTTCACCACTGGCAGCAGCCTCCCAGTAAGGAGAACAGTTGGATCTTGACAATTTTTGTATAGCTTTGTGTAGAGTTAAAGGCAAATGAGTGGTGGCCCATTTGTCACTTTTCTCCACCCATAAGGCACCAGGTAGGCATATGTCTGCGAAAGTTGCAAGAAAGAGGAAGATCCTGGCTAATTGGGCAGAAGGGTATTTATTAGGAGGACAGGAAGAAGAGTAGAGGACTTGGAAACAAGATCCAAGGAAGCTACAGGGAGCTCAGCAGCAGGAAGAGTCCAATCATATGCTGTGGCTGGTGTTCTCACATCGAGTGGTCTTCAACTTTGCCCCCATCTTTTCCTCCCTTGTTCAAGTTTCCAAATCCCAAGAGGGAATGTCATATTGGCTGAGACTGACCCTTAGCTGTGGTGATGAGTTGAGGAGGAGGAGGATTGCATTTCTTCAGCCTCTGAAAAGAAAGGAAACCTCTGCCTCCCACCAAGACTACACACAATAGAGGAGACCCAAAGGGATGTTGCCGCTATTAAAGGGGGATTTAGATGCTGGACAGATGAAAACTTGACAAATGTTCTATATAACCTGAGCCAATGAAAGTCTCCAGGATCTGGGAAGAGGCAACATGGTGGCAGAGATTTAGTTGTGGTCAATAACAGCTGGACAGGTTGGTGTCATCATCTAGCACCGAGGGCTGGACCACAGAATAGCACAACAGCCTTTTCCTCTCCTGGTAGCTGAAAGGCTCACTTGCTGGCTCTTAAATTGAAATCCTAGCATTCTAGTCAATTATAATCTCTAGTTTATCCCCAAATTCTGGGTGGCTCAGTTCATTAGGTGATGATGTTAATAAGAGCATAGGTTCAAATGCTCACACCTTTGGGCCCTGGCTGTTTTATAAAAGGCTGCAGTACACACCAAGGGGGCTGGATGGCAGTGAAGAGCCATCATTATAAACAGAAGACAAAGGCTAGGGGGAAAAGGACCCAAACACAGAGAATCAAAGAACAGAAAGGGGCCTAGCACATGTAGCCCAATCCACTCAGTTCTTACACAAAACTTGCTAATAATAATAGTAGGAACTCAGCTGAAAAGGACAGTATTATTCATCCCTGAGACATGGGAAGAAGTAAACTTCCCACCAAGGAAATGGTGGTTAAGAACAAGGGTCACCTGCACACAGATAGATGGACTGGGTATGTATCATTCATGTGGGAGATTAGTGGGGATGGGAGCCTTTTTTTGCATTAGAGAGATCATCAAGGAAAAAGTATAAACACAGTGAAAGCATTGATCCTCTGCCACCTAAGAACCCTCAGGAGCGTATCCTCTAATAGGCACTTGTTCTTCCTGAGAATGTTGGTTCCCCATAAACAAAACCATGCCTCAATGTTAGTAGCACCTCAATATTTGCATATGTTCAGATTTCCCTGAACTGGGAGTGAGGGGAGAACTCAATGGCAATCTATTGTGCTGAAACTCCATCTGTTGCCTGACATGTAGGCATCTCAGAAGGGGTGAGTAGAGATGCTCATGACTTGCCCAAGAACACAATAGACCGACCTTGGCCAAGGAGAGAAATGAAAACTGGAGCCTTGAAATACACTGGGATGAAATTCTACACACACTCTATTTAGGATGACCACACGGCTTGATTTTCCCGGGAGAGTTTCAGCTGATACCTGCCCAAAAGTGTCCTAATTTGGATGATAAAGCATATGGTCACCCTTATTCTATTGAGTCTTTGATGGTATAACCAGGATTTAGGACTAAGGCCTGATGTATAAGCAAATGCCCTAGTCGTGGGGATGGGCCCTGGGGAATTCATTTTAAAGCCATGGAAGAAACCGTTCATGAATTAGGGTAGGCATCCTCCTTGCTCCTCACTGTCAGTTCTAGGCCATTTCCCACACTCCTCAATACTTCCCAGCTTTGACTCATATTATCAGACTTGACTACCCACCACTCCACCTTCCTGCAGTCAGCATTTACTCTCCAAGTCTCTCCTCTCACTCCTTGAAGATTTCAGCTTCTGGCTCGTTGTCATTCTCTGGATACAACTCATCCCACCATGATGATCTCATCTCGTTTCAGGGCTTTAAATAGCATCTCAAGGCTGGAGCTCTCTCTTAAATGCTAAACTCATGTATTCAACTGCTTACCAACACCTTTACTTGGATTATTAAGAGACATCTCAGGCTTAGTCTGCTGTGAACTAAGCTTTTACTTCCCTCCATACCCCAAAACATGCTCGTTTTATGGAGCAGTCACTATCTCATTTAAAGGCAACTCCATCTTGCAGTCACTCAGGAAAAAAAAACTTGCTCTCACCTTGGATCCTCTATTCTTTCACACCTGACATTTTATCTTTTAGAAAACCCTGTTGTCTAAGATGTATTCAGAATCTAACCACTTCTCCCTACCTCCACAGCTAACACTTCGGTTCAATTCACCATCACCTCTCCCCAGGATTATGATATCTTCTTAGCTAGTTTTTCTGCTTCCCCCTTTTCCTTTGTATAGTTTATTCTCAATCCAGCAAATACAGGGATTCTGGTTAAACACAACTAAGATTATGTTACTCTTCTGCTCAAAACCCAGCAACAGGCTTAAAGCTAAACCCTTCATTATGACCTAGGAAATTCTTTATGACCTGGCTACCCCATTACCATTCTGGCTTCCTTTCTAATATCCCCCTTGCTTGCTCTAATCCAATCCTGTTGGCTTCATGTAACCTCTGCCCTCCCAGTTGAAGCGATTCTCCTGCCCCAGCCTCCCCAGTAGCTGGGATTACAGGTGTCCACCACCACGTCTGGCTACTTTTTGTATTTTTAGTAGAGATGAGGTTTCACCATGTTGGCCAGGCTGGTTTCAAACTCCTGACCTCAGGTGATCCACCCACCTCAGCCTCCCAAAGTGTTAGGATTACAGGCATGAGCCACTGCACCTGGACTACTACAGGTCTTTTGTTTGTACTTGCTGTGTCTTTAGTCTGGACATTTGCCTCAGAGATCCACATGGCTTGGCTCCTGCTTTCCTTCTTACTTCTCAGCAAAGCCATCCCTCACCAACCTATCTAAAATTGTAACCACCCCCAAAAATTCTATCCTCCTTTTCTGATTTTTTTGTTAGCCAGTATAATTAACACATCATAAAGATTACTTAAATATCTTGGTTTTAAAAATTTGTCTCTCCCACTAGAATGTAAGCTTCTGTAAGCAGGAATTTTGTATATTTTGTTTACTGGTATTTCTCCAGTGCCTGGAAAAGTTCCTGCCATGTAGTTAGCACTCAATATTTGCCAATTAAATGAATTAAAGCATCAATTATAGACCTCAGTTTGCCCTTGGATATTTTACAACTTTGTAACAAATTTCAAGAACTTTTCTTTGAAAGGAAAAGCTATGATCTTTTATCCTGACTTTCTGCCATGTGAAGAAATCTTTTTATACAACTTTAGATCTATGAGGACTCAGGCCGACTTTGCCTGCACTCTTTCTAAAAAGAGAGTCCACCACCTCACCAGCTAGCCTGGTTGGAAAAATCTATGGGCTAGAAAAAGCTGCCTTTTATTGAACCAAGATGTTCTTGAACGTCTTGGTTTACTGAACCAAGACCAGTTGCATACACTGATCCACTCCACTGCCCCCTCTCAGAACAAATTTACTGCCCTGTTGACACAGTGTATTGTGATCCCTCTGTCCCTTGTCTTCTACAGGTTAAATAACCCCAGTTTCTTTATCGGTTTCTGCTATGATATAGTTTGCTGTCTCCTCACCATTCTTGCTGCCCTCCTCCGGACGTGGCAGCTCACCTAAATGAAGGTCCCCAAAAGTGGGCATATGACTAGGTCTGACCCGCACAGAATACAATGGGGCTCTTTCCCTGTGATTGTGACCCTCTGGTATGTCATAAAGACAGTGTTGGATGTGTGGTGGTAGCCTCACTGCCTTGAGACAGGGTTTGCTTGGGCTGATCGGGGGTGGAGGCAGGAGGAGTCATGGATAGTTTTGGGGTCTAGGTGCATTTGTGGCAGTGGTATGAGGTGGTAAGACAAAGAGGGGGTCAATGACATGAACAGTATGCCACACAATGTAAGAGATCGGGAAAAGCGGTGAGGGAGGAGGCCCTGCAGGGTTACTAGCATTTCATCTTGGGTGTGGAGGAAGAGGTAGGGGTCTCAGTTCATGGAAACTCTGATTAGGGGTCACTCTAGCAGCCTGAGAAGTTTCCCGAGGTGCTCTGGGGAAGTCATCTGACCACATTTTCCCATCACGCCACTAGATGGAGCATTGGGATAGAGGATGTGAAGTGGGGTTCCTGGGATTTGTGCAGAAGAAAACCTGACATCCAGTTCTTGAGCAAGTTGCTTAACTCTGCACACCATTTTCATCTGTAACATAATATCTACCTTAGAGGATTCTTGGGCACAGCCTGTGAGCTAAGAGATACAAAAGTGCTTGTAAGCTGTGAAGGGCTACGAAAAAGATAACTAGTTTTGCTATTTTGTTTTAAAAGAGATAGGCGGGTTATAGAGCAAAAAGCGCTTTCTTGGCCTGTTTTCTGAAAGAGCACTGGGTCTTCCACCAGTTCAACCCACAGATGGCCCCTGGCCTAGGGTGGCCCAACCTCCCAAAGTCTGGGATTGGAGGCGACACACCTGAAAATGGGGATGACGTAATTGTTTGGGAAGATGCCGACTCGCCCGGTGACCAAGGAGACGCCCCTGAGCCAGCCGTCCTGGCACTTCCCCAGGACCCTGACGCCTTCTCCCTTTTGCAGGTCCAGCTCATCGGGTCCATGGGCTGAGTAGGAGTGCAGGGCTACAAACCTGGGAAGACACAGAGAACTGGTGAGGGAGGAAGGAAGACGTGCCTGATGGGGGGCATGGAGTGGGGGAATGGTGGAGAGAGACTGCCCAGTGGTTAGCAATAAGAACCTTCTTGGTCGAGCGGGTGCGGTGGTTCTCACCTCTAATCCCAGCAGTTCGGGAGGCCAAGGCAGGTGGATCACCTGAGGTCAGGAGTTCGAGACCAGCCTGGCCAACATGGTGAAATACCATCTCTACTAAAAATACAAAAAATTAGCTGTGACTGAAGTCCACACAGGAATCAGGCAGGTAATATCCAAGTATGAGTCAGGGGGTAAAGACAATCAGGACTGATGAGGCTGTGGAGGTGGGAATAGCTACCTGATCAAAGGCATTCAGGAAACAATCCATTGGTTTGCCAGATTCAGGGATCACCAGTATATGGCCTCCAGGCATCTCAGACATCAGGAAGTCCCTCCAGACTCCAAGGACTGTGAGACATTGGAGCGTTTTATCAAAGGGAATGGGGGAGTGTTCTCTACAAGGTTTTTTTTGTTTTGTTTTTTCTTTCTAAAATGCTATATTTATTTTTTGCTGTTTACTAAACAACATGTATTTATGACCCAACATTTTGAATCTAAAGCAAGACAATAGAAATTGCTCAATACCCAATCTCCCAGTGATGTTGTGGTATATAATCTTCCAGTCTCTTTCTACTTTTGTAAAATAATGAGCTAAGAGTGATGTGGTTTGCTAATTTGTGTTGTCTTTTTTTTTTTTTGAGACAGGGTCTCACTCTGTGGCCCAGGCTGGAGAGCAGTGGGATGATCATAGCTCACTGATGCCTCAAACTCCTGGGCTCAACCCATCCTCCTGCCTCAGCCTCCTAAGTAGCTAGGAAAATATATGTGCACAACCATTCCTGGCTAATTTTTAAATTTTTTTTGTAGAGATGAGGTCTCACTATGTTGCTCAGGCAGGTTTGGAACTCCTGGGTTCAAGCAATCCTCCTGCCTCAGCTTACTGAAGTGCTGGGATTACAGGTGTGAGCCACTGCGCCTGGCCCTAATTTCTGTTTTTCACCATTATTTCACTTGGAAGTGGTAAAGGAAGGCGACCTATTGTCTCTGGATGGGATGTTTTGGGAATGGTGATGCTAGATCACCACTGTACATGGTAAAGATGACCCCTTTGTGCCAGGACTTGGGTGAAGGGATGAGCCTTTTACTCACATGTTCGCTGAGAGGTGTTGCTGGGAGCCAGGCAGACTGACCACGGCTGTGGAATGTCCTGGAGAGACAGGTGCGGGGTGATAAGTGCTGACCTGCACAGACAGAAAAGACAGCCAAGCAGAACCAATGAATGCCACAACCCAGGCCCACAGCAAACAGAGCAGCTACGTAGAAAGACCTGACACAGCTGAAAACCAACAGCCATGCCTGGTGCCACCCATTGTGCGTCCTCTCTGTGGTTTGTGGCTGTGGGCACAGGGAGGTGGGGAGGAGCTGGTTTATGGCCTGGTGGGGTGGCTTGCCAGGACTGCATTCCAAAAGCCTGCTCAGATAGGGTGGAAGATGAAGAGCCGTCCAATTTACAGTCCACAGGGCACTACACAGGCTCCTCCTCCTGTCCCTCTCCCCACCCCACCCATCTCCCTCTATGAAAACCTGCTCTTGGAAAATGAAATGGTGGCTAATATTGATTCAGAACTGAGCAATTACTAGGCAGTTTTAAGTACTCTATAAGTATCAGCTAAGTTAATCCTTATTAAAGGAATTGTTATAATCCCCATATTTGGATGAGAAACTGAGACAAAGAGGGAAAGAAAGGTCACACAATTAGTATGAAACAAAGAAAATCTAAAATCAGGTAGTCCAAGTTCTGAGCCCATATTCTTATTATTGACTATTGCTAGAAACACACACACACACACACACACACGCCTATCCAATGACTTATAGTAGTTGAATTTGAATCCCTTTCACTTTTCTAGGATAAAAGAGGAAACAATAATGATAAAATGATAAAAGCTCCTGGAAGGCCGGGCTCAGTGCCTCATGCCTATAAACCTAGCACTTTGGGAAGCTGAGCTGGGAGAATCGCTTGAACCAGGAATTCTAGACCAGCCTGGGAAACATAGTAAGATCCCATCTCTTTTAAAAAAATTAGCTGGGTGTGATGGCAGGTGCCTGTCATTCCAGCTACTCAGGAGGCTGAGATGGGAAGTTCGCTTGAGCCTGGGAGGTCAAGGTTACAGTGAGCCATGGTTGTGCCACTGCACTCCAACCTGGGTGAAAGAGTGAGACCCTATCTCAAAAAAAAAAAAAAGTTCCTGTAAACTGCCTACTATCCTAGGGCTTTGGCAAACATATTGCCTTGCTTATTTCCTTCTGAGCACATATCACAGATTATGAGTGTTTCCTTGCTAGACTGTAAATTCCATGAGGGCAGGGACTATGTAAGTCTGGTTCATCATTGTATTTCTGCATGCTCAATACGTACTTGTAGCTTAAAGAACAAAGGAATGAGTGAAGGAATGAATGAAAAGGTCTTCCTACCTAGTACACCAAGGATAATGAAACCTTCTCCATGCCATCCAGAGTAAATACATTCAGTCTGTTTTCAGTCATCTACTGATAAATGATGGTAACTCTGTGTGTGCCTTTTTAGGACTATGCTTTTGTGGGTACAACTATTGTTTGTGTATTTGTGTTTATGTAGGTATGAGTGTGTTATTAAATACATATGTCCCTTTGTTTTGAGCAAACATGTATGTTTGCTCAAGGCCCATGGCAATTTAATGTACATGTGTGATGGCATTGGTCCATTGCAAATCTTGTTTTGTTCACACATGTGGTCTATGGATTGATGTGTGTATGCTATATGTGCTGATGTGGGATTGCAGACACAATTGTATAAAGGATTGTGATTATGAGATTCTGTGTGTATGTATGTGAACTCTAGAGGTGTGTACGAGTATGCCCACCACGTAATTTTGTACATGTGTCTACGTCAATGATTGCGTAAATGTATGTGTGGTCATGTATGTAATTGTGACAGTCCAAAGATCAAGTTGTAGGATCAAAAAACCACTTTAGTCAAATAATAAGTGTTGGGGAGGAGGTATAAAAATGGAAACCCTCATACATTGCTGGTTGGAATGTAAAATGGTACAGCCTCTATGCAGAACAGTCTGGCAATTCCTAATATGATTAAACATAGGATTACCATATGACCCAGTAAATCTGTTTCTAGTGTATGCTCAAAAGAAATGAAAACATGTGTCCACACAAAAACTTATAGGCAAATGTTTCAGCAGCATTATTCATAATAACCCAAAGCGGGAAACAACTCAAATGTCTACTCATTAATGAGTGGATAAACAAAATATGGTACAACCATACAATGAAATATTATTCAGCCATAAAGAAGAATGAAGTATTGATACATAAGAGAACATGGATGAACCTTGAAAACATTATGCTAAGTGAAAGAAGCCAGACACAAAAGACCACATATTAGTTGATTCCATTTATATGAAATGTCCAGAATAAGTCAATCTACAGAGATAGAAAATAGATGATAATTTCCAAGGGTTGGGATGATGGGGAATATGAGGTGATAGCTAAACGGCACAAGGTTTCTTTTTGAAGTGATAGAATATCCTAAAATTGTAATGGTAATGGCTATACATCTGTGAATATACTAAAAACCACTGAGTTGTACACCTTAAATGGGTGAATTGTATGGTAGGTGAATGATATCTCAATAATAAAGCATTAAGAAGAATGAAACCATTCCACAATCACCCTCCTGAGGAACTCTTAGCACTGCATAAAGTGTTCTGAGTTTGTAATCAGATATTGTCACACTGGTTCCTTCAAACAGACATGACAAGGAGCTGGCTTTGGGCTAGGCTGCTCCTTGCCTATGATTGGGGAAGGTTAAACCCCTACAGGGCTTATGTATGTGGAAACTGTTGGAACACTGATTAAATGGGATGGACTTCACTTAACACTCTTGGATTTCCAATATTATGTTTGAGTAAAAGAACTGCTATCCACAAACACCATTAATCCTTTAGGGAGGCAGAAAAGGCCAGAATGCAAAGCCATCTTTTCATTACACTAGGGTCTGTCTTTTTACTTCTCTGGGCCTTTATCTGGGGAGGGCATGTTTCCCCCACTTGGAACAGTGAGCCTGGCCAGGACAGTAACCTGTGGGCTTGTGATGACATTATTTCTAATAGGGAATGGGAAAGGATGTTAGCTTCTCAGGTTTTAAAGTGTCCTGGAGGAGAAGAGAAAGGACGACATGAGAAGGAGACAATGAAGAAGAGGGGTGAGGGGGAGATAGTGGAAGACCCTGAGAATGGCATAGGGTAAAACTGGGACAGAGATACTGTGGGAGAACGATAGCTGCAGAGGGACAGAGGGAGGAAGGAAGGAGAAGAGAGGGAGATAAAAACAGTTTGGAGAAACTCTCACAATACATTCATAAGAAGACAAAGAACCCAATAAAAATGGGCAACAGATACCACAGAAGATGATATATTGAGTGGCCAATAAATACATAAAAATATGCTCAACATCAATAATTACCAGGGAAATGCAAATTAAAAGCACTGTGAGATACCACTACACACTGATGAGAATGGCTAAAATCAAAAAAGACCAACCAGCACTTTGGGAGGCCGAGGTGGGCGGATCATGAGGTCAGGAGTTTGAGACTAGCCTGACCAACATGGTGAAACCCTGTCTCTACTAAACATACAAAAATTAGCTGGGGGTGGTGGCATGCGCCTGTAATTCCAGCTACTCAGGAGGCTGAGGCAGGAGAATCGCTTGAACCCAGGAGGCAGAGATTACAGTGAGCCGAGATCATGCCCTTGCACTCTAGCCTGGGTGACAGAGCGAGACTCTGTCTTAAAAACAAAAAAAAAAAAACAAAAAAAAACAAAAACGGACCAATCATACCAAGTGTTGGTGAGGATGTGGAGCACCTGCAACTCTCATACCCTTCCAATGGGAATGCAAAATGGTACAGGCCATGTTGGAAAACAGATTGGCCATTTTTTATAAAGTTAATCATACACTTTTCATACTACTCAGCAATTGTACTCACAAATATTTACTTAAGAGCAATGAAAACATATGTCCATAGAAGGACCTGTACACGAATGTTCAGAGCAACTTCATTCATTTTAACAAAAAACTAGAAACACCCCCAAATGCCCATCACCTGGTGAATCAAGAGGCGAATTGTGGTATAACCACAGCGGTGTACTCCTCAGTGATACATGCAACAGCGGGATGAATCTTAACATCACCCTAAATGAAAGATGCAGGACACTGAAGACTATACACTATATAATGCCAATTATATAAAATGTTTTAAAAATAAGCCATAACTATAGTGACAGAAAACAGATTAAGGGTTGCCAAGAGCCAGGGTGGGGAGACAGGATTGATAGCAAAGGGGCACAAGAGAGCTTTTTGAGATGATGCAAACATCTGGTATCTTGATGTTGGTAGTGATTACATGCTGTATATGTTTACCAAAAGTTTTTGAACTGTATACTCAAAATGCTTAAGTGTTATTGTATATAATTAAACCTCAGTAAAGCTGTTAAAAAACGTGAATACATTATCTAGTTAAGGCCACAGGAAACATCCAAGAGGCCTTAGCTTGACTCAGCTCGAGGTCTGGAATTAGGGAAGGGGATGAGAATCGCTCAGCTTCATAGAGGGCAGCTAGCAAGTAACCCTCATGGTAGGGGGCCACCTGAATAGGAGAGAAACCAAGAATGGGAACCTATGGATCAGAGGCTCAATCAATAAGGCAAAGGAAAAATGAACGAATGAATGACTGGAGAGACAGGAAAAGAGAACAAGATAGACATAGGCAGAGAAGAGAGAAACTGGGTGGGAAAGAAGACAGGCAGAACAAGACAGAAAGGAAGGCCCCACCCAGTAAGTGAAGATAACCAGACAGATGGCCAGCTTCTGAGGAGGCAAGTCTGCTCCTGTCACTGGGATCGAAGAAGGAGGCCCAGCCTTTCTGAATGAATGGGCCTGGCCCTGGTTCCTTTCCCTGGGGTCAATTGTGACCTCAGGTGCCTGTGCCACAAGGAGTTTGTGAGGCTGGATGGGAGGTTCTCCACCAACTGATGCTCCCTGGCACAGGGTTCCGAGTCCTGAGCCAGATCGGGGTAAGTAAGGGTGTGCGGGTGTGGTGGGGAAGGGCATTCTTGCTGAAATCTAAACACATTTTTTTCCCTCCCTTTTGAAGGAAATGACTCACTTAAAAGAAGTCTTTATCAACCACAGCAGAATCCACAGTTATATGGCTTCTGGGAATTTCCAGGTTTTCAGGTGCTAAGTGAGGGAGGAAGAGGGTATGAAGCCTCCTGGCACAGAGTTGCTGGCAATGCTCTGCCCTGCTGGCCCTGCTGCCTTCACCATCAGCCACTCAGGTATAGAAAATGCAGCTACCTCTTAGGAGTCCAGAGAGGAGGTCTAACTTAGGACTCAGGCCAGTGGCTCTACCATCTACCAGAACCTGTGATCTTGGACAAGTGATTGAATTCTGTGGATCCTCCATTTCTTCAAAATCGATAAAATGGGGCAATAATGGTATTTCTCTCTTAGAGTTGTTATGAGGGTTAAATAAAGTAATCCATATAAACTATTTAGCACAGGGTTTGACGCAATGTAAGTGCTCAATAGATATTACTTATTTTGATCTGCAAAGAGATTAGTTACTGCATAGGGTGGGGACAGAGTGGGTGGGGTGCCTTTTATGGTACAGCCTGGCAAGGTCTTGGACTGAGAGCAGGACCCAAGAATGTGGTGGGCATGGGGAAGAGTGTCTGTAGCAACCTTGCTTCTCTCTTCTAGCAGAAAACCTCTCCACCTTTCCAAATGTAAGTTTGTTTTTCTCCATCCCATGCCGTGGCTCTCAGCTATTTCCTCCAGGGCTCTTGCCTTGCGGTAACTTGGCGGGTATGGGGTGACTGTCTTCCCCAGCAAAGTGTGAACTACTCTAGAGCTGGTATGGCACTACACTTGGTATTCCCCAAAACTAACAAGGGCCTTGAACCTACAGTGTTCACTCAGAGTTGAGAGAAGGGCTACATTTTATTTTATTTATTTTTTATTTTTTTGAGACAGGGTCTTGCTTTGTCACCCAGGCTAGAGTGCCATGGTGCAATCATGGCTCACTGCAGCCTCAACCTCCCGGGTTCAATCGATCCTCCCGCCTCAGCCTCCTGAGTGGCTGGGACTACAGATGTGCATCACCATGCTCAGACAGTTTTTTGTATTTTTTGTAGAAATGGGGTTCCACCACGTTGCCCAGGCTGGTCTCCAACTCCTGGGCCCAGGTGATACGTCCTCGGCCTCCCAAAGTGCTGGGATTACAAGCATGAGCCACTGCGCCTGGCCTAGGGCTGCATTTTAGAGATAGAAAATTAGGTATTGGTAGTTTCTGTACCCACCACTAGGGACAATCTGGAGTTGACCATCTGACTTTATAAAGTTAAAAGCTCATTCCCTTCTATAGACTCAAAACAAGTTAAGAGCCACATTTGGTAATTGCTGTGTGTGGACCTTATTGGGTCCTAGGCACCGTGCTAGGCACTGGGGTTACTGCAATAAGCAGGACACGCAGGGCTCCGTTCTCATGTGGAGCTCACAGTGTATGCCAGGAAGCTCCTGTAACATACTGTGTAACATACTCATACTCAGTGACACCTATAACTATGCTGTGTAAGCCTGAGCGTGTTGGGGTCGGGGAAGATCAGGACGCTCTGGGAGCTAGCACAAGAGGCTTGCCTGGACCTCCAAGGGCTGCTTCACCCTCACATGCTATGACTCCAGTGCTAATTTATACATGGGCCCCATGGTCATTATCCCCATTTTTATAGATGGAGAAACTGAGATAAAAAGATTTCACAATTTTCAGGAAGTGGCCAAATGGGTGGACAGCTTGATGCCAGAAGCAAGGACCCTAGGCTCAGAGTCCTTTCTGTAGAGCCCAAGGTTAACATGTCCAGATCTCAGTGTGGCTAAAGGGGTCATACGGAGGAGGCATGTGTGTTTATGCTCGTGGACAGGATGACCACCGTTCCTGTCACGTGTCCCTAGTAATATGGAATAGGTCTGCAGGCAAGTGGAATATGAAGCTGTCTGTGCTTGTTTTTCTTGTCCTTTCCCTGGCAGGGCAGAGCAGAGGGAGTCAGAGCTTCGGCTGCCAGGAGGCTATCAGCCCTTCTCTATCTACGCCTATTTCAGAGCCAGCCCTGCCTGCAACCCTCCCTGTTCTTGATGAGCAAGGAGCAGCCACCCAGAGCTATTTATTTGTCCTGAGAGTAAAAACACTGTCTGAGATAGAGAACTCATTTATGAGCTGTCAGCAGGTCCCTTTAGGTTCATCTCAAAAATACTTTTTTTTCTGAAGTACACGGCCAGGTCTGCAGGGGTTATATTGCATAACTCTGTGAAGACTACTGAATTTACAGTTCCCAAGTAGTCATCAAAATTTGGAAGATCCTCTGTGATCTGCTCCAGTTTTGCTCTCCAGCCTCACCTTTCTCCATTCCCTTCCCCCTCAACTTCAGTGGGGTCTTTTCTTAGCTCTTTGAGCAGGCCACACCCCTGACCTTGCACTTCTCCTGGCCACCCCCCTACCTGTTACTTCCCACTTCCCACTTCTGGTCTGACTGTAACTTCCCTTTGTTATTAAAATGTAAAATTATAAATATATTTTGCATACGGATAAGTATATATATTTTGTGTGTCATTTAAAGAATAATAATATAACAGATACCTGCATACATACCACCCGTAAAACAGACACCTGCATACATACCACCCAACTTAAGAAATACAATAAAAATAGAAGTTGAATATTGTGCTTAGAAGCCCTCTGCATATTCCCCCATAATCAAGTCTCTCTCCCAAGTTATCCCAGAGGTAGCTACAATGCTGAAGTTTGTGTTAATCATTCCAAGTCTTTTCTATGTTGTTACCACCTTGGCATATATCCCTAAACAGTATGTTGTTTAGTTTTGTCTATCTGTGAACATTGTATGAATGGACTCACAATGTGTGTATTCTGTGACTTGCATCTTTTGCTTAACAGGAAGTTTTCGCATATATTTGTGGCTAATTTTCACTGCTGATTCTTACATTTCGTTCTGTGTCTATACCACCATTTAACCATTCTGTCAGTTATGTGTCATTTGGGCAATTTTCAGTTTGGGGCTGTTATGAGTGATGTTACTATGAACATTTTTGTACATGTCCCCTGTGCACATGGGCAAGAATTTCTCCAGGATATGCGTCTAGGAGTGGAATTGATGGGCCAAAGGGTATGAGCCTGTTCAGTTTTATTGGGCAATAACACACTGTTTCCCAATGTGGCTGTAACAATTTACACTTCCACCAGCAGTGAATGACAATTACTGTTACCCCACAGTCTCACCAGCATGTGGTAAGGCCTGGCTTTTTAATACCTGCTGATTGGGTGGGTGTGAAATGCTATCTGATTGTGGTTTTAAATTAATTTCTCTGAGTACCAGTGAGCTTTAGTTTGTTTTTTTTTTTCAAATATTTATGGGCCATTCTTGTTATATGAAATGCCTGTTCATGCCCTTCGTATCCCGCTCTTCCATGGGGTTATTTATTATTTTTGTATTAAATTATGGAGTTCTAATATATTGGATATGAATTCTTTGTAGCTTGTATTTTTACTCTGTGGTGTCTTTTGATGAACTGAAGTTCTGATTTTTCATATAGTCAAATTCACAATATATTTCCTATGGTTCACGTTTTTAAACAGTCTTCAATAAGTTTTTTTTCCTCCCAAGGTCATAAGGATATACTTCTATACTGTCTTCTAAAAGTTTTATAGTTTTGCCTTTCACATTTAAGTCTTTAATCCACCTGGAATTGATTTTTGACAAGGGAGGAATCCAATTTCATCTTTTTCCTCATGGATACCCAATTAGCCCAGCACCATAGTTCATCCTTCCCTTCTGATCTGCAAAGTCTGCTCTGTCATAAATCAAGCCTCTATGCTGTGTCTGTTTCTAGGTTCTCCAGCATGTTCCATTGGTTTAATAGAATCCCTATGCTAGATCCATGCCATCTTAATTAGCTTTGAAATAAAAATGGAAATCTGATTGGGTAAGTCCAATTCTTTACCCCAACCAAATTCCATCTTCTTCGTCAGAAGTGTCTTGGCACTTGGCGTTTTTGTTCTTCCATTTGAATCTTAGAATCACCTTTTGAGTTTCATAAAAACAAACAGCAAACAGACCCACTGGGATTTGAATTCATGGTTAAATTTGGGGGAGAAGCAACATCTTTAAATATTAAGTTGTCCCATCCAAGAACATTGCATAATTCTCCACTTATGTTAGAGCCTCTTTAATGTCTTTCAATGATGTTTTATAAATTTTCTCAATAAAGGTCTTGCATGTCTTGTTATATTTATTCCTAGAGATTTAAACAATTTAGTTGCTCCTGTTAATGGTACCTTTTTAAAAATCATTTTTCTATTTAGTGTACAGAGATGAACTTGACTTTCTTATATTGATTTGTATTCAGCAACCTTGATAAGCTCATGTTTATTCCCATTACATTTTTTCTAGATTCTTTTGAGTTCTCTATATAGACAATAGTATCATCTGCAAATAATGACAGTTATATTTCTTCCTTTCAAAGACTTAACCTTTTACTTCTTTTTCCTGCCTTACTGTGCTGGCCAGGCCCTCTGGGACAGTGTTGAGCAGAAACATGAAAATGGGCATTTTGTTCTTTTTTTTAATCTTAAAGGAAATGCCTTCAACATTTCACCATTAAGTATGATGTTTGCCACTGATTTAAATAGATTCCATTAATCACATTAAGTAAGTTTCTTTTTATTCCTAGTTTGCTAAGACTTTTTAATATATAATGAATGGACATAAAATTTTATCAAACATTTTCTGTACCTATTGAAAATATCACATTTTTTTCTCCTTTAATCTGTTAATGTGATAAAATATATCAGTTAATTTTCTAATGCTAAACCAACCATTCAATCTTGGAGAAAAACCCAACTTGATCATGATATATGCCATTTCCCTGCATTTCTGGGTTTGTTTTCCTAACATATACTTGAGGATTTTTGCATCTGTGTTCCTGAGTGAAGCAGAACTATACTTTTCCTTTCTTATGTTGTCTTTTCCTGGTTTTGATAGTAAGGCTATCCTAATCTTATGAAGTGAGTCGGGGAAAGTTTTCTTCCATTCTTTGGAAGAATTTATATAATAGTTAAATTATCTCTTCCTTGAAAGTGTGAAAGAACTCACCAGTAAATCTGTCTGGGTCTGGAGTTTTCTGTATAGGAAGATTTTAAATTGCTGATTCTATTTCTTAAATGCTTACAATGTTATTCTGAAGGGTTTTTAAGAGTTGTTTACCAGATGTAAAATGTTTTTCCATAAGCCCTGTTTGTTGAAGAGAAGTTCCTGTGGGAACATTTGCCAGGTGGCCTCCCTGTTGGGGAGAAAAGGTGGTACTTAGAGTATCTACATAGAACCTTGGAAAACCCCAGCCAATGCGGACCCCCCATACATCATCAATTCAAGTCCTTAGAGCACCCGAGAGTCCCAGTGCCTTACTTAAAAGGAACCCCATGGGAGCAGTCACAGTTAGGAGGACTTTTGTAGCTTCTTGAGGCACTATGCAGCCACGGCTAACAGAATGGACTTTTGGGGCTGTCTGATGTGGGTTTGAGCTTTGGCATTGTAACTTATTGGCTGTGGGAGGCTCAGACTTAATCCCTCTGAGCCTTGTTTCCTTATCTACGAAAGGGGGCAAGAATAGTGGCTACCTCATGAGGTTCTTGTGAGGGTTCAATCAGAACATGCAAGCAAAGTGCTTTGCATAATGTCCGGCTCACATGAGGTACCCAATAAATGGTTACCATTGTCACTATTATGACATAGGAGACATACAAAGCAGATGTCTGGGGAGAAGAAGCAGACAGTAGGACTTCCTCAGTTGGACTGGATTTAAGAAGGAAAGATTCATTCTCTAGGATACAAAGGCCAGCCACCACAGTCCAGATTGCCTTTGAGGAAGACCCAGTGAGGGGTGGCTTAGCCCAAGTGTGGGGACATGTATTTAGGAGTCTTTCTTCCTTTTCCCCGGTGCTAGGTTGACCATTCTCATGGATCCTGAGGCTTCCATCCCTGGCACTTCCCCATAGCTATGCTCTGCATTAGCTTTTTGGGAAAAAGCAGAAAATGCAACCCACACTTCAAACCACAAAGACAAATATGCTTTCCCCATTGGTTGGGCACAGAATGTCTCCTGCCCTGCCACTCCCTTGCTGTTTTCTCTTTTTTTTAGATAGAGTTTCGCTCTGTCACCCAGACTGGAGTGCAGTGACGTGATCTCGGCTCACTGCAACCTCTGCCTGCCATGTTCCAGCAATTCTCGTGCCTCAGCCTCCAGAATAGCTGGGATTACAGGCGTGTGTCACCAGGCCCAGCTAGTTTTTGTATTTTTAGTAGAAATGGGGATTTGCCATGTTGGCCAGGCTGGTCTCGAACTCCTGACCTCAAGTGATCCACCCGCCTCAGCCTCCCAAAGTGCTGGGATTACAGGCGTGAGCCACCATGCCTGGCCATATAAAAACAATTTTTATTTTAAGTAGAGACAATGTCTCACTATGTTGCCCAGGCTGGTCTCAAACTCCTGAGCTCAAGCGATCCTCCTGCCTCAGCCTCTGTAGCTGATACCACGGGTGTGAGCCACTGCGTCTGGTCTCCCCTGCTATTTTCTACCTCATGCTTTCCTGAGCCCAAGGGTCCTGCTGCTTTCAAAGCAGAGTTTGGGCATCAAAGCAGAGTGTGATGGGATGGGTACTCTTAGGGCTTTTTGAAATGCCAGGGTACACAGAAGTCTTAATTATAACCCTTGCCCTCCTCATCCTAACAGTCCACTTGAAGAAGTAACTGTTTGGCAGTAATTATGGTTAAATCCTCTCACCAGGCCTCATTAAAGGCCACAAAAACTTAAGTATGCAAAGTTTCTCTGAAGTCTGCTGCAGTTCTCCTCACGGCATTTACTCACAGAAGATGCTTGTAAAGCATCTGCCAGGTACCAAGCACCGTGCTAGGCCTGGGGGATCCGTGATGAGGCCACTGCACTCACAGACAGTGGAGACTGTGCCTCAAACCTACTATCTGTCCTACCCCAGGCTCCTGCCCTCACATTCCCCAGACAAGAGTATCCCAAAGATGGGCAGTCTCTGGACATCTAGAAATTTCCATGCTCCACTCACCTCTCGTATGGACTGAAGGACCTACGTCCTTATAAAGTAGCTTTTTATGGTGGAGATATTGGTGATGGAGGTTATTTTCTGAACTAAGGAATGTGGACCCACAAGGAGAGGTGGATGAGGGAAAGCAGCAGACCAAAACAGGAGACATGGGAGCATAACTGTTAGGAACTTGGGTTCTGAATTCAGATGTCCCTGGGTATGGGTCCCCACTTTGCTATGCTTTCACCGACCGTGTAACCCTGGGCAAGTTATTTAACCTGCCTGGCCCTAAATTCCTTCATCTGGTTTAGGGACGCTTTTTTCCTAAGGACTTGTCAATTTTTTAAAATCTAAGGTGTCACTTCAGGGGAGATGGCTGGTGAAGCAAACTGAAGTCAGAATGAAAAAAAGTTAAAAAAAAAGTTAATTAAAAAAAATCCCTTCTAAGGAATTTAGTGAGCCCAGAAATAATTTAGCAATGTCAAGTTCATCTCAGCATCTTCAGAAAATTTACTTTCTGCCATGTGTTTGTTGTCTCTTATTTTAAAATTTTCTCAAATGATATTACAGCGACAACAACGAACATTTTTATTTTAAAAAAGAGAAAAAAAAATCGCCTACCACCACCACCCATTATCAAAGCAGTTGTCTCTGTTCTTTTTTTTTTTTTGAAACAGAGTCTCACTTCATCGCCCAGGCTGGAGTACAGTGGCACAATCTCAGCTCACTGCAATCTCCACTTCTCGGGTTCAAGCAATTCTCTTGCTTCAGCCTCCTGAGTAGCCGAGATTACAGGGGTGCACTACCACGCCTGGCTAACTTTTGTATTTTTAGTAGAGATGGGGTTTCACCATGTTGGCCAGGCTGGTCTCCAGCTCTGACCTCAAGTGATTCACCTGCCTTGGCCTCCCAAAGTTCTAGGATTACAGGTGTGAGCCACTGCACCTGGCCTCTGTTCTTTTTTGAGTAACTGAGTGCCCTCGATAAATGAAGGATTTACATTCTTGGAAACCTAGGCTCCAATGCTCTCATGGTTCCTTGAAACACTCCCTGATACCTTCTTGTTGGCGTGTCTGACTTCATCTTCTGAATTATTATCACTGGATATCCTTGGGAAGACACCTCATACTGAGGCTGAGACCTTGGTTGGTCATAGGACAATTTTTCCTTCTCATAGGATTATTAGAATGTGGCCACAAAGTCCACCAGGGTCCCAGTGAGACAGGCTCAGTGATCTCAGCAAGTGAAAAGGGCATGTGTTTCCAAAGCCATCACTTAAAGCTCCTTCTGGATGGCATGCTTGCTGGCTCTGTGTGGTTCTGCGGAAATCAGAAGTTGTCCTTCATGGTCTCAAATGAGATTTAAACAGTTTTAATTGGCTGTCCCCAGAGACTCACCATCCCTGCCCCGAGGTCCCAGCCTGTGGTGCCTGGAGAGGTTCAGCTACCCTGCAAGCAAGCCCTCTGCTGTCCTCTCCCATCACTGCATGAGCCACACAAGCTCAGGACCCAGGCTGTTTGGGCAATTAATGCAGCTCACTCTTCAGAGCACTGCATTTGATGGGAAATAAAGGGAGAATAAAACCCTTCAGATAATCTTTGTTTCCAGATGTCCTGATATTTTTATCTCATTGTGCTAAAAAGGAAAGAAAATATGCATTTGCATTAAGAAGGGGAGAATCCCTAATTTTGGCCCATCCTTACAACAAACATAATTTTTATTTGTATCCCCACCTTTTAGAACAATACCTAAGCAGTCAGTAAATGTTTGTTGAGTCTGCTTTTAGGAAGATCAGTGTCTACACCATCTGGGATGGATGTGAGAAAACCATCCTTCCAATTGTCTCTTCTGTTGGTAATAAGACTTTCGTAACAACAAACAATGGGGATATATTTGTGGGGGAGGAGTGTTACTTTTGTTCTTTACCTTTTCTTGATATTCCCTAACTCAGCGTCTTTTTCCACAAAACGTGGGTGTCATTTTTCCCACAAAAAGGCTTAGGGCATGGCCAGGTGCAGTGGCTCACGCCTGTAATCTCAGCACTTTGGGAGGCTGAGGTGGGCAGATCACCTGAGATCGGGAGTTCGAGACCAGCCTGACCCACATGGAGAAACCCCGTCTCTAATAATAATACAAAATTAGCTGGGCGTGGTGGTGCGTGCCTGTAATCCCAGCTTCTTGGGAGGCTGAGGCAGGAGAATGGCTTGAACCTGGGAGACGGAGGTTGCAGTGAGCCGAGATCGGGCCTTTGCACTCCAGCCTGGGCAACAAGAGTGAAACTCCATCTCAAAAAAAAAAAAAAAAAAAAAAAAAAAAAAAAAAAAGCTAAGGGCTAGTGCTCATAGATTTTCACTAAGGAAATTCCTGTAACTTCTGGAGAGACATGATTTGGGAATATCTGGTCTCCTCCAATTGACAAATGCTCCTAGGTAAGACAATGTGAAAGACAAAAAAGGTTGAAAAGAAAGCATACTCCTTGCCCTTAAGGAGTGTGTAATCTCACTGAGATAAGATGGGAAAAATGAAAACAGAGTTCCAAAATCAAGAGCTAATGTTTACAGAATACTTGTCAGAGGCCACACATTCCTAAACACTCTATTATCTCATATAATCCTCACAACAAACCAAAGGGCTAAATACCATTATCATCATTTTTCCCATCTGGCGTTGAGAATGTCAAGGCAAAAACATATGATTAGTAACTTGCCCAAGGCCACAGAGCCAGCAAGGAAGCTGAGCTGGGATTCGAACCTACATGATGTGACTGTGACTTCAGAGCCTGTCCTCTCAGCCCTAACTACAGCACACAAGTCCGTGTGTATATTTTGGAGGGAGAATCAGGTGGTGCTGGCTCCAAGGTCTGGAAGGTTCTAGAGGGCAGGAGTCGGTGAGGGCTGGGATTCTCAGAGAAGGGCTTCTTTAGCTCCCTGTGCCTCATTTGCTAGGCTAAGCCAGGAAGGGTTTGCCCCATTTCTGGAACTCTGCAAAGACGCCTGAGAAGAGATTTCCCAGTCATTTCTGTGTTACCAGAGAGAAATGTGATTTATGGGCACACTTGTCTAACTTTCCCAAGGCATAGGCAGTAGGATGTCAGGCTGGGCTTTGGCCCTGAGCTGAGGTTTGGTAAAGCCTGAAGGAGAGCCAAGATAGCATCTGGATTGTCTCTGTCACCACACCTAGTGTCACCTCACCCCTCGGTCACTGGCCAGATGAAATTGCTGCCTCCTATGTAATAGACAACATTTTTTTTCAAGAGTTTTGGTCAGGGAACTCAGGTTCATATTACCTATATGAATCTTGGAAAAATCTGAAGCCCCTTCCCCTGGCTTTAGGATCCTAGTATGTAAGAGCTGAAGATCTTGAAGCCATAAGAGCTTCAAGACCACCCAATTTAATCCTCTGAGGGGAAGTGGCATGCTGAAGGTCATCACCCATGGGGCTTGGCCACAGAGTCAGACCTAAGTCCACCACTGGGAGAGGGTACCATGTCTTGGTAGCTGGTTCAAGAGGTTGGTTTGCTTGACTTGCTTTCCAGACTATGTTTCACTAATTTTCAACAAATATTTATTAGGCTTTCCATGTGCCTCATTCTGTCCTTATGGAGCTTATATTCTAGGGAGATGGCAGGTAAAACAAGATACTCATATACAAAACAAAAACCAAGAAAACAGACGAATAAAATATACACCATAAAGGAAGCAGAGATAGATGATGGGAGACCTACTTTGGATAAAGTGTTTTCCATTCCATGCCCTCCTACCTGGCTGGGGGACCTTGGCTATGAAGTTCATCCAAACCCAACATGCTGCTTGTCTCTTACCCCTGGAGCATGCATCATTGTGAGGTGCTTAGCTTTGGGGTGGGTCTTATATACCTGGGGCACATGGAAGGGATGGTGCTGGGGATGCACCAGCCAAATGTGTATTTTTCCATATATGGGAGGCTACAGTCTTGGATGGTGGCTGCCTGGCCTCAAGCTTAGGGGTGCAGTTGATTTTGTCCTTCTGAGAGAATCCAGCTATCAAAGCACTAAAGCATGGACACACACTCCATGGGGAAGGGTATTGATTACTCTCAAAATCCCCAGGGCTGGCAGGACAAGAGCAAGCAAGGCAAAATGATGACACAGCAGAGCTTGGCATTGCTGCCCCTTATACCCTTTGTGGGCTTGCAGAGAACCCACGGCCTGCATTCACTTCTCACTCACCCACCCTGTTGATCCCTCCCTCCGTCATTCACTTACATACTTATTTCTTTATTAAATTCCTCATTATTATAAGAATTCCCTCACACACTCATTCACATCTTCTTTCTTTCATCAGATTCCTCCATCACTTAATCATTCGTTCAGTCTCTTCTGTTTATTGGCTTATGTACATAGCTATGTATATGTTCACTGGATTTCACTCGCTTCACCACTCATTCATTCAACAAACATTTACTAACCATCTCTTCATGCCAGGCTCAACTGGGCTTAACCCTGGAGGGAGCAGGGGGACATCAGTTACCCTGTCTTTAAGGAGTTGAGGGCATTAAGGTACGCTTAGGTAAATTCCAAAACAAGGTGGGAAGTGACAGAATTCCAACCTGGGGGCATATGTCAATTGTTTGGAAGTGCAGATGGGATGGTGTCCTCCCAGGCATCCAGTGCTCCTTCTTCCCTACAGGGCCCAAAGTGACCAGGCACACACATTCTCACAAAGGCATTAGGGACCTCAGAAGTGGCTAGACCAGAGGAGGGTGTTTGCTTTTTAAAGGAAGAGGCCAATCTTTTAGCCCAGGGATCTGCAAACTCTCTAAAGGGCTAGAAAGTAAATCTTTCAGGCTTTGTGCAAGGTCTCTGTCACTACTGCCTAACTGTTTCCTTCTAGTGTGAAAGCAGCCATTGATGTTATGTAAAGAGTGAGCCTGGCTGAGTACCAATAAAACTTTATTTTTGGACAATGAAAATACAATTTTATATAATTTTCACAGCATGGAGTTTTATTCTTTTGATTTTCACCCCCCACCCCTGCCCCCCAATAAATTCAAAATCACATCTGTAAAAGCCATTCTTAACTTTCTGGCCATATGAAAACAGGCAGCAGGTGCATTTGGACCATAGGCTGTAATTTGCTAATTCTGTTATAGCTCAAAGAAATGAATGAACAGTGGATAATTTCCAGATGCCAATAGCAGAAATAGTTTAGGGGTTAGTCCTCCTAGTGACCTGGTTACTGCTTTCTCTACAGACGTAGACAGATGAGGGCCCAGCAAGCGCCTAATCCCGGGCACAGGGAATCAATTGGATTTTGAAAATACAGGATAGGTGTTCTCTGACCTCATCAGTGTCCTGCCTCCTTGAAACGAATGCAGACAAATGATTAAAGTAGTAAACTCTCTCCGTGCTCCAGTGTGTCTGGTTCAAATCTGTTTAGGGTTTGTCACCTGAGTATATGCTCCAGGCCTAGCAAAGAATAGGGCCTCAGTAAATCTTCACTGAATGAAACGACATGGGCACATGGGCACATGGTAGACACACCATATTTGTGAGCAGAAGCAAGGAAGCAGCAAGATTTCTCTCATCAGTACTGGCTCAGGTCAAGTCAAAGGCAGTGGGGGAAGGCACAAGGGCTCAGTTAGGCAGCTTGAGCAGCCCAGAGAGTAGGAAAGATTTGTTCTCATTTCTGACTCTGCCCTTTTTGTCCTCAGAGTTGCCCTATACTCAGCGTGAGAAAACAGGGCTTCCCTAGCTGAAGTGTCTTGGAAACAGACAAACTGGTGCTTGCAATATTCTTTGCATACGTAACCAGTTTTTATTTCGCATTTAGTTGTGCAATTTTCCATCAGGGCTTGATTGTTTTGGGATGGGAAGAGAGGGAGAAGAATGGATATTACATATCCCAAAGCTTGTGCATTGAGATACAATAAATGGTTTTTTTCTTTGATGAAAGAAAATGGTCAATTTTCTTGGAGTTTTCTCTTTATCTTTCTTTTGTTTTCTTTTCTTAACACACTGTCATTTATCAAAAATAAAGTTCCTGAGGCATTCACAGAGGGTTGTGATATAGGGGCCCATATCTTGTTTTTCTATGAAAACAATGGAAGAACATGCCCCTTTTGTGCCCTCTGTAGAAACTCTTCCTTAGGAAGAAGGCCTGATTTTCAGCTTATGTGCAGAGAAAGCAAATAGCACAGAAGCTTGTTTGCTGAACAAATCCAGATGTACCCCGAGCCCAGCATGGCCCCCAGGGAGTGCCCAATAGAATGATATGGAATCACCGAGTCTCAGATGATGGGCCTATGTGGGGATGGCAAACACACGGCACATGCACCCATTTCCTACTCCTGGGCCCGCAACAGACATGGATAATTGATCCCTTTATTCCTTCCCACTGAGTCTGGTTGCTGTCCCAGAATCTCTCCTCAATCATCTCTGGGGACAATTGAGTTAGCATGTGAGATGCCCCACTACTCCCACTGCTTGGGCAGGGAAAGAGCATGGGCCCGGAAGACAGCCAGACCTGGGTTCTGACAAAAACTCTGAAATGCACTTGCTAACTGAACTAGATACTTAGCCTCTCTGAGTCTCAGTTCCTCCATCTAAAATGGAAAGAAGTAACAACGATTAACAATACTCACAGAGGATGTAAGACTGTGGCACTGGGTCTGTCACAAAATGAGTTCCTTTTTTTCTTGGAGCTGAGTGGGAATGGAAAGTGGGCCTGAATTATGTATTTATTGTGCCTTTGTTTATTGTTGTGGGGGTATGTTTCTCTGCACAATTTGTTTTTCTTTTCACTACATATGTATGTTTCTCTGCACAATATGTTTTTCCAACAATCCACTCAACGCACAGGTCCTTTCAGCTTCTCCAGCTAGGAGCGCGTTCGTGTTTTGGCGCATTTCCAGGGACAGGGCACAGGCAAGTCTCCCCATCCTACCTGTGGGAAGTGTCAGGTTTCCCCAAAGCCCTTCTATTCTCCCATGTGTTTGAGAAGAGTGGTCTGCTGGGGCTATTCAGAAAGGGCATCTTTTTCACACAGCCCTTGACTTAACTGCCCTTTATTCTGCATTTACTACAAGCCAGACCCTGTGCTACATTCTGCACATCAGCTGTTCTCAGCGGGAGGCAACTTTGACCCTGCGGAACATTTGGTAATGTCTGTTGTTGCCACAGGTGGGTGGGTGGTGGTGGTGGGTGCTACAGGCATCAGTGGGTAGGGGCCGGGGATGCCGCTAAAAACCCCACAATGCCCAGGGCGGCCGCCGCAACAATGATCTTGCTCAAAATGCCAATAGTGCTGAGGCTGAGAAAGCCTTCTGTATGCGAGTATCTCATTCATCTCCTAACAGGTCTGTGTGGAAGACGCTATTAATTTTCCCATTTGAGATGGTGAAACTGAGGTCTTGCAAGGTTGAGCCACTTGGCTGAGGCCACTGCACCATCAAGGTCTGTCTGTGCCCACATGTCTATACTACCCTCTTTGTTCCCAGAATGCTACCCTGTTACATTGCTTTTCCCTTTCTTTTGCCCTTCTGTTTTATTTTGCTTCTCTTGTCTTCCTTTCTTGTTGAATTATCTCTGTGTGTGTGTGTGTGTGTGTGTGTGTGTGTGTGTGTGTGTGTGTGTTGCAGGCCTCATTGGCCTTGGATATCAATGTCCCCTGCTCCCAGCTCCCAGAGCTATAGTGTCTACATTAAAATGTCTGAGGTACAGGCTAGGCCGCTCCCTTTTCCACCCGGGCAGGGTTGGGTCGTCTCAGTGACTCACCTGCCAGGATTAATTGGGCAAAACGATGATGTAAAGTTTAACCTCTTGCTGGAGAAATGCTGAATCAAGGAAGTAAGCAATGTTAATTATCGAACCTGCTTTAGTCACCAGAAACCAGACCGAGGACCTCGGGGAGGTTGGGCAGGGCTGAGGATCTAAGTACTGCAGAAGTCACTGTGCCCCAGGAGTACTGGCGCTTTCTGGAGTGACCTCAGTAGAAAGGCAACTGGGCTGCAGCGCTAAGGAGAGGTGTGTGCAGAACCTCAGCTCGCTTCCTTTTTTCACCTGGCTGACTGCTATCAGCTTCCAGGTTTTCACCTGAAGATCACTTCTTCCAGGCAGGCTTCTCTGACTTTCTAGACTAGGTGGACCCTCCATTACATACTCCCTTCATCTCCCATAATTGAACCTCACTAGCACTTTGCACGCTTAATACCTTGTAATCAAGTATGTTAATAATTTGTTTAGTTTTTGTCTTCCCTGCTAGCTTGGAGGTTCCATGGCTGTAGCAACCATGTCTGTCTTGTTCACTGTATCACCTGTGCCCAGCTCAGTGCCTGGTGGGCATTCGACAACTCTGTTGACTGGTTCACTGACAGGCTGTGAGGGGCTTTGGCAACTAGGATTCACAATGGGCTTTGGACGCTTGCCAGGTGAGGACAGCATTCCCAGAAAAAACTGCGAGGTGTGTATAGGAAATGGTGGACAGATGACTGGCTCTGCCTCAGTCTCTATCTTTGACTTTTTTATCCAAAGTCTTTTTTTTCCTGCATTCATTTTTGGCTTCTCTCACATGGGTTCACACGGAATTACAGTATGAACTAAGCAAGTGCAATTGTCCCAAGAGTCACACTCCTTCCCTAATTCTGGAATTGTCACTGCTTATCAAGAAAGCAAAGGGGCTTTTGGAAGCCTTTGCACTTCAAAGCAGGCTCCAACAGATCATCTCTGAAGCATGTGGCTGATCAAGCTCATTCTCAGTAGGGCCTGTTTGTATAGGCTGGCCCTGGGGCAGTGGGGATGGGAGATGGTTTTAGCTTCCTGGCTTGACCCAATGATAATAATAACAACAGAGTGAACATTTATTGAGCCATTTACCACTCCTAAACCCTGGCCATTATCTCATGTATAAGCATTGCCTTGTTTTATCCTCGCAGCCATCTTATGAAAATTACCATCATTAGTCCCATTTTACAGATATAAAAACTGAGGCTCAGACGGAGTAAAGTATCTTGCCCAAGGTTATACTGTTTGGTAAGAAGCAGTGTGAGTTCCGTCCTAGATCTAGCTGACCCCAAAGCCCATATTTTTATTTCCTTACTATACTGCCTGTGCTGAGAAGCTCTTTGCCTCAGAGAATAGCTCTACCCAATACCTGCGGGGCCTGACAAAACTTTGCACCAGACAGAAAGAAAACAGGTCTGTTGTGTAAATGTGTGCTCCCGCAGAAGACAGGAAGAATCACAACAATAACCATGATTCATTAAATAATAGAAACAGCTCTTTCCCTGTGTTACCTATCTTCAGAGTGTGCTGTTAGCCAATTAACGCACATAATACTCTGCCAAGCCACTTTTGTCATTCCAATGAGAAAACTGGGACCCAGACAGGCAAAACCCTTTGTCCAGGGCTATACAGTTAACTGTGGGAGTGCTAGGATCACATTCTTTGAGGCCTCGCTCGTGATGTATCTATCACCTTTCTTGTGCAAATAAAGGTTACTGCCACCTGGGACTATGTGGCTCAAAGATGTTATATATTGTAGGGACTATTAGTTATATTTTAAATTATAATTCATGTGTTTATTTAATTTTTGGGGGAAGACCTTGAGTCTGTTAAGGAAGTACCTTTTCCTGCCAGTGTTTTACATATAAGAGGCAAGATCACCCCCTCCTCCATATCTGTTAGTAGTTGTGAAAAACTATACCTTAAAACATTCAGATTGGAATGATCATTTAGATTTTAAAACGTTTGGCCCATTCCCTGTGTTAATTCAGGGTTCTCCCCAGTCACACAAATGACAGATTCTAAAAGCTCCCCTTGGAGGAAAGAGGGGGAAGGTAATAGCAATGGCTGCAGCTTGAGTTATTGCTACCATTGCCAAGACCCTGCATGGAAGGAGTTATCCCAGTTTGCAGATGAGTACACTGAGGCTTATTGGGGTTAGATACTTAATTTCAATGTCATTTAGTTACCAGATGGCAAAGCCATGACAAGAAGCTTTGCCTGACTCAAAACCTTTTTGTTTGTACTAAGCTACCTTCCTCTGTAGAATAAATACAAACCAAACCAAACACAATAAAAACAACAACAGAATCCATAGATTCCACTTCAGCATTGGCAGTATTTAGTTTCCAGCAGTCTATGCGGTAGGAGAGATTTCTCATTGTACTTCCTTAAATCCTTCATGTTTTGATTTATGTTCCTTTTCTCTTCAGAACACAGGAAAATAAAACTGGTATAGAAATGCAAGTTTGGAAAAACAAAGTCATCATTCAACCCCACATCAATCTTTTCTTCTCCAAGCTGAACAAACTTGGGCCTCTTTCTCCTGATCTTGGCTCAAGTGTGGGAACCAGACCTCAGGAAGGCAAGGGAGGGAACATGTGGGCCAAGGAGGCCTGGACTGGGGGCCAGCCTACGGCAGTGGCAAGGATGTAAACAAGGCGACTGCACAGGCAGGCAGTAAGATTAGCCCAGCTGGCAGTGGCCAGTGGAAAAAGGGGTGGCTGTTCAGTGATGGCAAACATGCCATGCGGGAAGGTGGTGAGAAATGAATCTTGTCTTTGAGCTAGGGGAATGCCCAGGAACAAATGAGAGAGACAGAGAGAGAGGTTAAGAATATGAACTTTGGACTCCCCAATATATGCTGAGGGATTATGATGTGTAGGTGTGGAGATCAATAGTGAGATAAAGCTCACAGTGCTGTGTCTTACAAATAGCTCAATATTATGGAAGAATTGTGGCATAAAAAAATTCAGGAGTGACAGATTTGGAACACCATCATTTTGCAACCCCTAATGAAATAATGTTCAAACCACCCGGTAAAAGGCTAATGGGGACCCATTTAATGGATGGAGCAGGCTGACACTTGAATAGAATCAATTTTAATACAAAAAGGGAGGCAGTTAGGCATTATGTGCTTCCTGATGTGTTGCTATAAAAAGTACTTAATTTTTAACATGAGTGTAAATATAACAAAATGGGAAAAAATAGTCTTTTTCAGTAAATGATGCTGGAACAACTTCATATCTACAGGTAGAAGAATGCATCTGGATCCCTATCTCACAACATACATAGAAATTAACTCCAGCTGGATCATAAAATCTAAACATTAGAGTAAAAACTGTAAGCTCTTAGAAAAAAATGCAGTGATAAATACTTATGAATTTGAATTAGACACTGGTTTTTAGATATGACAACAAAAGCACAAGCAACAAAGGAAAGAGTAGATGTGATGAAAAGCTTTTGTGCTTCAAAGGACACACCTAGAAAGTGAAAAGGCAACACGCAGAATGAAAGAAAAAATTGCAAGTCATATAACTGATACGGGACTTGAATCTAGAATATGTAAAGAACTCTTACAACTCAATAATAATAAGGAAACCCGATGATAAAATGGGCAAAGGATATAAAAAAACAGTTCTCCAAAGAACACATGCACTATAAACGCATGAACAGATGCTCTTATTAGCCATGAGGGAAATGCAAATCAAAACCACAATAGGATAACATTCACACCCAATTGGATGGCTGCAATAAAAAAGATTGATAATAAAACAAGTGTTGGCGAAGATGTGGGGAAATTGCAACCTGCATACACCAAGCCTGGGAATGTACAATGGTGCAATCACTTTTGAAAATCATTGGCAGTTCCTTAAACACAGAGTTACTATATGATCTAACAGTTCCACTTCTAGGTATATAATCAGATGAAAGCATATGTCTACAAATGTTCCATAGCAGCATTATTCAAAATAGCCAAAAAGTAAAAACAACCCAAACGCTCATTCATTGATGAGTGGATAAACAAAATGTGGTATATTCATACAATAGAATGTTATTTGCCATAAAAAGGAATGAGTACTAATACATACCGCAACATGAGTAAACCTAAAAACATATTCAGCGAAAGAAACCAGCCACAAAGATCCAAATATTCGAATACTGTGTGCTTCCACTTATAGAAAACATCCAGAATAGGCAAATCTATAAAGACAGAAAGTAACTTAATGGTTTCCTAGGGCTGGGGTTAAAGGAAATGGTAGTTTGGGAGGTGATGGCTAAGAGGTGTGGGATTTCTTTTTGGAGTAAAGGAAATGTTTAAAATTGACTATGGTGATGAATGCTCAACTGTGTAAATATATTAAAAGCCATTGAATTGTACACTTAAAAAAACTCAAACCAAACTAAAAAACAAGTACTTAGTACTGCCTATGAAGTATTCTTGACAAAAAATTGAGCCCGAAGCTTTCAAGCCTCTAGTTCTATCAGCTTACAGAAAGTATGGGGGAGGCCAGCCTCAGTGGCTCACACCTGTAATCCCAGTACTTTGGGAGGCCGAGGCGGGTGGATTACTTGAGTCCAGGAGTTTGAGACCAGCCTGGCCAACATGGTGAAACCCTGTTTCTACTAACAATACAAAAATTAGGCAGGTGTGGTGGTGCATGCCTTTAATCCCACCTTCTTGGATGGCTGAGGTGGGAGGACCACTTGAACCTGGGAGGCGGAGGTCGCAGTGAGCCAAGATCATGCCACTACACTCCAGCCTGGGTGGCAGAGTGAGACTCTGTCTAAAAAAAGAAAAAAGAAAAAAGAAAAAAAGAATGTATGGGCTAGAGAGGAATGTATTATCACTGCAAAAATGCAACCAGTAATATCCAGAATTTGGAAAATTCAAAAGGGCAAGTGACTTTGTTTTTTTAATGTATAGATGGTTAAGGGAGAAGGAGGGATATGTAGAATAAAGAAATTTAAGAGCCATATTAACTCAATGCAATGTGTTTAATTCATTTTGTTCCCATTTGAACAAACACTAAGAACATTCATAAGGCAAATATAAAAATTTGAACACTGAATATTTAATGTTTTTAAGGAATTGTGTGTGTGTGTGTGTGTGTGTGTGTGTGTGTGTGTGTGTGTGTGTGTTTAGATGGAGCCTTGCTCTGTGTCACTCAGGCTGCAGTGCACCGGCAAGATCTCGGCTCACTGCAACCTCTGCCTCCTGGTTCAAGCCATTCTCCTGCCTCAGCTTCCCAAGTAGCTGGGACTACAGGCATGCGCCACCACACCTGGCTAATTTTTGTATTTTTAGTAGAGACGGGGTTTCTCCATGTTGGCCAGGCTGGTCTTGAACTCCTGACCTCAAGTATCTGCCTGCCTCAGCCACCCAAAGTGCTGGGATTACAGGCATGAGCCACCGTGCCTGGCCTGTTGTTCATTTTTTAGTGTGTGATAATGGAATCATGGTTATGTTAAAAATATTTTTAAAGAGACACTTGCTGACATTTTTCTGGACGAAATGATATGATGTCTGGACTTTGCTTTAAAATAATCCAAGAGGCAAGGTGGGCAGATCACTTGAGTCAGGAGTTTAAGACAAACCTGGCCAACATGGTGAAACCTAGTCTCTCTTCATAATACAAAAATTAGCTGGGCGTGGTGGTGCCCACCTGTAGTCCCAACTACTCGGGAGGCTGAGGCAGGAGAATCGCTTGAACCTGGGAGGCAGAGGTTGCAATGAGCCAAGATCATGCCACTGCACTTCAGCCGGGGCAACAGAGTGACACTTTATCTAAAATAAATAAATAAAATAACCGAAGAGGGGAGCAGGTGAATGAAAGGAGATATATCTGAAATAAGATTGGCCCATTAGTGGATAATTGCTGAGACTAGGTGATGTGTACATGAGGGTTCATTATACTATTCTTTCAACTTTCAAATACGTTTGAAATTTTCTTTTATAAAAAGTCCAAAAAATAACAGGATAGGGATTGAAGAGCAATCCAGCAACTGATTGCTAAGACATTTTGACTGCTAAAAAGTTTTAAAATAACAACAATAACAAAAGTGGTAGCCAAGCACTTTATATTCACTTTTTATTTTTGATTTTCCCAATAACCTTGTGAGTCAGAGGTTAATTCTCATTTTTTGGTGGGAAACAAGCTCAGTATTGATTGGTCCTACATCCCACCATGGGCTGGGGAAGAGGTACCTGGGTCTAAGACTGCCATGGTTTCTCCTGTACAACACTGTATCTCTGGGTGGCTCATGACAGTTCTTTACCCAGGGGGCTCTGGCAAAATAGAGAGAGAGGTGGGAGGCCTTCTGGTCCTTTCTTGCTTTCAGCCACCTGCCTGTGAAACCCTGCTAAGGCCTTAACTGGTAATTTAAGAGAAAGTTTAAGGGGTTATATTTACCCAGTGGGTACATTTTCAAAAATTTAACAAACACATTTCAGACACTCAGTAGGCCCTATAAAAGGCACTATGGGGGCAGATAATGATAATATGGGACAGAGCAATTGGAGGGGATAGGTGTTCATCTAATGGTGCCTCCTCTCTTTTCTACCCACAACTCTTTGGGAATGCTCAGTGAGTTCTGGAGTGCTCTGACAACATCACTTATGAGTATGAATTTGTTGAGTGAAAATTGTAAAATAAAAGAAATATTTATCTTGGGAGATATCATCATAAGACTATAAACATAGAGTTAATTTATCTCTGTAAATTACCTCAAGAAGGAAGATTAGCTAAGAATCTTAAATATAAATTTGAACTGGGAGGGTGTCCAAAGGAAAAAATATATATATTAGTGCTAAGTAAACCATTTCTCATGGCAGCCCTGAGAACCATCCAAAGGAAAAAATATATATATTAGTGCTAAGTAAACCATTTCTCATGGCAGCCCTGAGAACCATAAAGTTGGGTTGTGACTCCTATGAAAGACAGTGATGAAGGAGCACCCTGGGAGAAGATCTGGACTTATAATAGTTCAAGCTCCCAGAAACTACTTTATTCAGACTATTTCAAATATGGGGTTAAAAGGACAGTCAGCTTTATAGACCTCAGAATTCCCCAAGGCTCGTGACAGCTCATCTTCCCAGATGAGGAGCCCAGGAAAGATGCTTGGACTTGTCATTATCATCCTGGCATAGGATGCAGGACAGTGGAGGAAGGAATTACATTCCTTACACTGACTTAAGTGACCCCCACCTTTTTCTCTCTCTCTCTTGTCTTTTTTGTTCTAGGTAATCAGAAGAGGGGTTTGGAAACTCAAGAGCACATAAGTGAACAAAACATCAAGCTTGCTCTTAAAAGTTTTTCAATCTTACGCATGTTGGTAAGATATATATGTGGTATTTATAGTGTAAAGAGGGTGTTATATGTTCTAATATATATGTTACAACACAAGTATAAACAATGTGCTGTGAATACAAGAGAGATATATATGAGAGAAATAATTCTGCGGAGGAGCAGTGGCAAGAGCTTCCTTGAAAAATAATATGCTTACAGGGCCTTGGGGTATGGATATGAGGGCAACAGGTGAATGCAACAAAAATAAATTCCAGAAGGAACAGCAATTATTTATTCAAAAAACATTTGTTCATTGCCCAGAATAATGCAGGCATTGTGCTGGGTACAAGGACAAAAAGCAAAGAGGTGGCCTAGTACATGGTGTGCATATAGGAATGTACACACACACCGTACTTTTATGTGTATGCACGTGTGTGTGTCAGCAGACCTGGGAGACCAGGAAGTGAACTGTAGCCAGATCATGGAGAGTCTAGAATATCATACTAAAATCTCACTTAGGGAAGGGAGCACAGGTCTGCCCTCAAGTCTGGACCCTGTTTCTACCCTTGAGACATTGTGCAAATTACTTAATCTTTTTGGGAATTCCTAGCCAGCACAGTCAGGCAAGAGAAAGAAATAAAGGGCATCCAAATTAGAAAAGAAGAAGTCAAACCATCTCTGTTTGCTGATGATCTTATACCTAGAAAACCCTAAAGACTCCTCCAAAAGACTCCTAGATGTATCAATGAATTCAGTAGTCTCAGGTCACAAAATCGATGTACACAAATCAGCAGCATCGCTATACACCAACAACAAACAAGCTGAGAATCAAATAAAGAACTCAATCCCTTTTACAATAGCTATTAAAAAAATAATTTAAAAATATTTACAAAAATATACTTAACCAAGGAGGTGAAAGATCTCTACAAGGAGAACTACAAAACACTGTTGAAAGAAATAATAAATGACACAAACAAATGGAAATACGTCCCATGTTCATAGATTGGAAGAAACAATATCGTGAAATGACCATACCGCTCAAAGTAATCTACAGATTCAATACAATTTCTATGAAAATACTAACATCATTTTTCACAGAAGCAATCCTAAAATTCATATAGAACCAAAAAAGAGCCCAAATAGTCAAAGCAATTCTAAACAAAAAGAAAAAATCTGGAGGCATCACATTACCTGACTTCAGATTATATTACAAGGCTATAGTAACCACAATAGCATGGTACTGGTATAAAAGTAGGCACATAGACCAATGGAATAGAATAGAGAACCCAGAAATAAAGCCAAACACTTTTAAACAAATGATTTTTGACAAAGCACCCAAAAACCTAAACTGAGGAAAGGACATCCTATTTAATAAATGGTGTTGGGAAAACTGAATAGCCACATGCAGAAGAATGAAACTGAATCCTTACCTCTCACCATATACCAAAGTTAACTCAAGATGGATTAAAGACTTAAATCTAAGACCGGAAACCATAAAAAATCTAGAAGAAAACCTAGAAAAACTCTTCTGGACATGGGCCTAGGCAAAGAATTTATGACTAAGACCACAAAAGCAAATGCAACAAAGACAAAAATAAATAAATGAAACCTAAGTAAAATAAAAAGCTTCTGCACAGCAGAAGAAATAATCATCAGAGTAAACAGAAACCTAAGAATAGAAGAAAATATTTGCAAACTATGCATTTGACAAAGGACTAATATCCAGAATCTACAAGGAACTCAAATCAGTAAGAAAAAAGCAAACAATCCCATTAAAAAGTGGGCTAAAGAAGATACACAAGATATATAAGCAGCCAACAAACATATAAAAATGCTCAATATCACTAATTATCAGGGAAATGCAAGTTAAAACCACAATAAGATACCACCCTTATCCAAGTCAGAATGACTGTTATTAAACAGTAAAAAAACAGTCGATGTGGGCATGGATGTGGTGAAAAGGGAGCGCTTAAACACTGCTGGTGGAAATTTAAATTAGTTTAACCTCTATGGAAAACAGTATGGAGCTCTCTCAAAGAACTGAAAATAGATCTACCATTTGATCCCACTACTGGGCATCTACCCAAAGGACAAGAAGTCATTATAACAAAAAGACAACTGCGTGCATATGTTTATCACAACACAATTCACAATTGCAAAGATACGGAATCAACTGTTGAATGGATAAAGAAAATGTGGTGTGTGTGTGTGTGGGTGTGTATATATCTATATATAGATATATAGATATACATACATACATATATATACCATGGAATACTACTCAGCCATAAAAAAGAATAAAATAATGTCTTGTGCAACAACTTGGATGGAACTGGAGGCTATAATCCTAAGTGAAATAACTCAGGAATGGAAAACCAATATTGCATGTTCTCACTAAGTGGGAGATAAACTATGGGTATGAAAAGGCATACAGAGTGGTATAATGGAAATGGGAGACTCAAAGGAGAGAGGGAGGGTGAGGGTGGTTAAGGGAAGAAAAATTATCTATTGGATACAATGGAGGCTACTCCGGTGATGGGTACATTAAAATCTCAGACTTCACCACTATACAATTCATCCATGTAACCAAAAACCACTTGTACCCCTAAAGCTACTGAAATGAAAAAATTAAAATTAAAAAAAGACTAAGAAAAATACCTAATCTTTCACTCCCAGAGTTTTCCCGTTTGGTAAAATGAGCATACCAATACCTACTCTGAACAGTTTTGAGGACAGTCATATGTTTGTAAATCACTTATTATAGTTTCTGGCTTTTTGTGATCACTCAATAATGGGATCCATTAATGGTTTGGGGAAGAGAAGTGGCTGAAAGGATTTGGGTTTGCAAGAGGTCATTATGAAGCCAAGACTGGAAGTATGGATGGGGTTGGGAGGGATTGGGCGGGGTGAGGCGAAGTGATTGAGTGTGGGCTCTAGGAGGCCAGTGAGGAGGCTGGAGCAATAGTCTAGGCAAGAGATGAGGACCCAAACTAAGGCAGTGAAATGGAATGGGCAATAGCAATAACTATTTAGGTGGCACAATGAGCTTACTGATTAGCTGAATGTAGGAGGTGAGGGAAAAAGAGCTTTCTAGTTGCATAGCAGTTCTGCTACCCTGGATCTGTGATACAGAAGGAGGGAGGCTTAAGGAGTAGGGATGAAGGATTGGCAGTGGGACAGGGATGGGGAGGAGGAGGGGAAGGGGAGAAAGAAGGCATATTGAGGAGCAGAAACTCTTAGGAAAACAAGAATGCTTCACTGCTCTGTGAGTGTGGGAGGCAGAGGGCGAGCAGGATCCACATCCTGAACCAAGTCAATTTTAGAATCTCCAGGGAGGGCCCTGCACATGTGACTCCCCAAAGAGGCATTTCTGAAGGACTTCTTTCTAACTTGTGTCATGTGCAGTTGATTTTCTTTGTCTCCAGGACTCTCCCAGAGGCCAGCTGCATTGGTTTCAATCCACCCACTTAACTTCCTCCACTGCAGTTTTCCACCGAACTTACTCAGTATCTTCAGGTCTAATCCTGAATTGTTTTCGAGTGCCATTGTTTTTAGTCCGTAGTTGCAGTTCATCTGTGAGGTCATTTCCTGATGCTCTACCCAGAAGTTTCAAGTGGTTTCCCACAGGTAGAAAGACACAATGACAAAGGGGAAAAAATATTCCTGGCTCTGGCTTCTCATTATGAAAAGGAAGAAAATGCTACCCCTTGGGGTTTGAGACTTGAGGGACAATCCAAGACTTGTCTCTACCACAGGAGGAGAATGAGGCAGCAGCTTATTCTTGGTGCCATCAGCACCATACACAATGTTTGGACACAACTGGTAGTTCATAAAGAAACAAAGTGATAGTAAATGGAAGCCTTTTTCAGGTGCAAAAGACTTAGGACAAATTCTTTACTGAGGGGGTGGGTGGAGAAGAAAATGCTGGAAGGCCTTAGCATTCAAAAGGAGCCAAGTGAAGACAACCAAGAAAAGGGAGGCTGCAGACATCCAGGATAAACTACATTGGCAGAATGTTGCCTAGTGTGGTCTTGGTTGACAGCATAGTGTAGTGACAAGAGCTTATGTTCTAGAATTAGACAATTCTAAATTCAATCCAGACTCTTTACTAAATTACACGAACTTGGCTTAATCATTTTTCTTTTGGGGCCTTAATTACCTTGCTATAAAGTGTTGATAATACCTCCCCTACAAAGGTTCTTATTACAGTTTTAGAATGGAGGGGAGGCTTAGGAGACTGAGAGTAAAAGGAGACTTTTCTATCAGAGGATATCACTGTATCTATTTATCTATCTATCTATTTATCTATGTATCAATCATCTATCCATCCATCCATCCATCCATCCATCCATCCATCCATCCATCCATCCATCTACTTACCTACCTACCTATAGATCCATCCGTCTCATATTAGTTTCAGTAAAGTTTGAGGTTATATTACTCTTCTTGTTTTGGTAGTAGAATCTCCAGTACTCACTATGGTTACTAGCACATTGCAAGCATTCAACAGATGTTTATTGGCTGGAAGATTTACACTAATCTGTAATCTTTCTTTAGGAAATTAATTCTTTCTCAAGTCTTCCCTAAGTATATGTCACCACCACCTGCCCAGATATTTACGTTAAAAGTCTTGATTCCTTGATTTATTGAGCACCTGCTAGGGTCTAGGCACCATGTGGGTTGCTGGAGTGGGGAAGGTAGGGGGAGTGTGATGAGCCAGACCCAACCACAGCTCTCAAGAATGTTAGAGAAAAGGGAAGAACTTGCCATTTGTTCAACTTTCTGCTCATCATTAGATATGTCATAAGTGGGCCATTTCGAGTGTGTTTTTACAACCTTTGGACAAACATGTAGAAATACTTATAATCCACAGCCATCTGAATGGAGAAAAGGCTGCTGTGAAGTAGTTCCCTGGTCATCGGATGTGTGAATGCAGTGCCATACTGTGGAATTCTCACTATTTGTGAAAACTACGAAGTAATAATACTTGTTTTGAATCCTACTAAGCTTCTCCCACTCTAGTCCAGCCTCCGTAGATGACATAAATGCCCAGAATAAGAATTTTAAAAGCACACAGAAAATGACTCTTGGTTAAATCTTTTGCGAAGCCAACTTAGAGCTGAGTGAGCTAGCTTATTTCCACTGAGTGTGGGCTGCACTTTATATATCTATGACTATATATAAAGAATCGTTTCAAAAAATTCTGTGACTCTTTGGCTTAATTGTGAGTCACAAGGCTCCCATTTTAGAGTGTGTGTGTTTGTGTGTGTGTGTGTGAAGGAGAACTTTGGGCATAAAGCATCTATTAATATGTACTTGTAAAGAAGTGCAGTGTGTATGTAGAAAGTTTTATAGTTTCTGTTAAAGCAAGGGGAGTGAAATGGAGGAGAAAGAGAAAGTGTGTATGTGTGTGCGTGTGCATGTGGTGCAGTTGGTGGGCAGAATTACATGAGCAGCCAACTTCTTAGCAACCCAGACAGTGGTATAAGATATGAAGTGTTGTAGGAGGTGATTGTTTTCCTTTCAGAATAGCACACAGGTCTTTGAGGAGCCCTTGACTTTCTCTTTCCTCCTTGTCTTGTTAAAAAGGGATTAGAGTCCAATTAAGCCTTTTAATCCCAAGGTAGAAATTCATGTTTAAAAACAAAATTTACAGCTCCTTAAAAAAAAGAAAAAACACATCAGCACAAGTTGAGTTTTGTCCTTTCAAGTTGCCACCTGCATGGTCCCAAAGAGTGTTTTCAGCTGAATACCCAACATGCAGCTCTTCTTAATTACTTTGCCTCATACCTCCACTCCTTCATCTTTTAAAGTACCCTTCAACCTAAATAGCCACATGCTGCTAGAAATACTTCAGCTTCTGGATTGCCACGACCACCCCTACGCGTCTTCAGTTGGCAACACAGTGACCAGGGTTAACAATAGTATTAAGAGGCAACACTTATTGGATGCTTAGTATATGGTGGGCATCATGGTGCTAGTCACTTTACATGCATTATCTTATTAGGTACTCCATCTGGAAACACCCAGGGCTGGCTTCACCGGTTTGTGCCTTGCATAGCCACACAGGGCTCTTTGCTTGGTTTAATGCTCTGCTGTTCCCATCTTCAAATTCTTGATCATTTTTGAGCATAGGACTTGTATTTTCATTTTGGACTGGGTCCTATAAATGTAGGTAACCAGTCCTGAGAACATTCAATAACCCATAGTTTCTTTTTGTTTCTTTTGCTTTCTTTCCATCTGATGTCTAATACATTGCCAGAGGATGGGATATTGAATCTCAGATTGTGATGCCAAAACACTCTCGAGAAAATAGGTGCCATCATCTCCTTAGAGGGAAGTTCTCTAAGGGACAGGAACGATATCATGGCACTCAGCAAGGGAAAGAAAAGTATCTGTGAGAATTTGGATAAGTTGTTTAACCCCTCTAAACCTAAGTTCGCTCAACTGTAAAATGGGGATAATAGTAATAACACCTAACTCACAGGCTGTTCAAGGATGAAATAAAAGGTTTATACAATTCTAACATGGAATACATATGGCATTAGTTACTAGTAGGGCATTCTGGGTGCTTAGCAAGTACTAAACATCAAATATTGGTTGTGACATGGTATGAATCACTTGCCCAACTCCAAAGTGCCCTCATCCCAGGCGTTTCTTCCCTACCTGTCCCACACAGCTGGAAGGAACGTCTGCTTTCTCCATGGGCTGGGTGATCACAGAGGGGTTGCTGGAGCTGATGAGCACTGGGGTGCTGATCTCTACCATATGGCGCCCTGAAGGAGAATGGACCATCCGGTTGAGAGTGTTCAAGGCTGTTGTGATGGAAAACTGCCCAGGCACCTTCCTCCTGGACCCTGGGCCCCTACGGAGGGTAGACGTGTTGCCTCTGGAGGACGAGGACACCAGGGACAGGTTTTTTGTGCGGGATGACTGGCGACCTTTGTTCTTCTCTAAAAGGTGTCTTGCGGTGAGGTTTGGCTGAAAAGACAAAAGGTCCAATGAGAAGTTTGTCTTCCTGATCTAATGTGAGTAGCCAGTTCCTACCCATGTACATCTGAAGCCAGGTCAGGTGCCACCTCCTCAGTCACTGGCTCAGATGCTCATTCCTTGGTGAGCACAGTAACAGCTTCCATCTTTTATCGATGCATCCTCATGACTTTGCTCTATTAATGCATTCTCATAACTTTCCTGCAAAGTAAGTATTACTCTTTTACTGAGGTCCAAAGGGGATAAAAATAAGCCATGATGCTCTTCCCTGGCTGAGAGTATTCTTCCTTTACCCATTTTCCCCAGTCATTTCTGGCTGTTTTCACCTAGTGGACTTCTCCCCTCTTCCTTTAGCCATCCTGGAATCCCCTGCTGGGTTGGCCACTTGTCCTTCCTGGTGCTCCCAGCAGCCCCTGTGCTTCCCAATCATTGTATTTTTCCACTCCAAACTGCAATCCTTTACTTGCCTTTCCCCCACTAGTCCGTTAGCTATCTGGGTTGCAGGGACCTTCTACACATGATTCTCTCCTGTACCCCAGAGTAGATGCTTAGTGTTTGTGGAATAGTGAGTGAATGAAGTTGCTCAAGTTTATACATTTCATAAGTGTTTGAGCCAGAATGTAGTGCATTCAGGACCCTGAATCCTTATGCTAAGACTGACTTTTACTACTTCCTTTAAATATGTTCATGTAATCACCATTCTTCCTTGTTCTATATCTCTTAGTCAGTGATGTATTGGTAAATCAGCTGTCAAAAAAAAAAGTAACAAGAAAGAAAGAAAACAGATCCCTGATTTGTGGAGTTTTTCAAGCCACCAATGGTTAAACAACTGGCTGGGAAAATTTCTGAAAATATAACAACCAGCTCTTGTGATCTAGTTCCAGCCAACTCCAGTACACCACTGTGTTATGTCTGTCTTCCCCACCGTATAGGTCCATTCTCACAAGCAATATGTCATAATATTTTGAGTACCCTACTCACTGACAGCCCCTGTGGGTTCATTTCCTTTGGAAATCTGAAACATGTTGACAAACAAGAGTTAGTGCAATAACTCTTAAATTTTAGGATGATTACCTAAATTTTCATTTTTATAATTGTTACCAGTTGCCCTCTAAAACCGTATCTCATTCTAATTTAGAAATCCAACCAAGACTAAACCAGGAAGAAGTTGAATCCCTGAATAGACCAATAACAGGCTCTGAAATTGAGGCAATAATTAATAGCCTACCAACCAAGAAAAGTCCAGGACCAGACAGATTCACAGCCGAATTCTACCAGAGGTACAAGGAGGAGCTGGTACCATTCCTTGTGAAACTATTCCAATCAATAGAATAAGAGGGAATCCTCCCTAACTCATTTTATGAGGCCAGCATCATCCTGATACCAAAGCCTGGCAGAGACACAACAAACAAAGAGAATTATAGACCAATATCCCTGATGAACATCGATGCAAAAATCCTCAATAAAATACTGGCAAACCAAATCCAGCAGCACACCAAAAAGCTTATCCACCATCATCAAGTGCAAGGCTGGTTCAACATACGCAAATCAATAAATGTAATCCAGCATATAAACAGAACCAGCGACAAAAACCATATGATTATCTCAATAGATGCAGAAAAGGCCTTTGATAAAATTCAACAGCCCTTCATGCTAAAAACTCTCAATAAATTAGGTATTGATGGGACGTATCTCAAAATAATAAGAGCTATTTATGACAAACCCACAGCCAATATCATACTGAATGGGCAAAAACTGGAAGCATTGCCTTTAAAAACTAGCACAAGACAGGGATGCCCTCTGTCACCACTCCTATTTAACATAGTGTTGGAAGTTCTGGCCAGGGCAATCAGGCAGGAGAAAGAAATAAAGGGTATTCAATTAGGAAAAGAGGAAGTCAAATTGTCCCTCTTTGCAGATGACATGATTGTATATTTAGAAAACCCCATCGTCTTAGCCCAAAATCTCCTTAAGCTGATAAGCAACTTCAGCAAAGTCTCAGGATACAAAATCAATGTGCAAAAATCACAAGCATTCTTAAACACCAATAACAGACAAACAGAGAGCCAAATCATGAGCGAACTCCCATTCACAATTGCTTCAAAGAGAATAAAATACCTAGGAATCCAACTTACAAGGGATGTGAGGGACTTCTTCAAGGAGAACTACAAACCGCTGCTCAACAAAATAAAAGAGGACACAAATAAATGGAAGAACATTCCATGCTCATGGATAGGAAGAATCAATATTGTGAAAACGGCCATACTGCCCAAGGTAATTTATAGATTCATTGCTATCCCCATCAAGCTACCAATGACTTTCTTCACAGAATTTTTAAAAACTACTGTAAAGTTCATATGGAACCAAAAAAGAGCCCACACTGCCGAGTCAATCCTAAGCCAAAAGAACAAAGCTGGAGGCATCACGCTACCTGACTTCAAACTATACTACCAGGCTACAGTAACCAAAACAGCATGGTACTGGTACCTAAACAGAGATATAGACCAATGGAACAGAACAGAGGCCTCAGAAGTAACACCACACATCTACAACCATCTGATCTTTGACAAACGCGACAAAAATAAGAAATGGGGAAACGATTCCCTATTTAATAAATGGTGCTGGGAAAACTGGCTAGCCATATGTAGAAAGCTGAAACTGGATCCCTTCCTTACACCTTATACAAAAATCAATTCAAGATGGATTAGAGACTTAAATGTTAGACCTAAAACCATAAAAACCCTAGAAGAAAACCTAGGCAATACCATTCAGGACATCGGCATGGGCAAGGACTTCATGTCTATAACACCAAAAGCAATGGCAACAAAAGCCAAAATTGACAAATGGGATCTAATTAAATGAAAGAGCTTCTGCACAGCAAAAGAAACTGCCATCGGAGTGAACAGGCAACCTACAGAATGGGAGAAAATTTTTGCAATCTACTCATCTGACAAAGGGCTAATATCCAGAATCTACAATGAACTCAAACAAATTTACAAGAAAAAAACAAACAACCCCATCAACAAGTGGGCAAAAGATATGAACGTACACTTCTCAAAAGAAGACATTTATGCAGCAAAAAGACACATGAAAAAATGCTCATCATCACTGGCCATCAGAGAAATGCAAATCAAAACCACAATGAGATACCATCTCACACCGGTTAGAATGGCAAACATTAAAAAGTCAGGAAACAACAGGTGCTGGAGAGGATGTGGAGAAATAGGAACACTTTTACACTGTTGTTGGGACTGTAAACTAGTTCAATCATTGTGGAAGACGGTGTGGCGATTCCTCAAGGATCTAGAACTAGAAATACCATTTGACCCAGCCATCCCATTACTGGGTATATAACCAAAGGATTATAAATCATGCTGCTATGAAGACACATGCACACGTATGTTTATTGTGGCACTATTCACAATAGCAAAGACTTGGAACCAATCCAAATGTCCATCACTGATAGACTGGATTCAGAAAATGTGGCACATATACACCATGGAATACTACGCAGCCATAAAAAAGGATGAGTTCATGCCCTTTGTAGGGACATGGATGAAGCTGGAAACCATCATTCTCAGCAAACTATCGCAAGGACCAAAAACCAAACACCGCATGTTCTCACTCATAGGTGGGAATTGAACAATGAGAACACTTGGACACAGGAAGGGGAACATCACACACTGGGGCCTGTCGTGGGGTGGGGGGAGTGGGGAGGGATAGCATTAGGAGATATACCTAATGTAAATGACGAGTTAATGGGTGCAGCACACCAACATGCCACTTGTATACATGTGTAACAAACCTGCACGTTGTGCACATATACCCTAGAACTTAAAGTATAATAAAAACAAAAAAATAGCTGAGATAGAAAATTTTATTGAATGTCGCTTTTGTTGAGGAATAAATAAAGTTCTTAAAAAGAAAATTTTAAAGAAGATATGGTTCTTGCTTCAAGAAGCTTATAGTATTGTGAAAAACTCATTAAGTAGGGGAATGAGCATTATTATGTCCATTTTAAAAATCAGGAGGCCAAGGCCTGGAAGGGGTGACTTATAAATTACAGAGCCAGCATGTAAACAACTAGACAAGAAAACATCATATAGTTATAAGTGCTCTGACATGATAGAGAGTGACTGGGGGAGGCAGCCACTTTAAATTAGGGGGTCGAGGAAGATCTGCCGAGAAGGTGGCATTTAAGCTGAAACAACAAATGTCAAGAAGGAGCTAGCTATGTGAAAATGGAGGTAAGAATATGCCCAGAAGAGGCACCATAAGCTACTCTGAAAGTCCTAAAGAGGGAAAGAGCTCAGCTTGCTTGAGAAAAAGACAGAAGAAAGAAACAGAGAGAAGGCTGGAACAGAGCATGTAAGGAGAAGGTGATAAAAGAGGCCACAGAGACAGGCAGGGGCCAGATCACAAGAGCCTGGGAAGCTTCCATTTTATTCTACATATAATAGGAAGTCTTTGGCAGGACTTAGGTAGAGGAGTGATAAGATCTGATTTATGCTTTTAAAAGCTCATGCTACTGTTTGGCAGTGTCTTAGAAAGTTAAACACATACTTAGCATCTGACCCATCAATTCCACTCCTAAGTAATCACCTAAGAGAAATGAAAACTTGTGCCCACTCAAAAACCAGTATGCAAATGTTTATAACAGTTTTATGCATAGTTGCCAACAACTGGAAAACAACTCCAGTGTCTTTCACGAGGTGAATGAACAAGCTCTGGCACATCTATACAATGGAATACTACTCTGCATCAAAAAGGAATGAACTACTGATACATGAAACAGCATGGGTAATCCCAAATGCTTTATGCAAAATGAAAGAAGCCCGACTCAAAAAGCTACATTCTGTATGATTCCATTTATATGACATTCTGGAAAAAGAAAACTACAGGAACAGAAAACAGATTGGTGGTTGCCAGCACTTATGAGTTGGGGAAGAAATTGACTATAAAGGGGAAGCATGAGAAATTTCAGGGCAGACTATTGGAACTCTCCTATGTCTTGATTGTGGTGTGGTTAAACAATTTTACATACTTATTAAAATTTATAGAACTGGATGTTAAAAAGAGTAAATTTTACTGTATGTAAATAAAAAAGAAATAAAAAGCTCGTTTCAGCTGCTATTTCGAAGTGCCAGAACAGAAATAGGGGGACCAATTAGGAAGTTATTGAAATTGTTTAGGCAAGCTCTGATGGCAGCTTGAACTAGGAACAATGACTTAGAGGCCCCAGGACACCTGCCCCTCCATTGTTCACCCAGTAAAAGGGCAATATACACTCTGAATTGAATGAGTAAAGTTCTTTATATAGCCATTCTTGGCTATAATGAAATAAGTTAATTTTTTCTGCTTCCACCTAATTGTTCTGTCCCCAGGTGAGTACCACCGTCAGCTTTTCTAACATTAACACTGACACAGGGCTCCGGGAGACTCTGCGTCTGCCCTGTCCTCTGCCAACATGATTAATAGCTCTGCTGGGGAAGAATTGCAGGTCTCTTAGATTTGCACCCACTCATTTGAAACAATATTGTTGAGGCTCACTGGGCTGAGCAAAGTTCATATAACCCAGGCAGGCTCCATTGGAGGAGTCCTGATAAGAATGAGCATAGGCTCAGCCTTTGTTTTATCACCTTTTAATGCGGGTGCAATTCAATAAGTGAAATGATACATTAACAAGAAAAATCCTGTTTATGCCAAACACACACAAACATGCACACATACACACATCATGCTCATAAGAAAGCCTCCCTTCCTTCCAATTGCTTTCCATGGCACTGGTAATTCAAAGTTTATTTAAAGAGTTCTCAGCAAGTGCTAGTCTTAATGAAATGACTGGAGTCAAAATTTAAGTGCTGCTTTAAAAAGCACAATTTAGATTTCAGGTAATTTTTGAAAATCAGGTTTCCAGATTAGAGCAACCACTTAATTATCTTTTTCCCCTCTGAGCAATTAGGAGAACAAATGAAGCACTGGCTAGTTTAATGATAATCTTGATGGTTCTTGTACTCGCTAATTTTAGAGGTGAAGTGTCAGGAAACTGTATCCAAATGAATAATCATTAAATGGAGAAGTTTTGGGAAATGGGTTTCAGAAATGGGTAATAAGATGACTGGTGCCTTCCCCCCCAGCCCAGACTTATGAAGAAGAATCTCAAGATAATGCAGGAGACCAGGCAACCATTTCCATAAATACTTAAGCACCTCATATGGGTCCAATGAGGTACTAATTGCAGCTGACGTCTGTCCTTGGAGAGTCAACCACTGACTGAATCATCCTAACTTCCACTCCTACCCAGCAGATGGCTCTGCCACTGACCTATGTCTATAAATCAAGAAGTGGGGCTGTCCTTGAACACTTCTCTCCTCTACGCCTGCCTCTGTCAATCCCAAAGTCCTGTGGATTCTACCTCCTGAAAGGTCCATGAACCTATGGGTCGAATCCACAGTCATCTAACTGGGCAATGCAGAGGCCTCCTAACTCTACTTTCTGCTTTTTTCTCCCTCCTCTTCAAATCGTTCCTCCCACTGCAGCCAGGGCAGTCTTTAAGAAATCCAAACCTGGTCACTTAAAAACCTTTCAATGGCTTCTGTTGGCTTTTGGGTCGAATCCACACTTCTTATGATATGGCAGAGGCAATGATACCCAGTGTTTCACGTGTTCCCTTATACTTCTCAGCTGACTTGACATCACATCAGGCTATGTGACTGGTTCAGGCTAATGGGCTGTGAGTGGGAGTGACAAGTGTCACTTCTGAAACGAGGCATTTAGTTGGTGATACAACTCACTCTTTTTCATGCGTCCCTACTGTGGAAACTAGGAAGCCCACATGTTCCAGATGATGCAGCTACCAGATGGCCCAGCCCTATTAGTTTGGGTTCCTGAGTGACTATGTGAGCAGAGCCCCTCATCACTCTGCACTGAACATGGAATTTAGGTGAGGAATAACATTTTCTTTGTTAAGCCACTGAGACTTTGGTGCCGTTTATTGCCACGGCATAACCTAGCCTATCCTGACTATACAGGATGGTTTATGAAGTCCTCTGTGATCTGTCTTCCATTTACTTCCCTGGCTTCATTTTTTGTTCCTCTTTCACTCTCTAAGCTCCAGCTCTGGTACTTCCTTTTTCCCCTGGCTACACCACATTTCCTCATCATGCAGGACTTTTGCACATTCTACCTCCATTATCTAAAATGCTGTCTATCTGTCAGATCTTGGCATAAGTGGCATTTGTTGACCTTCTGCCCTGGTAAGTTGCATATCATAACTCCCTAATAGTTTCCACTACTTCAGTCTTTTTTTTCTTTTTTGAGATAGGGTCTTGCTCTGTTGTCTAGTCTAGAGTATAGTGGCACAATCACGGCTCACTGTAGCCACGACCTCCTAGGCTCAAATCATTCTCCTGCCTCAGCCTCCGGAGTAGCTGGGAACATTGTGGGCCACCATGCCTGGCTAGTTTTTAAATTTTCTGTAGAGATGGGAGTCTCACTATGTTGCCCAAGCTGGTCTCAATCTCTCGGGCTCAAGTAATCCTTCTGCCTTGGCCCCCAATGTGTTGGGATTACAGCCATGAGCCACTACACTTGGCTACTTCAGTCTTTACATGATTCAACACACTTGCAATTACTGGAATACTTTCTGAATTTATAGTCTCTGAGAGTAGGGACCCATGTTTGTCTTGTGTCTTTAGAACTAGGCACAGGTCCTGGCATAGCAGGCACTCAATGAAAAATTAGTGAATAATTAAACATATGTTTAGGACAGGGTCACAGTGAATGGTTTGCTCTTTAAAAATTTTTTTTTCCCCTGGGAGCTCTGACTACCTTCTCAATTATTTTCCATTCATTCACTTGCTAAGCTTTTTTTTTTTTTTTTTAAACAGAGTGCTTGTTCTGTGTTAGGCTAGCCTGTGAAGTACAACTAACACACTCATCAGATATTCAGAGGAAAGAGGCCATTGAGGGTTTAACTACTTGCTGAAATTTTATGGACAAAGTAGGTTTCTATCTGAGCCTTATAAAATAAGTGAAATTTGAACAGGTAAAGAGAATTGGGTGGTGTATCTGAAAGGGGTCCCAGCAAGAGAAAAGGCATTAGGAATGAGAATTAGGAATGAGTTTAGTAGAGACAATAAGAAGATCAGCCTCTCTGGACCCTTCCTCCATCCCTTCCTTCAACACTGATGGAGTAGAGGAGGTACAGAGAACCCTGAAAGCTGTGCAATGCTCTGGGTACACCATTCATTTCAGAACCTGCTTTAGCTCTTATGACTAGAAGAATTGGTTGCTTCTCCTCAACTGTGGTCTGTTCTGTTTCAAACCCTCCAATCCCCAGGGTGGACAGCACGCCTTTTACTTCTTTCATAGCTTTCTACTACTCATTTTTAATGCTTTATGCATGTTAAGCACCCAGTAAATGCAGCTAAACAATGAAACCTCTCTTTTAAATATGTAATGACTTGCTTCAAGCTAAAGTGAGGCTCATGGCTAATGAGGTTAGGCACTGACAGGTTATATTATACTGGAGCTATACATAGCCTAGCATGTTTTCTTTCTTTTTTTTTTAAAGAAGATTTTTCTTTAAAAAACAGAAGTAATAAATATATGCTAATTTCAGAAGATTTAGGAAATACAAGTTGGCAGAAGAAAATGAAAAGCATCTAGAATCTCATCATCTAGTTATCACAAAATGTTAACATTTTGGTACATATCCTTCTCTAGTCCTTTATCCATTTATATAAACACATATATATTTATAAAGCTAGTTCCACATGGTCCAACTTATTTTTTATTGTGATAAAAGACATGTAACATGAAATTTACCTTCTGAACCACTTTTAAGTGTACAGTTCAGTAGTGTTAAGTATATTCACACTGTTATGAAACAGATCTTTAGAACTCTTTTATCCAGCAAATCTGGAACTCTATACCTATTAAACTTTTAAAAAACTTAACAATGAATCATAAATCTTTCCATAATATTGAACATTTTATGATATTAAATATTATTCTCCATTTATTTATTCTCCATAAATATTATTCTCCATATTATTCTCCATAAATATTATTCTCCATATATGGATAATATAGTATTATCCATAGAGAGACACTTTTTTCATCACCACAATTTAAAAAAAATGAACTCCTTATTGTTGAATATTTAGAGTATTTCTGTTTTTTCATAATTATATACCATCGCCTAACATTATGGTGAACATTTTTGAATATTTTGTACATCTATCTTTGCATACTTATTTAAATATTTTCTTACAATAAACTCCCAGATGGACTTATTGACTCAAAGGAGGCATACATTTTTAATATTTTTGGTATAAGTTTATTTGAGTTTGCATATGAGAGATTTCACTAATTTACATTCCCATCAGGAGAATAGAAAAGGCTCATTTCCCCAGACTCTTGCCAGAATTGGGTATTATTGTCTGGCATCTTTTCTTTAGAGATTTTAGTTAGTTCTGAAATAAGCCTCATAGCAAATAGGAATTGCTCTCAGGCATCACTGTAGCACATGAATATTTCTGTGTATGCGTAAATCAGATGTAGACTTGATACTCACGTACCTCTACAAACAAGATAGGGAAGATGCCTACTTTATCTCCTAACTTGCCTTCTGCCCAGTTCTCATCCACTCGGCTGATCACAGTGATGATATCGTCCTGAAAGAGAAAGTCTCATGGTCAGCATTTACTCTCATTTTCAGGCAGTAAAAGCTCTCAGCAGAGATCAGTTTGGAGTCTCAGATGGTGTAAAGTGTTAGGAATGTAGCTTGTGCTTGATTTATTTGGGAAGTCTTTTTGCTAAAATGAACTTTCTCCATAAAGGGCAGTGTTTGTGTCACTGAGACCATAGAGGGGTAGACATAATTTGGAGAATCAATGGAATCCAATAGGAAAACTTTGAAATGTTTCTAATTTTTAATCACCAGCAGGGTCCAAGCTTTTCATTTAAATTTATCTGATGGAGAAATCAAGATGGAAGCCATAGGGAGAAGCACTTTTAGCTTTGCAAAAAGAAAAATGAATTTTATGCTCATTTTGAAGACTTTCAGAACCTATTCAATTTTTAATGCATCAAACATAAAGCAACTTTTTGTTCAGATTTTTCTTACTATAAAAGGTTATATGTAAATTTGTAGAAACATTTGAAAATACAGATAAGCAAAACAAGGAAAATATTTTACCACAATAAAGATACAATCACTGTCAACAGCTTGAATAACACATTTTTTCCAGATTCTTTTCTATCAAGACAAAACATACATACATATAAACATACATATTTTTAAAAAACTTTTCCAAAAACATACACACATGCATAGAATAAAGTGCACAAATCTTGAGAAATTTTACATTTGAATATATCCATGAAATCCCTGTTCAGATGAAGGTATAGAATCCTCCCAGCACCCAGAAGGTTCCTTTGTGCCCTTTCCCACCACCTGTTAAGAGGCAACCACTACTCTGACTTCTACTACTATACATTTATTTTGTCATTATTTTGTTCCTGTACCTCACACAGATGAAGCCATATGGGACACAGTGATTTTTTTAATTTAATGCCATTTTAGAAACACCTTTCCTTGTCCATAAACCATTCATCAAGTTCAACCTGTATATTCATCCACTAAAGACCTTCTGATCTCTCTGACATTCTGTTCCATGCTCCTCAGGAATTAGGATTGATTTAAATTTAAATCTGTTACTGCATTATACCCTTTCTTAGCTTCCTCTTACACAGCGGTACCCAACCTTTTTGGCACCAGGGACTGGTTTTGTGGAAGACAATTTTTCCTCAGATGCAGGGGGTAGGAGGTGGGGATAGAGGGTAGAGGATAGGGAATGGTTTCAAGATAAAACTGCTCCACCTCACATTATCAGGCATTAGATTCTCATAAGGAGCACCTAATTTAGATCCCTTGCATGCGCAGTTCACAATAGGTTTCACGCTCCTATGAGAATCTAATGCTGCCACTAATCTGACAGAAGGTGGAGCTCAGGCAGTAATGCGACCCATGGGGAGCAGCTATAAATACAGATGAAGGTTTGCTCACTTGCCCACCTCTCACCTCCTGCTGTGCGGCCCGTTTCCTCACAGGCCACGGACTGGTACTGGTCGGTGGTCCTGGGGTTGGGGGCCCCTGCTCTTACACATGTGCAATTATGCATTTATAGGTTATCCTTCCTTCCTTCCTTCCTTCCTTCCTTCCTTCCTTCCTTCCTTCCTTCCTTCCTTCCTTCCTTCCTTTTCTTTCTTTTTTAATTTTTAGATGGAGTCTCGCTCTGTTGCCCAGGCTGGAGTGCAATGGCGCGAACTTGGCTCACTGCAACCTCCGCCTCCTGGGTTCAAGCGATTCTCCTGCCTCAGTCTCCTGAGTAGCTGGGATTACAGGCACGCGCAACCACGCCTGACTAATTTTTGTATTTTTAGTAGAGTCGGGGTTTCGCTATGTTGGCCAGGCTGGTCTCAAACTCCTGACCTCAAGTGATCCGCCTGCCGCGGTCTCCCAAAGTGCTGGGATTGCAGGCGTGAGCCACCGTGCCAGGAGGTTATTATTTCTTTAATGTCGGTCTACCCTATCTGACTATAAACTTCATGTGTGCAGGGCCTATGTCTGTTTTGTTAATCTTTGTTTTCCCTAGCACCTAACACAGTGGCTCCCTTTTAGTAGTCAGCCAATAAGTTTATTGAATGCATGCATGCATGAATAAATACATGACGTTGAATAAATTACACAATTTACTGAGCTAGAAAGCACTAGGAAAAGAACAGCTTTGGGAAGGAAGATCTTGAGTTTAATTTGGATATGCTGAGTTTAGACCATGAGATTTCCTAGAAGTCTGTGTATTTCACAGCCTTCCAGAATGGGTCAAATCCTCTCTTTTGGTTTCTTTGTCATAATTTCCCATTTATATGTCTGTTTCTTCCACTAGATTGCCAGCTCAGTGTAGGTAAGAACAATGACTCATCACTTTATCTCCAATGGCCAGCTTGGCACATGGATGGGCTCAAGAAATGAATGAGTGTGTGAAGTAAGTGCCCCAGTTTACAAATTCCCAGAAAGGGTGAGAGAGGCAGACGATGATACTTCCTTATGTCTTCCTCCAGCTGTGTGTCTAATGCCTGGCACAAAGTAAATAATAAATATTTGTGGAATTGAACTGACTTTCCTCTAGCTGTAGTCTAGGTCTACACTTTGCTGTTTGGGCTGTAGAATGACCTTCCTTAGGAGTCTCGCTCTGAGGTTCCACGGCAATAATAAAGATCATTATCTCAAAATATGGAGGGCAGAGAGGTTGTCTAGTTTGAGAAAACCTGAAGTAAATCTCCTTTCTGGTAGTGGTGGAATAAAAACATTTTGTAAAACGAAACACCTTGCCTAAGCTATTGTAGCAGTGCCACTTTTTATACTTACATTTGATCTACTTATCACGAGTAGTCAAGAATGAAAATAACTCCAACTGTGGTTTCTATGAGAGATGTGAATGTTTATGGAATAACAAATACTGAATACAGATAGTTAAAGTAGTGTAGACTTTAGTACAACTGTCATTAATTGCAAATGGTGGGGAATCATCTAATGAAAAAGAGAGGCACAAGAAATCTTAGGGTAATTAATGTTTGAAAAATATATCTTGTAAGAGGTTATTTATGTAGAAAGGCACGATTATGTTATTGTGTGTGTCTGGAGTGTTTTGAATGAGATGTTTACAACAAGATAGAATGTAAATGAGTAGAATTAGGTAACCATAACTTGGTTGCAAGAATACCCTGCCACATACATGATAAAGAGGTAGAGGCTGTAGTTTTACATAGCATGTTATCAAATTGTTTCTAATTTTCTGTCCATGTATCGGTGCTTCCCATTACTCTGCCAGGAGAGCAGAGACTGTGACTTATTCACGTCCTATTCCCAGGGCCTTCAAGGAGTAAATGCTCAAAAGTGATAGAATGAATAAATCAAATGTGTTATTCAAGCTGTTGACAGTGATTGTATCTATATTGTGGTGTAATATTTTCCTTGTTTTGCTTATCTGTATTTTCAAATGTTTCTACAATGGTTTCAGGATAAATGAATGAATGAATGAGTGAATACTTTTGTAATTACAATAAAAAAGGCTTACAGACTTCTATCACTTATTCGTAGATTTCTCTAGAGATTTCACGTGCATGTAGTTTGAATTGTACACACATATTACATATATATGCACTACATATATACATACGTAATTTATGCACAAAATATATTTTTATGAATAAAATATTAACAATAATATAATATATTTAAAATACAATTTTTTAAAATCAGCAAATATTAAACAAGGAACTCTGTTCTGCTATGGTCTCTACGTGGTCCCAGGTGACTCTGGTGGCCACCCAGAATCCTACCTTGAGGAAGGTCAGGCAATCCTGGTTCTCACTCTTGTCCTTGCCTCGTAGGTCGAAGTTGTAGAGGGCCCTGCAGAGCGGGGGCGGCTGGGGCAGCTGCTTGATGACTTCCACGGAGCTGGCTGGGAAGTTCCCGCTGATGCCATTGATTTCCCCCTGGTACCAATTCTCATCAAGCTGTCTCCGGAGAAGGATGATATCTCCCTTATTAAACCTTAGGTCACCGGGATTCTGCCCTCTGTAGTTGCATAAGGCCTTTGCTCGAGGCACCTGCAATGGCACAGACCAATAAGATATGTACTTAGCTTAGAGTCTAGAGGAACAGAAGATACAAGCATTCCCCCTTTTATTGTACTTTGCTTTAACATGCTTTGCAAATACTGAGTTTTTTACAAATCAAAGGTTTATGGCAACCTGTGTTAAATAGGTCTATCAGCGCCATTCTTCCAACACCATGTGCTCACTTTGTGTCTCTGTGTCACATTCTGGTAACTGTTATTAACTTTAAATATTTTAAACTTTCATTATTATTATATCTGCTATGGTGATCTGTAATCAGTGATCTTTGAGGTTACTATTGTAATGTCTCGGGGGGCGCCACAAACTTTGCCCATACAAGACAGCAAACTTCGTCGATAAATGTTTGTGTTCTGACTGCTCCACAAACTGGTCATTTTCCCATCTCTCTCCCTCTCCTTGGGCCTCCCTATTCTCTGAGACACAAAAATATTAAAATGAGGCCAATTAATGACCCTACAATTGCCTACAAATTTTCAAGTGAAAGGAAGAGTTTCACATCTCTCACTTTAAATCAAAAGCTAGAAATGATTAATCTTAATGAGGAAGGCATGACTAAAGCTGAGATAGGCCAAAAGCTAGGCCTCTTGTGACAAACAGTCAAGCTGTGAATGCAAAAGAAAAGTTCATGAAGGAAATCAGAAGTGCTACTGCAGTGAATACATAAATGATAAGTAAGTGAATCAGCCTTATTGCCGATATGGAGAAAGTTTGACTGGTTTGTGTAGAAGATCAAACCAGACACAACAGACCCTCAAGCCAAAGCCTAATCAAGATCAAGATCCTAACTTTCTTTAATTCTATGAAGGCTGAGAGAGATGAGGAAGCTGCAGAAAAAAAGTTTGAAGCTGGCAGAGATAGTCTGAGGTTTAAGAAGAGAAGCTGTCTCTATAACATAAAAATGCAAGGTGAAGCAACAAGCCATCAATATTGAGGCAAGACCCACCACCAGCAAGAAGATTACAACTTGCTGAAGGCTCAGATCATCATTAAGGTTTTTTTTTTAGTAATAAAGTATTTTAAATTAAGTTAGATATATTGTTTTTTAGGCATAATGCTATTGCACACTTAATAGACTACAGCATAGTGTAAACACAACTTTTTTGTTTTCTTTTCTTTCTGAGATGGAGTCTTGCTCTGTTGCCAGGCTGGAGTCCAGTGGTGTGATCTCAGCTCACTGCAACCTCCACCTCCCGGGTTCAAGTGATTCTCCTGCCTCAGCCTCCCGACTAGCTGGGATTACAGGCGCACACCACCACACCTGGCTAATTTTTGTATTTTTGGTGGAGACGGGGTTTCACTATGTTGGCCAGGATGGTCTCGATCTCCTGACCTCATGATCCACCCACCTTGGCCTCCCAAAGGGCATTACAGGCGTGAGCCACCATGCCCAGCCAAATACAACTTTTATATGCACTGGGAAATGAAAAAAAAGTGTTTGACTTGCTTTATTATGGTATTAGCTTTATTGTGGTGGTCCAAAACTGAACCTACACTATCTCTGGGGCATACCTGCATAATACTTTTTTTTCCCATAAAACATGGATATTTTATTCCAGCTCTAGGAAATGGAAAAAAAGAGGGAAACACATCTTTCTACACACCATTCTAATTTAACTGACATTAATTAGGGAAAGCTAGAGCAGAAATATATGATTATACATATAAATATGTATGTCTTTATACATACATATATGCATTTTCAGATTTTAGTCTCACTGGAGTTCATGTCTTTTTTTTTTTTTTTTTAACTATGGGCCCCTAAAGCTCATTAAATTCAAGCTAATACTTCTACCTAAGTCTCCTCATCAATCATTTAATATTGTTTGCATTGCATTCACAGTTTGTGTGTTAACCACTTATGCAATTTATCAAATTGCACATTTGGAGAGGTAAGGGAAAAACTTGGTTTAAATAATACTCTATGTATCAGTTACCCATTACATGATTTTTTTCATCATTATTTGCAACTTCATACATCTTGTAGTTTTCTATGTAGTCTCTCTATGCAGTCTGCTTCAGGTTCCAGTGCTATACTTGTCTATATGTTCTGGGTGGGACCACCTGTGATCCATGAACTTGGGGTCAGGCATAAACTGTGTAGCACCTGAGGTGGATTCTGATTTGGTGTTTGCTTCAGAGCTGAGTTCTGTTGGCAAGGGCACTGAGCATTTCAAGATGTGAGTTGTTTTTGCAGGTACTTCTATTTCGGCGGGGGATCCTAGCTTAATTTTTTTTCTTTAGGTTTAGGGAGTGACTCTTTTTTTGCTGCTTTTTGTCCACAATGATTTAACTGCTTCAAAAATTTGCTGGCTTGTAGCATATACCTTTTTCCCTGTTACCTTAGCAATTATTACTGACTGAACTGGGTAGCAAACAGTTGCTCATAAAGTGGCCAGTCCCAGAGGATAAGTAATTTTCTTAAACTTAAAACCTTTTCTCGCTGAAACCAAGCCCACCAATCCTGAAACCGTAATAACTCCCATTTTCGGAAGAAAATCTCGAGGAGGATTCTTCAGATAGACATAAGCATCTTTCCCAAATTGTACTGTATCCATTATCCCATTTTTCACAAAGACATAAACATCCTTGCACCAGCCAGTATAATGACCAGTTGCAGTGTAGATGGAAGCAAAGCCCATTTATAAATGACCAGGCTGCTCTTCAACATATTTAGACTGGAGCGGTGGTGCAGTATATACGGGGAGCTGCTCTGGTTTCACTAGCTGCTTTTTGGATTCCTCTTCTTTGGTTCCATGTACATTTACAGATGCATGTATCAGACTTGCAGGCATGGTTGTCAGTTTTCCCATCTACTAGCAGGGTGAAAATCTGAGACATTGACAATGGTAAATGCTGGGGAGAATGAGGAGCAACAGGAAGTCTCATTCATTGCTGGGTGATGAAATAACCTGCACAACAAATGCCCGTGATACGAGTTTACCTGTGTAACAAACCTTCACATGTACACCTGAACCCTGATGACCGCCATGTCTATGACCCTTTTGGCCAAGGTTTTCAGACGACACCTACATAACATTAATAACTAATTACCGAGCACTTCCTATGTGCTAAGTGTGTATGTGGATCATCTCATTTAATCTAGGCAGCCCTTGGAGATAGACACGCATCATCCCCATTTATAAGATAGGGTGACAGAGACACAGAGTGGTTTATTAACTTGCATAAGATGACACAACTGGGAAATGGCAGATATGGGACATGAACTCAGATTACCTGATGCTGGAACCCCTTTTCTTAATCACTACCCAAGGAACAGGGCTGTGAACTTGACTCTACGTCTATGAGATGGGAGTCAGTGACTCTTTCTGGGTCTGAATACTGATTTTGAATTCTGGCTCTACTTCTTTCCTTTTGTGTAATCATGGCTAAGTTACTTAATCTTTCTTAAACTGTATTCATTTATAAAATGAGCATTTGGATCATTAGGAAGCTCAGCTGAGACAAAGAAACAATTAGTCAGAGATCAATCGTCAGTTTTTTAAAAAAAATCAGCTCAAGCATAATCGTTTGTCAAATCAGTTGTCTAAATAATTATTTCAGTCAAATGCATTTTTACTAATTGAAATTGTTTTTTTCACATAGAAATGGCCTCACTCCAGTCTTGCTCGAAGTCTGCTGGGTAAACTGCAAGTTCTAACAGACTAAGAGGAAGTGCTTCAGTCACCTAAGGTCGTATTTTATTTTGTGCTTTTCCAAGCAGTGGGATTATGTAATCACCTCGCATTGTAGCAGTCTTGCTGTTCATAATCTTGCTATTCATGCAGTGGGGTATAGAGAGGCATTAATTTAGGTCTTCATGGATCTCCTGAATCCGCAATGATCATTTGAAAGAAGAATTCCGAGCAGCTTAGTGGTAGAGATAAGACCCAACATTACTTTGCTGATGGAATGGTGGAGGTGTCCTTTTCTGCTGGTCCCCAGATAAGTAAGGAGACCCCAGGGGTGAAAAAACCACAGGAACACAGCTCATCCCCAGGAAACTGGTGGACAAATGAGCAAAGATATATGTGCTAGGGGGTTTAACATAATGCTGTGGAATAAACAGGGAATTGGTTGAATAAATTATTATACACCCATACCCATACAATGAAAAACTTTGCAGTCATTAAAATTGATGTTTTTCTATAATTAATAATATTGAGCGTTACTGATAATATACCATTAAGTGTAACAGAAGAGGTTAAGAATAATTATGTAGACTAGATTTTCATTATAAATACATATGTATGTTTTTTATCTAGGGAAAATGTTAGATGACTATATGCCAATATTTTAGAAGTGGTTATCTCTAAGTGGTGAGATTTTTGAATATTGAAAAAACGCTTTTTTTCTAAGTGCTTAGCTGTGTTCTCTAACTTTTCTATAATAAAATAATTGTATTGCTTATTAAAATTGGACAGTTAGAAAATGAATGAAGTTGGTGGATGAGAGGTAAAAGGTATGAGAGGAATTTAGAAAGTAAGCCAAGCTGAGTAGGATAAGCAAACTATGCAACTAACTTTTTTGGGGAAGGTGTTCCCTACCTGAGAAATAAGCACGTAAAAGCTGGATGAGAATGGGTTTCTGGGGAATGACCCAAATCTGTTAGACCCCCGGGGTTGGGTACATCAGGGAACAATAATTGTTCCTCCATACTTCTTCCTCTCAATTTTCCATTGTAATATCACATTTTTCTGGGTACATGACTACCTGGAATATTGGTCACATTTTTAGCCTTTCTGGTGATTAAGTCCAGGCCAGTGTGGGAGTAAGCAACCTTTAGGAAGCATCCGTCCGGAGTTTTCTTTTCCTCTCCTCCATCTTGCTATGTGGAATGCAGACATGATCCCTAGAGCTCTAGCTGCCATCTTGAATACTGAGGACGAGGGCCACACCTAATAGGGAAGGGGCCTGGGTTTCAGAGCTTCCACACCCATCCTGGATTACTTCACATCCAGACTTTTGGTGGAGAGCTAAATAAACTTCCACCTTGCTGAATGAACTGTGAGGCTTTTTTTTTATTATTTATGAAAAACAGAAAAGAGAAAAGGAAAGAAAGGGAGAATGAGAAGATAAAGAAGAAAAGATCTAAGCCCCTTTAGATTTGCATAATGATAATATCAATAGCTAACCTTTACTGAGTGCTTCTTTCTTGTGCCAGATTCTTTGCTAAGTGCTCTAATTCTCTTTGCTAAGCACTCTCTAATTCTCACAACAATCTTTGAGGTGTGTATTATTTCAAATGTCAATTTTTAGATTAAAAAACTGGGGATCAGAAAATGATATGGTTTGGCTGTGTCCCCACCCAAATCTCAACTTGAATTCCCACGTGTTTGGGAAGGGCCTGGTGGGAGGTAATTGAATCATGGGGGCAAATCTTTCCTGTGCTGTTCTCATGATTGTGAATAAAAGTCTCATGAGATCTGATGGGTGTATCAAGGGTTTCCGCTTTTGTTTCTTCCTCATTTTCTCTGGCTGCTGCCATGTAAGAATTGCCTTTCACCTCCTGCCATGATTCTGAGGCCTCCCCATCCATGTGGAACTGTAAGTCCAATTAAACCTCCTTTTCTTCCCAGGCTCAGGCATGTCTTTATCAGTAACATGAAAATGGACTAATACAATAAATTGGTACAAGTAGAGTGGGGTGTTGCTGAAAAGATACCTGAAAATATGGAAGCAGCTTTGGAACTGGGTAACAGGCAGAGGTTGGAAAAATTTGGAGGGCTCAGAAGAAGACAGCAAAATGTGGGAAAGTTTGGAACTTCCTAGAGACTTGTTGAATGACATTGACAAAAATGCTGATAGTGATATGAACAATAAGGTCCAGGCTGAGGTGGTCTCAGATGGAGATGAGAAACTTGTTGGGAACTGGAGCAAAGGTGACTCTTGTTATGTTTCAGCAAAGAGACTGGCAGCATTTTGCACCTGCCCTAGAGATTTGTAGAACTTCGAAGTTGAGAGAGTTGATTTAGCGTATCTGGTGGAAGAAATTTCTAAGCAGCAAAGCATTCAAGAGGTGACTTGGGTGCTGTTAAAGGCATTCAGTTTTATAAGGGAAACTAAGCATAAAAGTTGGGAAAATTTGCAGTCTGACAATGTGATAGAAAAGAAAATCCCATTTTCTGAGGAGAAATTGAAGCCCGCTGCAGGCTGCAGATATTTGCATAAGTAATAAGCTGAGTGTTAATCCCCAAGACGACAGGGGGGTGGTGGGAACATGTCTCCAGGGCATGTCAGAGGTCTTCATGGCAGCCCCTCCCATCACAGGCCTGGAGGCCTAGGAGGAAAAAGTGGTTTCATGGGCCGGGCCCAGGGTCCCCGTGCTGTGTTCAGCCTAGGGACTTGGTGCCCTGTGTCTCAGCTGCTACAGCTGTGGCTGAAAGGAGCCAATATAGAGTTTGGGCCATGACTTCAAAGGGTGCAAGCCTCAAGCCTTGGCAGCTTCCACTTGGTGTTGAGCCTGCAAGTACACAGAAGTCAAGAATTGAGGTTTGGGAACCTCTGCCTAGATTTCAGAAGATGTATGGAAACACCTGGATGTCCAGGCAGAATTTTGCTGCAGTGGCAGGGCTGTCATGGAGAACCTCTGCTAGGGCAATGCAGAAGGAAAATGTGAGGTCAGAGCCCCCCCACAGAGTCCCTACTAGGGCACTGCCTAGTGGAGCTGTGAGAAGACGGCCACCATCCTCCAGACCACAGAATGGTAGATCCACTGACAGCTTTCACTGTGTGCTGGAAAAGCTGCAGACACTCAACATCAGCCTGTGTAAAGCAGCTGGGAGGAAGGCTGTACCCAAGCTGCCCAAGACCATGGGAACCTACCTCTTGCATTAGCGTGATCTGGATGTGAGACATAGAGTCAAAGGAGATAATTTTGGAAGCTTTAAGATTTGACTGCCCCACTTGATTTTGGACTTGCATGGGGCCTGTAGCTCCTTTGTTCTGGCCTATTTCTCCCATTTGAAATGGCTGTATTCACCCAATGCCTGTACCCCCACTGTATCTAGTAAGTTACTAACCTGCTTTTGATTTTACAGGCTCGTAGGTGAAAGGGACTTGCCTTGTCTTGGATGAGACTTTGGACTATGGACTTTTGAGTTAATGCTGAAATGAGTTAAGACTTTGGGGGACTGTTGTGAAGGCATGATTGGTTTTGAAATGTGAGGCCGTGAGATTTGGGAGGGGCCAGGGGCAGAATGATATGATTTGGCTCTGTCCCCGCCCAGATCTCATCTTGAATTCCCACATGTTGTGGGAGGGACCCAGTGGGAGGTAATTGAATCACAGGGGCAAGTCTTTCCTGTGCTGTTCTTATGATAGTGAATAAGTCTCATGAGATCTGATGGTTTTAAAAAGAGGAGTTCCCCTGCACAAGCTCTCTCTCCCTGCTGTCATCCATGTAAGATGTGACATGCTCCTCCTTGCCTTCTGCCATGATTGTGAGGCTTCCCCAGCCATGTGGAACTATAAGTCCAATTAAACCTTTTTCTTTTGTAAATTGCCCAGTCTTGGGTATGTCTTTATCAGCAGTGTGAAAACAGACTAATACAAAAAATTTAAAAGTTGCCCAAGTTCACAAAGCTAGAAAATAATGAATTTAGGATTTGAACTCAGTATCCCCAAGCCCAAGCCTGCAATTCTCTTTTTCTTTTTTTGAGACAGGGTCTCACTTTGTCACCCAAGCTGGAGTGCAGTGTCATGGTCTTGGCCTCTGTAGCCTCAACCTCCCAGGTTAAGTGATCTTCCTGCCTCAGCCCCCCAAGTAGCTGTGACTACAGGTGTGCACCACCACGCCTGGCTAATTTTTTTTGTATTTTTTGCAGAGACGGGGTTTCACCATGTTGTTCAGGCTGGTCTCAAACTCCTAAGGTCAAGTGATCCACCTGCCTCGGCCTCCCAAAGTGCTAGGATTATAGGCGTGAGGCATTGCACCAGGCCTGTTTCTTAAAATATAATCTGTGGTTTCCCCCTATGAGAATCTGGGAGGTGTTAAAAATGTGAATGCCTTGATCCCACCCCTGACTGATTTGATCAGAATCTCCTGGAGTAGGATTCAAGTAGCTGCATTTTTATCAAGCTCCCTCACCAAGTTTGATGCTACTGTAGGTCTAAGCTATATCTTATTCTAACTCAAATGGGGGCAATGAATGGAGTTTTGACATAGGCTATAGGCTTTGTAAATTGCTAGCTTTCTTTCTTTCTTTTCTTTTTTCTGAAAGATATTTGCAGTGCAAGTAGCTTACATATTTTAATGACTTACTGAGAGAGCATATTAAACTAAAATTGCACAAAATGCTCAAATTGCTTTGAAGGTGCCTCAACCTTGAAACCCTAAAATAGTACTAATTGCCTATTTTCATCTTTTCTCCATCTCCCCTCAACATAAATAAATATTGTGCAAATGAATTATATATAGATTCTATTGTTAACAAGAAGACCCTCTTTCTTCTTTTTCTCCGTTTTGGATAATCCCTCCTCTGGTAGTCTCATTTCTATGTTCATACTCACAGAAAACATTGGCTTCCATAGTGCAAAGCAGGGCAGAGGGAAGCAGGAAGCAGTGGAGCAAGGGGAAGAGAGAGGGAGAGAGTGAATGACTCTGAAGAGGAAAGGAAATTAACATTTATTGGGGTTCTGCCAGGCCACAGACATTTTTCTTACATTATTGCACTACTGCACTTTCCATGTATTATCTCATTCATATGCTCTCAAAACCCTATGAAGTAGATAGTATTATCCTATTTTATGATGAGGAAACAGAAGTTCTGATATGGGAAATGTCACCAAACAAGGTCACACAGCCAGTGTATTGGCAGATCCAAGATTGGCTGAGGCTCGTTTGACCTGAAAGCCTGGGTGTTTTTACCATTCTTATTGTCTGCCATCCACCTGAAGTCACCTAGCATGTTTTTCCATCATAAAACTCATTTGGGGCTCTGTTTTGTAATCAAAATCTGAATCGAATGTGAATGCAATTTGCTTGCTGCTGGTTGTAATAGCATGAATTATTGAACTCTAGAGCTCTCACATAAAAGTTAAGCATCTGAAGAGACTCAGCTGGTTGATTCTATCCAGTCTCCCACTGCTCTCTCAAGGGAAAAAGATTCCAAGTTCAACATTAGCTCTCACCTGTTGTATTGTTGGCACTAGCTTTTCTCACCCATCATTGTTTTCTGTCTCTACAGATGCAGGGGCGAGAAGGCACAGGAATAAAGTTTGTGTGGAGATCTCACAGTCAGGTCATCACCAAACTCTTTTTCCTTGTGTATACCTAAAATGCTTTCCTTTTCTGATATTTAAAAAGCTCAAGACTCTATGCTTTTGTAATTCACCTATTCATTTGTCTCCTCAGTAGGGTCTGGAAGCCACAAGAGGAATCATTTTGATAGAAAGATAATGCATAGGCTTCAGAGACAAGAGCTTGCAGGCACTTTAGCAATAAAATTATGTTGTTGCTTTGCCAAGCATCCCCTTCTGTGAGGAACCACCTGTTCTCTCCTTACCTTCTGATAGGCAGGTTATTCACCCTGGCCACATCATACACACAAGGGTACGTGGGCCAGGCTAGCCAGTTAGAATATCCCAAACCCTCAGCACAGTGATGAGGCATGTGCCTCAATCAGGGATAATTAGTATTTTCTCTGAGATTTGATATACAGATACTGAGAAATAATCTCTATTGCTTTTGAATTATGAGCCTTCAGGTTGTGGACTTTGGACCACCAGTGCAATATAGTGTAGTTCAATGTTGGCTATTATATTGGTGATATTTCCCAACCAGTAGACGCACTTTCCTGAAAGAAGCTGTAGAAGGCAGCAGAACTAGATATAGCAAGCTAGATAGGTAACTAGATAGCTAGAGCCCTGACAATAAAATCTGAACTCCTAGATTAAATGGTGCCTGGTTATTCAGTTAGATGAGATCTCCAATTCTCTATATCCCCAATTTACTGTTGATTACTTAAATTACTTGGAGTTATTTTTTGACACTTGAAACTGGACCAGTCCTAACCAGCACATATTTGAAACCCAGAAACAACCAACTTCATAAAAATGTAATATCCAAATAGCAAAATTCAGAAACAGCAGGACGTTCAGCTGCCAGTGAGCCCTGAGTTTATTTCCAATTTTAAAAATAAAGGGAGGTAAAGGCTGATAACAGGGTAAAAGAAAAGGAATGTAAGTGGAGTAGAATCAACCACAGTGACACATACAAGGGAAAAAGCAGAGCTGAGATGAGAACTCAACCTGCTACTGTGTAATAAGCTCTTTGACACACCCTGGCAATGCTTCCCACCAATTTAGAAAGGTTGGCCTGGTTCTCTCTACTCCTCGCATCAGGTGGGACCAACATCAATATGCTGAGCTAATGGCTTATCAATGGTTTACTTCCCTGAGCTGGTCATGAGATTGCCCATCACTGGAGAATGCAGCCCAAAACCAAAACCATCCTGGCCTTTGACTCAAGTTATGTATCATTTCCCAGGCTAAGTTATCTGCTGCTGGAGAATTCAGGATTTGTGTCTGAAGCATCTCTGCCTCTCTATCTTTGAACACTGTACACAAGTAGGTGTTTAAGAAACGCTTGATGAATGAATGAGTGAATTGCTCTGAAAACATTCAGGAATTACTGTTCTCAGATACATAGAATGCATGCAAGGTTAATACAAATGGCTGATAAGAATTACTCAAGTGCAGATCTATTGGATGAGCTAGGGAAAAGAAGGATTGTTTTCATCATGTTTTCTAAACATCCCCCAATTTTAATGATTTGGTGTTATACACACTTACACAAAGGTTCCATACTCAAAAAGTTAGGCATCACTGAATCAGCAAAATCACACAGGTTTCTTTGCTGACTCGCTTTTCAGAAGTTTTATTTTGTGAACATGATTTGCATAATTGCATCTGGGGCACTTTGCTGGAAGAGCCCACGTGTCTTGGGAATGCTGGGCAAGGGAAATGTAACTTTCCCTGTGGGTTCACTCCACTGATAAGGTAAGGGGTCAAAAATTGTACTGTACCCTAACTTTGTAGTTGCTGCTTAACCAACGAAGCCACTGTGCCTCCTTCGCTCATAGTGATAATCTTTTTGGAGCAGATTTGTTGGGGGAAATAGAGTAAATATTAGAAAGGGCTGGTTAGCCCTTGTGTATGTTTTCTCTTCTCTGATAAGGAGGGAGACACTATGCAAACCCCAGTGCTCACCCAACAGGAGGATCAGATCCACCTGGCCTTGGCAAATCCCAGATGATCCACTTCTGGGTGCTTGAGATCAGCAGAAAGCTCACAGTGATCTTACCAAGTGGAAATCCCTAAATCCGACATTCAGATTTGAGACCAGTTTTATAAGACACTCTGCGTGAGTTTTTTGTTTTTGTTTTTTTTCATAGAAAACTTTACTTCAGGAGAGGTACTAGGATGCAATAGTTAAGAACTCATGTTAGAATCAAGTGGGATGTTGGTTTGCATTCTGGCTTTTGTAACTTTGGCCAAAACATTTAGCATCCCTGATCCTTAGTTTGGACCATCCACAAATTGGGGCTAATACTGTTATTTCCCTGTGCAGCAAACTCAGCAAGTCTGGGTTATCCAAACCCTGCATATTCTGACAAAAGTTTTGGCTCTTGCCTGGGAGATAACCTCTAAGTCCTTAGAATATTTTGGCTGATCAGAGAGATTTTGTCTACCTGGAGGCCTTGGGTCACACGAGATAGTCTAAGCTAACAATGTGACTTATGGTGGGGGCTCTGGGCCAAACGGTAGAAGCTTGACCTCTGGAGGGGCTGGAGACTGAGGGCAGCCACATGGGTGGTCTGAGATGGTAAATGTCATCACACAATGAAATCTCCAGTAAAATCCTGGACAGCAAGTCTCTGGTAAAAAGAAATGCTGTCTGCATGACTCCACTGGGAGAGGACAACTGGAAGCTTTATGGAAGCTCCTGGACTCTGCCCTAATGTGCCTTTTTCCACTGCTGACTAACTTATTTTCTTTCACTGGAATAAACTATAACCATGAGTATAATGGCTTTGCTGAGTTGTGTGAGTCCTTCTAGTGAATAACTGAAAGTGAAGGTGATCTTGGGACCCCTGAGCACACTTCCTCATGGTTTTGGAGACGATTAATGTGATAAACAATGTAGAATACTTAGTGGAATGCCTGGAAAATAATAAGTGCTCAATAAATAAGGAAGCTTAGGAGAGAGGGGTAATAGGCCTGCTGTTATAGCTTCTGGTCTGACTTCCCAGCTCTAGTCATCATTCATTCCTTTTTTGCTTTCAACAAATATTTTTTTGAGTGCCGACCATGCTAGGTATGGTCAAGACCCTTCATGGAGCTTACAATCTAGTTGAGGAAACAAAGATCAGACTTATAAACACACATAAATATATAATTGCAAGCTGGAGTAAACGTGATGAAGGAAAAGAATTATGTTATGACCTCATGGGAGGTCAGAGACTTGAGGGATGGAAAGGAACCCAACGTAGGGAAGATTCTCTTTATTAGCTGCTTATTTATATCTGAAATTCTGTTATGTCGTGTGACTTTTGTTATGTGTTTCTCTCTTTATTTATTTTAATGTTTTCTCCGTTGTATGTTCTCACTGATATGTGGGAGCTAAGCTATGAAGATGCAAAGGCATGAGAATGATACAATAGACTTTGGGGGCTTCGGGGGAAGGGTGCGAGGGATAAAAGAACTCAAATAAGGTGCAGTATATATTGCTCAGGTGATGGGTGCACCCAAATCTCACAAATCACCCCTAAAGAACTTACGCATGTAACCAAACACCACCTGTACCCCAATAACTTATGGAAAAAAATGTAAAACAGAGAAAAAATATTTTCCTGTTTTCTCATTCCTGGACTATATTAGCAAGTGTCTCTCTCTTTCTCTCCCCTCAGTCTTTTGCTTTGGCCTCTCTTCTTCCAGTCTTTGGTAGAATGCTAAGACATCATAGGCTCCCTTTTCCTTCTTTACCTAACTCCTGCCACTTTGAGTCTGTGGGCATGACATCCCTTCCTTCCTTCTTCAAGCCAATATTTATCAAACACTCAGAATATGCCAGCCTTTATCTCCTGGTCCCTCCTTCATCAGTTCCAGGGTTCTGCAGCAGGGAAAAGGGAAGGAAGTAGGAGTTTACATCACCTGGGCAGAGAAAGAGCTGCTTATAGTCAGTAGTGCCTTTTCAGGGCTGCCATTGGCGTATTTTCATTTTTTCCTCCAAACATTTCCCTGAGATTTCTTTGAGGTGATCTCATTTCCCTATCCTAGGAGGTAATCCAAGATATGTCTAGAGCCATATCCCTGGCTCCAAACATAAGCTGGTTCTCAATAAATAGCTTGGGATTGTTTTTGAAATGGGCTAGATGCCAATGCCCAGAGCTGTTCAATGGGATAGGACTGAACTCCCCAGGGAAGCAAAAGATTTCCGTCACCATCTCTTCTCCACCAGGGCACAGGGCACCTGTGGAGAAGGGCAAGGGGTACGTGGGAGCCTGAAGGATGAGGGAAAGCGCCATCTCATTCGGCCTGGGAGGCAATTCTGCCCTCTTTAATTATCCCCCTTTCCAGATTGAGCTTTTCCAATAGGTGTGGCACGTGGTGGGTGAGTCTTTTTCCATATGGTTTGAGAAACTGAGCCAAATACACCATGCAGAGTGAGAAAAAAATGAGTCAAACAACCCTCCCACCACTACTTCTCCCCTGGCTTAGAGGAAAAGCAAAGCTCTGGTTGCTCTACCCCGGCTTTCTCCTCGGAGAGGTTTTTGGAGCTGAAGGAGGAATGACTAATGACGTGGAGGTTTCTCCTAATGCAACCAGCTGGCCTGGGGGCTGGAGGTGGCCCCTGAACGTGATTTACAACTTATACACTGTGTCCTTGAATGAGGTACTGAACCTCTCTGGGCCTGTTTCCTCAACTGCAAAGTGAAGAAGATGATTTTTACCATTCTTCCCAACTCTAACGATAACAGACATTTATTTATTTATTTATTTATTTATTTATTTATTTATTTATTTGAGACAAGTCTTGCTCTGTTGCCCAGGCTGGAGTGCAGCAGTGCAATCATTGCTCACTGAAGCCTCAAACTCCTGGGCTCAAGAGATCCTCCTGCCTCAGCCTCCAAAATAGCCAGGACTACAGGCACACTCCACCATGCCCAGCTAATTTTTATTTTTGTTTTGTAGAGATGGGGTCTTGCTATATTGCTCAGGCTGGTCTCAAATGCCTGGGCTCCCTCTTCAGCCTCCCAAAGTACTGGGATTATAGGCATGAGCCACTGTACCAGACCCAGAGCTTTTTAAAGGTGAATAATGAAAGCTCCAGAAGTATCTTTAAAATACATCAGAAATAGAGGTGACAGGTGAGATGAAACCAAATTGGCAAAATGGTAATAACTGTTGAAACTTTAGTCATGGGTAGAAGGCAGTTCATTACATTCTCTGCTTTTCATTATTCTATAGAGTTGATTATTCTCTCCACTTTTGTGTATGTGGTCCTCCTCAAAATTGCCAGTGAGGTAAAGGTGCCACAAGCTGATAGGCTGTCGTGTGAGGAATGAAGTGACTGTAAATACTCCCAGGCCCTTGGGGAGAATGACCTTGAAGAGAAGATCTGAAGGAGCTGGGCTTGTCCTCAATTGTCAAAAAGTTACATCTTGATTTCAAGTGGTTTACTTAATTAATCTCCATCTTTTAAGATTTACAAGTTTGTGTGTGTGCGTATTTATACTTATTTGCAGTTTAATTTTGTGATACCAAAAGAAAAAGCCTAGCATGACCCTTGTTGGAGACCACAAGCCCTGGGAAGTTGGACTTCTTCCCTCTCAGTTCAGTTGTCCCTGAAGCCAAGACTTTTTTCTTTTTTGAGACAGGGTCTTGCTCTGTTGTCCAGGCTGGAATGAAGTGGTGTGACCATGGCTCACTGAAGCCTGGTCCTCCTGGGCTCAAGCGATCCTCCCACCTTGGCCTCCCAAATAGCTGGGGCTATAGGCATGTGCCACCATGCTCAGCTAATTTTTTAATTTTTAGGAGAGACTGGGTCTTGCTATGTTGCCCAGGCTGGTCTTGAACTCTGGGCTCAAGCCATTCTCCTGCCTCTGCCTCCTAAAGTGCTGGGATTACAGGCATGAGCCACCATGCCCAGCTGAAGCCAAGATTTTTAATCACCAAGACCTTCTGCAAATCTGAAGTTTGCCTCTTTCAAATAAAAATTCAGAGCATTCTTCTCATTTATACCAAGTGAAATAGACATGACCTTGGAGAAGAAGTGCCCTGCCTGCCTATAGAGCTGAACTTCATGGAAGGAGCGAGTGGCTGTGCATCAGAGGGGTGCTAAAGACTCACACACCATTTGTCCACTGGACATAAGGTCATTTCTTTCAACAAAAAGTCTGAACTTAGGGAAACCTCCTGAAAGTCTCCAAGAAATGGGAAAGATCACTGATGGGTAAGTTATAGAAGTTATTTGCAATCATTTTTCACTCTGAGATAGAGCCAAAAGTCTTCCTTAGGAATATGAGATATGGCGGAATAAGTGACAGTTCTCTTTTCCATAAGGTTTTATCCACATAGGTGCCAATATCTTTGGCATTGTTCGCTGAGTCTTTTGTATCTTTATCTTCAGAAAGCCTTTCCTATCTCCTTCCCCAAAGCCTGGGTTGGGTCTTCCTCTTTTGTAAGCCATTGCACCCTATACTTCCCCTATCATAACACTCATCACCCTGTGTTGCAACTGCTGTTTTACTTGTCTGTCTGCACACCAGATTGTGAGCTCTGTAGCAGCAGGCTGTATGACTTATTCATCTTTATACTTGCTACGTCTACTCATTCATTCAACAAAAAAGTACTGAGTGCCTACAATAAATGAGACATACACAATACCTGCCTTTATGGGACTTATATTCTAGTAGCATCTAGTAAGCACTCATTTATTTGTTAAACAAACAAATGGAAGAGTAAATCAATAAATGAATATTAAATCACACTATGCCAGTTAAACCCAACCCAAACTTTGGTATTTAGTCAATGCTACTCTTAACAAAAGAACTCCAACATACCCAACTAGTTATTTCCCCAAGATTGGGGAGTATCCAAGCATGCTAGCCAAAGATAAATATAGTATTTTTCTAGGCCATCCTTTAAAAAGGCTCCATTATTTAAAACATGCCTTGAGCTATATCTACATCCCAGTTTTTCCAGTGGGTACTTGCCTTGGAGACTCTCGCTTATTGAAGACTTTTTCTTTCCAACATGCCCTCTGTACTGAGTGTATAATCACCACTGCAGGCAACCATGATGAGTGACAAAAAGTGCCAGCTGGCAGCTCCAGCAAAGGGAACAGGAGAGAGCAAGGAGGTATCTTTTTCTGCCTATTCAGAACATTGAAACCCAATTTATCGCTGGCCTCATGAGCCAAAGAAAGCAGCTCTCAGCAGCTGTTGATCTGAGAGGCTCCAATCTCATTTCCATGAGCTGGGTGTCATTGACACTCATCTGGCTTGTCTGGGAATGAATTGGCATGAAGGAGTCTTCCTCTTTTCATCCCTGAGGATTTGGGTGGGCCTGTTACAAATGGCAGAAAGAGTTATATGGTCACTCTTTTGAAAATAATGCCAAAGACTTTCTTGTTTTTGTTGTGGGTGGACATTCCTTAATAACTACTGCCTGGGGGGTTCTACTCTTCTCATTGCTTTCACCCTCACTCAGTAAATGCTGGTTTTCGCCCTCACTCAGTAAATGCTGGTAAGTCAGCTCTCAAAAAAAAAAAAAAAAAGGCTCTGGTTTGTAGCATTTGCCAATTTCCCTGGTATAAATACTCCTATTTTGGCTACCAACAGACATTGCTGAATGTGAAGTTGGGAAGAGATGTGCCCTATTGCCTGCTAAGAGCTGGTAGAAGCTGGCTCCAAAACACCACTACATAGCTCTCTAATTCACACTTGCTCCAGAGTGAAAGACTGCTTCTGGCTAGCACCATTGCCTTTCTACAACTGGGATTTTAGGATACAGTGTATTCTTTTGCATCTGCTATGTCACTGGGCTCTAATCATGACATTGCGGGGTATTATTATGCCTATTTGGTGGATCTAGAATTCTTAAGATCTAGAATAGGTCTTAAGAATATTCTTTCTACACTCCACCCTCTCCCTCTCCTGCCCAATCGCTACTTATCTTTTAGGTCTCAGCTTAAATATCACATTCCTGAATGTCCATGTCAGGGTCAGGTTTCCATGTGCTTTTATGATGCTCTCACATGCTCTCATGGTGGAATTTGACCAGTGGTGTTGAAGTGGCTTGCTTATTTATCTGCCTCCTTCACTGACTGTAAACTTTGTGAGGACAGAAACTTCTACCCAGCCCACCACTGATCTCAGTGCCTAGTGCAGTGTCTGGCCCAATAAGTATTGTGAGAAGGAATGAATCCATGAATGATAGTCTCCTAATTTCAAAGTTTCCAAATATGTCCTACCAGAACCCCCAAATATCAATTTCTTCATAGATTGGTTAAGGTTTTCAAGAACCAGGGGAGGCTCCTGCTAGAGTGCATGGTCAGCCAGACTTCTCTGTGGGCTGGGTGCAAGTGCTTGCCTCCTCTCGACATGGATCCTCGGCTTTGCCAAGTGTCACAGAAGCAAGCTGAGAAACCTGTTTGGTGTGCTATGAAATGTGCTCATTACATGCATGCCAAGACAAAGACATAGTCAGGAAGAAGCCTCCAGGAGCACCTGCATCTTGATGAGAGGATGAATGTTTATGAATATCCTGGAACCAGCATGTCCTATAATCACTGCAGGACTGAGCCTTATGGATTAGCATGAATTCCCTCAATTTTCCTCCTAGGAGGCTAGGAAAGGGTCGGGCTGCTTTGCATGCTGGGGAGCTGCTGACCTTTTGTCACCACAGAATGTCATACATACCTGAGGCACTCATGCAAATACTTAATCATCTTCTGTAAACACAGCCACTGCCACTTAAAACAGGCAGAAGTAGAGTCTACCACACATTAGTTACTTCCCTTACATTATGTAAGCCTGCAATATAGACTAGTAATGCAGATTTCAGGGTGTTCAGCTTTGTTCTTGAGTGCATATGAGAAAAAATAATTTAACAATTATCAGAGGATCCTGTGATGCCTCTAGAAGCACTGCTGCTCAATAAAACTATCTGCCATGGTGGAAATGTGCTATTCTATGCTGTCCAATACAGCAGCCACTGCCCATCTGTGGTTATTGAACATGTGCCATGTGCTAGTGTGACTGAGGAACTGAATTTCAAATTCTATTTACTTTTAATTATTTAAATTTGAAGAGCTGCATGTGGCTAGTGTCTACTGTGTTAGACAGCATAGTTCAAGATCTAACTATCACTTACAAGAAACACAGAGACTGGTGAACATGTTAAATGACAACACAGGGATGCAATAGGAAAAACTCAGAAAGTGGGAAACTACGAGGCAAATGACCCAATCTCTCTAATAAATAAACTGCATGGGAAAAAGGAAGAGGAGGTGTGCGTGTGGGGGAACCTAGAGCTTAAGAGATTTAGGAAGTTTATCAGCCAACTGCAATGTGTGGATCTTGGTGAATCCTGATTCAAACAAACCATCAAAAAATTATGAGACTGTCTGGGTGCAGTGGCTCATGCCTGCAATTCCAGTACTTTGGGAGACTCAGGTGGGAGGATCACTTAAACCCAGGAATTCAAGACCAGCCTGGGCAACATGGTGAGACCCTGTCTCTACAAAAAATAGCCAAAAAAATTAGCTGGGTGTAGTGGCATATGCTTGTAGTGTTAGCTAATTGGGAGGCTGAGGTGGGAGGATCACCTGAGCTCAGGAAGTCAAGGCTGCAGTGAGCTATAATCATGCCACTGCACTCCAGCCTGGGTGACAAAGCAAGACCCTGCCTCAAAAAAAGAAAAAAGAAAAAAAATTGAGGAAATTTAGACACTGACTGCATATGCGATGACATCAAGAAATGTTTAGATGTGATAATGATGTTGAGGTTATGCTAAAAAATAGAATCTTCATTTTCTAGAGGCAGCTCCTGACATATTTACCAATGAAAGAGTATGATGTGTGGACTTTGCCTCAGTTTCATCCAGTAGGGGGAGGAAGTGAATGGGATATAGATGCAATAAGATTGACCTTATGTTGATAATTGTGGAGGCTGGGCGATAGGTATATAAGCATTCATTATTATTATTTTCTCTATTTTTATATTTAGAAATACTTATAATAAGTTTGAAAAATCAAATCATCAGAGTAATCCTAATGTTGGTGTAAGAGTATGGGCAAAAAGGCACCTTCCTTGAATATTGGGAGCTTAAAATTTCACAGTGAGGAGTAACTAGGTACATTGGTCAAGATTTACATTACGTGTTTTCTTTGCCTTACAAATCCTAAAAATCCTAGTTTTAGGAATTTCTCCCATAGACATATGCTAGAATCTATGTAAAAGATTGTGAAGTGCAGGATCATTTATAATAGTGAAGAATTAGAAATAGCCTAAGTATCCTTCTGTTGTGGATTAAATAAATGATAGCAAGTAACTACTGTGGAATGCTAAGCAGCTTTAGAGAGAATGAGATAGATTGGGGTGGACTGTCATGGGAAAGATTCATGATCTAGTCTCAGGTTAAAAAGAAAAGCAATTTGCAAAAAAATATGTACACCCTGATCTAATACAAAATACATATGTGTATGTGTACACAAAGATAAAGCCTGGAAAAACATACACCTAATTAATTTGGGGAGGGGAGGAACTTACAACTGCCTCGTTACGTGTGGGTGTCAATTAGCTTCAACTCTTGTCGTTTGTTACTATGAATAATCAACAGCTGGTCCTCCCATCAGGTACCCTGGCCTTTCTCCTAGAAGAAAATGTATGTGTCTTCTGGGGCTGAGAGGTTTCATCCAACACAAACTGTTCATCCCTACTTCCAAAGTAGGGCACGTTTCAGAAGTTTATTTATCTTATGATAATAGCTCCCAATTACTGAGCATTGCCCCGTGCTGAGCATTGGGCTAATGTCTCTGTCACCTCACGGGCTCTGGAATAAATTCAGGTTCTCCCACTTGCTACTGTATCACTTTGGACTAGTTACTTCAGCTCAACTTCCTCATGTATAAAATGGAAGGAATATCAGTACCTATTGTATGGTTTTGAGAAGTCAGTGAATAATGCATAGTAAGTGCCTGGTGGATAGATATAAATACTCAATAAAAGTCCACTATCATTTTCTCACTTCAACCTTCCAACAATCCCTATGAGGTAAACGCTATTATTCATCCATTTGACAGATAAGGAAATTGAGTCTTAGAGACAATGGTGTGCTGGAGCCAGCTTCCATGGGCTTGTGAAAGCCAATTGTTAAATTTTCAAAAGTTTTTTGAGTTGGCCGACATCATGTTGATAGTTTGAAAGTAGCCATGATGGGGTATTTCTGCCATGAAAATGAGCGAACCCATTTCCCCCACAGAGCTGCTTGTTAAACATTTACCAGCACACCACTACTTAGAGCAGTAAGATAACTTATCTGAGGCCCCATGGCTGGTGAGTGGCAGAGCCTAGTTCTAGCTAATTCCAAAGGTCTTGTTTGGATATTTGTAGATATGCTTTGTTTGAACAAATCCCTCTTTAAAAGTAACTCTTATCTCCTGGAAAGGCTGTTTAACATCATGTCCCTTGACACTGATTCTCAGATTTTTAGGGTGCATTGGAATCACTTGGAGGGCTTGTTGCAATAAATTGCTGGGCCCTACCCCAAGAGTTTCTTCTGTAGTAGGTCTGGGGTGGGGCCCAAGAATTTGTGTTTCTAGCCAGTTCCCCCAGGTGATGGTAATCCTGCTGGTCTGGGGACCACACTTTGGGAACTATTGTTCTAGCGCAAAATCAGAAATTTTGTGCTATAAACCTTGCCATAATCTTACTTAGGGCCAGGACTTTAATCAGTTCTTTTCCAACAGAATTTAGATTCTAGGCCCTGAGTTTTTCACAGGTGACCATTTGGTAGGATATCTGTGTTCCCAGAAGTATGAGCACAGGAAAACAGGAACCCAATCTTGGTGCCTGTTTCTCCAGTTGGCCCCCATTTAGCTCTGGCAGATATCCCAGGAGCCAGGGCCTCTCCCCACACACAGCAGGAGGCAAATGAAAAAAAGGAAGATTTCAAAGTCTATCTTTAAAACCTGGCAGAAACCTGCCCTATAATTACCCTAAGTGAACTAGTTACAACTTCTCTCGTATTGATGTAGGATTATTATGAGATTGTTCACACAGTCTGGTGGAATTCAACTAATGAATTTAGAGGTGTTTTTTTTCTTTTTTTTTTTTTCCTTAAAACCACCCTCCTAACTAACTCCTGCCTCCTAAATATTGTAGAAAACAAAACCAGGAAGGAAAATGAGGTAAACCCTGAATTAATGTTCTCAATCAGAAAATGTTTATTTACTGAAATGATTGCTGCTTTTGGAAGTACAACTTGCTAAGTCTGGTTTTCTAACTTAAGTATTTCATTTTTCAAAAACACTTAGATGGGGCATGAAGAGTAGACGAAGCAGGAGGGCATGAAGACATATATAAAAGCACCCTGTGGACATCCCTGCAAAGGAATCTAGAGAAGCTAGGATGGGGCGTTGGCCATCCCAAGTTTGCAGTGATTTGACTTATCTCTGCAACCAGGTTCTATGAATGTGCTGGCCAGTGTTGTAGAAGGAAATAGACCAGGGTGAGGGCTCTGGTGGCCACTCTTATAATCTTAGGTTTGGGAGGTAGGAAAGGTATCCTCGGCTTAAAATGTACCAAGGGCTTATACCATATGGACTTGCTTTCATTTAGGGAATCTGATTTCAGGAATATGATTTTTTGCAGATAATCGGAATCCCAGTTTCTTGAGAGTAGGAACCAAATCTTACAAATCTTTCTGGCCCTATGTTCCAGAGCACAGAATTAGTGTGTAAGAATCTCAATAAATGCTTATGAATGACAGGATGTTAATTTGGAAAGAATAAGGGTTTTAGAGTCAGTGATTTGCTTTCAAATCCCATCTAAACTTTCTATCTGTGTGACCTTAAGCAAGTCATTTAACTTCTTTGACACATAGTTTCTGCATCTGTGAAACAGGGGTCAATCAGTCCACAAAATTTACTGAGTGCCTGTGTGTGCCAAAACTGTTCTAGATACAGGAGCTACGTTAGGGAACAAGGCAGTCAGAATGTCTGTTCTTGAGGTATATGTGTATGTAGCATTAGAGCCTATCTCAAGCTGCTTCTTGGGAAGGCTAAATGTGAGCTAAGGGCCAAATCCTGGGTTCAAGTCCTGCCTCTACCACAAACTAGCTGTGACATCTCAGCAAGCTGATAGTAATAGGACCAGCCATATGGGGATACTGTAAGACCCCCACCACATGTCCATACCTGTCTTTGTGTACATTTGGAAAGGGCATCTTTTTGGGCACAGGAGTTACATGAAAAGGCACTCTTACCATGGGGCTAATGTGGTCCCATTTCAGAGCTTGGTAAGCAGAGGCTGAATTCAGCCTACAGAGTATCTCCTTGGCTGGGTACCTTGTACAGATATATGTAAAGCCCCTAGAACTGTGCCTGGCATACAGTAAGTACTCAATAGGTACTAGCTTTTATTACTGTATGTGATGAGAATTAATGTAAGCAAGGCATCAATAGTATATGATTGGTGTTCAGTGACTGTTAGTTCCCTTCCTCATGGTCTGTGGAAAAATAGTAACCATATATGTCAGAACAAAGTGTAGATGATAAGCGACAATAGCTTACCTTGTCTTGTCTTTTGTTTTAGCATGTGCAGGAGGTAGTCGGGCCTAAGAAAAAGAGCCCTGGACTAGGAATCAGAAGATATTGCTCTTGCCCCAGTTTCCCCTTGCTTGGCCTCTGCCGAGGCAACCTTCTCCAAGCCTCAGTTTTCCCATCTGTAAATGAGATGAAGGTGTGGACTGGCTGAGGTCATGAGCTGGCATGAGCACATGAGTGCATTTCACTGCAACAATTTCTTACTTTGCCTAGAGTGTGTATAGACAAATAAGGGCATGAGCCAGACTCTGGGAAGGGGGTACTTTATGAGTAAGTCTTAGAAGGACTTCCTCTTCCAACATGCCTTATTATACAGGCTCTAACCGAAACAACAGGACTTGCCCACACAGTGGGTGACCTCTATATGGTGTCAAATGACCTTTAACTGAGAACCATGGGGATAACTGGCTAGTAAGCCCAGCTATTAATCGATGGCTTAGGCATGCAAGATTTTGTATCATGTTTTAGTCTTGCCTGGGCTAACTATGTGACAGTGGCTAAGTCACTTCTGGTCAATATGGTCTAGGATTCTATCCAGCTCAGATATTCTATCAGTCAATGACTAATACCTTCCGTTTTTCTTGACTTTTCTAGTTAGAACTAGATTATTCAAATTCCTAATCAGGCACTTGAATGAGGCATTCTTTCTTTCAATTTAGGGAGTGAAACTACGTGGTGGTTTCCAAGCAGTCAGTGTTTTAGCCTTTAGGCAAGTGCGTTTCCAAAACCCGCCCCCCACCTTTTTTTTTTTTTCCTTCTTAATTCCATTAGTCTGCAAAATAGCTAATAAAAGTCATCATTTATTGAGTTTGTTGTGGGTCCAGAACTGGGCTAAAGTGCATTTAGATACAGTATCTCACTCAATCCTTACAACCAGCTGATGAGGCAGGTATTACAACCATTTTACAGGTGAAGAACTGGAAGCTCAGGGAGGTGAACTAACCTGCCTAAGGTCACACAGCTGATATGTAAGTGGTGGGGTCTGAGGGCGAATCCTGGCCTCTTTCCCCTGCAATATCCTGCATTTGTTAATTATTCCTCTTTATGTAGCATTATGTGAAGTGGCTTCTCTATTGTAGTTGTTCAATATTCTAAGTCGATTAATGTTCCACAAATATTTACTAAAAACCCACCTCGTTACAAAAGAAGGTTCTTCACTGGTGTGTATGTGACCTGTCATTATCTTATGCAAGCTGTATAATGATGTATTTGAGGCAACACCATTGATCTCTTATTGAGTGCCTACTGTAAGTAACATTTATTGGTCAATTGATACCATGTCTTAATGTACTATCTCATCTAAGCCTTACAACAATCCACGAGGCAGGGCCTCTAATTATCTCCAGTTTACAGATAAGGGATGTGAGGCACAGAGCAGGGATTTGTCTGCAGCCCTACAGCTCCACAGCTAGGCACTGCCCCAGTAGGGGAATGATTCAACATCTTCTGTTTCCTTTGGCTCTCTGCCAAGGGTCCAGTGGTCCTGTGTTAAGTTTGAACTCAACACGGTTCATTGCTTGGTTAGACTCTAGCAGGGCTGACTGTGAACCACCAAGATCACAGATATTCTTGCTCATCTCCCACTCTGGAAAGATGGACAGAAGTGCACAGAGGGAACCAGCTGGGGCTGTTATCAAGTCAAAGAGTGCAGACAGCTGGGGTGGGAGCTAGGACTAGCACACCTGCCTTCCCTCACTTGGTGGAAGGGGGATCTGATATCCAAATACCTTTCTTTCCTCTCACTGCTGTGAGTCACCTTGTGTCTGCATGAGGAGGCTTCCTGTGATGTCTGCAGCTGCCCCTCTAAGATGAGAGACTTGGCCAACTAAGACAGGAGTCAGGGATGTGCCATGTTCAGCCAGCCTTCTTAGAGTAAATGATGGAAAATTCTGGTTTCCAATGACTAGTGCTGAGTGGCACTTTTGGAGCCATTTTGTTAAACTGGCTATTGGGAAACTGAGCTCCAGTGTCAGTTGGGAAGGACGGAGTGTCCAGAAATAGAACAGGACATTGCAAACGAGCCATGAAAAACAAACTCAGGCCCTGGCCTGGCTGCCTGGGCCCAGATGTTCTCCCACAGAAGCTTGGCAGAACATGCGTGTAGGGCACTGCCTGGATGAGCCAGGTGTCTCCAAGGTTCTGGACATAGCTTGGCTGTAGTGTTTGGTTCCAGGTTCTGAAACTCAGGTGGGCCAGAAAAGAGTTCAGACACATGAGACTCATCTGTGATCCCACAGGCTTCAGTTCTAGATTCTATTTTTTTAATTGGGTGGTTCTTGGGAAAACCGATTCAATATATTGTAGACCTACAGATTTCCTTATTGATTGTCATCTCTTTTAGGAACAACTTTGCATATGTTTGGAAGCTCTGTTATCTCTCATTTCTCCATCTCTTTCCTTTTCTCCTCCTTCTCCCACCTCTCTTAAACTACAGGGTAGTAGGTAAAGCTTGGGCTATAGAGTGTAGCAGAAACAAGTGTGACTCCTAGTTTTACTTTTTGCACTGTACGACCTCAGGAAACTTGCTTCACGTCTCTGAATTCTAGTTTTCTTTTGTAAGTCGTTACAATAGTTAACACCTACCACATGGGGTTTGGAGAAAGATTACATAATAAAATGCATGTGAAGATAACTGGCACAGTACCTTGCTCATAATATATGGTTAATAAATGCTATATATACATAGATACATTCTTCTCCTCCATTTTTCTTTTCTTCTTGCTCTCTTCTTTTCCTTCCTTTCCTATCCATCTTTGGAACACAGACTCTAAGGTGGCCCCCATGATTCCTACCATGACCAAAGGTGCTCCTACCCCCATGAAATTCCTTCTCCTTGAATATAGGTGGGATCTGTGGCTTGTTTCTAATCAATGGAACATAAAAAAGGTGATGAGATATCACTACCCTATGATTAATTCATGTTATATAAGATTCCGTCTTGCTCGACACTCTCTCCCTTGCTGGCTTTGAAGAAGTGGCTGTGTTAGGAGGTCATATGGCAAAGAGCTGAGGACAATCTCTAGGAGCTGAAGGAAGCTTCCAGCCAACAGCAGGCAAGAAGCCTGGGTTCTCAGTTTTACAGCCACAAGGAAATGTTCTGACTACAACCTGAGCAAGCCTGGAAGTGAACCCTTCCTCAGTCGAGCCTCCTGATAAGAATCCTACCCTGACCAACCTCTTGATGGCAGAGGATTCAGCTGGGCTGTGTCAGACTCCTGACCCACAGAACCTGTGAGATAATAAGTGTGTGTTGTTTTATGCCTCTAAATTTGTGATGATTTGTTACACAGCATAGAAAATGAATGTCCCTTCTTTTCCAATTCTCCCTCACCCCTTTTTACTCATTCACAACTTTCATAATTCTTCCTCACCCCTTTCAACTAATTCACTAATTCCATAATCAAATTATATGTCTAAGTAGAAAATGCAGTAGAACGACTTCCATATATTGCTTACTGAATTATTTAGGAGAAAATGATTTTGTCTTAAGGTCAAAAACAAAAATAAACAAAAAAACCACAAAGAACAGAATTGAGTTTGGTTGAATGGGCTCAAGAATCCTTGGAGAAAGACATAGGGAAGCTGCAGTCATTTTTATGGCATAATAGAAGCACTATCTCTTTCTTCCTATATGGGCCAACAGAGAATTCAATGACTTCTCATCCTTCTTAAAAGGATAAACCTGTTTTGGGACATTTCAATATCCACTGCATAAATGACTCAGAACTTGAAAGAGTGAAAGAGCCTCAAAAGACTTAATTTTGAGAGAAGTTCAATTGGTTTCTGACCCACTGTTTTTCTTGGGTGGTGTGGAAGATACCGTTGAAAATGCCCAGTTCTGAAATGATCATATCATTTTCCCATACAGAACTCTTTAGCAGTCTCCCTACTGTCCCCAAGATAAAGTCCAGATCCCTTAATTTGGCTTAAGGGTCATTGCCAACTTCTTCAGATTCATTGTTTCCCTTTCTGCCTCTGATTTCTGAGTTCTGTCTTACCTTAGAGCCTTTGCACATGCTGTTCCTCTGCTCTGAAACCACTTTTATTTTTTCAACTGGCTAATTCTTAATCATTTAAAGTCCCAGTTGAGGTGTCATTTACTCTAGAATGCCTTTCCTGAGTCCCAAGCACGGGTCAGGTGTCTTTCCCTTTCTTTCCCCAGTCGTAGGCTTCATTACACTGCATTTAAATTGACTGTTTACATGTCTGTCTCACTCCAGTAGACCTTAAAGGCAAGGTTCATACCTTGGTTCTTCTTGTAGCTCTATTATCTACTTGTGGGCCTGGTACTGTGACTGCAACAGCAAATAGAACAAAGTACTTCCCTCATGGAGCTCAAACTAGGATCAGGGTATTGCACGCTGCCAGCCCAGCTCTACAAGGCCCTATTTACCCTCAAGGTCCTTTTACCAAATAAGCCATATGACTTTCCATGATGCCAAATCATTAGGATTAAAGATAATTTATGCAGACTCTGTATCTCCTGGAAAGGCATAAAGGATAAAGGAGCAATCACCTCTGGGGTGATGGGCCCAGCAGACACTTGCTCTTCCTGTGACACTCAACTCTTGAGTCAGTGTTCAGTTTAAGAGGAGATATCACATCTAGCCCATTGCCTCTCCTCTGGCTCTGGGCCGTCACTGATGATTGCCGTGTGAATGGCACCCTGGAGCCTGATCTATGGGGAGCAGAGCAAGTACTACGAGTGGGCAAGTGGGTGGTGGTGGTGGTGGTAGTGGTGGTGGTGTTAGCAGTTCTGGTGGTGACGGTAGTGGTGGAGCACATTCTTCAAATGCCTTTGCTTCTGCACTTGCTCCCTTAGGAGGTGGCAAACCCATCTGTTCTGAAGAGTAGAAACAGAGCCTTTGCTATTCTGATGGGATGCTGGAATATTCCCCATCCTCTTCACCTATTGTAGTTAAGGGCATGACCTTCCTTTTCTTTCTTTAATTTTTTTTTCAATTTTTTATCAAAGATTTATTTTATTTTCCAGATGAATTAATGCTGTTAAGTTAAATAACATGCCTAAGATTATCAGATAGTGAGTAGTACAGTACGGATTTGAACAAACTATATTTGTTCTGCATTCCAAGAAGCATATTTTTTGAAGAGAAAAAGATCTGGATTCACATCCCAGCTTTTCCACTTAAAGCTGCTGACCTTGGCCCAGTCTCTTCTTTGAAATGGGAATGATAATAACATCAATCTCATACAGTTGTTGTGGGGCTAAATGAAATGGTCCATGTACCATGCTTAGAACTAGGTAAATGCTTACAAATTGTTAGCCATCATCATCATCATCATCATCATCATCATCATCATCATTATCACTATTATTTCTTGGCTATTCCAAGCCTCATGTTTCACCTTATGCTTTAACCTTGGGGCTTCATCTTAGTTATTCCAGAGGTGGTAGCTTTGTTTACCAATACTCTGCTAGGGTTAGCTAGGACTGTGACATTTTCTTCTTCGGCACCTGCCATAGCAGTTAGCACATGCAGGCCACAGCTGGTCAATCCTTGTGGACTGACTGATAGAATGACTGAACTTCATTCATTCCTACCTTGGCCTGCATGCTTTATATTTCTGCTGGGCCTTTCCCATCCTAGAAAGCAGCACAGTATGTGTTGAGGAATAAACACTGTATTTGGTGCCATTTGCCAGCTTGAAGGCATTAGAAAAATAACCTGTTTGTTCTAAGCTTCAGTTTCCACATTTGCCAAGTGAAAATAATAATCCTGACACCGTACAGAGCCATTCTGGAGGTGAAATGCCCACAGGTAGGGAGCCCCACATGCTCTGGTCCCTTCTCTTTTTTCCTCAACTAGCTCCAGTAACCAGAACAGGCATCTGCCAGGGGCTGGATCCAGAGGGAAGGGAGAGAGGCAGACTACTGTTATTGGCTTGTTGCATCATTTCCTTACAAACCAATACAGCCAGCTGCTCAGCTTTAGTCAGGTAGGAAGAGTTTCCAAGCCCAAGGGCTCAGTTTTAAATATAACAGACATCGGTCCTTGCAGAGTTCTCAAGTTCAGAGGCAGCCATGCAGGTAATATTCACTGGTTGCTTTGGGCAGGATTTCTAAGTTCTTGCAGGGTAAAGTGGAGCCCTGATCAGGGAAGACCCAGCCCAATGCAAAGGATGCCTCAAGACTAGAGACTTCTTAGATTTGGAAGGCTTTGGAATGAGGTTCCCATTAATATTACTTATGACCCCCAAATGACTCAAAGTTTCATAAAGAGGTTGCTTTACTCCATTTTTTTCAATTGCTTTGAGAATAATGTAGAGATCAAATTGCATTTGTGGCCGTATCAGTGAAAATTACATGTTCATAAATTATCAGAACCTCTTCTGATATACACCAATTCTATAAGGTTAACTTCCTTCTTAAAAAAAAGTATCACAGCTCTAAACTCATGTAGTTTTCAGTGTCTTTTAAACTGTCTTTTCAGTTTACTAGGTGTCTTAGTCTATTTTGTGCTGCTATAACAGAATACTACAGGCTGGATAATTTATAAATGATAGAAGTTTATTGGCTCATGGTTCTGGAGGGTAGGAAATACAATGTTAAGGGCCTTTTTGTTGCATCATAACATGGTAGAAGGCATCACATGCATGTTTATAGCAGCACAATTTGCAATTGTAAAAATATAGAACCAGCCTAAATGCCCATCAACCAATGACTGGATAAAGAAAATGTGGTATATATGTACCATGGAATACTACTCATCCATAAAGAGGAATGAAAAATGGCATTCTCAGCAACCTGGATGGAGTTGGAGACCCTGATTCTAAGTGAAGTAACTCAGGAATGGAAAACCAAATATTGTATGTTCTCACTTATAAGTGGGAGCTAAACTATGAGGATGCAAAGACATAAGAATGATATAATGGTCTTTGGGGACTCTGGGGGAAGGGTGGCAGGGGGAGGTGAAGGATAAAAAACTACAAATTGGGTACAGTATACACTGCTTGGGTGATGGGTGCACCAAAATCTCAGGAATCACCACTAAAGAAATTATCCAATTAACAAAAATCACCTGTTCTCCAAAAACGATTGAAAAAAAAAATAAAATGGAACAATAATCTGTGAAGATTAAATGAGTTAATACATGTAAAGCTAACATGAGTAAAGGGCTTGTCACAGTTAGCCATCATCATTATTAGGCAATATGAGTAGGTTTATTTTGCACCCGAATCTCTTCTTTCTTGAGAATGTAGAGAATTTTCAGATTAAGGGAGTGGGAAGGGAATAATGCAGAGCCCAGGGAAAATGTACTCATGTTCAAGGCTACCTCATAAGCAAGGTCACCAGCAGGCCAAGGAACCACATGCTGGCACTACAGTGTATATTGATCACCCTCATCTCAATTTATCTGGTATTCTTTGCCAACTCATGGCTTGGATCCCCTTTTCAAAAATAATGATTTATTTGTTTGTACACTTTATTTTTTTTTTTTTAGAAAGAGTGTCTCGCTCTGTCATCTAGGCTGGAGTGCAGTGGTACAATTACAGTTCACTGCAGCCTTGAACTCCTGGGCTCAAGCAATCCTCCAGCCTCAGTCTCCTAAGTAGCTGGGATAACAGGCACGTACCACCACGCACGGCTGGATCTCTTTTTCCTCTAACATGTTTTGCCCTCTAATGTCTGTAGCTGTTACATAAACCAAGCAGACAATCAGGGGCTGTTGGAATCTGCCCTCTGCCTCTTTTCCATCACCACTCAGTGATGCAGGGGTATCTGGGACCTGCCTGCTCCAATATGCTGATAGTGAACATCTTTTGTTGTCTTCTTTCCTCCTCACCTTTCTTCTTACTTCCCACCAACTCCCCTTCTTTTTAATTCTGATTGCACTATCAACTCTACACTGTCTATTTGGTGATGACATTTAGACTTGAGAGTTTTTTTCTTTAAATGTTTCATAAATAAGTCTTTTCTTCCAGTAAAATTCTAAACTCAAGTGCAGGAATTGTGCTTCATTCCTTTTCATAGCCTCTATAGGGTGCAGCTCACGTTGTAAACTTTTAATAAACACTTGTTGGCTTGGCTTGTCTGTTTGGCAACAGCATGTAAATATTTGCACACCCTTGGCCATGAGTCCCTGATAGCAAGTAAGTTCTAGCCTGAGTGAATTATCTGGTGGGACCTGAGAAGCAAATTCAGATACTTACAGGTTGTTCCTAAGAGTTCTTTAAAAAAAATGTATATAATTAAAAAGTAAAAAAGAATTATATGTTCTCTATACAGAGATCTAGACACTATAGAATGTATAAAGAAAATATGCATATCTCATTTCCTTTCTCTTCTAATTCCACTCCCTAGTGAAGACAACCTGTGTCCATAGTTTGAGGCATATACTTCTAGATCACACTGTCCAATATGGTAGTCACTAGTTCTATGTGGCTATTGAGCATTTAAAATGTGACTAGTCAGAATTGTAATGTGCTGTAACTGAAAAATACACACTGGAGTTTGAAGACTTACTATAAAAAATGTAAAATATCTCAATAGTTTTTGTATTGATTACATGTTGAAATAATATGTTGATGGATTAAGTGAGTTATTAAAATTAATTTCACCTTTCTTTTTACTTTTTTTAATGTGGCTACTCAAAATTTAAAATTACATATGTGACTCACATCATATATCTATTGTAGAATAATGTTCTGGATTTTTTTCTATGCATATATAAACCCACATACATGCACAAACACATATAGACATAATTGTTAACAAAAATATGTAGATAGGTTCTGCCACTTGCTTTCCTCACTTAGCTGTACTTTTGGGACATATTTTATTAGAATATTTAGAGCTAACTCATTTTAAAAAATGACTATAATATTCTGCCGTAGAGATATATCATTGTTTATTTAATTAAGTCTCTATTCATGAGATTTGGGGTTCTTTCCAATATTTTTTGCTATAAACAATACTGCAATGTTTGAGCATCTGGGCATAAATATTGTTAGCCACTCTACTAGTATTTCACAGTGACATTATTAAATCAATAAGTGCATACATTGTACATTTTGATAGATTAGGCAAACTTTTTAACATTTGGGTATCATGGACCCTCTGGAGAATCTGATGAAGGCTACAGCTTCTCCCAGGAAACTATACATAGGCAAATATACATAGGCAAATATCCATACAGTTTTTTACAGTGTCAGGAATTCATGGATATCCTAAAAGCAAAGTTAAGAGATCTTTTCTAGAGAAATAACTCACCGTAGGGCTGGGCGTGGTGGCTCATGCCTGTAATCCCAGCACTTTGGGAGGCCAAGGTGGGTGGATCACTTGAGGTCAGGAGTTTGAGACCAGCCTGGCCAACATGGTGAAACCCTGTCTCTACTAAAAATATAAAACTTCGCCGGGTGTGGTGCTGCATGCCTGTGGTCCCAGCTACTCAGGATGCTGAGGCAAGAGGATTACTTGAACCTGGGAGGCGGAGGTTGCAGTGAGCCGAGATTGTACCACTGCAACTCCAGCCTGGACAACAGAGTGAGACTCTGTCTCAGAAAAAAAAGAAAGAAAGAAAAAAAGAAATAACTCACCATAAATTCAGCTTCGGAGTGTTCTAATTGTTGGCTAGAAAAGATAGAGACAGTCCCACGTTGTGGTCAAGAACCTGCACCAAGCATTAGGCAGACCTGGGTTCACATTCTAATCTTTGTAATCACAGGGATTTACCTGAAACTCAACATGCCTCAGATTCCTCCTCCATGAAATGGAGGCATAATACCTACTCATGGGATCTGGCATATGGCAGGTACTGAATAAATACTGCTTTCTTTTCACCACTTCTGTGGGATTTTTTTTTTCTTGAGGTATCTTACAGTTAACAGGATGCTTTCAGTGCTTAGCCAATAGTCAGAGACTGACTAGGGCAGGATTCATAAATGGGCCAATTAGAGGAGTCGCTTGATATCTAGATAGAGAGTTTACTTAAACATTTGCAGCCATTTCTTCACACAAAGCTATCATTTTGAAGCAGTTGCCCAAACGGTAACTTTAAACAGCCTCCAACTCATACTAGGATTTCTGTTCTAATATCATTGTTTCAATAGGATGATTTTCACCTAAATTATAAAAGCCAAAGAGTTCTTATTCCTTTGAAGGGTCTCTGGGTCCCTACTTATAAAGTAATTATTTCTTTTTCTTTTCTAAAGTTTGAGACAGAGTCTCATCCTGTCACCCAGGTTGGAGTGCAGTGGTGTGATCTTAGCTCACTGCAGCCTCTACTCCTGGGCTCAAGCGATGCTCCCACCTCAGCCTCCCTAGTAGCTGGGACTACAGGAGTGCACCACCATGCCCAGCTAATTTTTGTATTTTTTGTAGAGACAGGATTTCAACATGTTACCCAGACTGGTCTCAAACTGCTGGACTCAAATGATCCACCTGCTTTGGCCTCCCAAAATGCTGGGATTACAGGCATGAATCACCACGCCCAGCCTTATAAAGTAATTATATCTATTTTTTCCCTGAGTATTCTTCTTATCATCTCTTTCTTTCCACCCACAAAATTTGGATTGTTCTGAGGGACAAAGAGGTCTTTCTCTTGTTTTCCCCCACAGCATTTGGTGCAGTGCTGGATATAGAATGTGTATTTTAATTCTCGTGAACTAGAACCCCTGTCTTGGCAGTTCTCAATAACAGAAAAGAAGTGAGTTTTTATTCAAATGATTCCCATTGGCCTGAAAATAATAAAAACAACAATAGCGAACATTTATTGAGTATTTACAGCATGTCAAGCATTGTAACAAACTAATTATATTCATTGTTTGTCTCCCTTTATTCTCACAACCCCAGGATGTAGGTGTTATTGATTTCACCTACATCAGTGAAGAAATTGAGTCTCCAGAATCTATCTCAAATTAGTCATTTCACTCTGTCTCTGCTGCCACTGTCATCCCTCTTTGCCATGTTCTCTGGGTAGGTTTTCCCATTTCCACTTTGTCCTCACCCAATCCTTCTCACCAAGGCAGCCAGAATGATCTTTGATCTTTAGAAAATATAAATTGATCAGACTGCTCCTGGTTTCATCTTCCTAGAGGTTTCCTATTGTGTAAAGAACCTAATGTGTCCTTGCCTCCCTCACGCCTCCCCCGTGTCTCCTTACCCTTTCTGCACAGGAGTGAGGTCATGGCTTCTAACAGCTCCACCTCCCTCCTCCCGCTTCTGCACAAGCTACTGTTCCCTTTGCCTCAAATACTCTTGCCCAACTCTTTGGTTGGCTCGTTCAGACTCATCCTTCACTCTTTTAGGGAGTAGCTTTTTCTGATAAAATGCTTCTCATTTTAATGAAGTCTCTTTCCTCAAATAGGTCAGAGCTTTCAGGATTTTTTCTTATTATTACCAACCACACTTTAAATATTTATTTGTGTGTTTTACTTCTTAACATCTCTCTGATGAGACCGCACATTCTATGAGAGTGCCTACAGTTTTCTGCACTATATACCCAATGGCCTAGTCGTCTGGCTGGCTGGCATATGGTGGCTGGTGTTAATAAATAAATATTTGTTGAAAGGATGAATGATGCTTCAAGTAGTGAGTGTAAACACCAATTACCTCCGTTCTTTTCCACTTTCAAAACCTCATAATACCTACTCTAATACTCTCTGTGCAAAAGGCAGTGTTCGTTGAAATGAATATAACTGAACTTCAACTTTTTTTTCCCTCTTAGTTTAACAGGAAATTGCCCCACCCTAGTCCAAAACAATGATGGCTCTAGATGGCAAAAAAAAGATGATGGCTCCGAACAGATTTAGGAGGATTTGTAACACAGCTTATCAATTACTCTGGGCCTAATAAAGCCCCAGATAACCAAGTGAACTCCCAAGACTCTTCACTTAGTGACTACCTACACAATCAGACATTGCCTGAGGGTCAACACCATTGACAAAACAGGCCGTGCCATTTCTGGGAGAAAAAACAAAAAATTGCAGTGGGTGACTGAAATACAGTTCTAGGTTTTTTTTTTCTTAATTTTAATTTTTTTTTGAGACAGAGTCTTGCTCTGTCACCCAGGCTGGAGTGCAGTGGCGCGATCTCAGCTCATTGCAACCTCTGCCTCCTGGGTTCAAGCAATTCTCCTGCCTCAGCCTCCCGAGTAGCTGGGATTACAGGTGCATGCTGCCATGCCTGGCTAATTTTTTATGTTTTAGTAGAGACGGGGTTTCACCGTGTTGCGCAGGCTAGTCTCGAACTCCTGAGCTCAGGCAATCCACCTGCCTCGGCCTCCCAAAGTGCTGAGATTACAGGAGACCACCATGCCTGGCCTACAGTTACTAGTTTTTGCTTTTTGAACAGCCTTGTCAGAAATAACAAAAGCCTACGAAATGAGTTTGCCACTTCATTTAATTAATCTCAGGACATATGAGAAAATGATTTTCTGCTGGAGCGTGCTTTGTGAGCACCAAAGGGAGCCCTGTGGTGGATTGTTTAATGATCCACAGTCAAAATGGACACAGGGCAAATCTCTACAGCCTGCTCACCTCTCATTTTTGCTGTAAATGTAACTTAATTATAACTGCAGTTTATGGACTTTCTGGTAGTATGGTGATGCAGCAATAAAAAAACCAAAACTGGCCGAGCATGGTGGCTCACGCCCGTAATCCCAACACTTTGGGAGGCCAAGATGGGTGGGTCATCTGAGGTCAGGAGTTTGAGACCAGCCTGGTCAACATGGCGAAACCCTGTCTCTACCAAAAATACAAAAATTAGCGGGGCGTGGTGGGGCGCGTCTGTGATCTCAGCTACTTGGGAGCCTGAAGCAGGAGAATCACTTGAATCCAGGAGGTGGAGGTTGCAGCGAGCTGAGATGGCGCCACTGCACTCCAGCTTGGGCAACAGAGCAAGACTCTGTCAAAAAAAAAAAAAAGAAAGAAAGGAAGGAAGGAAGGAAGGAAGGAAGGAAGGAAAAGAAGGGAAAGAAGAAAGAAAGAGAAAGAAGAAAGAAAGAAAAGAAAGAAGGAAGGGAGGAAGGAAGGAAGGAAAAGAAAGAAGAAAGAAAAAGAAAGAAAGAAAAAAAGAAAAGAAGGAAGGAAGGAAAGAAAGGAAGAGGCCGGGCACGGTGGCTTACACCTGTAATCCAAGCACTTTGGGAGGCCGAGGTGGGTAGATCACGAGGTCAGGAGATCGAGACCATCCTGTCTAACACGGTGAAACCCCGTCTCTACTAAAAATACAAAAAATTAGCCGGGCGCGGTGGCGGGCGCCTGTAGTCCCAACTACTGGGGAGGCTGAGGCAGGAGAATGGCGTGAATCCGGGAGGCGGAGTTTGCAGTGAGCCGAGATTGCGGCACTGCACTCCAGCCTGGGCGACAGAGCGAGACTCCATCTCAAAAAAGAAAAAAAAAAAAAACAAAAAAGAAAGAAAGAAAGAAAGAAAAACTATTAAGGGAAACTCCAAGAAATCAAAGAGCTGGGGCTGAGGGACAGGGTTGCAGAAAGTTACCTGATGCCATTTAATTCCAGTCTCTGTCTCCAAGGGACTTGGAAACCAGTTATAAATGATGATGGGAGGAATTTGGGTGTCTAATCAGCCTGACAGGAGAGTAATTTTTTATATTAAAACAAACTTTCTTGTGCAATAGTTTAAATGTACTGTGTTCCATCTGTTTTCAATATGGTTATGATACCTTCCAGTATAAAATTTTTCATCCCTCACTCAGCTAATCCTAATCCCTTCATTCTTTGGAACTCTTACTTATTGGGACAAGAGGAAGGTTTTGTTACTGTTATTGTTTAAATAAAATGAGGTGGAGTCTCACTATATTGCCCAGGCTGATCTTGAACCCTGGGCACAAGAGATCCTTTGGCCTTGGCCTCCCAGAGTCCTGGCTGGTCAAGGGGAAGGTTTATGTCAGAAACTACAACTACCTCTATAAATGTATAGTTATTAATCCATCCATCCATCCATCCATCCATCCATCCATCCATCCATCCATTCATCCAGTATTTATTTTGTGCAAGCTATTAAAAAAAAGTGGAATAAGGCTGGGTGTGGTGGCTTGTACCTGTAATCCCAGCACTTTGGGAGGCCGAGGTGGGTGGATTATGAGGTCAGGAGATCGAGACCATCCAGGCGAACATGGTGAAACTCCATCTCTACTAAAAATACAAAAAATTAGCCGGGTGTGGTGGCAGCTGCATGTAGTCCCAGCTACTCGGGTGGCTGAGACAGGAGAATGGTGTGAACCCAGGAGGCAGAGCTTGCAGTGAGCCAAGATTGCGCCACTGCACTCCAGCCTGGGCGACAGAGCGAGACTCCGTCTCTAAAAAAAAAAAAAAAAAAAAAAAAAAGTGGAATAATACAGTGATTGCCCTTAAAGAACTCTGAATTCAGAAGGAGAAACAGATAAGAAATAGATGCCATTAAAGGGAGATAGGTGTTACAATGGAGGAGGTATGAAGTCCTAAGGGTGTCTTGACTCAGACAGCTCCTTCACTTCTTCCTTCTCTTGCTCCCTTACTCTCTTTAAGAATTTTCTGAGCTTTTAATCTGGTGGAGGGGTGGGAAAGAAGGACGGCCTAAGGCAAAACCATGCATACATAAGATATAGAAGGGGAGGATGAGGTAGGTGCCAGGGAAGTCCTGCTGCAGGAACTGAAGAGGGGGACAGAATCAGAGACCAACTGAGAAGATTTTCCAAAGAGGCAGCATTTGAGCCCAACACTAATAACTGTGGACAGGATTTTGAGAGATTGGTTTGTCGAATAATGAAGAGGTTGGATAAAAACTCAAAGGGTTAAGAGAATTAATAAGGCATTGGGAAGTACTTTGAATTTTGGTTTCTTTTTGCTTTTAACACTCATGTGTAAAATGTTTGTAATCCTAAAAATGCACTTAGGACTTAAATGTTTTCTTACTGAGATATTTGTCGCACAGGATCTCTTCCTTTTGTGAGCCATCTCTCCTTTACTCCCTGGTAGTTTTGCTCAGGCCATGTGGTGCAGGATGGCTGATTCTGCCCAGACCTCTGGCTTTAGGGGTGGCCACATGACCGAGGTCCAACCAATCAGACTATTCCTTATACCTTTGGTACAGCAATTGCTCTGAGATGCATGCAGAACCCCAGGTAAGCTAATTGGAGTCTCCTTGGCAAAGCTGTCATGAAAAACACCCATAATTTCTCTAAGATTAAGAGCTTAAAGAATGATGTAGGCTTTGGCTGTCAGTATATCACTCCTGGAAAGAACTTGCCTGGGAATGAAGAAAGCGGTAGGTAGAGCTGAGAGATGATGAAAGATACAGAATCCAGGTGACTGTGAGCCCATGGATCCTGCTGGGTCTGAGGTCTAGCCTCCAAATCCCCATGAAACTAACTCTCCTGCTTTTTTATTTCTTAAGCCAGTTGGAAGAGGAATTTTGCAAATTACAACTGAGAAGGTCTTCCTACAATAGAGCAGATAAACTGTATTGACAGAAGGGAAATAATTTTCCTGGATAAGTTAGTCTGATCAGTATTAATAAAAATCCATGCCTCAGGCTCACATCTGCCCTGATCAACTTATCTTTCTTGCTGAATTGATGGCCTCTATTCACGACTTCAGTTAAAATGATAAAACACCACTGTGGTTATAGAACATGGCCAGGTGGCTGCCCAGACTACTGTTTTTCAGATCAATCCTTTTAACAACTATTCGCCATGATTATGTCCTGTATTTTAGGCATTTGGGTCCTTTCATCCCAAAGAATCCTGAAATCGTTTCCTATCTGTACCAAGAATCCTATGAGTGTTAGTCACTTTATTCATATCTGAAATATTATCTCTCTCCTCAGCTCTCTCCCTTCCCTCAGGACAGAAAGAAACAGTGGTTCTTAGAGAAGAGAAATGTTAAAGAATGTACCTTCCCGAGAAGGAAGAAAATTCTAATTAGTCACCACATTCTCATTTCTATTACCAAATAAGGGAGATTGTCATAAGTGACAACTGAAGATGACCCCTCAGAACTTTCCCCCACTACAAACTCTTTGGAGTTGACATGAGGCAAAAAAAAAAAAAAAAAAAAAAAAGGAGGATGCAGGAATGCAGCAGCTCCTGAAAAAATCCCACTGTCTTCAAGAACGTTATCAATTTGCCCTCTTTATTTTATCTCCATGGGCAACTTTTCAAGAGTCAAGGCTGGGTGGTGTTCACTGTAGGAGTATGTGTTAGCAAAACTAGTTTCAGCATATGTATAAAAAATTTCCATCAGCTGCTTGCTGCTATCAGATATCACACTACCTGTGAAAGCTCTTTGAGGAATTGCATTTTAACTTCCTGCTCTGTTTTTCAATGAAACTGAGATTTCTGTTTGCTAGCTGTCTTGCCTGTTGGGTTCTTTTTGATCCCAGTTTTGACCCTGCTAATGTGTCTTTATGTGCCAATAGCAATTTTACATCCTGTTAATATTCTTCCTAGGTAAGAATCTCATTTTCTATCTCTGTAGACTTCCATGGGTAAAAATGCCAAGTTTCCATTTTTCAGAAATATTATATCCTTTTCCACCCACCACAGAAAGAAATTAGACAGCCATAGGAGTTAAACACAAGTGAGGCAGGTCAGCCTACCCCTTTTAAACAAAAGTTCAGGGAAGAAATATTTCAGACACTAGGAAACCAGGGGGCACAGCACTTTAGTTCCATCTTAGTTTTGTCAGTATTAGATACAAAGGAGTCTTAGGAGTTAGAATCAGGCCTTTTTTGGAAAGCTTCTGGATCATTTAAGTCCAAAATATGTTGATTAAGGGCCAGGCATTGAACTACATGATATTGAAAGAAACTTTCCTTCTTTTCTAGGCCGGTAGAGCTTCTTTTCTGGGCTGGTGGAGTATGTAAGTCTGAGCTATCTGTTGCAATAGTTTTTTGTAGTAAATATTTGTGATTCTTTTGAATGTCCCACATCTGAATCCCTTTTCCATGTTTGGGAATTCATCCAGCTTATAAGTTTAGGTAGGTGGCAGAACTTGCTTCAAAATTTAGAAGTTGAACAGCTGGGCATAGTGGCACATTCCTATAGTCTCAGCTACTCAGGAGGCTGAGGCAGGAGGTTTGATTCAGCCCAGGAGCTGGAGGCTGCAGCGGGCAATGATCACTACTGCACTTCAGCCTGGGTGACAGAATGAGACCCTGTCTCTAAAACAAAATTAAATACATACATACATACATACATGCATACATACATACATGCCCAGAATAGTTGAAAATGCCGGCTTTAATAGCGTTGCTTTCAGCCAGGGATCTAGGTTTTGTTAATTACATGTACCTGACTTGAATTTTGAATTGGGAGTTAGTGACCCAAAGAGAGGACCTGGGAAGACTCCTCTCCACCTCCGTGTGATGCTGGTGGAGGCTAACGCAGGTTGACCTCCAACTACAGCAATAGAAGGGGGACAAAGGCAGACCTGGAAGTCACACTTAGTCATTTGGGGCATTGTTCCTGCAAGGTGGCCTCAAACCAGTCCTTCAGCCCTCCTAGAGGTTCTGTGAACAACCTAATATTCTTTTTATTATCCTGCCTCTGCTGATATATATATATATATGTATACACACACACACATACACACACACACACACACACACACACACACACATATATATATAGCAGTAGATTTTATTGTTTGCAACTAAGAAGGCTGGGGATCTAAGTCATGGAGAGTGCCCTTTGCAAATGGAGAGAATGAGGTCAATTCATATAAACAAGGGGAGTTAAGGCAGAGGGGGGTGAATCTGCCAGAGCTATCTGGGTCCTTATAGGCTCTTAGTCTGGCTCTTACTCTAAATTTTCCAGCCTATGAGCTATCAAATACCCAGTTTTGTTTGAGCTAGTTTGAGGTGGTTTCTGTCACTTGCAACTAAAAGAGTTCTGGCAAACACAGATGAAAGCAAATTAATATTACATATCAGGAGTCTCAAGAATGTTCATCCCTTTGACCTGATAATCATTTTTCTATTCTTTGGAAATAATTAAAAATGTTAAAAAACAAAACCAAAATAATTGATGGGATTGGGCAAATGGTTGCATAAAAAGTGCCTTTAGATGACAATATCCACAAAGCTGGAGGTACTTGCTGCCAATTCCATGGTCGCCTTTTTCATCCCTTTCATGTTACCTTTTGGAGACATTTTCATTGCTGTCTTAGTTTTATTCTGTGTCTCTCTGGACAGCTTTTCCCTGCTTCTCTACCTGGAGTCTTTGGAAACTGCTTTTTGAGGCTCAAAATGGCCATAAACTGTGAGACCATGTAAATGCTTATTTGCTTTTCAGACCAAATTGCTGTTGAGCACCAGAGGTCTGAAAGTGCCCTAAACAGGCCACGCTGTAAAACACCACACATGATCTTGGATGTGTTCGTGTTTCCAATGGAATTCTTTATGCTGCAGCCTGGTGTGGAGGCTTCTGACCCAAGCCCAGCAAACTGATTACAATGGCCCGGGCAAGAAGCAAAGCAGTTTGGTGAAATATGAAGTGCATGGACCGAGAGTCAGGAAACCTGGAGTTTGGTCCTTGTGTGTGTTCCTTGCAAACTGGGTGACCTTGGAAAGTTCCATTTTTCTCGTTAGGCCTACGCTGCACATTTGTATAAGAAGATATCGGACCAGATGTGTTTTATGGCCCTTTAAATCTCTCAGCACCTATGTTTTATGATTCCTTATACGGAGGCATTTTAAAAGAAAACCTGTGATAAACTTGGTTTAGGAGTGCCTTTGCTGTAATACCCAATCCAGATCAGGCCTCAAGCAGAGTCATGAGAAGAATTTGCTTGAATGCATTCCCCTGGGATGAAAACCTGTCACTGAGTGCTTAGAGCTGAGTCCCCTGAACCAACTCCTAAGAATATTGGCCTGACTGCACCTCAATTCTGCTCCCAGCTGGGGCCATTCAGGGAGGTGGTCTGAGTTGACTCTGGAACAACTAATGATTCAGCCTTACAGGGTTCCGCCTAGTCTTGAGAACAACCATCTGAAGTAGATGTTACGGTTTTACAGAGGAGGAAACTGAGGCTCCAAGAGTTCTAGTGACATCGAGCATGTGACAGACCTGGATTCAAACACAGGTTTTTTTGTTTTGTTTTGTTTTTTTGTTTTTTTTTTTGAGATGGAGTTTTGCTCTTGTTGCCCAGGCTGGAGTGTAGTGGCATGATCTTGGCTCACTGCAACCTCCGCCTCCTGGATTCAAGTGATTCTCCTGCCTCAGCCTCCCAAGTAGCTGGGATTACAGGCATGCGCCACCATGCCTAGCTAATTTTTGTATTTTTGGTAGAGACGGGGTTTCACCATGTTGGCCAGGCTGGTCTCAAACTCCTGCCCTAAAATGATCTGCCCACCTTGGCCTCTCAAAGTATTGGGATTACAGGCGTGAGCCGCTGTGCCTGGCTGGTCTTTTGGTTTTAATGCCTGTGATGTTTCCCCTGCCTGAAAACATCCTGCAGGTGAACATTGTTGAAGTGAACAGTGAGGTGCTCATTCAGAGAAGGTGACATTAGGCAGACCCCCACTCCACGTTTTTTTTAATGTTATAGTATAGCACCTTCAGAGCATTAGCTTTGGCCAAATCCAGGTTTGTCTCTTGCTCTCTGTGTGCCTTTGAGCAGGTTAATCTTTCTGAGCCTCAGTGTCCTTATCTGTAAAATGGGAATAGAGATAATAGTACCCACCTCACATAGGGGCTGCAATAGTTAAACAGAAGTGCTTAGCATGCTGGGTTTTCAATAAGGTTAGCGATAGGTAAAGGGTTCAATGTGCATGTCCAATTTGCAGCAAGTTCTACTGCAAATTTACTCTTCCACTTTCAATTTACTCTTAAATTCATCCGCTTCTCTGCATTACAGCTACTATTTTAGTCCAGGCCACCCACCCAGAAGACCAGAATTGGTCTTCTACTGTCATTATTGTTTGCAGAAATTCATTTCCCGCACAGGAGCCAAAGTAGTGTTTTTTTGTTTGCTTGTTTGTTTTTATATATTAACAATATTTTGTAATTCAAGATCAATGCAATATCTGTTGAAAGTAACAACTTTGGTATTTAGGGAATAAATTTTATAAAATGATTGTTTCTAAAATTAGTTTGGTTTGGTATATCATGTTGCTCTGTAAAGGACTTTTATGAAACAGCTGTTATATAAAAGAATTGGCTGTCTCAAAAGAAAAAGACAGCCAAAGCTTTCTTAATCAACTTAATTTCATTTGATTAACTCATACAACAAAACTTCTATCTTTGCTGCCTGATAGTTATGAAGAGGAGACATGAGTTGCTACAGTTTATACCAATTCTAGCACAACCTTCTTCTCCAGTAAGATCTGGAGCAGGAATAACCCAATCTTTTGTTTGAGAGCAGATATACTGAAGCCATCTGAAGTAAGCTCTGTCACATTTCCTTGTCTTTAACTCCCAAATTACCTAGGTAACTTATTTCTTTCTTCCTTCCTTGCCCCTTCACAATCCTTTCTTTACAGAAGAAACCTCTAGATTTGTGGTCTTGATCCTTCCCCTTCTACAAGCTTTTTATGGATTATTCCCATCACTTCTTTCCTTTTAATTTAACAGTAGTATACGTCTATAATTTCTATATCTTAACCCCTTTGCTTCTTCCCCTCTACCTAGAAACATGCTTAGACACTAAAGCAAAAGATGGCCAGGCGCAGTGTCTCATGCCTGTAATCCCAGCACTTTGGGGGGCTGAGGCAGGTGGATCACTTGAGGTCAGGAGTTTGAGACCAGCCTGGCCAACATGGTGAAATCCTGTCTCTACTAAAAATACAAAAATTAGCTGGGTGTGGTGGCGCACACCTGTAATCCCAGCTACTCGGAGGCCTGAGGCAGGAGAATTGCTTGAACCTGGGAGGTGGAGGTTGCAGCGAGCTGAGATTGGGCCACTGCAGTCAGGCCTGGGTGACAGTCTCACTCTGTCTCAAAAATAAAAAAATAAATAAAAATAAAAAAGCAAAAGAATGCTTTCTGTCAATCCTGTTACATCTTGAACTGCTATTTAGTGACTATTCTTCCAGCTTTCTCTATGACATCTATACCCTTGCTACTCTGGGCGTGGTTCGAGGACCAGCAGCAAAGGCATTACCTGAGAACTTATGAGAAATTCAGACTCCCAGATCTGCTGAATCAGAATGTACATTTTTAACAGGGTCCTCAGCTAATTTATTAAATTTTGGGAAGTTCTGGTCTATTCCATGCATGCTTCCACACTCCTTTATCTTAACTTACCCTTTTGGAATCTGGCCTCAATTTTCTCCCTATCCTGTCTCCCAAAGATAAACTTTATTCCAAGTTATAAAGTTTGAATGGCCTTTTTATCAGACTACAGCTTCCTTGATCTCCCCATAACTAAACCTACCCTGTGTTTCTTTCCAATTCTCTTCTTTTAGACTATATGATATGATCACACAAAGTAACATTTTATATGACATTGAATTATAGACATGTATGGCTGACCATATATGCTTATGTTCATCTATGGTAGATAAAACATAGCTCTGCATGGTCAGGTACCTCAATCCTTAATGCCCTTCCGACAGGACAAAGACAGGGAGAGTGGGAAAATTTTGCTCTACTTCTCTGACAAGTTTTGGTACTGGAAGCTCATTTTATGTTCTTCCCACCTTTCTAATACCCTGATCTTCCTTTTTCTCTTCAACTTTTATTTTAGATTCCTGTCCATGTGCAGGTTTGTTACCTGAGTATATTGTGGGATGCTGAGGTTTAGGGCGCGAATGATCCTGTCACCCAGGTACTGAGCATAGTACCCAATAGATAGTTTTTCAATCCTTATCCCCCTCTTTTCCTTCCCCACCTAGTAGTCCCCAGTGTCTATTGTTGCCATCTTTATGACCATGAGTACCCAATGTTTAGCTCCCACTTACAGGTGAGAACGTGCAGTATTTGGTTTTCGGTTCCTGGAATAATTCACTTAGGATGATGGCCTCCAGCTGCATCTATGTTACTGCAAAGGACATGATTTTGTTCCCCAACTGAAAATCAGGTCAGTTTTTGAACTGAAAATCAGATCAGGTTATTCCCTGCTTTAATCTTTCTCATTACATCTAGTACCCAACCCCCTTCGTTACTGATATAGTTTGTATATTTGTCCCCACCCACATCTAATGTTGAATCATAATCACCAGTACTGGAGGTGGGACCTAGTGGGAGGCGATTGGATCATGGGGGTGGATTTCTTATGAATGGTTTGCACCATCCCTTGGTGCTGTCCTCATGAGATCCAATCATTTAAAAGTGTGTGGCACTTCCCCCCACCTCTGGTCATTTAAAAGTGTGTGGCAACTCCCCGACCCTCTCCTCTCCACTCTCTCCCTCTCTCTCTCTCTCTCGCTCCTTGCTCCTGCTTTCACTATGTGACATGTCTGTTCCTACTTTGCCTTCTGCCATGATTGTAAGCTTCCTGAGGTCTCCCCAAAGCTGATGTTGGAGCTATGCTGCCTGGACAGCCTGCAGAACCATGAGCCAATTAAACCTCTTTTCTTATAAATTATCCATTCTCTAAATGTAAAATCCCAAACTATAAAAATCCTGGAAGACAACCTAGGTAATAGCATCCTGGAACATAGGAACGGGCAAAGATTTCATGACAAAGACACTAAAAGCAATTGCAACAAAAGCAAAAATTGACAAATGGAATCTAATTAAACTTAAGAGCTTCTGCACTGCAAAGGAAACTGTCAACAGAGTAAACAGACAACCTACAGAATGGGAGAAAATATTTGCAAACTATGCATCTGACAAAGGTCTAATATTTGGCATCTATAAGGAACTTAAATTTATAAGAGAAAAACAAACAACCCTATTAAAAAGTGGGCAAGGAACATGAACAGACACTTTTCAAAAGATGACATAATGCATCCAACAAGCATATAAAAAAAGCTCAATATCGCTGATCATTAGAGAAATGCAAATCAAAACCACAGTGAGATACCATCTCACACTAGTCAGAAGAGCTATTATCAAAAAGTCAAAAAATAACAGATGCTTGCGAGGTTGCGGAGAAAAGGGAATCCTTATACACTGTTGGTGGGAGTGTAAATGAGTTCAACCATTGTGGAAAGCCATATGGCGATTCCTCAAAGAGCTAAAAGCAGAAGTACCATTCCACTCAGTAATCCCATTACTGGGTATATACCCAGAGAAATATAAAGCATCTACCACAAAGACACATGCACATGAATGTTCATTGCAGCACTGTTCACAATAGCAAAGGCATAGAATCAATCTAAATGCCCATCAATGACAGATTGGATAAAGAAAATGTGATATATATACACCGTGAAATACTATGCAACCATAAAAAGAATGAGATCGTGTCTTTTGAGGGAACATGGATGGAGCTGAAGGCCATTGTCCTTAGCAAACTAATGCAGGAACAATAAACCAAATACGGCATGTTCTCACTTTTAAGTGGGAGCTAAATGATGAGAACACATGGACACAAAGAAGGGAACAAAAGACACTGGGGTCTACTCGAAGGTGGAGGATAGGAGGAGGGAGAGGAGCAGAAAAAGTAACTTTTGGGTACTAGGCTTAATTCCTGGGTGATGAAATAACCTGTACAACAAACCCCTGTGACATGTGCTTACCTGTATAACAAACCTTCACATGTACCCCTGAACCTAAAATAAAAGTTAAACAAGTAAATAAATTACCCAGTCTCAGGTATTTATAGCAATGCAAGAATGGCCTAACACAATTACCATGGTTTCTTTGTCCCTCTGCATCTTCCCCTGCAGCTTATCTCATGCCACTCGCCTCAGTGCTTACCACCCCTCAGCCACGTGGGTTTTCTCTCAGTTTCCAGAACTCAGATCTTGCCAAGTCCTCTCCACTCTTTGAGAACAGGGTCAGGATGTTCTCCCTCATTGGAACCCACTTCCCTGCCTTCCTCTCATCCTTCAGGTATCAGCATAAATGCCTCCCTTAGAGAGGTCTTTTTTTGACCACCCTAATAAAATATCTTTCCTTTTATCCTCCATTTCATACCCTTGTCTATATTTAGTTTATATAGCAGACACATTGCAATTTGCAATTATTTTTATTATTTGTGTGTGTGTGTGTGTGTGTGTGACAGAGAGAGAGAGAGAGAGACTGTTGGTGTTCTGCCTATATTTCTTCAGAGCCTTTACCATTTCTGTGCAATTCAGCTTCACTTCCAATAGCTGGCACCTATGATTTTGTTGAATGCCTTCTATTGAGATTCTAGAATGTACTTTGCCTTTGGGGGCAGCTCTTAACCAATGACAGGTATGAGGGTATAAATAACCCAGATCTCTCATCTCTTGGCCAGCACAGTTCTAAGGTCTGGGTTTTATACTGTTTCCCAGAGTTTCCTCAAAAGATTAAGCTTTACTGCCCACTGCAGTAGCTGGCCTCATAACACAGCTTTCTTGGCCGCCCTCTCTTCCCTATATGATGCCATCACTCCCCTGCCAATGTCCTTACGCCTCCCAGATAATCTATAAGCATTCAATCCTCATCTCAGGATCTGCTTCTGAGGGGAACCCAGCTAAGATTATAAACATTTTTGTTCCTTTTATCTATCCCATTAGAGTATACATTACACGTCTGTCTTGTTCATGGTTATATCCTAGAGCTTAGTTTAGTGTCTGACACATAGTGAGCACTCAATATACATTTGTGTAGTCAGTGAATATTAGTGGTTATTATTATTGAAATGTAGAATTTCTTCCTTTCACTGAGTTGTGTTACACCAGTAGCTTACCATATCCCCCACAGAATGTGAGATGTGCCCGGCAGAACTTAGAGGAACAAAAGTTGTTTTTTTTTCTATAGTGCTGTTAAAAGTAGCACTACTATTAAGATATTGTTTTAGCAAGGTTTGTTATGGTTAGAGGCTCTTTATGAGAAGGAATCCCAAGAAAGATTCTCTAGGATTGTGGCAATTCTTCCTGGTATGACCTGAAACCCCAGCATGTGGATACTTTAGAGATGTTTTAGGCAACAAAACCCCATTATGCTTATTTACAGGTGGTTTAAAGAGAGCAACTGAACCCTGGACCAGGGACCCTCAGTGGAATAAGATGGATACTTATGCAGAGAGAGTGGCAATAATAATATTAAATAATAGCAAAAATAATTAACATGTGCTAAGTGCATTTATGGGCCAGTCCTCAAGTGTATTTGTTAATCTCAGAACCAATGTAGGTGGTAGGTTACAAATTATTCCCATTCTTGATTAAGAGATTGGGGCTCAGGGAGGTTGACTTATCCAAAGTCATACAGCTATCAAAAGGTAGAACTGAGATTTGAAACTAGCTATTATAACTTCAGAGCCCCTGTTCTTACCTAGTGCTCTATCTTGTCCCCCAGGTTAGGAATACTTAAAACCAGTTCAATAGGAGAACTAAGCGAGGTAGTCCAGCCCGGAGAAAATAAGACTGAAAATAAGGTGTTAAAATAAGATGCAACCCTCCTGAGTTGCCTTCAAAGAGTGGCAGATGCCCATGGAAGAGTGGGCAGATGTGTTTCATGTGGCTTAATTTCAGGGAGACTTTTCTAATATTGCTGTTCAGAGGTGGAGGAAATAGTATGTGCCTCAGACACAGAAAACTTCCCCAAACTGGAAATTCAAATGGACTGGTTGTGTGGGCCTCTCAGTGGGAAGTCAGTGAGAGGACTGAAGCATAGGAGGGGTGGCTTGGAGGACCTTCAAGATGTCTTGCAGATGCGAGATTTTAGAATGCAAAGGAATTAGAAGACTCACTGAGTCCCTACGTATGTGGCTGGTACTATGTAGTTTCAGAGAACCAAGATGTAAACTGGTAACATGACTTGGGAGAAATTTACTAATGCCATGTTAATAAACAAAAAAGATATGTGCTATGCATACTCCTTGCATGAGGGAGGCAGAGCTACTGTGCTGCAAGATGAGCCAGCATAAGTGACAGTCAAGAATGTGTGCTTAGAGTCAGTCTACATGGGTAGCTTGCCCAAAGTACTCCCGAGCCTCTTATCTGTAAACAAGTGTTGCTCTGTGGATTAAATAAGCTTTTGCGGGTAAAGGATTTAGCACAGGCTCTTGAAGATGGTAAGCATTAAAAAATGTTAGCCATCTTTCTGAAAACTTTTAAATTTATAATTTTTTCTTAAAAACATAAATGCAAAGTTTCCGTATCTTCTGCATACTCTATAAAATATGAAAAGAGAAAATTTTAAATTTGGGTTGCTGGAATATTGAGACTCAGAGAATTTGAAACTTTTTCCATAACCATAGTAAGGCTAAGATTTATTAAGTACTCAGATACATTTCATGTCACATGGTTGGTTTTCAGCTAAGACAGGATTGGAAGCAGAGTTTCCTGAATTTCAGGCTCTATTTTTCCTCACCTACAATGAACTATTTTGCCTGTGCACATAATGGGTTTCTGTTAGGAATGAAATATATTTTGTCCTGAATCTGTTTACATTTCAGGAAAAGCAGATCAGTTCTGGACCAGAGCTTGTCATATTCGAGATAAAATCTCTCTTCCAAATATCCCTCCCTTGCACATTTGATTTCTGATTGGCTTCCCTCCCTTTTCTCCTCCTTCTTCTCCGGTTTTTATTTCTATTGTCCAGATCACATGTGTACCTTTTCTGCCTTTTTTCTTCTCTAGCTCCCTCTTTTCTCTCACTGAATTTCCCCTTCTCCTGTTTCCCTCTCTATTTACCTACACTGATTTTTATTACTTACATTCTTAAATTTCTGACCAAGAAGTACCCAGTGAAGACACAGCATATAATTAACATGGAGTTAGATTGGCTAGGGATTAAATCATGCTCCAGAAGCTCATCAACAACATTAGAATGGTAATGTTGGTGCCAAAGGATTCAACCAGCAATGGCAGCTAGTGCAGGGCTCCATGAGGTTGCAAAAGGGAACAACATACCGGTCTTTGTCACCTTGGTTAGAACCCAGCCCTTGGATTCAGGCAGACCTGGTTCAAGTTCTGACTCTGCACTTCCTGAGAGTTTCCTCATCTGTAAAGTGGGAAAATACCACAGACCTCCAAGGACAGTTGAGAGGATTAAAGAAGACATGTTTCTTTGGCTCAGTTCTGGGCACATGGTGTGAGCTACATGATGGTAGTAGTTATGAAGGTGATGATTAGCAACTATATCCACCTTTCTTTGGCTCCTTTCTTTCCTGGTCCCTCCCTGCATGCCCAATCAGTGAGAACAATCATTCCACTTGGTTGTGTTGGCTTGATTCTCCAGGCTTTGGGATAGCAACTGGAATGGGAAGGTAGGAATCCCAGGAATATCTCAGCTACAAAACTTTCTGTTGTGAAAAAAATCTTAGTGTTTGAAAAGCTGCAGAAAACAAGAACAAAACAATAAAAAGAAATATGTTTAACTGCAAATTATTTTTCTTTCGAATACAAAGAGAAGTAAAAGAGGGAGATGGTAAATGTTTCTTTTTCCCCTGTTAAAAATGCAGCCTCCTGCATCCTGGATCCTTTTTAATCACCTCTCAATAGGAAAAGAACACTGCTGTCTTCTTCCATTGTTCTCTCCCTCTGTTCCTCCTTCCCTTATGCATCAAACCAATCTACTCGGCTTTCTCTCAGCTGTGGGAATTCACCACTCTGAGGAGAAATTTGGAATCCAGAAGATTACCTCTCCTGCTTCTCCAGAGAGCTGGGAAGGGAAGTTTTCTCTTCTGCCCCTCCATTTCTCTGCCATTCCTGTTTATTAAGCAAAAGTCCCAGATAAGATTTACTGCCACTTTGCCTTTCTCATATCCAGGCAGCTCGTTAATATCACAGACGAACACCTTTCCTGAACACAGACCTGCAGAGTTCTATTCCTGCTCTGTGCCCTGTGATTCTGCCGTATCGCCTTGGCAACCAATTAAAATACTTTAATGTGTACAGCGATATCATTCTTAATTCTGCAAAAACCAGGGTGACCTGCTCAGAAGGCTTTGGCATGCCAGTCAGTTGGTGTTCTCCCTGGTATCTGGCTGCATTCTGGTTTGACTTCTTTTTTCACCTCCCAATTACCTCCGAATCCCCTGCAAGCACCTACGTGTCATTCCTAACACACCTGGCCTCAAGTCAAGCAACACCCTCATCAACAAGGCAGGGGCTGGAAGAGATCCTGAGGACAAAATGGCTGATATGTCTCCTTTCGTTTAGCCTCAAGGGAAGATACCAGGAGCTCAGCCACGAGGCTGGCTAATCTAACCGCAGTTTCTTGCAATATGGCAAACATTATGCATTCAATAATTAAGTATTTAATGAATGCTGATTGCATTTCAGGCCCTGTGTTAGGTACAAAGGAGGACAAGACACCTCCTTACCCATGGAGCTTATAGTCTAGTAGAAAAGAGACATGAACAGACAGCACTGTACAGTCTGTTACATGCTGTGGAGGCTGGAGGATAGCACTGGAGACTGGGAACCTGCGGAGGAACCTAAGACCAACCTGGGTTTGGGACAGAGGGCTGACTTCCGGAGGAACAGAGGCTACACTGGTACCTGAGGGTGGGTTGCCATCAGCCACATGGCGAATTTCCCAAGTAGCTGGACAGTTTTATTCCTGCCTTCTCTAACACTGGCAGTTTGTCTGATGCCCTCAGCTAGGTGGTCTTCTTCAGACACCCTGGGATTATTTGCCTTATTTCTCCTGTCTCCAGGCTAATGTTTTCCTAATAGGCTTTCAGGAAAGGGTGACAGTGAATGATCCACGTTCTCTTACATCTACTCTTGGTCCCTCTATGCTGTGCATGCAAGTGGCACCTGAGAGGCACATTTTCCAAAGCGAGCGGTGTTGGGGCCATGAGGCCAGGACTCACCACCCAACAACTTATGTGCCCCGCAATGCATTCTGAGGTTTGCAATCCTCAGTGTCATGGGTTTCTGTTGATGCCTAGTTTTAAAAAGTACAACCTCAAAATCTTCCCTAAACATTCCCACAACTAGAGGGATGATAAATTTTGATGTGTAATCATATTTTCCTATTTTGTTTTATTAATATTTACACTTACAGAACACAAACCTCTTGTATAAAGTGGAGATACCAGTAGCACCATTCTCAGTGGGTTGTATGTAGAGTTAAATGAGATTCTGTAGGTAGAGCCCAGTGAATGACACATAGTAAGTCCTCCATACATGTACTCTGTTTGTAGAGTTGACCAGTTCTTCATCTGTGCTCTCGTAACACATGTGAACACCCTTTATTTTAAGATTTATTAACTGCATCATGCATAATAAGTAAGATGCAGTTAATAAATCTTAAAATAACTTGAAAATAAAGTTTAAGTGGTATGTGGTTTACATAAAAGACCACAAGCTATTTGGTAATATTTTAAGTAGTATGTGGTTTACATAAAAGACCACAAGCTATTGAGGACATGGATCCTGTCTCTCTCACTTTTGGAGCCCAAGCAAAGGGACTTTACCCATCAAAGACATCTTATATGTGTCTGTTGAACAAGTGAGACCTGGGAAATATTAATAATAACAATGCCTGACATTGATTGCCACTGAGCTTACTATGAGTCAGGCCCTGTGCTATGAGCTTTATAAGAATTATCTTGATATATCCTCCAAGTGATGCCATGATTTTTATTATCCCCAGGTCTATAGCACAGGGAAATAGCAGTCCAACTGTGGTGGGCATGATAGCATGTGAAAAGAGAAACCTACCTGGAGGAGTACAAGGAGATAGCTAATCATACTGGGAGCTTATTTGGTGCCAGGCCCTGTGCTAAGCACTTTATAGGCATCATCTCATTAAATCCTCCCAATAACCATATGAGGTGAGCCTTACTATTTCTATTTCATAGTAACAATGATCAGAGTCACTAAGTAACTTGCCCAGAAACACACAGGCAGTACTCATGAATGGACAGCATTGTCTTGTAAACATTAAGCAAACATTGTCTTGTTTACTTGTATCATCAGATGTCTAAGGTCAGAAGCAGCAGAAAATTGGAATACATATTTTAAAAATAATACTAAATACCTATTCCTATTATTCAGAAATAATTTAAATATATATAATTTTATTTTAAATATATATATATATATATGGGAGAGGACAGAATGGAAAGTTATTGTTCAATGGGTACAGAGTTTCAGTATGGGGTGATGAAAAAGTTCTGAAGATGGATAGTGGTGACACTTGCATAACAAGATCAATGTACTTAATGCTGCTGAACTGAACACTTAGCAAAGGCTAACATGGTAGATTTTATGTTATGTGTATTTTACCACAATAAAAAATATAATTGTTGAAAAAACTGATAAAATTAGGGCTTTGGCAGCACAAGTACAGGGGCCATGTTTCTACTGGAAACACTGTCTTCCCTTCATATTGGAGGCCAGGTCAGTTCAACTCATAAACTCAGTGGCAAATTCTTTCAGAGCCTCTTCCTTTCTGTCACTGGTATCCCTATGACTAAGTGTCAGTTAAGATGAAGTGTTTCTCTCAAGATCAAAGAGCACATGAAATTTGTGGTGTATGATGTAAGAGTTTAGTCATATGCAGAGTGGCACTGCCTATCTTCTTAGGGTTAGCGACTCATGAGCTAAGAGATCTTGAAGCTGGCCCACTGTATTTTCCCGAGAATGATGTTCATCACCCAAAAAGGTATTTAATAAGGTGATTCACAGCAAGAATGTTTCAGTCACCACATGACTTTATGCCTAATATAGTGTGCCACTTGTTTCTCAAATAGCTCTGTAATGGCTCAATTCATAAAGGGTTCATTTCTGCATAATGAGGAGTTATTTCATGATCCCATGAGGTCTACCACAGGCATGATTGTGTTTATTTATTTACTCTTCCATTAAAAAAAATTCCTAATATGGGCCAAGCTGTGGGCTGGGTGCTCTGAGCACAGTATTCAGAGATAAGATGAGTTGCCTGTTTTGTTTGTACTCGGAAAAAAGATCGAAGAAATGACAGAGATCTGAGATGAACTCAGCTACTATTTGAGTCCTGGAGTCTGAGCTCATGAGTGTCCCTGGTGTGAGCTTTCAAGACAGAGCCTGGTACATAGCAGGCACTTAGGAACAGTTTGTTGAATGCTCTGGCTTCTGAGCTGGGGATCTGGGGCAGTGTGACCCTGGGGACTGGCACAGGCCCCAGATGCAGGAAGCAGCTCATGGTGAACAGATTTATCTTTCCCTGCTCATGTTATATCACTTGCTTTGGATGTTCTTGCTGGTGTTCATGTGTGCTAGGGGTTTCAGGTAACCTGACCATTTCAATGGAAAAGACTGGCTTTGTCTGCCAAGGACATGGAGACTGCTCCTCAGTTACCCAGTAAGCTCGGTCACCTGCTTGGAGTAGAGATAACTTCTTGTTTGGCTGCACTGAATCCAAGAAGTTGCTGTAGATACAGCTGATAGTCCTCACAATGGCAGGCAACAAGTCTGGCATGAGGGCTGCTGGAGAGACTTTATTACAGAGAATGCTTGACATGCGTCTTCCTGGTGGTATCTAGTCACCCTGATAGGAAGGCAAGTATCTAGTCACTCTGCCTCTCCTCTATCTGTTTCCTTCCCTTCTCTTTCAGCTTCAATTCTCATTCAAGATATCCCTGCCCTATCCTGCCTTTTCTAGGTCCACATGCCCAGAACAGACCCTGCCTTTTCTTCCCTTGACCATACACTTCCTGACTTTTAAAACATCTTTTTGTTTTTCTAGGAAGTTTCTTTTTATCAATCAAGCTTCATTTTGTTCAAACTGAATTGCCTTGCCACCTGATATTTTCATAAACCATCATTTCTTGAGTCTAAGAATTCTTTGTCTTAATCAAGTTTATGGGGTTATAATTTACATACAAAAATGTACCCAGTTTAAGTGTCTACTTTGATGTTTTCGTAAAACTATATACCATTGCATAAAACATTTTCATTATGCAAAAAATCACTATAGTTTATGGTTTTGTCTTTTCTACAATTTTACATAAGTGGAATAAGACAGTATGTACTCTTTGGTAAGACACTTCTTTTTTCACATCTTAACATTTCTAAAATTGGATGCATCCTACAGTGAGCATGTAACATAGTAGTGTTTCTCTTTCCCTCTAAGAACTATAACTAAATAGACAATACATCTTATAATGAATACCTTAAAATCAATATCAATATCCCTAATTTTGATACATGTATGTCTCTATATATGTATCTTTGTATACAGGTATACTGACTAGTTGGTTTACCAATTAGTCTTGACTGGTTTCTGCACTGAGGAGGTGAGAATCTTTGCTTTGCTGTGCAGGTTACCATAGTGCCTATAGCTGAAAACTGGTAGGAACTAAATAAATACTGCAGAGGGTGGCAATAGTGAGTTTCCAACAGTTTCCTAAAAATATCTTTTGCATTATGACTGAGCATGTGAACTCTGAGACAGCGTTTCTCAAATTTTGTTCCATGGACAATTAATATTACTAAGAGGCTAATACAAGAAAAGGGAGAAGAAAGGGGTGTCAGTGCCATAGAAATGTGGGAAATGTTTCTTATTAAGCTCTCACTTAGAAATTTACAATTCATCAGCATGGTAAAACGTGCAAAAAGTCCTGCAGCAAAGGGAAAATGTTTAGTTTTACTTTAATCTCAGGTTTGTTTGACCCTGGCACTGTGTGGCACACCCATTACAGAATTCACCATGTGAAAGGCTGGTCTAAAGTACAAGCATGAATAAATAGAAGGAGAAAGGAAGGGAGAGTCAGGTGTGGTGTGTGCCTGTAGTTGTAGCTGCTCAGGAAGCTGAGGCAGGATTGCTTGAGCCCAGGAGTTCGAGGCTGCAGCAAGCTATAATTGGGCCACTGCACTGCACTGCACTGTGACGGAATGAGACCCTGTCTCTAAAGCATAATTTAAAAAAAAAAAAAAAAAAGGGAAAAGAAATTGAGTAAAGTTGTCCAGGTTGAGTATCCCTTGGGACCAGAAGAGTTTCAGATTTCAGATTTTTTTTGGATTTTGGAATATTTGCAGAATACATACTAGTTGAGCATCCCAAATTGAAAAATCTAAAATCTGAAATTCAAAATGCTTTGATGAACACTTCCTTTAAGCCTCATGTCAGCACTCAAAAAGTGTTGGATTTTGGAGCATTTTGGATGTCAGATTTTCAAATTAGGGCTGCACAACCTATATCTGAGCTGGTCCCAGCTAAGCCAAAGTGATGTAACAGTGCTGGCAATGGGCCAGATGAGAATGCTCTTCAAGAGTCAAGGGCTGAATAGGCACATTTCTTCTCTCCTGAGACTTTTTATAGCATGAACGGACAGGTGGGCAGGCAACTTTTCCTAAGGGGAAATGAAACAACACAAAAATATATATTGGCTAATCCCTTAGGTAACATGTCCCTAATGCACACGGCAAATAATTGAGGTTGAGTAAGAAAAACCTTATGCCCCACCCATTGCCTCAGAGCTTAGGCCATCCTGTGGGGAGTGAGCTGTTTATTGGGTTTGTCCACTGCTTGGCCAGACACCTTTAACTGATAAAACAAAAACAAAAACAAAAACAAAAACAAAAAACTGAAGTAGGTAATGGAATGGCTGTCTACAACACGGAGGAACCCACTGCAGGGATTACCCTGATCACTTAAGTGATAGTGAAGTTTTTCTCAGAAATAGCATTGATCCAATACACATAGAAATGAAAGGAAATCAGAGTGGGTCAGGTGAATATCAGGCAGAGGCTAAAAGAAATGTGCAAGAACTTACTTTCCTTTCTTAAAATATTGTCATACGGTAAAATCGACTTTTGTCTCTTGGCATTTATTTGTATAAATTTTAACACATACATAGTTTCATTTAATTACTACCACAATCAGGATATGTAACAGTTCTATCACCTCATTCTGCCCCTTTTTGGTCCCATCCTCCCCCAGTCCATAACCCCTGGCTACCACTGACCTATTTCTCATCACTACAGTTTTGTCTTTTTGAGAACTCCCTTTCCTTTTGCAGTACTCTTTGGTTCCTTTTTTTTTTTTAATGGAGATCCCTGCATGTTTCTGTGTGTGTGCAAAGAACTCTAGTGCCAGCTGACTTTCTCTTCCATTGTTACTCTTTTGTTATTTACTGTTGCTAACATTTATTAGCTTCTGTTATATGCCAGGCACTTGTGCTAAGCTCTTTATATATATTATATATATGTATATCATTTTAATCTCATTTTAATCATTTTAATCTCACAATAGCTGTATGATATAAGTATGCCTTTATTATTCCTATTATATAAGTCTAGAAACTGAGGATCAGAGAGGTTAAGTGACTTGCCTAAGGCCACACAGCTAACAAACAATTGAATCCTGGCACAAATACAGCCCACTTCACCATAAATCCTTAAATGCTACAGTAAGCAATAAAAGAGAGGAGACTAACTAGAAAAGAGGTACACTGAGAGAGATTGAAGGCAGTGCCAGTGTGGGGCCATGTGGTTATTAAAAATGTTTGTAAATGTGTGTGAAGCTGGAGAACCATCTGGGTCTCTTGACTTCTCAACCTTAGCCCCTACCTTTATGTCTTCCTCCACCTACTACATATGGTCCTTGCTGTCCCAGATGGCACCTATCTGCTGTTTTCAGGGGCCTGGGATGATTTTAATCCCCTTGCAAATTTAGCAAAAACCCCACTGTCTGTATCACAGCTCTATTACAGGACACAACCTCTGAGACTCAGGAAAGGGGCTAGTCCACCTTCTGGTTTCTACCCAGCCTCATTCCCTGATATGTTTTCTGACCTCATTTTTTTTCCCCATCAGTTGCTTGCAACACCAGCTGAAAAGTTTCTAGGACAAAGCCACCTGGTCTGTGTGCTGGAGGTGGCAGGTGTGTTCTTGCTGATAAGGGGCAAGTAAGACAGAAACGTGTGTGACTGGCATGATGCTAGCAAGGTAGGGAGAAAGTCCATCCCTACAGAACCCATGGCAATATTTGTGTTGGGGAATAGAGTGAGAAGCAGGAAAAAACGAAAGATAAAAATGTTAATAAAGAATTGATGATGCGGAGGAAGTAGACCAGGTTCTTGCCCTGTGTATGGTTTTCCTTTGAAGGTGCTGTTTGGGGAAAGTGAAGTTAGTTAGGGAGTTTTCTCCTAGAATGGATCATAGTGCCTTAAGGGTTCTGGAAGTGAGCTGCGAAGCCAGCACATGCTGGGAAGAATCACACATCTGAATCATGGCCACGGATCATGTGGAGGCAAACAAAACAATGCAAAAATCAGGGTACCAAGGACCGTCTCTGGATGGCACTTGCTTAATAAGGGGCTGAAAGGGTGTGTGTAATTTAGAGTAGAAAGTATTGAGTCACTTCAACAACAACCACAGCTAACATTTACTGAGCACTTAATATGAGCCAGTCTCTGTGCTAAGAGCTAAGTGACATGAATCATCTCACTTATTTCTCACAACAACCCTCTGAGGTAGGTACTACCATTATCTCCAATTTACAGATGGGGAATTGGAGGACCTGAGGTTTAAGTGACTCACCCAAAGTGCAGAACTGTTGAGGGGCAGAGTCAGGATTTGAATTTGGGTATTTCTCAAACCCAAGTCCACAGATTCATAACTTCTCTGCTTTACCACCTATCCTAAATCAGAAATATTACTAAAGTGTAGCAGAATGAGGAAGAAGAGAGATCAGCTATTCAGGAACCTACAATCCTTTTGAAGGCTTGCCAAGTTCCTTTGCTTTAACTGTATTAGGGAAGGAATAAGAAGAACCAGTGGAATTTGCACCACCAGGACCTCTTCCTGGAGGAGTCTGGTGATCTTGCCTGTTGGTTTGAAATAAATGCACACTGCAGAAACCTACAGCTGTTTCTCAAGTTTTCTTTTTACACAATCATCTAGGGAGGGTTTTAGACATGTAGGCACAATAGGCAATTTTTTTCTCTCTATGGGCTGGCACCATGAGGTGTGACTATTGGTTCCACCCTAGAACACTGGTTGGCACAGGAAGCATCAGGCCTCTTTGAGCCAACAAAAAGAGCTTGATGAGCTTGTTTTTTAGATGAGTCTAGGTGAGCAGAACAGACTTTGGGCTTCAAAAGCTCATGGACAGAAAGTTAAACGAACTTTTTCAGGGTGCCAGGTTATCGGCAAGTCCTTTGAAAGAGGTGTTTTACAAAATGGTGCCCTGTGACAACAGGTTATTTATGCTCTCTGAGTGGAGTACTTTATACTTAGTATTATCCTGGCCTGAGCTCATCATAGAATCAAGTTCAATAATAATACCTATTACACTCTCCTGCAAGGGCTGTAACTCCTTCTACATTTTGTAGCATGCCTCATGTGTGGCAGGGCACAATAAACAGTCAATAATAATGTTCACTGTGATAATGATCTTCCAAATGTCTTTCATCTAAGGCTCTCAAAGTGTTTTGGAGATACTAATTAGTTAAACCTCACAGTAGCTGTCTGTTTTTATACATGACATCTTCCCATTTTACAGAATTTTAAATTGAGACCCAGCAAACATAAGTGGCTTGCCCAAAGTCATACAGCATGTCTAAATGAATCTTAATGATGATGCTTTGCATTTACATAGCAGATGTTTTCTAAGGCAGTAAAAGTATGTTGCAAAGATAATTTTCACACTATCCTGGAGGAAGGTGGGTAGCAAGTAGCTTTTGACTAGATTGGCTGAACTGTGGCAGAGAGGGCAAGGAACTCAGGAGGATTTGACCGAGGATGTAAGTCCATTCCTCTGACTCTCTAAACAGACTGTGGCATCCAGACAACCCTCAGTTCTCTTAACTGTGGGATGCATGGTTGCTTTCATGGTTGCAAAAAAGATAGGTAATATTTTTGGGAGCAGAGGCACGTTGCAGAACAGCAGCCATATTGACATCCAGAAATAGGTTTGTTCATATCCCCACTGAGGAAGGCAAAAGGAATGAGAGGAGTCACTTCAAGAAAGGATAGTTAGGACATAAAGGAATTGGGAAGTGGGGGTGCCAGCTCTGCTCTCTTGCAGAGCATCTTTCTAGCCCAGGTCCTGCCTGAACACAGGAGCCCTTGAGTTTCAGCCTCACCACAGGACTTGGTCCAGAGCAGCTTGGAGGGTGGGCACAGACGATAGTCTGATGTTATAAGTCCCTGCAAAAGAATTCCAGAGAGACCCAGTATCTTAATGGCTGTCTCTTATGTACAACCAGCTCTCACCTCAATTCCCTGTGCCAGAAGGGCCCTGAGAATCCTCTATAGTTCAAAAACTTGGTAGCTGTGGATCCATTCATCGCTACCTGTCCTTTGCAACACAGTCACATTGAGAAAGATGTAAACCACAACAAAAATATTCCAAGCTGATAAGGGAACTGCCTCCTCCCAGTGTGACACCGTTTCCTGAGTAAGTGATGATACTCCGCTGAAAGGCAGGTCAGACTTCTGCAAGGTGGGGAAGGGAAGAGGTTGCTAGGTCTTAGGAATTCAAGGGGGATTTGCTGACCCAGAGATAGAGCTCTTTTCTCTACAAACAAGGCATGTTTGAGAACAATTTGCTTCCCCACCCCTACTTCGCCATTTCCAGACCTGTGGATTCTGATTGATGACTAGACCAGGGGTAGTGGAGGGACTTAAAAAGAGTTCCAAACCCTTTTCTGGAATGTGTCACTTACAAGCACAATGGCAATAAAAAGCCTACAGTGAAGAAATCAAGGGTGTACAGTGAAAAAATGTCCTGCTTCTTCCCACCCTCATTGTTGAATGTTTACACATGCGCCATGGGTGGTTTAAAGATGCAGTGAACCCAGGAAGTGGTAGCTCTTAGAAGGAAAATTTCGGAAAGTTGTTCCAAATGCGTATCACAAGCCACTCCTCACTCCTGAGTAAGGAAGCAGTCCTGCAAGACCCTCCCACACGTTATTCCTCTTCAGAGCAGGGAGATGTGGGACACTGCTGCCAGCATTTAGACTCTAATGCTTGCTCTAGGTAAGACTTCAAGGAATGTAGCTTTGATTTTCTAAGTATGCCAATGGCCCAAGCCACAGCTTTCCGTGTCCACTTTTTTACACTGACTCCAGGGGTGACAGTGCAAATAATTCTGCTGGACTCACAAGGACCATGTCCTTCTTTCCAGATGTGCCCTTACACATTATCCCACAACAAGGTTCATAGCCAGGTCAGATAAAGTCCTCGGGGTGTGCTTTCAGCGCTGGACAGAGCGATTCCCATTATCCAAACATGAAAAGCATTAATCTCCTGTGAGGCGTAACTGGGTCTGTTTGGTTTTTTAATTGCAGCCCCTGCTGTGTATCTTCTCTGTATTTCATTCATTTTGCAAAATGAGACACATCTGCAGAGCTCCTATACACAGCTGAAGCACTTCACAGCCCAGCCTTTGCTATCAATCAGTCCACCCACATAGATGCTTCCCTCCTGCACTATCTCCCGCGTCAAGTATCTTGATAGCTTGGAACAGATTATGAATGAGTATTGCCATAATAGCACTTTATGACTAGGGGTGGGAAGATGGATTTGGGTAAAATTCAAACAAAACCTGACATTTGGAAATTTCTGAGAGATCTCAAAAGCAACAAGCAGTTGGATTTGTTTTCTCTCTTTTGTTTCTCCCCACCCTCCGTGCATTTCCCAGGCACTAGTTTGGCCTCAGAACAGCAGAAGTGAAACACCAAAAATATAATCTAAAAGGCTTTCCTTGTTCTACTACTTTCTGGACTAGAGGAAAGGAGAACCTAGGAAGCTTTAATAGTTCTAAAGAGAATTCTTAGATGGATTAGATAGGCTCAGGTTTTCATTGTATTTGAGTAAAATGATCACTGCCCACAGAAACTTATCACTGGGAAATCAACAGCAGCACTCTGGAATGTAACTAAAAGAAGATAATCTCTAGCTCCTTGTATACACAAATCCAACCTCTATGTGGACATGATATTAGCAAATAAGATCTCTCTTACCCCATCCATGTGGATTCTGACATTAGGCACTAGCCGGAAAGGACTGGCCTGCAGACGTCTGGGGTTGGTCCTGCTTTTCCTGCCATCCTGCAAGGTCATCGTGCCAGGCCTGCGGAAGGAGCCCCCTCTCCCGGAGCTCTGCCCTGAGCGCACTCCATCCAGAAGGCGCACGAGCAGCAGGTTGGCCGGCAGCGCCTCAATGTTGGAAAACACAGGCGTCCTGCATTCGGGGCACCGCAGCTCTTTGTGGGCCTTGAAAACCCTCTGTAGACATGGTTTGCAGAAGGTGTGCTGGCAAGGGAGGACTTTGGCTGTGACATCGAGCTTCTCAAAGCACACAGGGCACTCCAGAAGATCAAGTAACGTCAAATCATCCATTTTATTTCAAAACTCCAGTTCCCACCTGGAGGAGCAGCGTCCACATGGTAGGGTCAGTTGAGCCACGGGGGCAGAGCTGGTCTCTTGAGAACGTCAGAATTTTTGCCTGCTTGAAGGAGGGAGAGGAGAGAAAAAAAAATGTGACTGCTCCGAGAGGTATATCCCACCTACATTGAGGCAGTGTCTCATAAGGCAGTTTGCAAGTACTTTGTTCCGGCACCCAAGTTTCAAATGACTCATTCTGATTCAATGCTAGCAGGTATAAGACTCAACTCGTGCTTGCTGTGAGGATCAGAGGGAACATTCAGCACAAGACTGACTGCTTATTGCCTATGTGGACAGGAAAGCAGGGAGATAAACTGGCCTGCTGAAGTGGCCCCCCAACCCCTCTCTACCAGCCAGGGCGGGAAGAGGTCCTTTACCCCCTGCCCGGGGAAAGCTCCTGGACAGTCTCAATTCTTACAACAAAGCCCCCTCCGAACGCAATTTCTGTGAAGCTATCTCCTCCTCCTCCTTCCCCTAAATCTAAATGTATCTATTATCTGCACCACATGCAGATTAGTTTAGGTGGGTAAGTTTATCTGAATCTCATGCAGATGTAGAATTATTTCCTTCACAATATACCTTCCCACATGATTCTAGCAATGTACAAGAAAAATTTCCACTAGAAACCCATTTCCAAAAATTGTTTTGCCTTAACCACAGGTCAGGGTGCTTGGAAGCTTTGTTTCTTTTCTTTTTTCATCTTTTTTTTTTTTTCTCTCCTCATCCCGATTACCTTAGGCTCAGAGACAATGTTCCTCCCACAAGGTAAAGTAGTGCAGCCTGTTTAGTTACTTTGACATTGTTCTCAATTTCAAATGAAGCAGATAGGAATTCTGGATTGTGGTCACGACCTGTAAAAACCGTACTGGGGCAGCATATACAGGTAGGGGTCGTGTGTGTGTGTACTCTGAAAACAGTACTTGTTCCAGAAACAAGTTTCCTTTTGGATGTATGAAAAGAAGCCTCCAGTTTAGAAAAGTCTGGAAGAAGTCAGCTGTCCCTCACAAGTGCCAGGGCTTCGGTAAGCACCGAGCCCAGAGGTTTGGCGAGAAGGCCAGTGGCCCCACTAGCGACTAGTAAGCAGGACAGACACGACCGAGAATGAGCGATGGCGCCTCGCCTTCCTAAGCCTCCTCTCCAAAGATGTCAGCGCGGCAGCGGGCTGGGGAGGCGTGTGGGGGCCACTAACCTTGTGCATGTAACTTCTGCTGAGTTCAGCTCAGCCCCCTCCTCCGCGCAGCAGGGGTGCGCTGCGCCCTCCAACCGGCTTCCTTTCCTCCAAGCGCCGCTGCTGCCAACCGCTTTGAAAACTTTAACCACTCAGTCTTACTCATTTCAAGGGATCGCCTTACCCAGCCCTGTTAACGCTTTCACTGCCAGGGCGCTGCCTACTTACCACGCTTTTGTTGTTGCAGTTGTTAACTTTATGATCTTTCCTTCAGTTTACTGAATTGCTTCTGGGAAAAGATTGTAAGAGGTAAAATATAAGCCAGTCCCTAAGGCCAAGTATTTACAAAGTTCATATTTTCACCTTTCCCGTTTTCTGTAGTATCCAAGGAGTCAGAACCTGCTCCATTATAAACATACCAAAGTGATTGTGTTTATTTTAAATCTTCATAAGGATTTCCTGGGAAGGTCAAAAGTAAAAATGGTCAAGCTATGAAAACAAGGATAAGTCGGACACCTAGAAAATATTGCTCTTTGAAAATCATAGTCAATCTCTGAATTTAGAGATAAGAGGGACTTTAGTGATCTTTTTGCTCAATCTGTTTAAATTAAAAAACTAGTGTCACGTATATACACATACGTGAAAAATCAAAGCACAGAGAAGCTTTTTCAAAAAAGGAAAAGCAGTGGCCTCCAAGCTCTCCTCCTGCCTGTTATCCACTGTAGTCTTTTCATATCCTCAGATTATGCCTATATTTCTATTTTTTGATTTATCGATAATACATTTCATGTAAAATTACAAAGGTATCCGATTAAGTGAATAATAACAATCTTAATGCCAGGGTAGTCCTTATCTGTGTCAACCACTGTTCTAAATACCTTACCTGTGTTAGCCCTTTAACCCCTTAACAACCCAAGGAGACACTAAACTATTCTTTACTTTCATCTTGCAGATGAGGGAACTTGAGACACAGAGAGGATAAATAACTCATCTCGGGAGTCACAGCTAGCAGAAGGCAAGTGGGCTGTGCTCTTAACAATGTCATGGAGTGATATAACTTTAAGAGGCTGGCCAGGCGCAGTGGCTCATGCCTGTAATCCCAACACTTTGGGAGGCCGACGTGGGCAGATCACAAGGTCAGGAGATCAAGACCATCCTGACCAACATGGTGAAACCTCATTTCTACTAAAAATACAAAAATTAGCTGGGCATGGTGGTGCGCACCTGAAGTCCCAGCTACTCAGGAGGCTGAGGCAGGAGAATCGCTTGAACCTGGGAGGCGGAGGCTGGAGTGAGCTGAGATCGTGCCACTGCACTCCAGCCAGGGCGACAAAAAAAAAAAAAAAAAAAAAGAGGTGAAGAGGTGGTTCAAGGGAGCTAAGCCTCCCCTAAGAGGGCAAGAGGTCAAAAGATAATGGACAAAACTGGCTACTCACTTTCTCTTACAGATGAGGCAGCTGTGCCCAGAAAGATCAAGGGATTCTTTGAAGTTGTCCAGTGAGTTAGGGGCAGAATTGGGACTAGAAACTAGGTGTTTGAGGCCAGGCGCGGTGACTCATGCCTGTAATCCCAGCACTTTGGAAGGCTGAGGTGTGGGTGGATTGCTTGAGGTCAGGAGTTTGAGACCAGCCTGGCCAACATGGTGAAGCCCGATCTCTACTAAAAATGCAAAAATTAGCTGGGTGTGTTGGCTGGGAGTGCTTGGGAGGCTGAAGCACAAGAATCACTTGAACCTGGGAGGTGGAGGCTGCAGTGAGCTGAGATTGTGCCATTGCACTCCAGCCTGGGCGACTAAGACTCCGTCTCAAAAAAAAAAAAAAAAAAAAAGAGAAAGAAACTGGGTGTTCTTTTTAAAATTATTGTTATTACTATATCTTCTCTCTAGACGTAAGGATGACAATTATTTATTATGCAGAGAGTGTTCAGACACAGCTCAATGGGAAAATCTTAAGAGGAGACCAGGAGGTCTGAAAACATTGTTTACATATTTTTCCACGTTCTTTCATGTTAGTTCCAAAACATCAAACATGCATGTGGCCCAGAACTTTAGGATGGAGCCGATGGTTATCTATTTTCTGAGCACGGAGGCCTAATTTTGATGTAGGACAATTTCAGAGACCACTTTCAACTATTACTTTTTTAACGTCACTTTTGAGCTTTGATAACATCACATCCCATTCTGCTTGCCTGTCTCCTTCTATTAATTTCTACTCTTGAGTCTGTGCCACTAAGGAAGCTCTTGAGGTTTACTGTCCTCTTACTCTGTTTCCCACTTAGTAAAGCTGAGTCAGTTTCCTTTGTGCCCTGCAGTGGTCTCACTCCGTAAAAAGGGCCACTCCTATGCTGGAACTCCTGTTGCAGAGATTGGCGATATTTTTCATTATTCTTTCTCTTGTTCTTAAACACACTCTATCTCCCTTACATACTCATATCTGCACCTATATGCAGATGCATGCATACACTTGTGTAAGGGTGCACACATACATAATCTTAATAATAGTAACACCTATGGAGCACTTGCTGTATGCCACTGACCAATGCTAAGATTTTAAACATATTATCTCATTGAATTCTCCCAACCACCCCGTAAGATACTGTAACTTTCCCAGGGTTACAAACCTTGTGATCTGAACTCAGGTTGGTCTAATCCCGGGGCCTGTGTTTCTTTTCATTTTATAAAATCATGTACATATCATAAGTACACCCATGTATCTTTACTATTTAAATCTGCACATGGTTACACATATACCCATATTGTACACACCAGCTGATCTCAGAGCCAACCCAAGACAAAATATTGATGTCAGAAAAGGAGATTGGGCCCCTCTGGGTTGTAGTCTACCCATCTCATGGCCCCTCCACACCCCTGTATGGTCAATGGTCTTAAAAGCTTCAAACCTTCCCATCCCTGAGAAAATGCAGTCAAACCAGCTCAGTCCCAGGAAGGCAGACTAGATCCAGTGGGTTACTCTTGTAGCAAATCTGGCAATTGAAAATCCAGCCAAGTAGAATCGTGATGGTAGAATTTTAGGTTCTAATGGAGGACAGAGAAAAGGTACACTGAAGCGAGGGGTCATCTTTCAGCACCTCTCAAACGACGCCCTGTAGGTGGTCCCCAACACCACCCACATGAGGTTAGTCTTGAAGAGAAAATTTCTTGAAACTTTTAAAGAAGGGCGAGAGTTTTAAATGGGGATTTGTTCTGGCTTACCCAAATACTACCTTGGCATCAAATCAGATGAACATGTAGTCTTTAAAAACAAACAAAAAGGTGAACTATGCATACCTCTTCAGACTCCAGGCCACCTCCCTTCTCCCGCTGTTCCCACCCCACCAACACTCCTGTTTCTATCTGTATAGTTATGGGGTGATGATTGGCTGCATTCTTTTAAAAAATCTGTATGATATGTCTGACCTTCTGCTGTGCATATTTATGAGTACATTTAGATTTATGTATATAAAACACACAAACAAGCAAACCTGGTCTTATTGTTTCCCTAGTCAAAACTCTTCAGTAGGTTTCCATAACCTTAGGATAACATCAAATCCTTCTTCCGCGCTGTCAGGCCCTGCGTGATCTGGCTCATGCCCACCTCTCCTGCTTCAACTTATACCCCCATCACCCCCTCACTCAGCACACTCTTGACCCACTGGGTTTCTCTTCACTCTTAGGATAGCGTTTTTGTCATCAAGTATTTGTTCATGCTCTTCTTTCTGTCTTCAACACACCCTCTTCCCCTTCCTCTCTTCCTAGTTACTCTCTTCCTCCCTGCTTTGCTTTTTTAATGCCCTTCTCTGCAAATTTGAGCTTTAAAAAATGTCAGTTCCTCCAGGAAGACTTCTTTGATTTTCATGAGTAGAAAGTTTGTCATCCTACACTTCTCCTTTATAACAGCTATCACAGCTGTAACTCAGTAATTATTTTATAATGATTTATTTAATGCCCAACTCCCGCAAATAGACTGTAAACTCCAAGAGAGGAAGGACCTTATGTGTCTTGTTGCTCTTCTGTTCCCCTGTATCTAACACAGTGGCTGGCATGTGGTTGATACTCAATAAATGTTGAATGGGTTTATTGATGACTACATGAATGAATGATGTTTTTAAAAATTTGTGTTTGAGCAGGTGTACCCCAAATGGTTGATAATGGTTTTATATTAGACACCTCTTGAGTGTCACTTTGAATGTTCTCAACCACACCTCTTATTTAAGCTAAGAAGTTTTCCCAGATTCAGGCCACATGCAGAGATTCTACTTGGCAGTGTCTATCCTCAAGATCTAGCCACATACTTCTTGCCTACTGCCTTGGAGCTTCTCTGATGTTGCAGCATGGGACACACATGAGAACTTGCTTCACACACACATGTACATGATCCAGAAGTGTGGACCGTCTTTGACTAATGGAAAGTCTGTGGATACATTTTCCCCTTTTATCCTCTGGGAAGGCAGTCTTGAGATGTCATAAAGTTCTTCAGAAGGTCTTGTGGGATGAGTACCTTTCATCCATAGGGGGCTAACACAATAATGCATCTTTGTGCTAGCTTTCTCTCATTCCGTTTCACTCCTCTATCCTAACTCCTGCTCCCAAATAAATCACTTTCAAGGAAGCAAGCCTTTGTCTCAGGCTAAGACAGTTTCTTTCCAATTAAAAATTAAATCACAAACAAGTGTTTAGGTAAGTTTTGTCAATCAAATTTACTTATTGGAATTATGATTTTAGAGGTGTACTATTTTCATTTGACTGGCTCTTAGCCACTTGGTCGCAGGCTCTCTGCCATAAAGTTACTCATTTGTAAGGCACTCCTTAAATCCATCAAAGGAGTTGAGGTATTTGGAAATCTAAAGTTTTAGAGCTGCAGGGTCATGAAACCTCTCTTGACCATCACTGGACCCTTGTTGCTGAAGGCCATGTTTTGTACATCTTTGCTCTCTTCGATTAGTACCTAGTATAAATCTAGATATGTTTTAAATATTTAAATAGACCTATGTTATCTGTTTCTGTGATGTTGACCTTGCTCATATGATTTGATTTTTCTAGTGATACTGAGAAACCTTTGGGACAATTCAAGAGGAGGAATGACTGGAGGACAACAGCAGAAATGTGAAGAAAATCAGACTGACAGGGTTGAGTGGCTATTAACACTCTTTCTTTAAAGGATACAGACCCAGGATGAAGTCAGATGTGAGATTTCCTCTCCAATTGAGGGTATGTTTGCAGGTGAGGAGTGTACTTTAAAATATTCTCATGCAATCACCAGGCCCACAGTAAAGTGACCCAGACTGCTGGCCAGGACAAAGAGGCATTATACATTTTCTGGAGGTGACTTATTGTTCTTAAATTTAATAGGAAACAGTTGGAACCAGCAGTCAAGAGCATGGTTTTGGGCCAGGTGCAGTGGCTCATGCCTGTAATTCCAGCGCTTTGGGAGGCTAAGGCAGGCGGATGGCTTGAGTTCAGGGGTTCAAGACCAGCCTGGGCAACATGGCAAAATCCTGTCTCTACAAAAAATACAAAAATTAACTGAGTATGGTGGCACATGCCTATAGTCCCAGCTACTAGGGAGGCTGAGGTGGGAGGATCACTTGAGCCCAGGAGGTTGAGGCTGCAGTGAACTGAGATCGCACCACTGCACTCCAGCCTGGGTGACAAAGTGAGACCCTGTCTAAAACAAAACAAAACAAACAGACAAAAAGCCCTATGGTTTTGGAGTCTAACAGACCCGGTTTGAATCTCAGCTCTGCCAGTTGCTAGATAGACAGATAGATCACTTAGGCGAATTACTCTCTTCCTCTGTTCCTTGGATTCCTCATGGATAAAGTGAGGATGCTAGTAGCACCTACTTCATTGAGATGTTCTGAAGAGTCAGTTGAGATGATGTATATAATAGTGCTTAATAGATGTAGGCTTCTTATCTTCTTTCTTCTTTTTCTGTAAGTAGATCTCATAAAAGAACCAGATGCCAGATGGTTCTCATTCTAACGCAGACTAATCCAAAGAAAAACATGCTAGGCCATGTGATTGCTCAGTTCTTTATTGATCAAAATGCTCTTACACAATGTATCCCTAACCTCCATCATTTGCATTTTATCTTTATGCCTTTTGCCATAATCATGTACTTTTTTAAAATGTCGAATCAGTTTTTAATTGAAATAATTTATTTTAAAGGGAAATTTAAAAAATACTACTATAAATGGGAAACCAGTTTCATTTGCTGCAATTTGAAGGTGAAAGTAAAGGCACATTTGAATAAAATAATAAAATATCACTGAATCCCAGTTAAATGCTATTGCCTGCCTAGATCTGAACTTGAGACCTGAGCAATTTGTGTTAAAAAGAGAGTAGTGGCTCATGCTTATAATCCTAGCACTTTGGGAGGCCGAGGTGGGCGAATCACTTGAGGCCGGGAGTTTGAGACCAGCCTGGGCAACGTGGCAAAACCTCATCTCTACTAAAAATACAAAGATTAGCTGGGTGTGGTGGCACATGCCTGTAATCCCAGCTACTTGGGAGGCTGAGGCAGGAGAATCAGTTGAATCTGGGAGGCAGAGGCTGCAGTGAGCTGAGATTGCACCACTGCACTCCAGCCTGGGTGACAAAGCAAGACTCTGTCTCAAAAAAAATTGTTTTTAAATAATAAATAAATAAATAAATAAAGACTAGCCCAAAACTGAGGCTTTCTCCTTGGTGTTATCAGAAAAGTGAAGGAAAAATGAAAAGAGAATAACTTTCTCCTGGTGTGATTCAGTGTTATTCCTTTTGGGTTAGGGTACCCCAGGCTATAGGAGACTCTGATCTAGTGTATCATAAAGAAACGGAAGTGATTGTGAAGAACCAAAAGACAGAAATCTCCCCATTTCTGTGCCATAAATGGGGATTTACCCACTCTACATCTGGTGAGAGATTCTTAAGTGCATTTCTTCCTCTTGATTGTCAATAAAAAAGAATAGTCTACCAAGCATGTTTGTATTCTTTCCTCTACAGATTAGAAGGAAGTTCTAAAGGCAGATTTGTGAGAGGAGAAAGTAGGAAAGTAAGAATGCATCTTTCCATTCTATTATTACTAGAAAATAATTCTGCTGGTAAAATCCAAGTAATTGGTAAAATCCAAGTAATTGGTAAAACTGTAACTGTATTCTAGTTAATTGTATTGTGCCAAAGCCAGTTTCCTAGTTTTTATAATCTATTATGGTTATATGAAAACTTATGATTGGGGGAAGTTGTGTGACGGGTACAATGGACTTCTCTGTAACATTTTTGCAATGTCTTATGAGTCTGTAATTATTTCAAAATGAAAAGTAAAAAAAAGTTTAAGTCTAAAGTCTTAAAAATATGGTCTCACTTCTCACCTTTTGATCCTAAAATACCACTTCTATAAATTTATGTAACATAACAGATATGTATCCAAGTGTGTTCCTTATAGCATTACTTATAAAAGTGAAAAGTTAAACAGCCTGATGTCCAAAAATAGGGGAGTGGGTAAATAAATGGTGATATATATATATATATATATATATAGGGGGGAATATTATACAACTATTAAAAATGATAAGGAGATGCATATTTAATGATGTGAAGGATCATTCACAATTAATATTGAAACTTAAGTTATATGAGTTCAGGTTATTTAAAAATGATACACACATATACATATATATAATATAAAGACTAGGAGAATGCATGCCAAAATGTTAGCAATGGTTATTTCTAGCCACTGGGCTTATTAGTTGATTTTTATTTTTAAAAATTTTGCTCATGTATGTTTGTAATTGTTCTATAATGAATGTATATTCTAGTGTAATACTTTTTTTTTATTATACTTTAAGTTTTAGGGTACATGTGCACAACATGTGCAGGTTAGTTATATATGTATACATGTGCCATGTTGGTGTGCTGCACCCATTAACTTGTCATTTAACACTAGGTATATCTCCTAATGCTATCCTTCCCCCCTCCCCCCACCCCACAACAGGCCCTGGTGTGTGATGTTCCCCTTCCTGTGTCCATGTGTTCTCATTGTTCAATTCCCACCTATGAGTGAGAACATGTGGTGTTTGGTTTTTTGTCCTTGCGATAGTTTGCTAAGAATGATGGTTTCCAGCTTCATCCGTGTCCTACAAAGGACATGAACTCATCATTGTTTATGGCTGCATAGTATTCCACAGTGTATATGTGCCACATTTTCTTAATCCAGTCTATCATTTTTGGACATTTGACTTGGTTCCAAGTCTTTGCTATTGTGAATAGTGCCGCAATAAACATACGTGTGCATGTGTCTTTATAGCAGCATGATTTATAATCCTTTGGGTATATACCCAGTAATGGGATTGCTGGGTCAAATGGTATTTCTAGTTCTAGATCCCTGAGGAATCGCCACACTGACTTCCACAGTGGTTGAACTAGTTTACAGTCTCACCAACAGTGTAAAAGTGTTCCTATTTGTCCACATCCTCTCCAGCACCTGTTGTTTCCTGACTTTTTAATGATTGCCATTCTAACTGGTGTGAGATGGTATCTCATTGTGGTTTTGATTTGCATTTCTCTGATGGCCAGTGATGATGAGCATTTTTTCATGTGTCTGTTGGCTGCATAAATGTCTTCTTTTGAGAAGTGTCTGTTCATATCCTTTGCCCACTTTTTGATGGGGTTGTTTGTTTTTTTCTTGTAAATTTGTTTGAGTTCATTGTAGATTCTGGATATTAGCCCTTTGTCAGATGAGTAGATTGCAAAAATTTTCTCCCATTCTGTAGGTTGCCTGTTTACTCTGATGGTAGTTTCTTTTGCTGTGCAGAAGCTCTTTAGTTTAGTTAGATCCCATTTGTCAATTTTGGCTTTTGTTGCCATTGCTTTTGGTGTTTTAGACATGAAGTGCTTCCCCATGCCTATGTCCTGAATGTTATTGCCTAGGTTTTCTTCTAGGGTGTTTATGGTTTTAGGTCTAACATTTAAGAGGGAATCCTCCCTAACTCATTTTATGAGGCCAGCATCATCCTGATACCAAAGCCTGGCAGAGACACAACAAAAAAAGAGAATTTTAGACCAATATCCCTGATGAACATCAATGCAAAAATCCTCAATAAAATACTGCCAAACCGAATCCAACAGCACATCAAAAAGCTTATCTACCATGATCAAGCGGGCTTCATCCCTGGGATGCAAGGCTGGTTCAACATACGCAAATCAATAAACGTAATCCAGCATATAAACAGAACCAATGACAAAAACCATATGATTATCTCAATAGATGCAGAAAAGGCCTTTGACACAATTCAACAACGCTTCATGCTAAAAACTCTCAATAAATTAGTTATTGATGGGACATATCTCAAAATAATAAGAGCTATTTATGACAAACCCACAGCCAATATCATACTGAATGGGCAAAAACAGGAAGCATTCCCTTTGAAAACTGGCACAAGACAGGGATGCCCTCTCTCACCACTCCTATTCAACATAGTGTTGAAAGTTCTCGCCAGGGCAATTAGGCAGGAGAAGGAAATAAAGGGTATTCAATTAGGAAAAGAGGAAGTCAAATTGTCCCTGTTTGCAGATGACATGATTGTATATGTAGAAAACCCCATCGTCTCAGCTCAAAATCTCCTTAAGCTGATAGGCAACTTCAGCAAAGTCTTGGGATACGAAATCAATGTGCAAAAATCACAAGCATTCTTATACACCAATAACAGACAAACAGAGAGCTAAATCATGAGTGAACTCCCACTCACAATTGCTTCAAAGAGAATAAAATACCTAGGAATCCAACTTACAAGGGATGTGAAGGACCTCTTCAATGAGAACTACAAACCACTGCTCAAGGAAATAAAAGAGGATACAAACAAATGGAAGAATATTCCATGCTCATGGGTAGGAAGAATCAATATTGTGAAAATGGCCATACTGCCCAAGGTAATTTATAGATTCAATGGCATCCCCATCAAGCTACCAATGACTTTCTTCACAGAATTGCTAAAAACTACTTTGAAGTTCATATGGAACCAAAAAAGAGCCTGCATTGCCAAGTCAATCGTAAGCCAAAAGAACAAAGCTGGAGGCATCACACTACCTGACTTCAAACTATACTACAAGGCTACAGTAACCAAAACAGCATGGTACTGGTACCAACACAGAGATATAGACCAATGGAACAGAACAGAGCCCTCAGAAATAATGCCGCATTTCTAAAACCATCTGATCTTTGACAAACCTGACAAAGACAAGAAATGGGGAAACAATTCCCTATTTAATAAATGGTACTGGGAAAACTGGCTAGCCATATGTAGAAAGCTGAAACTGGATCCCTTCCTTACGCCTTATACAAAAATTAATTCAAGATGGATTAAAGTGTAATACATTTTTAAAAGATATTAAAAATGCTTAAATCATTACAGATTTACTAAAACATCTGCAACAGGGGGAGTTAAATCCTATAACCCTAATAGCTTATGCATTACAGTTGATAAGATAGCCATTAAAAAAATAATAAACTTCACAGCTCTGAAACTGCTGTAATTAGACGTTAATCCATGACAGATACTGTGCCTTACTAAAGAAAAGTAAGTGATAAATCATTTCACTCCTAACCTGTCTTTCTCCCTTTCTTTCACTGTTTCCTTTCTGATGAAATCAGTAAATGTTTTGATTCAAAACCAGGAGCAGGATGCAACCTTAATTCTTATTAAACTCAGGGCAAGTCTGTGCAAAAGCTGACAGTTTGCTCAGACAATTGGGTAACCACAATCTTGTTTTTTTTTTGTCACACAAGTGAGAAAGTTGCAAAATTCAGTAATTCCCCAAGTGCTCTGATTAGTGCAAGATGTCTCTTTTTATGAGTAGGCCTTCCAGGATAATGTGAAATACAGGAGAAACAAATTTTTTTCCCTTATTAAAAAAGAATTAGAATGATTTTCTATAACTGACTGTAAATAACATCTGTCAAAGCAATTAGACATTTTTTAGGGTGCCATGTGATGGTGTTAATTATGTATTAGTTATATGATATTCATTATTTACTCACTTGTTCTTATAAATTGTGTCTCTCTTTCACACAATCTACATCCCATGGTGCAGGAACCATGTCTGTGTCATTAATTTGTGTCTGACACAAGTAGGTGCTTAAAAAATATTTGCTGAGTGATGAGGATGACTCATTTGTGTTTGGAATTCTTATTGCATTCCTAGGGAGAAAGCTTGCGACTTGGAATCTGGAGACATGCTTTAGAAACTTAGCTTCACCAGTAACAGCTCTGTGACCCTTTGTGTTCAAAAGCTCTAGGCCCCATCCATAAAAATGCAATCAGTAACAAGTACTTCCCAGGCTTGTCATAAGGAATAAATTTCCTAATACATGTTGGTAAAACAATGTCTGGTCCATAGAAAGTGCTCAAAAGATATAGATATTAATTGACAATATCTGAATTCTTTCTGTTTTAGCTATAGTTTATCTTTTTCTGGCATCATTTCTAACTTATGGTAGTTATGAACATACACTCTGGAGTCAGATGGCTGGTGCCATCTTATTAAATAAGAGTGTGACCTACAGCAAATTACTTAAACATGCTGTGCTTGGTTTTCTCATCTGTGAGACCGGAATGGTAATAATAGCACTTGCTCCATAGGATTATTGTGAGCACACACTGAGAAGATGCTTGTAAATGCTCCAAAGAGTGTGACAGGAGTAAGTGCTCAGTAAAGGTTAGCCATTTTCTCCTTATCAGGCCTCTTATCTATTGTGTTGCATCTAAAGCACAGTTTAAAATTGAGCCCAACTGCTGGCTTCTCTTCCTGAAGCAGTTATTTATTCTGATTTGGCCATTTCATGACTGTCAACTCACAGAATGGCTGCCTGAAGGTTTATGTGGTCTGGGCATTGCTACACCCTGTAAAACTTTTAAGAGGGGGTGGGATTGGCTACTGTGCTAGAATAAATAATAACAATTAACATTGTTTTGTGCAAGATTCTGTGCAAAGAACCATAGCCCTTTAATTACCCCCATCTTACAGATGAGGAAACAGAGGGTGAGAGAGGTTATGTATTATCCCAGCCAGTGCTTGAGGAACTCGGAACTTACACTCAGGCAGGCTGTGCTCTTAATCTTCGTGTCATCCCATTTGCCACATTTATTAAATAAAAACGTCAATACTTTATTGCAACTTTGGTCTTAGACTTTTATTTTTGGTTCCGTTCAGTAGAGTTCAAAACTTGGCAACATACAGAGCCTTCTCAGAGTAACATCAGGTTAATCTCCAAGAAACACAAAGGGAGATAAGCCTGAAACAGAAAGGGAGAGAGCATAGGGGGAATTAGTATTATTATTGAGATAAAATAGTGAGAGAAATGTCAACAAACCAGACATAAACATTTCGATAAAAATCCCTTTGGTTTTCAGTAACAAATGGAGACTTTTGTAATATAACCAGAATTATCTCATTTCGTTTTTATGCTCAATTTATTATGATTAATTAACTGTTCAACTAGGATTCTAAAATAGATTTGCCTTGCTAGATCTAGCTCTGCCATTTGAGATATTGCCTTTGTGGCAATCAACTGTAGGTACACTAGGAGTACAGGAGTGTGGTTGCTGAAGAAGAGGCTCAGATCATGGGCAGTTCATCTCTCCATGCCACTCTCCAAACTCAACCATTCCTTGCCCCCTGCTTGGTACTAAACATGGCTTGTATCCTAACTAACTTCAGCATTTTGGCATTATCTATCAAAATTGTAAGTATCATTCCATTTCACTCAGTAATTCTACATCTAGAAGTTCATTCAAGAGAAACGCTCACAAAGTATGCAAAGGGATATATACAAGGACATTCACTGTTTTGTTGTTTGTAATGGAGAATAAATAGCACTAACTTAAATATCCACCAGGAAGGGATTGGTTATATATACTATAAGGTAATCATACAGAGGAATACCTAGGTAAATTAGTATATATCGATATGGATATAATGGAAAAAAGAAGATGGTAAGCAGTGCTCATAATACTCATAACATTATAGAAGGATTTTGTAAGGATACATACCAGTGATACAGAAACTTAAGTGCATGCAGGGAATCAGATTTTGGCTTAGTGAGTGGGACTGTGACAACCTTGAGAGCATGCCTCATATTAAGCAACTAGCACCACTCAATTTCAGCAAATCATTGCTAACCTGGTGGCAGGTCTTTGGATTTTCCAAGAAAAGCTGGGAGTCAGAGTACTTTTTATGCTGTTTTGTGGCATCTATTTACTTCTCTGTCACTTCCAAAGCTGGGAGCTCCATGAAAGTATTCCAGTCATGTGAAACCGCTTGATTTTCATTTCGAGACAACAAATAAAAATACTTTAGAAATATATTGCATACAGTCATCTGTTAGCTGCATTTTTTCTTGCAGGCTCATTGCTTATCACCCCCTAAAATACTCTTAGCAAGGGCTATCTCTGGAGAATCATATTATAGGCCAATATCAGGGTATGACACTTATTATATGTAAAGTAGACAGTTCTCAAGTGTAGTCCCGGACCACCATATCAGTGTACCTGGAAACCAGTTAGAAGTGCATAGGCCCCATCCAGACTTATTGAATCAGAAACCCTGGAGATGGCACCAGCAATCTGTGTTTCCCCAAGTACTTCAGGTGATTCTGATGCATTCTAAAATTTGAGATTGAGTGGGGCTTATGCATTTTCAACTAGTTTCCGGGTGGCACTGATGTGGTGATCCAGGGCCACCTTTTGAGAACTGTCTATTTTATACATTGCTTTATGTTTGAAGGACCTGCAATGCTTGCACCGCTTTTATAATTGCAAACCCCACTGGTACATGGGACATACTTACACTGGCCTTACATTAGGAAGGTCGTAACTAAAGTGAGTTTCCAGACCATTACAGACTAGGGCTAGTTCTGGGAGTTTGGCCTAGCTTTGGTTTTGTTACCAGTCTTCTGGGCTCAGCTAGACTATGTTTTAGACTAAGGTTTCTGTAGCCTTGAAATGCTTCTGGCTATACTGGACCATATGAGTCCCTGGGTGTAGAAACAGCTTTTTAAGGGTGTTGAGAGAGAAAAATTACATCTCTCATTTCCATGGTATACCTGGAGCCTGTGGGGAAAATAAATACCTAGGTGATAACTATTCATTCTTTGATTCATTCACTCATTCATTCAACAACGATGTTGTGAGTTCTTACTATGTGCCTGGCATTGTGCTAAGCCTGATGACACTGAAATACCTTCAGGGAGCTCCCAGCTTAGGAGGTGACACAGAAGTAAATAGACCATCATGAACCAGTGTTAAAAATAATGTAATGACGGTCAGCACATGGTGCCTTGGAAATCCCCACTGGACATGAGGGAAGACTTTCCTGAAGAGGTGGCACCTGGCTGAGGTTTGAGAGATGAGCAGGAGCAGAAGAGATGAGGAGGAGTCAGCTTGGTAAAGAAAGGGAGGGGATATTCCAGGCTGAGAGCCAAACAGATACAGAGACACAAAGGGTGGGAGGACCCAGGACTTTCTGGGAAATGCCTGTACTCTGCCTAACCTGGGCAGAGGGTGTGTGGCAGGAGTGTCAGGCTTTGGGGCTGGAGTATGGGCAGCCGCATGATCACAAAATGCTTGGCAAAGCAGTCTGGGATGCCTGGGCTCCATCCAAAAAGCAACTGAGAGAGCCAATGGCAAGCTGTAACTTAGGGAGTGACAGAGATTCCCTTTAGATTTGGGGGCTGTTTATATATTTTTGACAACAAATGTTTTCACCCAGAGTTTTTCATTTATCATTTTATGTCTCCTTGAATCTATAAATTAAGATTTAAAAATACCATGCCTTTAAGTGAAAATAAATAGCAACTTATTTAAAAAAATAAAATCTACAAAATGATGGCTGGGAAACTTAATACAAACATGGATTTAAGTTTTGTACTTTCCTTTGCTACTTGGTTTTAGAGATGTTTCATGACATGTCATACACAGCTTGTGGGTTAATTAAGCTATTGATTTGGAAGGTTCCTGGTAAATCCCAAGCCAGTTTCAAGGGTGTGTATGTATTTTGGGTGAGGAGCTGGTTAAAGCCATTCATAACATTATTATAATCCTCATTGAATGTTGCTAGGTCTCCAACTGGCAATGCATCCCATTCCTGGCATCATTACCCACTAAGGGCTTTGCTTCTCCGGAAAGTTGGGTGAATACTCAGTTAATAGGAATTGAATCAACGTGTTCAGTTTGGTAAGAACTTGTCTTCCTTTATCTCACAGGGAGAAAGGGAAAAGTCAGTGGTTTTTCAAGAGGGAAGGAAGGAGGGGAGGGTGGAGCAGACTGGGGTGACTGGTGATGCTGTCAAAGTCCCACAATTGCTGTAGAGGTGGATTTTCAGCCCTGGAGCAGGGTGACCTCATTTGCTGCTACATGTGCATTCACCCTTGGTTTCCTGGCCTTTTTGCCATGAGCACATATATATCTAATGAATGTGTAAGTGTGCCCCAGAGAGGCTGTGAGGTCTTTAAAGACAGACTAAACAGGATTTAAATACTTCCCTGCAACTTACTGAGTGTTGACAGCTTAGAAAAATTGCTTACCTACCTGATATGTGATTTCAGAATGCCTACCTGACATGGGTTTTTGTTGAGAATTAAATGAGATAAGATATTTATGTTTAGTGTCTTAGTCTGTTTGGGATGCTATAACAAATCCCCAACACTGGGTGGCTTATAAACAACAGAAATTTATTGCTCATAGTTCTGGAGGCTGGGAAGTCCAAGATCAGTGGGCTGACAGATTTGGTGTCTGGTGAGGGCCTGCTCTCTGGTTCATAGATGGCATCTTTACCTTGTGTCCTCACATGATGAGAAAGGTGAAGGGTTTTTCTTGGGCCTTTTTTATAAGGTCTCTGCCCTCATGGCCTAATGGCTTCCCAAAGGCCCTGCCTCCTAATAACATCACCTTGGGGGTTAGTATTGCTACATATCAGTTTTAAGGAGACAGAAACATTCAGACCATAGCACATGGTGACTAACCTGTAACTGATGTTCAGCATGTCTTTCCTGACCTGGAACTGAAGCTACCTTTTCTGGTTTCCATAGGAACGATTGTTTGTCACCCCCACCCTCTGTCATGCTTGGTTTTCATCAGTAAGGAAACATGTTTGGGGAAGAGGGAACTTGAGTGGCAGAATGACCTGCATTCCAATCCTGGTATAAGTACTCATTTCAGACCATCACTCAATATTTTTGAGACTCAGGTTCCTTCTCTATAAAATGAAAACAATAATGCCCAATAATTTCCATACCTTCCACAGTCATTGTGAGGATTCAGTGAAGTAAGGCAAGGGTGCTCAAACTTTAGAGAGCATCAGAATCACCTGAAGGTCTGGTTAAGACACAGATTGCTGGGCCCATCCCCACGGTTTCTAGTTCAATCTGGGCAGGGCCTATGCATCTCTAACTAGCTTTCAGGCGATGCTGATGTGGATCCAGGACCACACGTTGAGGACAGTGCCTGGCAACAGTAAACACCAGGCAGATGTGAGTTACTATCACTTTTATATTTTGGAGCAGGAGTAATAGTGTAGACACCCCCACCCGGCTGCAATTCTAATTTTAGGGTCCTTATTTTGACTACATCAATAATTGCTTGATTTTCAATTTTTGTAGCACTACTCTAAACAGTGAGGAGGAGAGACTCAGTGTTCTAGGGGGTTAGGATCCACAAGTCATCGCTGCCGCACATCCAAGTGACCCAAGTACAGGAATCAGGGCCCTGGGTGCCTCGGTTTCAATGTAGTTTTGTCAGCCCAGAACAGACTAAAAAACAAATTTCTGGAACATTCTCCTACCTCACAAGACCCTGTACTATGTGTTGAGGACATGTTTTGGGGAGGTTGGGGCAGAAAACAAGTGACTTCCACAGCCCAGAGTCTTCTTCTCTGTTGTCTTCTTTGGTCCTGCCCTCCCCAGGGGTTTTAAGCATGCAAAGGATGGATCTTCCCCCTGAGGAAATCACAGGCCCTGACCCTTATTTTAGAAGGCGGATGACAAAGATAAGGGGCACGGTGACACCTCTGTCACCTAATGATCAGTCTGAATTACACATCTAAAATTAACAGCTTCTCCTCCTCCCTCCTACCCACCCGCCTACCCAATACTTAAACCCTTCTTTGTCATTGTTTCTCCGAGCAATTGATTCGCGAGAAATACCACCTGGATCTGCAAACCCTTGCAACTCAGGGAGTGGGACTCAGCATTGCACTGGGGTTAAGAATGGAGGGGCTGGGGTCATCTCCTCACTTGTTAGCTTGGAGAATGAGGCTACCATTTTCTTATGTAAATTGAAAGAAGTAAGGCTACTTGCATCACAGCGTTCTTGTGAGGGTTAATTAGATATGCATGCAAGGTCTCCATAAATAACAATTGTGGTTTCTATGGAGGATTTTTAAGAGTTCCTCATTGGGATCCTCTTCTGCATGCCCTCCCAGGGCTGTCACTTTTCCAGAATTATCCAGCAATGTTCGGTTGGTTTTGGGGGTCCAGATTCTCCACTTTCCCTGATTTGTCTATGTGACTTTGGACTGAAGGAGAAAGGAGGAGGATTTGGAGTGGGACCTGGGGGAAGAAATGAGGAGACAGGGACAGTGCAAGCTCTAATGAGGAGTCTGCCCCGACTTGACCGCAAGAACAGATGCTCAGTCCCTGTGAAGCAGAAGCCGTAAACTGGAGGATCTGTTCTCCCCAGGTGATGCGGGAAACTTAGTAGCTCAGAGTCCAAGTGGACAAAATACAATGCAGCATTTGGGGAGGGGCTCACACACAGCACTAGGCATGCACTAAGCACAGAAGGGAACCAAGTCTGTTTGGCTTTTCCAGGGTGTGAGGTCCCAGGCACGAAGGTAGTGTTTTAATGGAGGCCATTGTATCACAGGGATGCCAAGGTAATTCCCATAAGGACTTGTAAATGGGCAGTAAATATTAATGGAGAGCATGAGGGGGCTTGTTCCTGAGCTTCTTCCTCTAGATGGGGGGAAATCCCTAAGTAATGGGGTGGGAGGGACTACAGTTACACAGGTGGGAGCAGGTGAAGTCAGGGACATTCAGGTGACACAGCTGAAGCCTGCTTGCAGCACAGTGCTGGGCATATGGGAAGCACCCAGGAACTGGTCATAATTACCAGCTTTTCCTGGACACTTTGACCTTTCCCCATGCCCACAGGACTGGGCAGTCTCTGCTGTGAGTATCGAAGGTTGTGAGAACTCTCAGTCCTTCCTTCTGTGGAACTACAAAATATTTACTTTTAAGAGGAAAGAGTAACTTACGTCTAAGTTACTAGGGGATAGCAATGATCTTTGGCTGGCTTTGCTGAGCTGTAGACTTGGAGTCAACAGACCCCGTTCACCTCCCAGCTATTTTGCCTTTGAGCTGTGAGACCACAGGCTAATTATTTAGCTTCCTCCTCCGTAAAGTGGGAATGAAATTGCCTGCCCTACTACCAGATCATAAACATGAAAATGTTTTGTAAGTTGTAAAGTTCTGTTAAAGGAGTTAGGGAAAGGGAGTTTGTCATGGCTAATAACGAGGTCTTCTAGGAATACCAGCATTCAACTGAAAAGTGGCAATCACGGGAACTGGCATTCCCTTCTTCTGAAGTAATGAGGACTAATGAGTTCAGCCGGCCGAGCACAGTGGCTCACGCCTATAATCCCACCACTTTGGGAGGCCGAGGTGGGCAGATCACGAGGTCAGGAGATCAAGACCATCCTGGCCAACATGGTGAAGCCCCGTCTCTACTAGAAATACAAAAATTAGCTGTGCATGGTGGTGGGCACCTGTAGTCCCAGCTACTTGGGAGGCTGAGGCAGGAGAATCACTTGAACCCAGGAGGCGGAGGTTGCAGTGAGCCAAGATTGCACTACTGCCCTCCAGCCTGGTGACAAAGTGAGACTCCATCTCAAAACAGAACAAAACAAAACAGAGTTCAGCCATGGAGACAGGTGAGTGGTGGGGAGGTATTTGGGTTATTCCTGGATGTTCACCACCTACTCTTGAGGCTAGTCCATGGCACCTGAACCTAATAATCTCATTAGAAGCTGTCAGTGGGACAATCTTGAGGATGTGACAGGTGCTGCTCCCTGCTCCACACCTCTGGGGTCATTCCTCACTGTCTTCCAGGCTGTGAACTTCTAGATGAAGGTCTGCATTCTCTTCTCCTTGTTGTCCAGCACTGAGCACAGGACCTGGCACTCAGCAGACATTCTGATGGTGTTTACAGAATGATTCAGTGAGTGGGAGGGTGTGTTTTCTTTTTTTGGATCATGGTCCTTGTCTATATTCTGCACACTTACTCTCATTCTCACACCTCTTCTATTTCTGAAATGTCCTTACACTGATCTCCAACTGTGGGGAGACCAGAACATGAAAGTTCATATATTTGGGTCTAAAACACAGGAAAGCCTGAGAAAGAAGAACAAGAATTGCTTTCCTTTCTGAGCCGTGTGTGCCTTTGGAATCCACTTTGGGGAAGAAAGAAGACTTGCAAATTAATCTCGGGGGGCGAGTGGGAGTAACAGGCAAATACTGTGGAGAACGTGTCCATCTTGACATAATGCTGTTTTGTATCTTAAAAGGAGATGTGGATTCTGGAGGTTTCCCACCCTGGAAATAACTGCTTTTCAAAAAAAAAAAAAAAGATGCTTAGGAAATAAATCTGGCAATGGCTCCCATTGTTATTAGGGTTGAAATGCATGATTTGTATGTTTTCTGTATGTGGCTATGATTTTAAGTCAGGGAGCTTCTTGATTTTAAGTTAGTTTCCACGCTTGCTCCTATAACCTCTTAGCTGTGTGACAACAATGACAATGACAAAAAAGGTGATGACAGTGGTCAAGGGCTTGCTCTAGACCACCATTCATGCTTGTTCCCTATCTCACAATGACCCTCTAAGGTTGGTCATAATCTCAATTTTACTTTACAGATTGAGAGACTAAGGTTTTGAGGGTTCAGTGATTTCCTCAAGTTAATATAGGAAGTCACCTTAATTTGAACCTTGTTTGAACCCAGGCCTGATAGCTATGTCTATATCCTTCTTTGCCTCCTTTGAAAAGTATAAGGTTGAATTTATGATGAGATTATATAGATCTGTCTCTGAAGTATTTTCTAGGCAATTCAAATGAAACTCTTCAAAATACAAATTGCCCTCTGTGACAAGGAGGACTTTCCCTTCCCAATGCCTTCCTTCAAGAGCTTTTTCATAGACTCCCCTCAGGGTTCAGCCTGGGGCCTGGTGGAGAAAATGGGGCAACAGAACAATAAAACAAAAGAAAGCAACAGATCCTAATGCCTGTAACTGATCATGAATGAAATAACACTTCCCCAGCCTGGAAAAATGTCAGTTTGATGCTCTTTGTTCTAAAAGCTCTGGTTCCACAGAGCATCAATTTCCCCTAATAATAAGCTTTTTTATTCCTCATCTAATGATGCAGCCTTGTCTTGAGGATTCTTATCATCTTTATTGCTCATCCACGATGACAGACACACGTACAGTCAGTTTGTCACTTCCCTTCTTTTCTTTTTCTTTCTCGTCACACATGATTTCTGCCCCAGCAGAAGCAGGGGCTCTGAGCAGCGCCCCCCGCTTCCTCCACCTCCTCGCCTCCCACACAACCATGCACAGCTCTTTGAATTCTCTGCAGAGCATCATCTGCTTCCCCATGAATAAGCTTGTCTTTCTTTTCTTCCCTCCCCGCATGGTGACTCTGTGTCAGCTGGGTGTGCATGGGTACCCTGCATTGTTGACCAGTTGTGCATTTGAGCTAATATTTACCATGCATTAATTCTGTTCCAGGCCCGTGCTGAAAGCTCTGAATAGGTTATCTCATTTGGTACCCATGAGCTGACTCTTAGAGGTGAACCCACTGTGCAGATGAGAAAAACTGAGGCACAAGGAAATGTCCAAAGACACACAGCCTTCTAATGTGTAGATCCTAGAGCCTACCTTCTTCTTCCTTTTTTTTTTTTTGAGATGAAGTGTTGCTCTGTCACCCAGGCTGGAATGCAGTGGTATGATCTGGGCTCACTGCAACCTCCACCTCCTGGGTTCAAGTGATTTCAAGGTAATTTTTGTATTTTTAGTAGAGTCGGGGTTTCACCATATTGGCCAGGCTGGTCTCGAACATCTGACCTCAAGTGATCCACCCACCTCGGCCTCCCAAAGTGTTAGGATTACAGGTGTGAGCCACTGTGCCCGGCCTGAGCCTACGTTTGTAACCAGCAGGATTCAGTGGCTTGAGGTTGTTCTGGAATCTACCACATGAAAGTTGGAGAATGTGGAGAATAATCTCTGGTTTTTGAAGTTCTCAGCCCAAAGGGCCCTACAGAATCAAGGTGGACAATAGCCTCAGGAAAGGTCAGGCCAAGCAGGAACAATAACTAGAAGGGTTTGCAAAACATCCACAGACTGATTAACACTACCCAAAAATAACCATTCTCTACCTGTAATGAGTGCACAGGAATGGCCTAATAGGACATGGCCCCCTGCACCTGCTCCATCCTTCACCTTCTGTAGAACCTCCTCCCAGATCATTTGCATATTCCCCACCCTTCACTCTCACCACAGCCATCCATAGATGGGTGGGGAGCCTGTGGGACAGCAGATCTCAAGGTTTCAGGTAGGTTAAGATCACTTAAGGGACTTACTCAAAATACAGATGCTGGAAATTCCACTTGAGGATGCCTGGAAGAGAGATCCAGGATTTTTCATTCTTACCAAGAACCTCTGGTGATCCTAATGCAAGTCCCCACGCCTCTCTTTGAAAGTAACCTCTGCTTCTAAGACTATAGCATTAGGAAAAGGAAGTAAAAAGCTCCATTGTCGGGTGGCCTGACTTTGCCTCTGGCAGTCTCTCACAGATGCCCAAGGACATAATTCCACAACCCCAGCACCACTCAATTGCAGTGGCCTTTTTTCTTGACCACTCTGCTGCTGGTGAGAAGGCAGTGGAGGTACTGCCCATCTTTATCTGCTGTGCTTATTGTAGAAACTCAATCAGATTTTTTTTTTTTTTTTTTTTTTTTTTTGAGATGGAGTCTTGTTCGATCACCCAGGCTGGAGTGCTATGACACCATCTCGGCTCACTGCAACCTTCACCTCCAGGGTTCAAGTGATTCTCCTGTCTCTGCCTCCTGAGTAGCTGAGATTATAAGCGCACACCACCACGCCTGGTTAATTTTTGTATTTTTAGTAGAGCCAGAGTTTCACCATGTTGGTCAGGCTGGTCTCAAACTCCTGACCTCAGGTGATCCACCTGCCTCGGCTTCCCAAAGTGCTGAGATTACAGACGTGAGGTACCATGCCTCGCCAGATTTGTTATTTTTTTTAAATCTTCTTAATGAGGATCAAGATTTGTATCATTTGCCCTAAGATTTCCTACCAAAGGATCCCAACTTAGACCAAGTGAAATGATAAGGAAGAAGTAGGGAAGAGATACTACCATAAAGACAGCTGCTTGTTGAAGTGTAGACACAACTGAAGTTGCCCTGAAACTTGGTTTCCTCTGACTAAATTATACTGGAAGCCCCAACTTTGATAGGAGGCTTTTTTTCAATAAGAAGAGGAGTGGCCAGCCGTCCCATCCCAGGGATGATCTCCTGTGCAGCACTCCTTAGTTGCTGCGCTCATCTTACAGCCAACACAGAAATGTTGAGTTGCCTTTACTCACCAGCTCCACCAGCTTTGTAACAAATCTCCTCTGCTATTAGACATTTGATTTTCTTTGGTCTGCAGCATGATTCTAAAATCAAAACGCCTGAGTGTGTTTCATAGCGTTTGACACATAGAAGGTGCTCAGTCAGTATTTGCTGATTAAGCAGTTGTAATTCTGCGAATCCACTTTTTATTTTATTTTATTTTTTTAAAGATTATTGTCCCCAGCTAGGCATGGTCTCATGCCTGCCTGTAATCCCAGCACTTTGGGAAGCTGAAGCAGACGGATCACTTGAGCCCAGGAGTTCCAAACCAGCCTGGGCGACATGATGAAACGGTGTCTCTATTTATTTAAAAAATTTTTAAAAATTAAATGAAAAGATCTTTGTCCCCAGAAAAGCTTCTGTGGGCTGGACCAATGTAAGTTCATATAAATTTTCATTCTTCTCAGAAAAAGGAGAAAATTTCCGGCAATGTATTAAGTTTTTCATAAAGCTAAATTTATCCAGCATAAAAGACTTCTATTTTGGGGCTGTTCTTTCTAATTTGGGGTATTAAAATACCTTTATTTTATAGTAATTGATGTGACTGTATAAACTAAATTGACTTCCCACCCCGTTTTTTTGAGTGGGCCCTCTCATCTCTTGCCTAGTTCCTGAGCCCACTCTTTCCCCCTTATCTATCAGGACTTTTAGTTACAAGAAAGAGAAGTGGATCCTAGATGATGCAGGCCTTTCCTTAAATATAGAAAAACTATTTGGAAGACCATGGGTCTAAATGCAATGTGCTATCCTGAGTTGGATCCTGGAACCAAAAAAGGACATTAGTAGAAAAACAGGTGAAGTCCACAGTTTGTCTTTTGGTTGGTGGTAATCTACCCACATTAATGTTGCAGTTATGATGAATGTACCATGTAGATGTTAACGATGGCAGGAATTGGGTGAGGGGCATGGGAAGTCTCTACTGTACTACTTTTGTCACTTTTCTGTAAATCTAAAATTACTCTGAAATAAAAATTTGTTTAAAAAGGATAGATGCTAACAATCTATGCACTCAACAATCCATTTGACCAGGGTTACTGTTTAAAAATGTAAATCAGAGCGTTTCCATATCCTCCTTAAAACCTTTCAATGGATTTCCATTGCACTGTGGATTAAATCCAAAACCTATACCAGGCCCGCATGAGCTGGCCCTACTTCTGTCTCTGAGTTCATCTCTGCTTGTCCAAGCTGCCCTTGGTGAGTGACTGGTCACTTTACTCAGGTCACACTGGCCTTCCTACAGTTGACAAGGCCAGGCTGGTGCCACCTTAGGCCTTTCCACAGGACTCCGCCTCATACCTCCTCTTCATAGGCCTCATCTTGCTATTTAGAGCTCTTCTGTGGCGTCTCCACTGCCCACCCACTCCACAGTAGCTCTCCTGCTCTGTCTGTCACTCTCCTTCGCTTTGTTTTGTGTTCTTCAAAACACTTACCACCATCTATCAAATTGTTTACACTATTTATTTGCTTATTACGTATCTGTGTGTGGTCTTTCCCCTGCCCCTGGGATGTCAGCTCCACGAGGGCAGGGGTTTTGTTGCTCATTGCTGTAACTCCAGCACCCAGAGCAGTGGCTGGCATATAACAGGGGTACTGTAGTTATTTGCTGAATGAATGAAAGAGGGGTCATTTCATCCAGGAAGCCTTCCTGATCTCTGGTCAGGGCTAAGAACCCCCTTTTTAGCTCTCATGGCCTCCCGAACCTCCCTCTCCCACAGCTCCTGCCCCACAAGCTGTAACTGCTGATTGACCCACTGTATTCTCCACTGGACTCTGGGCTCTGTGGGGTGAAATGATATTATGACCTTTGTCCGCCCAGCACTGGCAGAACACCTGGAGCAAAGCTGGCACTCAGTGCCTGGGAACTCATCAGGGCTGATTGCCTTCTGGGTGTCAGGTGACACCCTATTTTTGAGATAGGGTCTCACTCTGTCTCTCAGGATGGAGTGCAGTGGCACAATCACAGCTCACTGCAGCTTCGATCTCCTGGGCTCATGTAATCCTCTCACCTCAGCTACCTGAGTAGCTGTGACCACAGGTGTGTGCCACCATACTGGGCTAATTTTTTTGTTGTTGTATTTTTTGTACAGATGGGGTCTCACTATGTTTCCCAGGCTAGTCTCGAACTTCTAGACTCAAGTGATCCTTCCAAATTGGCTTCCCAAACTGTTGGGATTACAGGTGTGAGCCACAGCGCCTGGTCAGATGAACCTATTTAGAGGAGGCCAGTCACTGGCCACTTCATTCTCTTTGTGCTGTCAGTGCCAGGAGTAGAATACATTCTATGTGTCCCTTCTGAACGAATTAAAGGAGGAAATGGGAAAAGTAATCTGGCTATGGGATCTGAAGGGGATTTCAGAAATGGACTTTGACCAATATCTGAGTTCCACCTGCTCAGTGGACCCAAAGGAAGTGTGAATTTGGGGACTCAAGTTCATCTGTCTTGGCTTCGGGTCAGTTCTTCCAAAGTTTTCATCTCCTAGATATTTTCTTGGACCACTTGTCAGCCACATTTTCTACAAGTAGTGTTCTCGGCTTTGATGCTTTCCTTTCATTTCAGTACCTTTCACCCCTTCTCCCTCTGTGGCAGAGCAAGAGCCTTTTCCACTCTGCAGACCCATAGCTGCAACTGCAGCTGCCCTGGGAACCTTGCTCAGCCATCACTGCAATGCACAGGGGACGCCAGACCGTGACACCTGACCTCTTTCTCCGACTAAGCACCAGTCCTCTATCTTCTCTGATTTAAGCAAGAAACAGCATAGAACTGTGGAAAGGGTGTGTAATTCAGAGTTTGACCAAACTAGTTCCTAAAATGTTAACTCGAGGTGCTGATAGATGTGTTCATTAATTTGTGGTGATCAGTACACAACATATACCAAATCATCACGCTGTACACCTTGAACATATAAAATTTTAATTCGCCAATTAAGTATTTTCAATAAAAATAATATAACCCCTTTTTAAAAATGAAAATAAAAGTAAATGACACATTTAAATTTGCTTCCAAAAAAAAAAATACAAAAGAAGCCCTGCCTCATAACATGGGAGTGATCTTGGGCAAGAAATTTAACTTTTCAGGGCCTTGGCGTCCTCATCCACAGAGTGGGGATGTGCCTGTAGTTGTACACACATGTGTGTGCATGCACGGGTACACACACACACACACACACACTTCACATAGTTCCCCTTCTTATCTACCCTTTGATTTTAGCTTAAATCTTATCTGCTTCATCTAAAGTAGATTTCCTCCTTCAGTCTCAACCCTGTATGAGTTTTCTTCATAGCACTTACCACAATGTATAATTCATTGATTTATATATCTTTTATGTTGTCTTCCCCATGACAGTGCAGATAGGAGGTACAGCTATGTGTCACTACTGTATCTCAGACATTGAAATAGTGGATAGTATGTAATCATATGTACTACGAAAGTATATACAAAGTAGAAGTAGCTATACTTATACTATTATAAGTATATACTTATTCATTATAATTATGAATCATTTTAAAAGGTTAACAGTTGGTATATAATTATATTACTATTAATGCTCTCATTATTTTTATGAACAGTGGGGAAATTACTGGGAAGAAGGAAAAAGAAAGTCTCTGGGCAAGAAGGTCCCTTTTTGTTGGTTAATGGGGAAGGGTAATGCAGATTCGCAAAGGTCAGACTGGTCTCTGGTCCTGGCCAAGAGACTCTTAGCTTCCAATGAGAGGTGGCATGTGTTTCAGAGGTTGTCGTTTATGACTGGACCCCGAGTTTCAGAAGTTAAAGTGTCTTAGAAATCTCTTCCATTTCAGCCTACTCATGTAGTTTCAATTTATTTTAGTAATGAATTCAGTTGGCATTTTCCCTCTGGAACCCTGGTATTAAAACAAACGTGACAGAGACTCCACTTGCAGGTACAATAGCGTGGGAACAAAATGAACTTCGATGTACAATATGACTCCCAATATTGGTTCAGCCACAGCGTGACAGTTCCAATGAGTAAGAGCAATGGGAATCTCGTTAAGCCTTACAGTTTAGCACCAGCCTTCAGGAGAGGAGAAATCGTGTCTGATCGTACTGTCCTGTTAGCCTTGTAAATGTGCAGGAGAGAGGAATTGGGAAGCGAGGGGTGAGGGCGGGGGGTAGAATATATAAATCAAGAGATCAGCAATATTTATCCCAACTTTTTGATTGTTTTCTGATGGATCTGAAGAAAGACTAATTGATTAAAAAGGATTTATAAGAGAAGTAAAATGAGGTCATGGTCAGAAGGCTCAGACAGGTGGTGAGAGAATTGTTACTAGTCAGTAATCATTCTATTATTGAGCATCTACTATGTGCCAGGCACTATTCTAGGCATTGATGAAGAAGCCAAAGTCCATGCTTATATTCTGGCGAGAGGAGACAGACCACAACCAAACAAGCAAGCTAATGGATACCTTCTGTAAAGAATATAAAACAGGGTAACATTACAGGCAGTTACACTGAGGGGGGCAATAGAGACTGCTTTAGTTTGATGGTCAGGAAAGTCTTCTCTGAAAGTGTGACATGTGAGTGATAACTGGATACTTGGATAGAGGCAACTGCAGAGAGATGGAAGTTAATAGCATCTCAGCTGAGAAACAGAATGAGCAGAAGCTGAAAATAGACGAATCCTTCTAAATACAAAAATACAAATAATTACCACTTCTACATTCTTTACTATTTACTAGTGATGTTTATTATTTACCAGCTAAGTGCTTGGGACAAGTTATTTGATCATTCTAACTCAACAGCTATAATATGGCAGTAGTAATGACTGCGCGCCTCATAGCCTGTTATGAATTACATATAATAGCAATAAATGCCAATAGTTGTTGAGTATGATGTGCTGTGTACTATGTTAAGTGCTTCACATATAATAGCTCATTTATTTTTTTGATAATGTCCTTAATAAGACAAGAAGTGTTATCATCCCCATTTTGTGGATGAGGTGATTGAGTACAGAGAGGATGAATAATTTGCTTAAGCTCACCCAGCAAATGAGTGGCAGAGATGGGATTTGAACCCAGATCTTCTTCCAAAGTCCTCAACCTTAACCCGCATCTTCCAGATGCAGAAGTCTTGGGTCAGTGCCCATCAGTTACCTAGCCCGGTGCCTGCAGTGGTAGCCCTCAATGCTTTTAGCTCTGTCATTACTACGTACATTGCCTTTCTTCTACCTCCCAGCAGCCTTGAGTAATCTTGGAATCTGCATTTTAGAATGTGACATTCAGAAGTCAATGATTGCCAAAGAACTGGAGCTGGAAGCCAGATCTTCTGATTCCAAATCCCCAGGGTCCTTTTCCTACAGTGAGCATCCCTGGAGTTTTTGCTTATTATAATTGAGCATATTTTGAAAGGAATCCTCAGAAATACACACTGAATTTGCTTCAGTAGATCCAGCTGTTTGCAAAACAATAGGTCCAATTTTCTTCCTTAATACTGCTTCTATTAACATTTAAAAGATCCCTCCATATTCATAGTTCCTATTTTAAGCCAGAAATAAAATTGTCAGAGCCTTTCAGTATTCATCAGCTGATGAAACCCACCAGGATTCTGAATCAACACCTCATCTGCCACCTGTCAGCCCCAGCATCACTCTCTTTGCCTGCCTTGCTCCTCCTTGTGTACATCCTAGGAATTTCCAGATTTTCTTGAGGCTTCATAGGTAGGACTCTTTGTTCCTGGGGAGTTTGCTTTTATTTTCTTGTACATGGTCATTCCTGTTCTCTTGGATTCCTAGAGCTGAACTTTAAACTTGAAAACTGTTTTTTAAAAATAGTCTTTTTGGTTAGGATTGTCGGAATTTAGAATCGACTTCTGAGATTGGAGGACAGTGCATCTCATCTCATTGTCTTACAAGGCAATTACAGTTGGAAATAGGACAAAGAAGACATGACATTGGGGAGGTAAAACAGCTAGAGCATCTTCCTCATAGAACTGGTAAGGCTGGAGCTTCCTCTGATCTTTCTCTGAGGTTGGTGCAGACTTACAGCTGCAGTCCAGACCTTTTCTTTTAATGTGAGACTCTGATATTCAACCACCTACTCCGTGTCTCCACTTAGAAGTCTAGCAGGCACCTCAAATCTAACATGATAGAAACAAACACCGGAACTTCATCCTTAAATTTGCTCCTGTCTGTCTTCCCCACATCTGCTAATAACAACTCTATCCTTTGAGGCACTCAAGCAAAAATGTTGCTCAAGTAAAAAATGCCTAGCTCCTCCACCACTCTGTCCCCAATACCTATTCTTCTTCCCCAACACTTCTCTCTTTCTTCCAGGACCCCGTGTCGGATTCACCAGGAACTCCTATTGGCTTTTACCTTCAAAACAGATCCAGAGGCTGACCATCTCTCCCACCACAGGCCGAGTCACCACCCTCTCTCTTGGTTTCTGTGGTCTCCCTTCTTTATACTCGATGTGGCAGCCAGAGCGATCATTTTATTATTATTATTACTTTTTTTTTTTTGAGAGGGAGTCTCACTCCATCGCTCAGACTGGAGTGCAGTGGCACGATCTCAGCTCACTGCAACCTCCGCCTCCTGGGTTCCAGCGATTCTCCTGCTTTGGCCTCCCAAGCAGCTGGGCTTACAGTTGCCCGCCACCATGCCTGGCTAATTTTTGTATTTTTAGTAGAGATGGGGTTTCCCCATGTTGGCCAGGCTGGTCTCAAACTCCTGACCTCAAAAGATCCTCCTGCCTTGGCCTCCCAAAGTGCTGGGATTACAGGTGTGAACCACTGCATTCCGCCAGGGCAATCGTTTTAAATCTGCATCAGTACATGCCCCTCCTCTGCTCAAAACTCCCCAATAGCTTCTGTCTCTCAGGATGAAAGGCAAATTCTTAAAAAGGCTTCCAAGATCCCCACCTTCCCCTATTATCACTCTAATCTCATCTGACCTACCCCCTGTCCTCTATGCCTTAGCCACCCCGGCCTCCTTGCTGCTCCACGGACCTTCCAGGCACGGTCCTGCCTTGGCAACAGAAGTTCCCTTTGCTGGAAAGCTTTTCCTCTCCACAAGGCTGACCCCCTCACCAACTGCAAGTCCCTTCTCAGCCAAGCCTCCCATGATAACTTTATATAAAATTGCAAACTTGCTTCCATGTTCCCTCCCCTGTTTCATTTCGGATCACTATCTTGCATACTATACATTTAACTCACTGATTTTGTTTATTGTCTGTCCCCCACAACTTCAACTAAAATGTAAGCTCCATGAGGGAAGGAACTTTTGTCTATTTTTGCACTCTATTTCCAGTGCCCGGAAGAGTAGCTGGCAGCTGGCAGACACTGAAACATATTTATTAGGTGAGTGAATGACTGTTTAGGGATTAACACAGTGCCCAACTCTATCTAATCAGGAATCATTCCATGACAAAAAGGCAGAAAAGCAATTCAAGCCAGAAAGGAATGTGATTGGATTACTTCCAGTGCTGTTGGAAATTCAGGGAAATGTTATTTTCAGGGCAGCTCTATCCAGGAACTCAAATGAAGCCATCAGTCAGGGACTTCCTTTCTCTGCTGTCTCTAATTTCTTTCCTGTTAGCTTCATTCTCAGGCAGGTTTTTATTGTCCCCATCAACTTCAGACATACATGCTATCGGATAAGCAATGCCAGTGAGGGAAGATAAGCACCCCCCTTTTTTTTTTTAACATTTTCCCCTAAAGTCCAAGGACACCATCTCACTGGCCTGGCTCAAGTCAGGTGCCCATCCCTGGACCAATCCCTGTGATGCAGAGGAATGAAATACTCCCCTTGGCCAGTCGAATCATCTGATCATCCCCAGAGGAGAGTGAGAGAGTGGGGGTATCAGGCCCACCCACACTCCACAGACTGAGAAGGGAAGGAGGGGTGCCTCTGTAGGGAGAAACATACATAGGTGCCATTACCAGGCTCATCCTGCATTACCAACAGAGTGATTTCTGTAAAATATGGTTATGATCTTGTGACTATTATGCCCCAGAATCCTCAATGGCTCCCGATTAAAATAAATGCTGAAATTCTTGGTCTGGCATTCAAAACTCATCATAATGTAGCCCCAATCTATTCCTCTGGTTTTCTCTCTCACCAAGCACTCCCACATTCTCTTTGCTATGGAAACGCTGGACCATGTGCTATTCTTGGACCACTATTTGTTCATTCATTTATTTATTTATTCATACATCTATAACACTTATTAAGCACTTACTATATGCCTCCCAGCCTTTGTTCATTTAGTGACTGCTCTCCTGAATGCATTTTGCCTCCTCTATGCATATAAAAGCCAACACACTCTTTATGTCTCAGGTTAAGTGCCACATTCTTGAAGATGTCCTCATTCCTCTCCTACCCCGTCCATGCAACTCGGAATTATTTATTCCCTCCATCTCTCTCCATAATACTTTATTTCCTCTCTTGAAGCAGCATTTTTGAAGGTGCCTTGGTTTAATGTTATATATGTAAATACCAATTTCCTCTATTGGACTCTAAATTCTTTGAGGGCTTAGGCATCCCCTCTACACCATACAGGCAGTTAAAATATATTGTGTACATAGTACATCTCTAATAAAAATGAATGAATAACAAACCAAATTGCCTTAAACTTACAGTTTCTCTCTTCGTCACTGTGGTATGTTTATTTGTATAGCACACATTTGGATTTATAAAGTGTTTTCAGGCCTTACATGTTATTTACTTTTCAGAACAGTATTACTGGGTATTATCTCTATTTTAAGGATAAAGAAACAGAATCTCTGATAAGCTAGGCAACTTTTGGGCTGCATAGCTGATAAGTGGTAAGGATAAGAATTGAATTCAGATCCAATATTGACTCTATATCAGTCAAGGGTATTTTGGTGACTGTGTAAGTACAAAAAGTAATTTATTGGTTGATTGGTGGTAGTCAAAGAACCATGCTTTTTGGTAATCACTCTCTTGGGTCGTTCCCTCCCTCAGTGGCTCTGAGCATGGATGTGTGACTTGTTTTGACCAGTAGGACTTTAGCCAGCATGATGTAAGCAGAAGCTGGATAAGTCACGGTGCATGCGGACTTGCTTGTTTGGACTGCTTCCTTTTGGACCTAGCTGTTACACCCTAAAAAGCCCAAGCCACGGAGGGGAGAAGAACCATGCGCCCTTCAAGAGCCCCAGTTAAGTCCTCAGCTGCTACCAGCACCAACAGAGCATGTGAGGCTCATCCCATCTGGAGGCAACTGGTCCAGCCTCTAGATGGCTGAAACTCCAGCTGCAGAACCATGAGAGGGAATACAATGATTGTCATTTAAAGTCATTAGGTTTTAGAGCAGTGTGATACTCAAAAATAGGTAACAGAAACATCAGGCCAGCATCTGACTTACTCTGTCCAACCCCGAACCAATCACTGTGGCTGTGACTGTGGGGTCTTCTGGCTCCTGCCAGGACCACACGGAGCAGGGGAAGAGATTCTCAAGGAAGGGGTATGAGGATTTGTGTGTGACAAATAAAACTGGTGGCTCCAGAGCCAAGTCCAGGCTGCAGGAAGGCAACCTACCTCCTCAGTGGGTTAGGAAGGTGTTCATCTCATTAAGGAACCGTAGATTGTCAGAGGTTAAAAACTTCAAGTCCAAGTCTTTCATTTTACAGATAGTAAAATTAAGGCCTAGGGAAAACCATTTCCAGGGGCAAGATCCCATCAACCATCAGGCCAGATCCGGGTTACTGTGGGCCCTACTCTGGATCTACCATCCCATGTTTCCTCAGCGATGCTGGTTCTCAGGAGAGGGTGGAGGTGGGGTGTGAGGATGTACGTGTGTGAACATTTGTGTGTTTCCTAGTGTCTGCCCTGGGGTGGGATTGAGGATCCTTGGCGTGAGGGATGTCATCCTCCCAGAGCTCTGTTTTCACTCCCTTCTGGGCAGAGATCCACATTCACACACAAATCTGGGGTTAGTCAGACCCCACTCAGCTCCAGTTAGGAGTCCTCCTCAGCCTTTCCCGACACAACTGATTGTTAAACCACTTCAGGGCATGTCTCTAAAGTGTTGTGAAATTTTCATCAGAGAGGAGTATTTACAGTCAACATTTGGGACCTCAGGCTTCATGTAACACCCTGCTTGGTGTGAATTTGTGGCTCTTTAGATAATTCAAAAGCAATTTTTGTGAAATTTCCCAGAACATTTTGTTTCCTCAGGCAAAAAATGACTTTCACTGCATCAGCAACAGTTGTGTGCCTGCTCCAGAAAAAGACAATCAATTGTGGCCTCTGACACATCAATAAATATTGGTAGAGGCCAGATTCTTTGTCTTCACTGTATCCATCGTTCTCTTCCTTCCCATAACCTCCACAGTTAGAGTTGTAGGATGTTCATCCTGATACAGAATTCAGAGTTTATTTACTCAAACCCATGATTTTAGAGATGAAGAAACAGAGGCCCAGAGATGGCTAGAGGTTTGTTTTAGTCACACAGTAATTCTCATGAACTAAGTTGGGATCTGAGCTCTTTTTTTTTTTTTGACTCTGAATCAAATCTTCTTTCCACAGCGCTGCAATGTTTTGGTGACTTCAGTGGCAGCTCTGATGAAGGATAGGGAGTAAGTTTTGGGGAAGACAGATAGGGAAGCAACTGAGTTTCAGAGGAAACTGCCTCTTAGCAGGGTGGCCCCAGAGAGTGAAGAGAATGATCTAGATTTCTCCAATAGAGACTGGGGACTGCACTACCTGTCTTCAGCCACTAGCAGGACACTTGGATATGACATCTTGAAGAAGTTTTTAAACAAGTCTCCATAGGAAACTAGCCGTGCTATGTCTCATTTTCTCAGGGCCCTGATATGTGTCTCTGAGATTCAGAGAGGTTAAGCACGTTACCCAAGATCACACAGCTAAAAGTTGATTTCAAAGCCTGTGACCTTTGCATTACCCTGTACTGTCTTTTAGGGGGCTAGGCACAATCTTTGCTGTCAATGCAACTGAAAGTATTTAGTCAGTGCTTATTTGTTCTAAGGCAAAAAATCATAGGGATATGTAGGAGTTGATTTTTATTTAAAAGCTGCATAATGCATCTGGTTGAGGATGTGAGCTCTATAAGGTTAGACTGTCTAAGTGCAAATCCAAGTTCAGTCGCTTATGCCTTTGTGACCTTGGGGGCGCACTCAAACCCCTCCAAGGTCTCCTTTTACTTCTTATCTATACAATGGACATAATTTTAGCATATGCCTTATAGTGTGGTCATGAGGGTAAAAGGGAGATAATGCTTACAAATCACTGAACATCATGCCTGACACTTAAATGCTCAAAAATGTTTGCTGTTATTTGATTTTGTAATGCACAGTGTAATTGGTGAGCAGGATGAATCAGGAAGGGAAAATGTAAAAGAGAAAAGACAACCTCTTCTTCATGTTTAACTTGGCGTCACTCACTGATTCCTTTGCATGTCTTGAGCACACATCTACCCCCTCTGGTTGGTTTGATTAGATCAGCTCAGTTCATTCATTCCAGAGGAGAGAGACAGGTGAAATTGTTTAGTGGGAAACCCAATCAGATGTGCACAAAGATGCATATAAGAGTATAGTTTTTGCAGAATTAGTCATAGTAGAGAAAACCCAGAGGTCATCTATATGTTAGTTTATAAAGAACTAGTTTGGCCGGGCACATTGGATCACATTCTATAATCTCAGCACTTTGGGAAATCAAGGCAGGAGAATCACTTGAGGCCAGGAGTTTGAGACCAGCCTGGAAAACATAGTGAGACACTGTATCTACAAAAAATAATGAATAAATAAAAATTAGACAGGTATGGTGGCATGCGCCTGTAGTCCTAGCTACTTGGGAGGCTGAGGTGGGAGGATTGCTTGAGTCAGAGTTCAAGGCTGCAGAGAGCTATAATCACAGCACTGCACTCCAGCCTGAGTGACAGAGCAAGACCCCATCTCTCTAAAAAAAAAGAAGACTGGTTATATCAGCTATGGTGTATCTCAGTAATGCAGCACAGTGCTTTCCACTGTTAGGACAAAAACCTCCGAATCATCTTCAAGTCTTTTCTTTTCTCACTCCCTCCATGAATACCATGAGTAAATCTTGTTGACTACCTGCAAAATATGTTTGGAATCTGCCTACTTCTCATTACCTCCACAGCTCCCTTCCTGATCTTGAGACACTGTCGTTTCTGCAGCAGATGTTTGCAATCATCTTCCACCTGGTTCCCCTGTATCCACTCTTGCCCCTTCCAGCTACAGTGGCATCCTTGCTGTTCCATGAACCTATTAGTTACATTCCCGCTACAGGGCCTTTGTTCTTACTGTTCCTGCTGCCTGAAACATTCTTCCCTCCATGTTCTCCTAGATCCCTCCCTCATCTACTCAAGGGTGCTTCTCAGTGAGACCTGCTCTATCCACCTCATTTTTAGTTGCAATTTACCCCACTCTGAGTTTAGTACTCCCAATCCCCTTTACCCTGCTCTGTTTTTATGATTTATTTAACATATTGTGTTTCCCTCCACTAGAATATAAGCTCCACAAATTCAAGAATCTCTGCATTTTTACCTCTGCTTTTGTTGTTTAGTGCTGTATTCCTAACACCTACCATTGTGTCAAGCACATAGTAGGTACCTAATAAATATTTTCTAAAAGTATAAATAAATGAATGAATTCTTTATAATGGGTTAGTAAACAAACCTTAAAATCAATGAAGGAGTTCTATATATATTAACATGGAAAACTCTTCAAGACTTTTTTTTTTCATTTCAACTTTTTTAGATTCAGTGAGTACATGTGCATAATATACTTGGGTATATTATATGATGCTGAGGTCAGGGGTATAAATGATCCTGTCACCCAGGTACTGAACATAGTATGCAATAGTTATTTTTTCAACTCTTGCCCCCCTCCCTCCTTCCCCCCTCTAGTAGTCCCCAGTGTCTGTTGTTGCCATGTTTATGCCCATGAATATCTGATATTTACCTTCCACTTACAAGTGAAAACATGTGGGATTTGGTTTTCTGTTTCTGTTTCTGTGTTAATTTGCTTAGGATAATGGCCACCAGCTGCATCCATATTGCTGCAAAGGACATGCTTTGGTTCTTTTTTATGGCTGCATAGTGTTCCACAGTATATATGTACCACCTTTAAAAAATACAATCCACCACTGATGGGCACCTAGGTTGAATCCATGACTTTGTTATTGTGAATAGCCCTGCATTGAGTGTGATGAAGTGCATGTGTCTTTTGGTAGAATGATTTGTTTTCTTTTAGATATATACCCAGTGATGGGATTGCCAGGTCCAATGGCAGCTCTGATTTAAGTTCTTTGAGAAATCTCCAAACTGCTTTCCACAGTGGCTGAACTCATTTACATTCCCACCAACAGTGTATAAGCATTCCCTTTTCTCTGCAGCCTTGCCAATATCTGTTGTTATTTGACTTTTTAATAATTGCCATTCTGACTGGTGTGAGATGGCATCTCACTGTGGTTTTGATTTGCATTTCTCTCATGATTAGTGAGAATGAGCATTTTTTCACATGTTTGCTTGCTGCTTGTATGTCTTCTTTTGGGAAGTGTCTGTTTGTATCTGTATTAGTCTGTTTTCACATTGCTGTAAAGAACTACCTGAGATTGGGTAATTTATAAAGAAAAGAGGTTTAATTGGCTCACAGTTCCTCAGGCTGTACAGAAAGCATGACTGGGGAGACCTCAGGAAACTTACAATCATGGTGGAAGGCAAAGAGGAAGCAGGCACATCTTACATGGCCAGAACAGGAGGAAGAGAGTGAAGGGGGAAGTGCTACACACTTTTAATCAACCAGATCTCGTAAGAACTCACTATCAGGAGAACAGCAAGAGGGAAATCCGCCCCCATGATCCAATCACCTCCCACCAGACCCCCTCCTCCAACATTGGGGATTACAATTCAACATGAGATTAGGGCAGGGACACAAACCCAAACCATATCAATATCTGTTGCCCATTTTTAATGGGGTTGTTTTTTGCTTGCTCCATTGTTTAAGTTTCTTATAGATTCTGGTTGTTAAAACTTTGTCGGATGCAGAGTTTGTGAATATTTCCTCCCATTCTGTGGGGCTGTCTGTTTACTCTATTGATAGGTTCTTTGGCTGTTCAGAGCTGTTTAATTTAATTAGGTCCCATTTATCAGTTTTTGTTTTTGTTGCAATTGCTTTTGAGGATTTAGTCATAAATTCTTTCCCAAGGCCCATGTCCAGAATGGTGTTTCCTAGGTGTTCTTCTAGGATTCTTATAGTTTGAGGTTTTACATTTAAGTCTTCATCTTGAGTTAATTTTTGTATATGGTAAAAGGTAAAGGTCCAATTTCATTCTTCTGCACATGGCTAGCAAGCTCTCCCAGCACTATTTATTGAATAGGGAGTCTTTTTCATGTTGCTTATTTTTGTCAACTTTGTTGAAGATTATTAGATGGCTGTAGACGTGCTGCTTTATTTCTGGGCTCTTTATTTTGTTCCATAGGTTTATGTATCTGTTTTTGTATCAGTACCATACTGTTTTGGTTACTGCAGCCTTATAGTATAGTTTGAAGTCAGGTGATGTGATGCCTCTGGCTTTGTTCTTTTTGCTTAGAATTGCTTTGGCTATTTGAGCTCTTTTTTTATTCCATATGAATTTTAGAATAGTTTTTTTCCAATTCTGTGAAAAATTATGTTGGTAGTTTGTTATAAATAGTGTTGAATCTGTAGATTGCTTTGGGCAATAAGGTTGTTTTAGTGATATTGATTTTTTCAATCCATGAGTATGGAATGTTTTTACACTTGTTTGTGTCATTTATGATTTCTCTTGGCAGTGTTTTTAGTTCTTTTTGTAGAGGTCTTTTACCTCCTAGGTTAGATGTATTCCTAGGTGTTTTATTTTTTGTGTGGCTATTGTAAATGGGATTGTGTTCTTAATTTGGCTCTCAGCATGAACATTACTGGTGCATAGAAATGCATAGTACTGACTTTTGTACATTGATTTTGTATCCTGAAACTTTGCTGAAGTCAGTTGCAAGAGCCTTTTGGTGGTGTCTTTAGGATTTTCAAGGTCTAGAATTGTATTGTCCACAAAAAGAGATAATTTGACTTTCTGTCTTCCTATTTCGATGCCTTTTATCTCTTTCTTTCGTCTGATTTCTCTGGCTAGGACTTCCAGTACTGTGTTGAATAGGAGTTGTGAGTGTGGACATCTTCAAGTTCAAGGGGAATGCTTCCAGTTTCTGCCTATTTAGTATGATATTGGCTGTGAGTTTGTCATAGATGGCTCTTATTATTTTGAGGTATGTTCCTATGATGCCTAGTTTCTTGAGAGTTTTTACCATGAAAAGATGTTGAATTTTATTGTCCTTCCTGTCTATTGAGATAATATGGTTTTTGTTTTTAATTTTTTATGTGGTGAATTACATTTATTACTTGTGTATGTTGAACCAACCTTGCATCCCAGGAATGAAGCCTATTTGATCATGGTGGATTAACTTTTTAACATGTTGATGAATTTAGTTTGCTAGTATTTTTTAAAGGATTTTTGTATGTATATTCATCAGGGATATTGGCCTATAGTTTTATTTTGTCTGTCAGGTTTTTGTATCAGGGTGATGCTGGCTTTGTAGAATGCATTAGGGAAGAGTCCCTTCTACTTGATGTTTTGAAATAGTTTCAGTAGAATTGATGTGGTGCCAGCTTTTCCTTGAACATTTGGTAGATTTGGCTGTGAATCCATCTGGTCCAGGGCTTTTCTTGGTTGGTAGGCTTTTTTTTTTTTAATTACTGATTCAATTTCAGAACTGATTCAATCTTGGGAGATTGTGTGTTTCCAGGAATTTATCCCTTTGCTCTACATTTTCTAGTTTATGTGTGTAGAGGTGTTCATAATAGTCTCTGAGGATCTTTTATATTTCTGTGAGATCAGTTGTAATGTCACCTTTGCCATTTCTGATTGTGCTTATTTGGATATTCTCTCTCTTTCTCTCTGTCAACCTAGCTAGTAGTGTCTATCAGTCTTGTTTATCCTTTCAAAAAGCAAACTTTTGGTTTCCTTGATTCTTTGTAAGAATGTTTGGGTCTCAATTTCATTCAGTTCTGCTCTGATTTTAGTTTTTTCTTCCTCTACCTTTGGGGTTAGTTTTATCTTGTTTTTCTAATTCCTCTAGGTGTGATGTTAGATTGTTAATTTGAGATTTTTCTAACTTTTTGAGTAGGCATTTAGTGCTATAAACTTTCTTCTTAACACTGCCTTTGCTGCATCCCAGAGATTTTGGTATGTTGTGTCTCTGTTTTCAGTTATTTCAAATAATTTTTTGATTTCTGCCTTGATTTTGTTGCTTACCAAAAGTAATTTACTAGCAAGTTGTTTAATTTCCATATTATTATGTGGTTTTGAGATATCTTCTTGGTATTGATTTGTATTTTTATTCCACTGTGGTCTGAGTGTATGGTTAGTATAATTGTGATTTTTTTTGGAATTGATTGAGACTTGCTTTATGGCTGAGAATATGGTCAATCTTGAAGTATGTTCCATGTACAGATTAGAAGAATGTATATTCTGTGATTAATGGGTGAAGTATTCTGCAGATATCTATTGGGTCCAGTTGGTCAAGTGTTGAGCTTAAGTCCAGAATTTCTTTGTTAGTTTTTTGCCTTCATTATCTGTCTAATGCTGTCAGTGGTGTGTTAAAGTTCTCCACTATTAAGTGTGGCTGTTTAAGTCTTTTAGTTTTTTTTTTTATTATACTTTAAGTTTTAGGGTATATGTGCACAACGTTTGTATGTATGTATGTATGTATGTATGTATGTATGTATGTAACAAACAACAGGTTTGTTACATACGTATACATGAGCCATGTTGGTGTGCTGCACCCATTAACTCATCATTTAACATTAGGTGTATCTCCTAATGCTGTCCCTCCCCCCACCCCACAACAGGTCCCAGTGTATGATGTTCCCCTTCCTGTGTCCATGTGTTCTCATTGTTCAATTCCCACCTATGAGTGAGAACATGTGGTGTTTGGTTTTTTGTCCTTGCGATAGTTTGCTGAGAATGATGGTTTCCAGCTTCATCCATGTCCCTACAAAGGACATGAACTCATCCTTTTTTATGGCTGCATAGTATTCCATGGTGTATATGTGCCACATTTTCTTAATCCAGTCTATCATTCTTGGACATTTGGCTTGGTTCCAAGTCTTTGCTATTGTGAATAGTGCCGCAATAAACATACGTGTGCATGTGTCTTTATAGCAGCATGATTCATAATCCTTTGGGTATATACCCAGTAATGGGATTGCTGGGTCAAATGGTATTTCTAGTTCTAGATCCCTGAGGAATCGCCACACTGACTTCCACAAGGGTTGAACTAGTTTACAGTCCCACCAACAGTATAAAAGTGTTCCTATTTCTCCACATCCTCTCCAGCACCTGTTGTTTCCTGACTTTTTTAATGTTTGCCATTCTAACTGGTGTGAGATGGTATCTCATTGTGGTTTTGATTTGCATTTCTCTGATGACCAGTGATGATGAGCATTTTTTCATGTGCCTTTTGGCTGCATGAATGTCTTCTTTTGAGAAGTGTCTGTTCATATCCTTCACCCATTTTCTGATGGGGTTGTTTGTTTTTTTCTTGTACATTTTTTTGAGTTCATTGTAGATTCTGGATATTAGCCCTTTGTCAGATGAGTAGATTGCAAAAATTTTCTCCCATTCTGTAGGTTGCCTGTGCACTCTGATGGTAGTTTCCTTTGCTGTGCAGAAGCTCTTCAGTTTAGTTACATCCCGTTTGTCAATTTTGGCTTTTGTTGCCATTGCTTTTGGTGTTTTAGACATGAAGTCCTTGCCCATGCCTATGTCCTGAATGGTAATGCCTAGGTTTTCTTCTAGGGTTTTTATGGTTTTAGGTCTAACATTTAAGTCTTTAATCCATCTTGAATTAATTTTTGTATAAGGTATAAGGAAGGGATCCAGTTTCAGCTTTCTACATATGGCTAGCCAGTTTTCCCAGCACCATTTATTAAATAGGGAATCCTTTCCCCATTTCTTGTTTTTGTCAGGTTTGTCAAAGATCAGATGGTTGTAGATATGCGACATTATTTCTGAGGGCTCTGTTCTGTTCCATTGTTCTATATCTCTGTATTGGTACCAGTACCATGCTGTTTTGGTTACTGTAGCCTTGTAGTATAGTTTGAAGTCAGGTAGTGTGATGCCTCCAGCTTTGTTCTTTTGGCTTAGGATTGACTTGGCAATGCAGGCTCTTTTTTGGTTCCATACGAACTTTAAAGTAGTTTTTTCCAATTCTGTGAAGAAAGTCATTGGTAGCTTGATGGGGATGGCATTGAATCTATAAATTAGCTTGGGCAGTATGGCCATTTTCACGATACTGATTCTTCCTACCCATGAGCAGGGAATGTTATTCCATTTGTTTTTATCCTCTTTTATTTCATTGAGCAGTGGTTTGTAGTTCTCCTTGAAGAGGTCCTTCACATCCCTTGTGAGTTGGATTCCTAGGTATTTTATTCTCTTTGAAGCAATAGTAAATGGGAGTTCACTCATGATTTGGCTCTCTGTCTGTTATTGGTGTATAAGAATGCTTGTGATTTTTGCATATTGATTTTGTATCCTGAGACTTTGCTAAAGTTGCCTATCAGCTTAAGGAGATTTTGGGCTGAGACAATGGGGTTTTCTACATATACAATCATGTCATCTGCAAACAGGGACAATTTGACTTCCTTTTTTCCTAGTCGAATACTCTTTATTTCCTTCTCCTGCTTGATTGCCCTGGCCAGAACTTCCAACACTATGTTGAATAGGAGTGGTGAGAGAGGGCATCCCTGTCTTGTGCCACTTTTCAAAGGGAATGCTTCCAGTTTTTGCCCATTCAGTATGATATTGGCTGTGGGTTTGTCATAGATAGCTCTTATGATTTTGAGATACGTCCCATCAATAACTAATTTATTGAGAGTTTTTAGCATGAAGCGTTGTTGAATTTTGTCAAAGGTTTTTCTGCATCTGTTGAGGTAGTCATGTGGTTTTTGTCGTTGGTTCTGTTTATATGCTGGATTACGTTTATTGATTTGCGTATGTTGAACCAGCCTTGCATCCCAGGGATGAAGACGACTTGATCATGGTGAATAAGCTTTTTGGTGGGCTGCTGGATTTGGTTTGCCAGTATTTTATTGAGGATTTTTGCATCGATGTTCATCAGGGATATTGGTCTAAAGTTCTCTTTTTTTTAATTGGGTCTCTGCCAGGCTTTGGTATGAGGATGATGCTGTCCTCATAAAATGAGTTAGGGAGGATTCCCTCTTTTTCTATTGATTGGAATAGTTTCAGAAGGAATGGTACCAGCTCCTCCTTGTATTTCTGGTAGAATTCGGCTGTGAATCCATCCGGTCCTGGACTTTTTTTGGTTGGTAAGCTATTAACTATTGCCTCAATTTCAGAGCCTGTTATTGGTCTATTCAGAGATTGAACTTCTTCCTGGTTTATTCTTGGGAGGGTGTATGTGTCCAGGAATTTATGCATTTCTTCTAGATTTTCTAGTTTATTTGCATAGAAGTGTTTATAGTATTCTCTGATGGTAGTTTGTATTTCTGTGGGATCAGTGGTGATATCCCCTTTATCATTTTTCATTGCGTCTATTTGATTCTTCTCTCTTTTCTTCTTTGTTAGTCTTGCTAGCGGTCTATCAATTTTGTTGATCTTTTCAAAAAACCAGCTCCTGGATTCATTGATTTTTTGAAGGGTTTTTGTGTCTCTATTTCCTTCACTTCTGCTCTGATCTTAGTTATTTCTTGCCTTCTGCTAGCTTTTGAATGTGTTTGCTCTTGCTTCTCTAGTTCTTTTAATTGTGATGTTAGGGTGTCAATTTTAGATCTTTCCTGCTTTCTCTTGTGGGCATTGAGTGCTATAAATTTCCCTCCACACACTGCTTTGAATGTGTCCCAGAGATTCTGGTATGTTGTGTCTTTGTTCTCGTTGGTTTCAAAGAACATCTTTATTTCTGCCTTCATTTCATTATGCACCCAGTGGTCATTCAGGAGCAGATTGTTCAGTTTCCATGTAGTTGAGCGGTTTTGAGTGAGTTTCTTAATCCTGAGTTCTAGTTTGATTGCACTGTGGTCTGAGAGACAGTTTGTTATAATTTCTGTTCTTTTACATTTGCTGAGGAGTGCTTTACTTCCAACTATGTGGTCAATTTTGGAATAGGTATGGTGTGGTGCTGAAAAGAATGCATGTTCTCTTGATTTGGGGTGGAGAGTTCTATAGATGTCTGTTAGGTCCGCTTGGTGCAGAGCTGAGTTCAATTCCTGGATATCCTTGTTAAATTTATGTCTTGTTGATCTGTCTAATGTTGACAGTGGGGTGTTAAAGTCTCCCATTATTATTGTGTGGGAGTCTAAGTCTCTTTGTAGGTCACTCAGGACTTGCTTTATGAATCTGGGTGCTCCTGTATTGGGTGCATATATATTTAGGATAGTTAGCTCTTCTTGTTGAATTGATCCATTCACCATTATATAATGGCCTTCTTTGTCTCTTTTGACCTTTGTTGGTTTAAAGTCTGTTTCATCAGAGACTAGGATTGCAACCCCTGCCTTTTTTTGTTTTCCATTTGCTTGGTAGTTCTTCCTCCATCCCTTTATTTTGAGCCTATGTGTGTCTCTGCACGTGAGATGGGTTTCCTGAATACAACACACTGATGGGTCTTGACTCTTTATCCGATTTGCCATTCTGTGTCTTTTAATTGGAGCATTTAGCCCATTTACATTTAAGATTAATATTGTTATGTGTGAATCTGATCCTGTCATTATGATGTTAGCTGGTTATTTTGCCTGTTAATTGATGCAGTTTCTTCCTAGCCTTGATGGTCTTTACAATTTGGCATGTTTTTGCAGTGGCTGGTACCGGTTGTTCCTTTCCATATTTAGTGCTTCCTTCAGGAGCTCTTGTAAGGCAGGCCTGGTGGTGACAAAATCTCTCAGCATTTGCTTGTCTGTAAAGTATTTTATTTCTCCTTCACTTATGAAGCTTAGTTTGGCTGGATATGAAATTGTGGGTTGAAAATTCTTTTCTTTAAGAATGTTGAATATTGGCCCCCACTCTCTTCTGGCTTGTAGAGTTTCTGCTGAGAGATCTACTGTTAGTCTGATGCGCTTCCCTTTGTGGGTAAGCCAACCTTTCTCTCTGGCTGCCCTTAACATTTTTTCCTTCATTTTAACTTCGGTGAATCTGACAATTATGTGTCTTGGAGTTGCTCTTCTCGAGGAGTATCTTTGTGGCATTCTTTGTACTTCCTGAATTTGAATGTTGGCCTGCCTTGCTAGATTGGGGAAGTTTTCCTGGATAATATCCTGCAGAGTGTTTTCCAACTTGGTTCCATTCTCCCCATCACTTTCAGGTACACCAGTCAGACGTAGATTTGGTCTTTTTACATAGTCCCATATTTCTTGGAGGCTTTGTTCATTTCTTTTTATTCTTTTTTCTCTAAACTTCTCTTCTCGCTTCATTTCATTCATTGTTCTTCCATCACTGATACCCTTTCTTCCAGTTAATTGAATTGGCTACTGAGACTTGTGCATTCGTCATGTAGTTCTCGTGCCATGGTTTTCAGCTCCATCAGGTCCTTTAAGGACTTCTCTGCATTGGTTATTCTAGTTAGCCATTCATCTAATTTTTTTTCAAGGTCTTTAACTTCTTTGCCATGGGTTCGAACTTCCTTCTTTAGCTCAGAGTAGTTTGATCATCTGAAGCCTTCTTCTCTCCACTGGTTAAAGTCATTCTCCATCTAGCTTTGTTCTGTTGCTGGTGAGGAGCTGCGTTCCTTTGGAGGAGGAGAGGCGCTCTGATTTTTAGAGTTTCCAGTTTTTCTGCTCTGTTTTTTCCCTATCTTTGTGGTTTTATCTACCTTTGGTCTTTGATGATGGTGACGTACAGATGGGGTTTTGGTGTGGATGTCCTTTCTGTTTGTTAGTTTTCCTTCTAACAGTCAGGACCCTCAGCTGCAGGTCTGTTGGAGTTTGCTGGAGGTCCACTCCAGACCCTGTTTGCCTGGGTATCAGCAGTGGAGGCTGCAGAACAGTGGATATTGGTGAACAGCAAATGTTGCTGCCTGATCGTTCCTCTGGAAGTTTTGTCTCAGAGGAGTACCCGGCCGTGTGAGGTGTCAATCTGCCCCTACTGGGGGATGTCTCCCAGTTAGGCTGCTCGGGGGTCAGGGACCAACTTGAGGAGGCAGTCTGTCCTTTTTCAGATATCCAGCTGCATGCTGGGAGAACCACCACTCTCTTCAAAGCTGTCAGACAGGGACATTTAATTCTGCAGAGGTGTCTACTGCCTTTTGTTTGGCTATGCCCTGCCCCCAGAGGTGGAGTCTACAGAGGCAGGCAGGCCTCCTTGAGCTGCAGTGGGCTCCACCGAGTTCGAGCTTCCTGGCCGCTTTGTTTACCTACTCAAACCTCAGCAATGGCGGGCGCCCCTCCCCCAGCCTCGCTGCTGCCTTGCAGTTTGATCTCAGACTGCTGTGCTAGCAGTGAGCAAGGCTCCGTGGGCGTAGGACCCTCCGAGCCAGGCACAGGATATAATCTCCTGGTGTGCCGTTTGCTAAGATTGTTGGAAAAGTACAGTATTAGGGTGGGAGTGACCCAATTTTCCAGGTGCTGTCTGTCACCCCTTTCTTTGACTAGGAAAGGGAATTCCCTGACTCCTTGCACTTCCTGGGTGAGGTGATGCCTCACCCTGCTTTGGCTCATGCTCGGTGTGCTGAACCCACTGTCCTGCACCCACTGTCTGACATTCCCCAGTGAGTTGAACCTGGTACCTCAGTTGGAAATGCAGAAATCACCCATCTTCTGCATCGCTCAAGCTGGGAGCTGTAGACTGGAGCTGTTCCTATTCGGCCATGTTGGCTCCTCCCCCTTAAGTCTTTTCATAGGTCTGGAAGTACTTGTTTTATGAATCTGGGTGCTCTAATGTTGGGTGTGTATATATTTATGGTAATTAAGTCTTCTTGTTGAATTGAACCCTTTGTCATTTACCCATTGTCCTGTTTTACTGTTGTTGGTTTAAAGTCTCTTTTATCTGATATAAGAATAGTGACTCCTGCTTTTTCTTGATTTCTATTTGTGTGGCAGATCTTTTCTCAGCCCTTTATTTTGAGCCTATGGGTGTCATTATGTGTGAGACAGGTCTTTTGAAGACAGCAGGTCAATGAGTCTTTTTTTTTTTTTAATTCAACTTGCCCTTCTGTGACTTTTAAACGGGGTGTTTAGACCATCTGCATTCAAAATTAATATTAACATGTGAAATTTTGAGCATATCATGAAGTTGTTAGTTGTCTGCTTTGTATTTCTATGGTGTTTTTGCTCTACAGGGTCTGCAGGCTATGTGTTTAGCTGTGTTTTTGTGGTAACAGGTATCATTCTTTTGCTTCCATGTTTAAAACTCCCTTAAAGGTCTCTTATAAGACTGGTCTAGTGGTAACAAATTCCCTCAGTGCTTGCTTGACTGGAAAATATTTTATTTCTCCTTCAGTTCTCTTGAATTATTTTTTCAAATATACTTTCCAGGTTGTTTGCTTTTTCTGCTTCTCTCTCAGGAATGCCAGTAATTTATAGATTTGGTGACTTCACATAATCCCATATTTCTCGAAGTCTTTGCTCATTTAAAAAAATTCCTGCCAGGTGCAGTGGCTCACACCTGTAATCTCAGCACTTTGGGAGGCTGAGGTGGGCAGATTACTTGAGGTCAGAAGTTCAAGACCAGCCTGGCCAACATGATGAAACTCCTTCTCTACTAAAAATACAAAAATTAGCTAGGCATGGTGGCACATGCCTGTAATCCCAGGTATTCAGGAGGTTGAGGGCAGGAGAAATGCTTGAACCTGGGAGGCAGAGGTTGTAGTGAGCCACAGTTATGTCACTGCACTCCAGCCTGGCAACAGAAGAAGATGCTGTCTTTTTAAAAAACAAACAAACAAAACAAAAACTTTTGTCTTTATTTTTGTCAGATTGGTTTAGTTCAAAAGTCTGGTCTTTAATCTCTGAAATTATTTCTTCTGCTTAGTCCAGTCTATTGACAAAGCTTTCAATTGTATTTTGAAACTCCTTACATGAGTATTTTAATTCCAGAAGCTCAGATTGCTTTCTTTTTAAGATGTTTATCTCTTCCTTCATTTTCTGGACTGCTTTGCTGTCTTTTTAAGATGTTTATCTCTTCCTTCATTTTCTGGACTGCTTTGGAAGTTTCTTTCTGTTGATTTTCAACCTTGTCTTGGATCTCAGTGAGCTTTCTTGCAATCCATGCTTTGAATTCTTTACCTGTCATTTCCGAGTTTCCATTTTGTGTAGGGACCATTGCTAGAAAGCTAATGCAATGCTTTGGTGGTATTGCCACATTCAGATTTTTCATGGTGGCAGAATTCTTGTGCCAGTTCCTTCTCATCTGGAGACACCGGTACTTCTAATTTTTGTATTTATTTTTCTATGGGTAGATTTTTTCCTCTTCTTTCTTTCCTTCAAAAAGTGAGTGATGTGGAGAGCAAAACATGCCCAGAAGTTCCCAAAAGCTTGGAGATGCAACAGCAGATGACAGCTGGGAGTTCTAAGACATATTTTTATTTTTATTTATGTACTGTATTTGCATAGGTTATTGGGGCACAGGTGGTATTTGGTTACATGAGTAAGTTCTTTAGTGGTGATTTGTGAGATTTTAGTGCACCCATCACCCAAGCAGTATACATTGTACCCTATTTGTAGTCTTTTATCCCTTGCCTCCCAACCCCAACACTTCCCCCCAAGTCCCCAGAGTCCATTGCATAATTCTTTCTTTCTTTCTTTCTTTCTTTCTTTCTTTCTTTCTTTCTTTCTTTCTTTCTTTCTTTCTTTCTTTCTTTTTTTGAGACAGAGTCTCGGTCTGTCACCCAGCTCAAGCTGGAGTGCAGTGGTGCGATCTCGGCTCACTGCAACCTCTGCCTCCAGCTTCCAGGTTCAGGCGATTCTCCTGCCTCAGGATTACAGGCGCCTGCCACCACGCCCGGCTAGTTTTTATATTTTTAGTAGAGACAGGGTTTCACCATGTTGGCTAGGCTGGTCTCAAACTCCTGGCCTCAAGTGACCTGCCCACCTCGGCCTCCCAAAGTGCTGGGATTACAGGCGTGAGCCACTGCACCCGGCCCATTGTGTCATTCTTATGCCTTTGTGCCAAGACCTATTTTTCAATAAAAGGAAAAATGAAGTTGTAAAGCTATACACACACAGAGTGTATAACTTCACTTATGTTTTTAAGAAAAACCCATTAAAATTATTTGTATCTTGCATACATATGTATATAAATGCATAAAATGTTGAGAAGGACATATTCTAGATTTATAGTAATAGTTATTTTTTAGGAAAAATGAAGACTTTTTTGTTCTTTACCTGCATCTCTAGTTTTTGAATTTATACAAAACACTGTATTCGTGTATTACTTTTATATTTTTATGTAGATTTTCTAAGCTGGTGTAAATTTTGAAAAAAATTAAGCATATGTGCCAAAACCTTGGCATCCTTGTTACATTCTCCTAGATCAAGTAACCTGCACAGGTTGTTAGCAGAGAGGTTTGAAATGGATCGGGGGTCTCTGACCAGTGGATTGTTCTTGCCCACTTGGCCCGATCCCTACTTCCCCAGACCCACATATTTTTCTACGCTCCACCGTGAGCACCTTGGGAGAAGGCTTACATTGTTTGGGTTGCTGCTGTAGCCCTGTCTTCCAGGACCCCATGCTTTAGACTTAGTAGATACAAAGTATGTATTTGTTTAATTGAAATAGCTCTTTCCTGTCCTCTGGAGCCACACAATCACATCCTTTCCTAGTGCATTCCGTGATGCAGCCTGAGTTCCCTCTCCTCCCTGCAGGTGGCAGAGTCTTCATCAGCTTTAACTAGCCATGCTTACTAGAGCAGTGGCTCTTAATCCATCAGACATAATGCATGCTTTCAGTAACACTTCCTAACCCTCTGCACTATTCTGGAATAAAATTAATAAATTAAACAATTACCTGCAAATATAACTTTAAAAAACCAATATAATGCCCTTGCTCTAATATAAAGAGAAATAAAAGGAAAGTAATTGATATAAAATACTACATATTTTAAAAACAAATGCTTGGATGTGATTTCCCTAGAAGTTATTGTAAAATAGGCACTCTGTGTATGTCTAGGATCCCTGTGATTGGGATGGCTACAAACGCTTTCTGAAACAGTTATGATATTTCAACCAGTGAAATACTTTTACAAAATGGTGGACAACTCTTGGTAGAACTGAACAAGACAAAGTACAAAATGTCTTTAATTTATGTGCATTTTCAGTTCCCCCAAATGTGCTGTATATCAAAGCTAAGCTCCCCACTCCCACTAATAAAATAAAATAAATAGAGAAACAGCTATGTTCTAGGCACAGATAATTATAAACAGGTGTTTCATCTTCTCAGAAGTCTGAGGTGAGGGACAATTTTTGTTGTGTAGGATTGCTCTTCATATTGGAGAATGTCTAACATCCCTAGCCTCTCACCCACGAAATGTCTGTGGTGTTCATTCATTTTGAGTACAGTACTAAAAAATAAATGTTTCCACAAAGTTCCATAATGTCCTCTAGGGAGCACTACTGGCCTCATCAAGAACCTTTGACTAGCTGTCTAATAGGGTAGCGACAAGTAATAAGCGACTACTGGCCTTGAAATGTAGCTAGTGGGACTAAATAACTAGAATTTTAATTTAAACCTGGACAACAGGGAGACACTATGTCTATAAAAAAATTTTAAAAATAGCCAGGTTTGGTGGCAAACACCTGTGGTCCCATCTCCTCAAGAGGCTGAAGCAGGAGGATTGCTTGAGCCTAGGAGTTCAGAGCTGCAAGTGAGCTACGATCGTGCTACTGCACTCCAGCCTGGACAACAGAGTGAGATCCTGTCTCAAAGAAAAAATTAAAATAAAATTTTGATTTGATTTACATATAAATTTTAAAATTGATGATCAGTTCAGTTATTGAAAAACTTTTAAATATGATTGGAACAACTTGGGTATGTGATTCTACTGTGTCAATATAAATTTTATGAAATCTGAATAGAGATCAAATACTTCTAACAGAAAGTCTAGTAAACGAACTGAGATGCTAAGTAAAATACACATAGGAATTAAAGGGTTTAGTAGGAAAAAAAGAACCTAAAATAGCTAATGAATATCTTATACTGGATTACATGTTGCATTGATAACATTTTGGATATAGTGGATTAAGTAAATATTAATAAAATTAATTTCATCTGTATATTTTTGCTTTCTCAATGTTACTACTGGAAAATCTAAAAATATGTATGTGGCTTACATTATAATATTATTGGAGAGTGCTGGAATAGAGAAAACTCAGGGCCATTTTTCAGCCTCTGAGATCTCTTTTTGCTTTTCTGTGTGATAGGAATGCATGGTAAGTTAGAAATGAAGGAGGAGTTAGAAAAATTTGTCCCTTGTTCTCTAGTGGGCAAACCAGGGGCCCCCAGGACAGGGTTTTTGAATAGTAGAATAATCTCAAGTGATGATTATTTTTTAATGAAGTCCCAGATTTTGGCCTGTGGTTTCTGGCAGGGTGGATGTTTTTCCACCACACTCCTCGTCTACTGGGTCCTCTGGTAACCTTCCCTTTACATTCTGACGTGGGGAGTTTGGCCTGTGATGCAAAGACCCCTGCCAGCTCTGCTCAGAGGCAGTGAGGAAAAGGCATTTCAAAGTACAAGGAAACTGGCCTATCTCTCCATTCTGGAGATTTACAGATATTCCAGGTGCTACCTTTCAAAGCAAACTATGGGATATCCCTTGAGGCAGAGCTTAGAGAACCAACACCATAGGTAGCTAAGTGACACCCAGCCACCAAGAGGCTGCACTGATCGTATATTCAGAAGCCTGTTATGGATTCTAGAATATGATGAGACTAGTTAAAATCATTTTCTGCCTCATTTTAAAAGAATTATCTTTTGTTTTCCAAGTGGTCAATTTCATGATGTGAGATAGAAGCATTAATGATGAGAAGCATGAACTTTGGGCTCAGATGACTGACATTTCATGACTGTGGGATGCCTGGCAGATAACTTAACCTCTCTGCACTTCGGTTTTCAGTTTTCCCGACTGTGAACTACCTTTTTCTTATGTAGAACATGCCCAGTAAGCAGTAGCTGTTTTTCATTATGAAGGGGTATGAATGGGAGGTGGAGGGAATTTTTAAAGAGGGAAGCCTTTCAGAACAGCATCTCCTAGACTATTTTCCTCGGAATACTGACCTCATGAAATCAAATTCCAAAAAGAAGAAAAGTTTTATGTGCACTGCATTTTGGAAATGGTGTATTCCTCAGTGGAGATTGACAAAGTATATTAGTATCTTAAACATTCTAAGAAGTCCTGCAGTAAAGAAACCAGTTTAATGTGGCTTAACTCAGCATTTTCCAAACTTATATTATTAGCATTTTCACCCCAAAATAACTACTAGCTCTGTAAGTTGTACTTTGAGAAAATATCTTACTTTCTAAGCAGAGCCCCTTGATCCTACACTTTAGATGGGCTGGACTCCTCATCAGAGGGAGAAACGTGGAACAAGCCAGCAGACTCTCTCCCATGACACCCAGGACCACAATGAAACGCCCACTCTGGAGGGAGCTTAGACAACCTTGGGAGAAAAAAAAAGTGGTGGTGAAATATAATAGTCTCTTGAAACGTTGCCCTAGAAATTTCTAAGTGGTGGTGGTGGAATAGAGGCAGACTATAAACTTAGATTTTGTTCTTCATATTTTAATAAAGTCCTATGAACTCTTACAGCTCTCTACAAATGATCAATAACTATAATAACCTTCTGCCGTAGCAGTATTTCAAAGAAAAATGCCATGCTGGAGTTTAAATACACACAGACAGACAGACAGACAGACACACACACACACACACACACACAGACACACACACATGCTGCATGATAATGTATGAGCAGATTAAAAAGATATGTTTAATTTATAAGCCCTACTCTGATTAGAAATGTTAGATGTGGAAAGATCGCTAAAGGATAATGTTCATACTCAATTTGCAATAATTGCACATTTCTTTCATCAAGACACATATCTAATATAATCTCCTAAATCCCAAAATACACATAAAAATAACGTCCAGTAAATGACATCAGACAGATAGGATATAAATTCTACTCCTAAAAAGATTCAGGATACACTAGGGTCTAAGTGAAAATGCAAAAAAGCAAACCTAGGTGTCTGTGAATATTTTTTTTCCCAACTCCCAAGTGCTTGGAATGTAAATTTTTTAAAAGAGCATAATTTCTCTTCAATTTTTATTATAAACATTTCAAACATACAAAAATTGGAGGAATAGTCAAATAAGCAGCCATCAAGCATTGTGAACATTTTTTTTTTCATTTTTACTTTGTGTACCATATATGCATACCTTATTATATAGGCATATATATTGAGGGGATAAACTTTTTAATAATAAATTACAGACATAGATATTTCACCTTAAATATTTCAGCATGTATGTCCTACAAAAGGACAGTCTCCCATATAATTACATAACATTATCTTGCCTAAGAAAACTAACAATAATTCTCTAGTTCCTTCTGATATTAATACCAACCCTAGAGTAAAATTTCCCCAGGAAGAAATCTAGGTTGATATACTGCACGTGGTTATGTTTCCTTATTCTCTTTAAATCTAGAATGCTTCTTCTATCTGCAACATTTTTTCGTTGATATATTGACTTTTTGATGAGACCTGTGTCTTGTAGGATGTCCCACAGAGCGGTTTTGTGTGGTTGCTTCCTTCTGGGCCACTTAACCATTCCTCTATTCTCTGTACTTCTTGTAAACCAAAACCTAAGCTTGCTTAAATATTGAAGATTTTTGTCCAGAATACTTCATAGGTGGGGTTTATTCCACTTTGCTTCCTGTCCTGCTGTAATTGTAAATAGCACCCCTCTCACCATCAAGATTTTTATGTGTTTGTAAATGAAGCATCACATCAGGAGACATAATACGTTTGTCCCACCATTAGTGATGTCAAGTTTAATCACTTGCTTAAATGTCCATCAGAGTTTTACAAAAGTATTGTGCTCCATACTGAGATTTTGTGATGAGGGATTTTACTACTACATAAGCCAACTTTGGGTCTCACTCTGTCGCCCAGGCTGGAGTGCAGTGGTGCGATCTCGGCTGACTACAGCTGTGACCTCCTGGGCTCAGGTGATCCTTTCACTCCACCTCAGCCCCCTGAATAGCTGGGACTACAGGCATGATAGGCTAATTTTTATATTTTGCATAGAGATGGGGTTTTACCAACTTGCCCAGGCTGGTCTTGAACTCCTGGGCTCAAGCGAGCCACCTGCCTCGGCCTCCCAAAGTGCTAGGATTACAGGCATGAGCCACTGTGCCTGGCTGTCACCTCTACTTTCAATAACCCATTGAATTTTTTTGCAGCTGGGTACAATCCTGAGTAATCAGTTCCTCTATGAGTTTGGCTTAAGTTAAAGTCATTTCTTTTCGCATTAAAATGGCACCCAAAATATATCTTTTACAATAAAATTACATGATTTCCTATTATTGAATTTAGCCAAAGTAAAAATGCAAAATGTTGAGGATTTAAGTATTTCCCACCAATTGCATAAGTTTTAGGTACAGTTTACTTAACAAAAACCATTATTTTAATATTAAAATTAGTACTTGCTCATTATGGAAAATTTAGAAAAATACAGAAAAATGTGAGAAAGCATAAAAATCACCCTTAATCTCCCTTTTAAATAGAACCACTGTTAGCACTTCAGTATATTTACTTTTAGTCTCTTTTCTATACAGGTTTTTTTCTTTTTCTTTTTTTTAATTATACTTTAAGTTCTAGGGGACAAGTGCACAACATGCAGGTTTGATACATATGTATACATGTGCCATGTTGGTTTGCTGCACCCATTAACTCGTCATTTACACTAGGTATCTCTCCTAATGCTATCCCTCCCCCCTCCCCCCACCCCACAACAGGCCCTGGTGTGTGATGTTCCCCGCCCTGTGTCCAAATGTTCTCATTGTTCAATTCCCAACTATGAGTGAGAACATATGGTGTTTGGTTTTCTGTCTTTGTGATAGTTTGCTGAGAATGATGGTTTCCAGCTTCATCCATGTCCCTGCAAAGGACATGGACTCATCCCTTTTTATGGCTGCATAGTATTACATGGTGTATATGTGCCACATTTTCTTAATCCAGTCTATCACTGATGGACATTTGGGTTGGTTCCAAGTCTTAGCTATTGTGAATAGTGCCACAATAAACATACGTGTGCATGTGTCTTTACAGCAGCATGATTTATAATCCTTTGGGTATATACCCAGTAATGGGATGGCTGGGTCAAATGGTAATTCTAGTTCTAGATCCTTGAGGAATCGCCACACTGTCTTCCACAATGGTTGAACTAGTTTACAGTCCCACCAACAGTGTAAAAAGTGTTCCTATTTCTCCACATCCTCTCCAGCATCTGTTGTTTCCTGACTTTTTAGTTATCGCCATTCTAATTGGTGTGAGATGGTATCTCATTGTGGTTTTGATTTGCATTTCTCCGATGACCAGTGATGATGAGCATTCTTTCATGTGTCTGTTGGCTGCATAAATGTCTTCTTTTGAGAAGTGTCTGTTCATATCCTTAGCCCACTTTTTGATGGGGTTGTTTGTTTTTTTCTTGTACATTTGTTTGAGTTCATTGTAGATTCTGGATATTAGCCCTTTGTCAGATGCGTAGATTGCAAAAATTTTCTCCCATTCTGTAGGTTGCCTGTTCACTCTGACGGTAGTTTCTTTTGCCGTGCAGGAGCTCTTTAGTTTAAATAGATCCCGTTTGTCTATTTTGGCTTTCGTTGTCATTGCTTTTGGTGTTTTAGTCATGAAGTCCTTGCCCATGCCTATGTCCTGAATGGTATTGCCTGGGTTTTCTTCTAGGGGTTTTATGGTTTTAAGTCTAACATTTAAGTCTTTAATCCAACTTGAATTAATTTTTGTATAAAGTGTAAGGAAGGGATCCAGTTTCAGTTTTCTACATATGGCTAGCCAGTTTCCTCAGCACCATTTATGAAATAGGGAATCCTTTCCCCACTTCTTGTTTTTGTCAAGTTTGTCAAAGATCAGATGGTTGTAGATGTGTGGTGTTATTTCTGAGGCCTCTGTTCTGTTCCATTGGTCTATATATCTGTTTAGGTACCAGTACCATGCTGTTTTGGTTACTGCAGCCTTGTAGTATAGTTTGAAGTCAGGTAGCATGATGCCTCCAGTTTTGTTCTTTTTGCTTACGATTGTCTTGACAATGTGGGGTCTTTTTTGGTTCCATATGAACTTTAAAGTAGTTTTTTCCAATTCTGTGAAGAAGGTCATTGGTAGCGGATGGCATTGAATCTATAAATTACCTTGGACAGCATGGCCATTTTCACAATATTGATTCTTCCTATCCATGAGCATGGGATGTTCTTCCATTTGTTTGTATCCTCTTTTATTTCGTTGAGCAGTGGTTTGTAGTTCTCCTTGAAGAGGTCCTTCACATCCCTTGTAAGTTGGATTCCTAGGTATTTTATTCTCTTTGTAGGAATTGTGAATGGGAGTTCACTCATGATTTGGCTCTCTGTCTGTTATTGGTGTATAAGAATGCTTGTGATTTTTGCATATTGATTTTGTATCCTGAGACTTTGCTGAAGTTGCTTATCAGCTTAAGGAGATTTTGGGCTGAGACAATAGGGTTTTCTAAATATACAATCACATCATCTGCAAACAGGGACAATTTGACCTCCTCTTTTCCTAATTGAATACCCTTTATTTCTTTCTCTTGTCTGATTGCCCTGGCCAGAACTTCCAACACTATGTTAAATAGGAGTGGTGAGAGAGGGCATTCTTGGCTTGTGCCAGTATTCAAAGGGAATGCTTCCAGCTTTTGCCCATTCAGTATGATATTGGCTGTGGGTTTGTCATAAATAGCTCTTATTATTTTGAGATACATTCAATCCATACCTAGTTTATTGAGAGTTTTTAGCATGAAGTGCTGTTGAATTTTGTCAAAGGCCTTTTCTGCATCTATTGAGATAATCATGTATCTTTTGTCATTGGTTCTGTTTATGTGATGGATTACATTTATTGATTTGCATATGTTCAACCAGTCTTGTATCCCAGGGATGAAGCCGACTTGATCATGGTGGATAAGATTTTTGAGGTGCTACTGGATTTGGTTTGCCAGTATGTTATTGAGAATTTTCGCACTCATGTTCATCAGGGATATTCGTCTAAAATTCTCTTTTCTTGTTGTGTCTCTGCCAGCCTTTGGTATCAGGATGATGCTGGCCTAATAAAGTTAGGGAGGATTCCCTCTTTTTCTATTCATTGGAATAGTTTCAGAAGGAATGGTACCAGCTCCTGCTTGTACCTCTGGTAGAATTCGGCTGTGAATCCTTCAGGTCCTGGACTTTTTTTGGTTGGTAGGCTATTAATTATTGCCTCAATTTCAGAGTCTGTTATTGGTCTATTCAGAGATTCTTCTGTCTTGGGAGGGTGAATGTGTCCAGGAATTTATCCATTTCTTCTAGATTTTCTAGTTTATTTGCATAGACGTGTTTATGGTATTTTCTGATGATAGCTTGTATTTCTGTGGGATTGGTGGTGACATCCCTTTTATCATTTTTTATTGCATCTATTTGATTCTTCTCTCTTTTCTTCTTTATTAGTCTTGCTAGCGGTCTATCAATTTTGTTGATCTTTTCGAAAAAACAGCTCCTGGATTCATTGATTTTTTGAAGGGTTTTTTTTGTGTCTCTATCTCTCTCAGTTCTGCTCTGATCTTAGTTATTTCTTGCCTTCTGGTAGCTTTTGAATTTGTTTGCTCTTTCTTCTCTAGTTCTTTCAATTGTGATGTTAGGGTGTTGATTTTAGATCTTTCCTGCTTTCTCTTGTGGGCATTTAGTGCTATAAATTTCCCTCTACACACTGCTTTAAATGTGTCCCAGAGATTCTGGTACGTTGTGTCTTTGCTCTCATTGATTTCAAAGAACATCTTTATTTCTGCCTTCATTTCGTTATTTACCCAGTAGTTGTTCAGGAGCAGGTTGTTCAGTTTCCATGTAGTTGTGCGGTTTTGAGTGAGTTTCTTAATCCTGAGTTCAAATTTGATTGCACTGTGATCTGAGAGACAGTTTGTGATTTCTGTTCTTTTATGTTTGCTGAGGAGTGCTTTAGTTATGTGGTCAATTTTAGAATAAGTGCAATGTGGTGCTGAGAAGAATGTATATTCTGTTGATTTGGGGTAGAGAGTTCTGTAGATGTCTATTAGGCCCGCTTGGTGCAGAGCTGAGTTCAAGTCCTGGATATCCTTGTTAACCTTCTGTCTCATTAATCTGTCTAATATTGACAGTGGGGTGTTAAAATCTCCCATTATTATTGTGTGGGAATCTAAGTCTCTTTGTCCGTCTCTAAGGACTTGCTTTATCAATCTGGTTGTTCCTGTATTGGGTGCATATATATTTAGGATAGTTAGCTCTTCTTGTTGAATTGATCCCTTTACCATTATGTAATGGCCTTCTTTGTCTCTTTTGATCTTTGTAGGTTTAAAGTCTATTTTATCAGAGACTAGGATTACAACCCCTGCTTTTTTTTTTTTTTTTGCTGTGCATTTGCTTGGTAGATCTTCCTCCATCCCTTTATTTTGAGCCTATGTGTGTCTCTGCACGTGAGATGGGTCTCCTGAATACAGCACACTGATGGGTCTTGACTCTTTATCCAATTTGCCAGTCTGTGTCTTTTAATTTGAGCATTTAGCCTATTTACATTTAAGGTTGATATTGTTTTGTGTGAATTTGATCCTGTCATTATGATGTTAGCTGGCTATTTTGCCTGTTAATTGATGCAGTTTCTTCATAGCATTGATGGTCTTTACAATTTGGCATGTTTTTGCAGGGGCTGGTACTGGTTATTTCTTTCCATGTTTAGTGCTTCCTTCTGGAGTTCTTGTAAGGCAGGCTTGGTAGTGACAAAATCTCTCAGCATTTGCTTGTCTGTAAAGATTTTATTTCTCCTTCACTTTTGAAGCTTAGTTTGGCTGGATATGAAATTCTGGGTTGAAAATTTTCTTTAAGAATGTTGAATATTGGCCCCCACTCTCTTCTGGCTTGTAGGGTTTCTGCCAAGAGATCCACTGTTTGTCTGATGGGCTTCCCTTTATGGGTAACCTGACCTTTCTGTCTGGCTGCCCTTACCATTCTTTCCTTCATTTCTGCCTTGGTGTATCTGACAATTATGTGTTTTGAGGTTGCTCTTCTCGAGGAGTATCTTTGTGTTATTCTCTGTATTTCCTGAATTTGAATGTTGGCCTGCCTTGCTAGGTTGGGGAAGTTCTCCTGGATGATATCCTGCAGAGTGTTTTCCAACTTGGTTCTATTCTCCCCATCAATTTCAGGTACACCTATCAAATGTCGATTTGGTCTTTTCACATAGTCCCATATTTCTCGGAGGCTTTGTTCATTTCTTTCTACTCTTTTTTCTCTAACCTTGTCTTGTCACTTCATTTCATTAATTTGATCTTCAATCACTGATACCCTTTCCTCCACTTGATTGAATCAAGTATTGAAGCTTGTGCATGTGTCATGAAGTTCTCATGCCATGGTTTTCAGCTCCATCAGGTCATTTAAGGTCTTCTCTACACTGTTTATTCTAGTTAACCATTCGTCTAACCTTTTTTCAAGGTTTTTATCTTCCTTGCAATGGGTTTGAGCATGTTCCTTTAGCTCGGAGAAGTTTGTTATTACCAGCCTTCTGAAGCCTACTTCTGTCAACTCATCAAAGTCATTCTCCATCCAGCTTTGATCCGTTGCTGGTGAGAAGGTGTGATCCTTTGGAGGAGAAGAGCACTGTGGTTTTTAGAATTTTCAGCTTTTCTGCTCTGGTTTCTCCCCATCTTTGTGGTTTTATCTACCTTTGGTCTTTGATGTTCGTGACCTACAGATGGGGTTTTGGTGTAGATGTCCTTTTTGTTGATGTTGGTGCTATTTCTTTCTGTTTGTTAGTTTTCCTTCTAACAGTCAGGTCTCTCAGCTGCAGGTCTGTTGGAGTTTGCTGGAGGTCCACTCCAGACCCTGTTTGCCTGGGTATCACCAGCAGATGCTGCAGAACAGCAAAGATTGCAGAACAGCAAATATTGCTGCCTCATCCTTCCTCTGGAAGCTTCATCCCAGAGGGGCACCCACCTATATGAGGTGTCTGTCGGCCCCTACTGGGAATGCCCCGCCCTGCTTTGGCTCACCCTCCATGGGCTGCACCCACTGTCCAACCAGTCTCAATGAGATGAACCAGGTACCTCAGTTTGAAATGCAGAAATCACATGTCTTCTGCGTTGATCACTTTGGGAGCTGCAGACTGGAGCTGTTCCTATTCGGCCATCTTGGAACAGATCTCTTCTATACAGTTTTATAATATAAATTCTATGTCACAGAACATAAAATCTGTTATATCTTTTCCTACTTAATTTGTATCATAAATCTGTTTCCATATTATTTTCTTATTATTTCCATATGAGGCAGGAGAATCACTTTAACCTGGGAGGCAGAGGTTGCAGTGAGCCAAGATTGCACCACTGCATTCCAGCCTGGCAACAGGGTGAGACTCTGTCTGAAAAAAAAAAAAAAGAATAGTGAAGAGGTAGTATCAGAAGATTTTTTTTTTAATCGACCTTTCTACTAAGGACAAGTGTCTCCTCTCCTTTTTTTTGTTAACCTTTTAAAAATGTCTACATAATTTTTCATATTGTGTCATTGCTATTGTTGAACATTTAAGTTGTTTTCAATTTTTTTCCCAGTATGAATAATATTTAGGGGAGTATCTTTAAATAAATATCTTTCTTTCTTTAAAATGATTTTCTGAAGAGAAATAATTGGGTAGAAAGCAATGGATTTTTTTCATTTATTTTATTCTTGCTTATCAAAGTAAGACAAACTTATCACAGACAAGTAAAATATGATTAAACTGGGAAAGAAAAAAAAACACTCAAAATCCTCCACCCAGTTGCCAGAGTCAACTGATACTAGCATTTTGCCATGATTTCTTTGGATATATGGAGCTACAGTATTTTCTTTCTTAGGAGGTTTCAAGGATATAAATATTTTTAAGGCTTTTGATAATACTGCCAAAACTGCTTTCGATTTATCAATTTGTTCTTCTTCTTGAAGTGTATTTGTGACTATTCTGGAAACACCAACGTCTGAAAATTTTCAGATGAACATGGTTGTTTCAAAACTTCCCATGATTTTAGGTTGGCTCACTGAAAATCTGTCTGTGAACATGGGAAATGGCATAAAAAAGTGTTGAAGAAATGTTACTTGGAAAACTCACCTCCAGCTTTGTTTTTGTTGTTGTTACTGACATTCATTTTGGGGCAATTGAAAATGTTTACTTGACAAGTAGTTGTGGAAGTCAGCTCACTGGTTTTTCTAGATGAAGATAGGCTATTGGTTATTTATTAATATTTGTTTCCTGGGAGAGATAGAAGAAAATATTCTTCTAGTTAGGAGTTCCCAATCTTTTTCATGGCATGGCACACATAGAAAATAATAATTGTTGCATGCCTTGGTCTCAGCTACTCAGGAGGCTGAGGAGGGAGGATTGCTTGAGCCCAGGAGGCAGAGGTTGCAGTGAGCTAAGGTTGCACCCCTGCACTCCAACCTGGGCGACAGAGCAAGACCCTGTCTCAAAAAAAAAAAAAGGAAAATAATAATTGTTACATTTATATGTGTGTGTTTGTGTGTGTGGGTATGTGTGTGTGTGTGTATATATATATATATATATATATATACACACACACACATACAATTTTTTAAGAGATAGGGTCTCACTTTGTCAACCAGGCTGGAGTGCAGTGGCATAATTGTAGCTGGCTTTAGCCTCAAACTCCTGGGCTCAAGCAATCCTCTTGCCTCAGCCTCCTGAGTAGCTGGGACTACAGACAAGCACCACCATGCCCAGATAATTTTTAAAAAACTTTTTGTAGAGACAAAGTCTCATTTTGTTGCCCAGGCTGGTCTCAAACTCTTTGGCTCAAGCAACCCTCCTGCCTCAGCCTCCTGAGTAGCTGGGATTACAGATGTGGGCCACCATGCCCAGCTTGATATTGTTCTATACAGTGAAGTAAATGAATAAGGCTAATGTAGTCCTGGGGGACACCTGGCTGCCATGAGGGCTGAGAGTTCAAGGTCTCAGTCTCCTGTGATTCATTGATGGTGTGTCCCAGACAACTCTGCATCCTGGGGGAGTTACAATGTTATGAAAAGTGTATCTTTCTTTTTCTTTAAACATTGTTTCCCTAGTTCTTCTCTCCCACCTATTTCTGTACCAGTTACACAGGGAATTTACAACTGTGACACCTCTCCTTAGTAGAAAGGTAGATTAAAAAAAAAATCTTCTGATCCTACCTCTTCACTATTCTTTATTTATTTTTTTTTGATGGAGTCTCGCTCTGTCACCAGGCTGGAGTGCAGTGGTGCAATCCTGGCTCACTGCAACCTCTGCCTCCTGGCTTCAAGTGATTCTCCTGCTCTAGCCTCCCGAGTAGCTGGGACTATAAGTGCCTGCCACCACACCCTGCTAATTTTTGTATTTTTGGTAGAGATGAGGTTTCACTATGTTGGCCAGGATGGTCTTAATCTCTTGACCTCGTGATCCACCTGCCTCGGCCCTTCCAAAGTGCTGGGATTACAGGCGTGAGCCACCGCGCCCAGCCACCTCTTCACTATTCTATACAAAATATGCTCAATTCCTTTTTGAAAAGCTTTGTGTATTTGGTTTCTCTCACTTGAAGTCATTCATTTAACAATTACTGAGTTCTATTATGTACTGGGCACTTTGATAAACACTGGGAATAGACAGATAGTAAGGACAACTTCTGACTGCAAGATGTTCACAGTTGAATGGAGGGAAAAATAGGAAGGGCAAGGGAAAGTGAGAAGCATCTGAATGGCGGTAGGTCCGAAAGTCCCATGGCACTCTCCCTGGGGAAGGTGGGAAGGCTGCCCAGAAGCAGTGACATTTGAGGTGTGACTTGAAGGAGGAATGGAAATTTGACACTCTAAATCAGGAGACAGAGTACTGGATAAGAGACAGAAACTTGTGGGTTTGAGAAATGGGTAAGCTTGTTGGTGTAACTGGAACACCAATCCCAGGCAGCCCCTGGAAGAGTGACAGAGGGCAAGGCTGGAAAGGAAGGAAGGTGAGGCTGGTTTTTGAGGGGCTTTGCTTGTCACATGGAACAGTTAAGACTTAAGCCCTGATGCACTAGAAAAGATTTTTCAGCAAGAGACTGACACCTGTGGATTTGTTGTTTTGGACTATTGCTCTCACATCAATATGGAGAATGGAATTGGGGGTGAGTAGGGAAGTCCTTGGGAGACAGCTGCAACTTTAAAAATCAAAGTGATGAGGGTTTGCCCTAGGGCCAGGGTGATAGGGGTAGATGAAAGAAGGCAGTGGTGAAAGAATCCATGTGAATGGGCTGGGTGCGGTGGCTCATGCCTGTAGTCCCAGCACTTTGGGAGGTCAAGGCAGGCGGATCACGAGGTCAAGAGATTGAGACCATCCTGGCCAACATGGTGAAACTCCATCTCTACTAAAAATACAAAAATTAGCTGGGCATGGTGGCGTGTGCCTGTAGTCCCAGCTACTCGGGAGGCTGAGGCATGAGAATTGCTCGAACTCAGGAGGTGGAGGTTGCAGTGAGCCGAGATCGTACCACTGCACTCCAGCCTGGCAACAGAGTGAGACTCCGTCTCAAAAAAAAAAAAATAAAATAAAATAATAAAAAAAAAGAATCCAAGCGAATGGCTGTAGGGGAATAGGAGGGGTCAATTTGGGTAACTCAGTAAATGGTGATGCTGGTAGCAAAGACAGGGAGAAAGGCTTTACTCCACTTTCAGCTCCTCACATCCAACCTACCATTTTCTACCCAGCCCAAGGGCCCTTTTCTTTACAAACCTTCTTCCATCCTTGTCTCCTTAGAGACCACTTCCTTCCCAGAGTGGCTATTCTGGGATTCAGCTGTGGGCAGTTTGCTCTCTAAGCATGAGGTTATTATTTCACCTGTGTGAGGTCTGTATGGGATTGTAGGACTGTTCTCAGGCCCAGGTCACATGCTTCTGTGCTATTCACTCCAGCCACTAGTTCAGTGTCAGGCATTTACGAAGTCCAACAGGCAATGGGGACTTGTGCTGTGATTGCAAATGAAATCTTAAATGTAAAATACATACCAAGTGGAGGTGCTCTGGTTAGCGTAGGGGGAGAAGGCCCAGAATCCAGGACCCTCGGCCTTCTCCTGTTCTTAGCAGCAGCCTCCAAGAACCTCCACTGTATCTAGGACGTCATTCCCTCTTCTAGAACCAGAACTGGAAAACTTCTGGTTGTGTGGGCTGATCTTGGGTTTTGGAGTCAGATAGATCTGGGTTCAAATCCCTGCTCTGTCACTTACTTAGGTGTAATAGAGCAGACAAATGATGAAGATAAATGACAAGTGGCTCTAAGCCTCACTTTCCCCTGTGTAAAACAAAGGTAAGATTTTCTTTGTAGGGTTATCGTGAGGATGAAATAAAATAATGCATGTAACAATCTCTGGTACTTATGAAATGCTCACTAGATTTTAATTGTCATTGCTAACAATAAGAAGACACTTGTTAACTAATTGAGTGTCTGATCCTTATTGAATTGGCACATGTTCAGTCTAAATAAACTTCTTCATCCTCAGGTTAAGAAAGGTTAGGGTTGGGGTGAAGTCATGGTGAGCTTGGGATTATGAGAAGAATCAATCTTGTCTTATATTCCATCCACTCCATCAAACCAGAATCACCTGCCTTTTCATGAGGGTCTATCAATATTTAATGTATGGGTGTCAGTTGCTGTAAACTGACCATACCCCAGCAACAACTTGAATTAATTATATGCAGGAGGAGAGAAAATAAAATGCCTTTTTCTCAGAGGCCCAAGTTTCACCGGCTGCACGGAAGGCTGGAGACCACAGGGTCAACTTTCTGCTGATGGAGGACCCTGAGAAAAAGCTGAATCAGAAGAGTGATGGCAAACCCCGGAAAGTACGATTTAAAATCTCCTCCTCCTACAGCGGTCGAGTATTGAAGCAGGTCTTTGAGGATGGGCAGGAATTAGAGTCACCAAAGGAGGAATACCCTCACAGTTTTCTGCAAGAGTCTCTTGAAACAATGGATGGTGTTTATGGGTCTGGGGAAGTCCCCAGGCCCCAGATGTGCTCCCCTAAGCTGACTGCTCAGAGGATCAGTGTGTTTAGAGAGGGTAATGCCTACACCTTGGCAGGCGGCCAGCCTCGGTTCAACGATTACAAGGCGAATGACCATAAGGTTGGTATTGTGCATGGCATATAGGCTTTAAGGGTAGGGCTTCCTAAAACGTGTTTAGAGAAACTCCTAAATGGTTCAGATTTGTGTCTTGCTCCCCCTCCGGTACCAACCAGAACTGTTGGTGCACCAAATGGGAAGTTGTTATTAGACGAATATTTCTGGGGTAAAAATAACATGCTTGTTGACTACTAATTGGAAAGTGCAATGAGCATATATAGTATTCAAATTCCATCCAAGGTAATACATTGTAATTGGATCTTTGACTGAGTTTTCCTGGAATGTAAATTAAATAGAGGTGCAGTGGTTTTCAGGTTGTCAGACTGCGGTTTTAGACAATTATGCAGTCATTTTGTTTCCTGAAAGAGCTGAGTATTTGAAAGTGCTCATTTTACTCCAGCCAATTACTCAGCTTGCAGTTTATCCATGTCTTGTTTTTTACCCCTATTGCCTTCCTCATACTGCCTGCTTTGTCTATTTATTTTTCCTTTCCATTGCTCCTTAGCATAAGCTCTGGGTAGTTGGAGTCCTGGGAAGGGATGGTGAAACGCAAATCAGCCAGAGGATATGTTATGTGAGGAAGAAGTTTGAGCTAATGGTTCGATTGAAGAATGTGTTTAATCTATGAATTTCAATTACTTCCCAGTACCATGGATAATCAAAAGTCCATACATGATTTTCTTTTAAGGTAGAACCTGGAAAACATACACTGGTATCCAAAAATTCATAGGAGATGTATATATGCTGTCAGTGGGACCATGAATGACTTCTTAAAAAAGATAAAATACAATTATATAATGTATCCACGTTATTAATGAATAGCACACCAGGATGTGTTCTCATCTTTAAAGTGTGAAAGCCAGATAATTACTCTTGAATTATTTTTATTGTTAGTTTCCTAAGGGAATAGATAACACATCTATTGCAGACAAATGTATTACTGGCTTTACTGGCATTGGTAAAAGTATAATTATGGGCATGTTCACAATTACCGAAGATAACACTAGGCTTGTTTTTGATATTAAAAGGGGCTGAAATGAATGACCTCTTATCTTAATGGGGTGACGTATGCAGTACAAAGTGTCATCATGTACTATCTCTGTCTATATCTATGGCATTGGGTCTTTACTATAACCTTGGGGAGAAAGGCCAAAGTATGGTCATTCCCATTTTGCAGAAGAGAAAAATTGAGTGCCAAGTTGTTAAGGGATCCATCTGATACTACAGGGTCATTGGGTACAGAGTCAGAATAAGAATCCAGATCTTCTGATGCTACAAATGTTTTGCTTTAGGGCATGTTCCTTTTTTTAGAGAACCATATTATTACATAATAATAATAGCTACCATTTGTTGAGTGCTTATTAGGTCCTAGGCACTTGGCTAGTCTTGTACTTATACTATTTCTTTTTAACTATGTCTTATTTGTAGATTTAGAATTTACAAAGTCACAGTTCATGCAAACCTTATGCAAGGCCACAGTAGATAAATTTTGGGTTGCTTGATCTTCATAAGTCATGTGCTAAATTTAGCATTTATGAAAATGTATAATTTTTTTTTTCTTTTTTAGAGACAGGGTCTCATCTGTCAACCAGGCTGGAGTGCAGTGGTATGATCATAACTCACAGCAATCTCAAACTCCTGGGCTCAAGGGATCCTCCTGCCTCAGCCTCTCTGGTAGCTAGGACTATAGAATTTATAAATCTAGGTAAATGAGTCTTCATGGCAGCATGGCTCAGTTGGTTAAAACACAGTACTCTATGTGTTTTAGAGGCCATGTTGAAGGTCTGATTCCTGCTTGGCCTCATTATCTCTGTTTTCTTTGTTTCCTGATCAAGTGCCCCATCCCAATCATAGCCAGATTCTGAGCATGAGAGTGACCAGGATGGATTCATGTAGCTGCACACCCTGGAATCATTTGTCAATGTGGTATTTATGAAAAAGAAGAAAATGAGAGCTAATGTCATGACTTTTCAATAACGAATCCAAATGTAAAACACTTCCTAGTAAATATTGGCTATGAGACCACATTGGGTAGCAATTAAGTGCAATAATTCAAAGCAAGGGCTCTGAACTCAAACAGATATATGTACAACATTGTTCATAGCAGCATTATTCTCAATTGCCTAAAGGTGGAAAGAACCCAAATGTCCATAGACTGATGAATGGATAAACAAGATGCGGTATGTACATACAACACAATATTATTCAGTCTTGAAAAGGAAGGCCATTTTGACACATGCACAATGTGGTTGACCCTTGAAGACGTTATACTAAATGAAATAAGCCAGTCACAAAAACACAAATACTGTATGATTGCACTTATTTGAGGTACCTAGAGTAGTCAAAATCATACAGACAGCAAGTAGAATGGTGGTTGGCAGGGGCTGGGGGCAGGGGAGAAGAAGAGTCATTGTTTAATGGATACAGAGTTTCAATTTGGGAAGAAGAAAACGTTCTGGAGATGAATGGTGGTCATGGCTGCACAGTAATGTGAATGCACTTAATGTCACTGAGTTGTACACTTAGAAAGGGTTAAAATGGTAAATTCTATGTTATGTACAGATTACCATGATAATATATATATATATCTTTTTAAAAAACAAGGACTTTGATACCTGTCAAACCTGAGCTTGATGTTCAGTCCTACCCATTTACTGGGTAAGCTCGAACAAGCTAGTTAACCCTGTTGACCTTCAACGTCATTGTGATATGAGGGTAATCAAAGGAGTTGCTTAAGAGTTGTTGTGATGATTTTAAAAGATAACACATAAGAAGCTCAGGCCAGGCACGGTGGCCCACACCTGTAATCCCAGCACTTGGGGAGACTGAGGAGGGCAGATCACGAGGTCAGGAGATGGAGACCATCCTGGCTAACATGGTGAAACCCTGTCTCTACTAAAAATACAAAAAATTAGCCAGGTGTGGTGGCGGGCGCCTGTAGTCCCAGCTACTCGGGAGGCTGAGGCAGGAGAATGGTGTGAACCCGTGAGGCGGAGCTTGCAGTGAGCCGAGATTGCACCACTGCACTCCAGCCTGGGTGACAGAGCAAGACTCCGTCTCAAAAAAAAAAAAAAAAGAGAGAGAGAGAGAAAGAAGCTCTTAGCATTGTGCCTGGCACATTTTATGTGCTTAGCGAATGTTACCCACCATTGTAATAACGAGCAGGTTCTTATCAAAGAAATGTTGAGTCTTTTAAATTTTATGTGATGGGTAGAGAAAAAGGTTATAAATAATAAAAATATTTTAAGCAATTAAAACTGAAGTTTATAAGGTTCAAAGAAAATGGAAGGGAAAAGGAAGGGAGGTAACATTTACTGAACACCTACTTTATACATATTGCATAATTTCATCTTCACAACATTTCTATGAGTGTTTTACAGATTGGAAAAACGGAAGTTCATAAGGATTAACTAACTTGCAAACCTCATACAGTTGTCAAACAACATTTTAATACAATCTGAACTCAGGTCTGTCTATCTCCAAAGCCCACTGAATTTCTAGTACCCAATAAGGCTTTCTGCATTTAAAAACAGAGCAGTGGAAAGATTTAATAGTGCCTGATCAATAATCTCTAGTTATGTTGCCACAGACAAAAGAGTATTTACAAGTGCTCAATCACACAGGTTGCCATTCTGTGCACTAGTAAGGAAATGAAAAATTCTTGGCTTTTTCCTGGCCCTCTATCATGTAGGACTGGGTGTTCCCCATTGACATTTGATGTAACCACGTAACGTGAACTTTCATTACAACCATAGAGTTTCCTTAGACACAAGGAAGAATTTGCCTATCAGGGTAACTAAAACTTAAACACACCTTAAAAGTGACTTGAGACCCTCCATCTTTGGGGTACATCAAAAAATAAACTTGCTATCTTGGGTGTCTCAGACATTGAGCAGCTCAGAAACAGGGGTTTGGAGTAGGTGATCTCAGATTCTTTTAGCGTATTGAGAGTTTTGTCTTGAAAAAAATCAGCTCTAGAGATGAAAAGCTTCCTAGTAACTGAACCTCATTGGCTATTACTGGAAGTAGAAATGGAACCTTCGAAAAGTACCACCATCCTTATCTTCTGATATTCAGAAACTGATAGTCCAGAGTGTGAAATAAGAATCCAGCCTGCATAAAACAATAGGAAATGGAAGCTGCTACACGATCCCTTGAAGAAAGGGAGAGAAAATCGGGCCAGATAGGAAGCTTGTGGCTTAATAAATAATTATTGAAAACTCCATGGGTGTTTCAAGAAAGAGAGCCTGAATATTGAAGTCTTGCTCAAGCCAGGTTTTGGCTGAATATCTTTTAAATACAAGACTGCTTAACTTTAGCGTATAAATAGATTTGGTTTATACAGTCCTATAAGCAGGGCAGAATACTTCATGCTGAGGTATTGAGTTGTGTAGTATGATTGTGCATGCACTACAGAAGAATAATTTTAAATAATAACAATGGCAACAGTTCTCACAATCTGCATATTGTGCAGATTGTGACAATCAACATATAAAATAAAAACACTATTTTATATGTTTTTCGTGGTACCTCCCACCCCCAGAAGTTGATATAATTAGCCTCAGGGATGAAAGTAAACATATTTAACCACAGGAACATTGCTCAATCAGCAGAGAAGCCAATAGAGTGTTGGAGAAGAGTACTGAGACTTGGGTCCCTAAGTATTAACTCTTACATCACTAGGTTTAGGGATGTTAGAGGCTCCCTGAAGGGAGGCTGGGGTAATTGGAGGGCACTCAGGAGTCTCAGGACAACACATGTTTACCACTCAGTATGGAAGCATTTCTGTATTTTAATCACTAGCTTGATTGTGGTGATGCCTACCAGCTGGATATCAGCCCCTTTGCAAATTAGCAAACTGAAGTTGAGAGGTTACATGACTTTCCCGTATGTCACAATCACACTACACAACTAAATATCTCAGCATGAAATACTCTTCCCTGCTTACAGAACTGTATAAACCAAATCTGTTTAGATGCTGCAGTCAGGCAGTCTTCTATTTAAAGTAATTTCTAAACAGTTACCCTCCAGTCCTCTCTACTGCATTGTGATATTGTCCAGGTTTATTCCTGAGCAAATGATTAAGTAACACATGACAAATCCATGCAAGAGAACAAAAGCTATTAATAATGATGCTTTAGAAGTCTATTTATTGGCATAGATGATTTTCATATTATATAGCTAATGAAAAAATAGGTTGCAACAGAGTATATATTATGATCGTATTTTTTGGGGGGGAAATACTTTTAAATAGTGTGATATAGGTGGTAAAAATATGGGCTTTAGGGTGACAGACTTGGGTTCCAATTCTAGTTACAGTGCCCGAGTAACTCTGTCACCTTGGTGGGGCACTTAACCCCACTGAGTCTCAGTCTCCTCACCTTAAAATGTGGAAACTATAGCATCTGCCTCATAGGGATGTTTGGGGAGAAACTGAGGCAATGTTGGTAAAATGCTTAGCATGATGCCTGAGACACAAATAGTGCTCAGTAAATGGTATCTACTAATATTATTATTTATGCTGGTAAAAAATTGGAGAGATATTTATATAAAATGAAAAAGTGTCCCTCTGTATTTATTAAACACTCATTGTACCCAGCCCTGCATTGGCTGTTGGGGTATGCAGTACAAATAGAAGCTCTAGCCCCTGCCCTCCAGACTCTCATACTCTGAGTAGTTCAGCTTTGATTGGTCACCATCAACAGGAAGAAGGAAACTGGCTTTCATGGCTTTTAGAGAGAGCAAACAGACCAGGGAATGAACTGTGACTTTGGGGTCTGATGGGATCAAAAATGCTGGGTGGTAGAAGTTCCTTCTCTGCTGTTTCCTGGTATGTTGGACAGGTTCTGCAGCCCTCTACTTGGTGATTGGTGGTAAAGTTTCCATGCTCATTCTCCATTTCTCTAGCCCCTACCTATTATAGATTTTGGAAAGATAATCATCTACACTAATAACCTGAAAATCATTCGAACCCCAATGGACAAGAGAGATTTTGTGAGGAAAATTCTCCAGAAGGAAGAGGAGGCTGAGGAAGAGTCTCTGATGAACAAAGAAGAAAGCTATGGAGGCAGGGACCAGCACGATAGACCTTTGGTGGAGGCAGAAAGCACATTACCCCAAAACCGGTATACACAGGTGCGTTGGGGAGCTTGACTGTCCTGCTCGGAGCTGGCCCTACAGCAATGGTCTCCAAGCTGGCTTGATTGTGCACTGCTTAAGTAAAACCTTTTGAATATGAATACTTAAGATACCTAAACTTGAAGATATGAGGAATTTTAACATTTGTTATATTTTAATGGTACATTGTTAGCAATAGCAGTTATAAGTCCATATTTCAGATACTCTAAATTTTTAATTTTTTGGCTGACTTCTTTTTAGATCTGATTAAATATTTATTGTTTTCACTGTGCAGTGTGGTTTATGAACAGCTGGTTCTAGAGGTGGAAAAATATATCAGCCCTATATTTTCTTTTTTCTTTCTTTCTTTTTTTTTTTTTTTTTGAGAAGGAGTTTCACTCTTTTTGCCTGGGCAGGATCTCAATGGCGTGATCTTTGCTCACTGCAACCTCTGTCTCCTGGATAAGTGATTCTCCTGCCTCAGCCTCCTGAGTAGCTGGGATTTCAGGCACCCACCACCATGCCTAATTTTTTTTTATTTTTAATAGAGATGGGGTTTCACCATGTTGTCCAGGCTGGTCCCGAACTCCTGTCTTCAAGTGTTCCATCTGCCTCGGCCTCCCAAAGTGCTGGGATTACAAGCATGAGCCACCGTGCCTGGCCTGGCCCTATCTTTTCTTATGGGTTCACTTGTTCTTCTATTATTGGTGTTATCCTTGATCCATAGTCTCCTGGAAGACATCATGTAAAGTCATGATTCCATTTGGCAGATTAGTTTAGCTAAAACTAAGGAGTATCCTTTGTAAATCCACTAGACCAGGCACAAGTAAACTGCAACATGTTGCAATGTGCTGAAAGTGAACAAGTGAGCTGGACGCTACTGTCAGCAACATTTGAACATCACTCTTACTCCAGGGTCCCTTGGGTACCACACTTGTCTAGTGACTGCCTGACCTAATATGGCTGTCAGTGTCCACAAGTTTATTAAAAGTTAGTATAAAAATTCTTTTAAAAATGTTAATAAAGCTTAATATCTGCCTAATTGTAGATAAAAAGTAAATATGAATATTCCAATGTTTTCCTCTCATACCCCTTAGAAGTGTGCACGCACCACCTTGGAAACCATAGCTCAGACATGCTCAGACCAGGGGGAGGAGGGCTGATATTCGTTCATTCACAGTGTGAGGTTGGGGGTGGAGGAAGCAATTTTGATGCATTTAAGCCGAAAGATTAAAAGCTTGGGTAGCTGGATGAATGAATTTTCTCTCTCTTAGATTCCATCTCCTGGGACTTGATGTTTTCTGTGGGATTCACTGTAATCTCCTGGGATTGCTATGAAAAAATTGGTCAGGGGCTTTCTGGAACTTGAGTGATGTCTCTACTCTGGGAGGGTTCAGATGATGAGAACAAGAAGGTCATGACTGGGCTTTGAGTAATGGCCTTAGACAAGAGGCACCAAAGGCTCCTTCTTATCTCATTTCTCCCATATCATAAGTCTATCTACCTCTCCACAATTTCTCTAAAATCTACTTTTTTCTCTCTTCCTTTCTACCTCTCCTTCCCTTCCCCTAGAGCATAAGCAACTGGGACTCTAGCAAAAGGTTCTGAAAGTTCCACTCACATCCATTCAGGTACCTTTCCAACCTGCCCCCACACTCAAAAAGATATTTTTAAATGTAATCTGATTAGGTCACCCCCTTTGTCACTGTATTAGTCCGTTTTCACACTGCTCTAAAGATAGTACTTGAGACTGAGTAATACATAAACAAAGGAGGTTTAATTGACTCACAGTTCCAAATGGCTGGGGAGGCCTCAGGAAACTTACAATCTTGGTGGAAGGTGAAGGGGAAGCAAGGCACATCTTACATGGCAGCAGGGGAGAGAAAGAGAGAGAGAGAGCTTGAGAAAGTGCCATGCTTTAAAACCACCAGCTCTGGTGAGAACTCACTTATCACGAGAACAGCATGAGGGAAACTGCCCCCATGATCCAATCACCTTCCACCAGGTTCCCCCCTTGACACATGGAGATTACAATTCAAGATGAGATTTGGGTAGGGACACAGAGCCAAACCATATCAGTCACCCCCTCTAAGCTTTCAGTGTCTTTTCATTGCTTGGGATAAAACCGCAAACTCCTTACTTGTCCCAGAAAGCTCTGTGTAGCCTGGCCTCTGCTGGCCCCTCCAGCATCATCTCTTACACATCTTTTCTCATGCTCTTGGCCCCAGACACACTGCCCATCTCCCCATCTCCATCCCTCATATATTATTTTCTCTTTCCTACCAGAGGCCAATCCCCTCTGCCTGGAATGTCCCCAGACTCCCACCACCCTGCCTTCAGCTTCTGAGATCTCAGAGGAGGCATCACTTCCTCAGAGGGATCTTCCCTGGCTTCCATGAGGAAAAAAATCCTCTAGGATTGACCTGTCAGGGCACCTTACACCCCTCATCAGAGTTGCAATCTTACTTTAGTTTGTGTGATTATTTGGTTGGTGTTTGCTCTTACCAATTAGGTCTCCATGAGGGCAGGCCTGGCCATGTTTATGCTGGGTGCAACATTGTAGTTCCAGTATCAGAAAAATACAGCCTGGCATATAACAGGTAATCAGTGAATATTAGTTAACTGTTTGTGGAAAGAATACTGGAATTTGAGACCAAAGTGCCAGCTGGTAAGAAGTCTTTGGCCATTACCTTCTCTCATGTTCTACACAGAACTATTAAGAACCTAGCCTGGGCCGGGTGTGGTAGTTCATGCTTGTAATCCCAGGCAGAGGAGGGAAGATCCCTTGAGCCCAGGAGCTCGAAACTAGCCTGGGCAACATAATGAGACCTGTCTTTACAAAAAAATTTTTAAAAAAGAACCTAACCTGGCAGCAGGCAGATGACCGAACATGTTGATCCAAAGCGCTACCTTCCCACTATAAAATTTTTTAATTCTATTATCTATCATACTATATTGTAAGTTGTAGGAGCATGTATTTTCAGAAGAGGACCAGAAATGATAAAAGGCAGGTCATACTGCAGGCCTGAATAAAAAAGCAAGAGTAAGCCTGATATGACAATTACTTTTAAGTTCAATTTGGAGAGATCTGTGTTTTTTAGCTGTAATGCTATAAACTAGGACAGAGGTGTGCAGCAGAAGTTTGCTGTGAAAGGTTATACTTCACTTGCCTGTCCTTTAAACTCTGTTTTAAATTGCTATTTGTTTGCCCAATCCCTCATGCAGTAAATGCCCAGACAAGTTTTATTTTAAAAGAGAAGGTCAAAGAACATCAAGGAGCCCCTTCTGACCAAGAGCCTCTTTGTTCTGTTAGATGGAACGGGGCAGCAGTGAGAATCTGATGAAAGAGTAGGGCAAGGCTGAAAGCCCGGCCAGGTTTGAGCTTCTGTATTAACTATCAAAGAAGTGGATAGGAATAATTGAATCGAGCCACAGCAAAAGGTGGAAAGGGAAAAATTTGGCTTTGTGCTCAGTGAATTTGAGGCCATAAATCATCTGGGCTTCTTTATGCTTTATGTGATCTCACTTTGAAATAATAGCAATAATCATCTCATCATAATCATAATCATAATAGCTGCCATTTATTGAGGACTCATGATAGCCAGGCACCATGACCAATGCTCCATGCAACAGTTCATTTAACTTTTTCAAGAACCCTGTGAGGTAGATATTATTAATAGTCACATTCTGCAGCTAGGGAAACTGAGGATCAGGTTAAGTAACTTGCCAGAGATCATTAGAGCCAGTAGTCAAATCTAGGTCCATTTGTTGAACAGTCTCTTGACCATAATAACCCTATTATGCAGTCTCAATTGGCACTGGTTACCATCTTCAGGGCTCTACAAGCCTTGGAGTCTGCAGTAAAAGATCAGGCCCCTCTTCTTGGTCATGGAGCTAGTAGAGGTGGATTGGTGGGTCTGTTGGGTTCTAGAACCTAAGCTATGCTGTGCAACTATGTTCTATATCCTACTAAATATTTTCTGAGAATAATTTTAAAAGATACAGAGAAAGGAAGAAAGAGGCTTATAGTATACAAGCCTTGTATAGAGTGGTGCTTATTAAATACTTGCTGAATTAGTTGAATGATTAAAAAGAGCATGTTGAGGGTAAGTGGTCAGAGAGTGGTAACCCAGAATAAGAATGGAAACTCCAGTGAAACTTCTAATAATGTAGTGCACCCTAGAACTATATGACATTAGATATAATTTGATGGAAGACGTGTTCTTATTCTCTACAGAAGGCTTACTAGGTCATTTCATTAATCTTTCAATATCTGATCTGGCGTTTTATGCAAATGAATTTTTGGATCACATGTATAGCATTATGTTAGGATTTTACTGTACTTTCCCTCACAGTGTGGACTTATGTTATTAAAATCTCACTGGGATGAAGTACAAAACATAAAACCTAATGGATTTGGCAGGAAATGAATCGTGGCAACTTGCTTTAAGAATATTTTTGCAAATATGTATTATTTTGAATACTTTAAGAAAACAAATTCTCCATTGTTAATATACTAAAATATGGTAGCAATCAATAAAATATTAACGAAAGGGTACATAGACCTGATTTGAGTTTTTGTCAATTGGGTAATTACTTTCATTCCTTAAATCTAGAATAAATAAAATTTAGTATCTTCTTAGGCAATTTGCAGCATGATGGAGCTATTTTCAAAACGTATGCCTCCCTTTTCAGGGATTATTTTTATTCTTAGGTTATAAAAGAAAGCTGAATGAGTTGGGCAGAGCTACCCAGCGGACTCCTGCTGTCTTGTTGGTCCCTAGAATTTAAGAACAGGAAGGGTTCTCCAGATATTATTGTTCATTTGTTTATTCATTTGACATAAGTAGCATGCCAGGCACTGCACTAGATGTTTGGGAAGTGATCATGAAATGGTACAAGTCCAGAGAGCTCCCTGTCTAATCAACAGGAACTTTCACTGGAGTATGGGATACCTGTCATGCGAGGGGCAGTACAGGTGGCCATGGGGGTGGGGGAACTCCTGGTCCAGAGCTGTGGGTGGGCAAGCCTTCTTGGAGGAAGAGCTGCTAAGCTGACTTCTGGGGACAAGCAGGAGTTGGCTGCGTTGGGATTGGGGAAAGGTCCCTGGAGACCAAGTACAGAGAGGCCCATGAACAAGATCCTGATGAAAGAAGTGACAAAAAATTTAAATCGGCTAAGGAGACTGGGTTTTATCCTGAGGTTTTATCTGGAGGGCAAGTGTTCATTAAAAAGGTTTCCTGATTGCTTTCTATGTGACAATCACTACTGCAGGCAACTTAATAAGCTTGGCATCAGTGGGAAGAACATACCACAAGACCAGAGGCATGGGTCCACACTCAGTTCATGCCAGAGTCAGTGGGCAATTGGGCTGGGATTGTAGTTGTGGGATGAAGAAAGCAGGATGGATTTGAGATTTTCAGAAGCTGAAATGGCCAGGACTTGGTACTGAATTTAGCAGGTTTCGATCTAGTATCTCCCCTTATTTCTGGGAAGGTTCATAGTCTATAAGGAGTACCAAGATCACCAATTTCCTTAAGATAGCTTTAAGGGGGAGAGCAAGACAATAGCCAAGGAACATTTTCTGAAGAGTGGGAGTCAAGAACTGGAGATTTGTTAGCAAGGCTTAGGAGAAGGTGCACCTATGATCTGACAGATAATATTGCATTACATATATTCTCTCATTTAATGTTCCAGCTACTCAGAAGGGTAAGCATTATTATTCAATTCTATAAATAAAGAAACAGATTGGGAGAGGCTAAGGGAACTATTCAAGTTGCACAGCTGATGGCAGACAATAGCCTCAGTCCTAGTCTATTAACTCCAAAGTACAGAGCTCTTAATCACTGGGCCTTAGCTCTCAAAGAGAATAAAGATATAAGTACTGCAAGCATACAGAGCTAAGCTTTGAAGGATTGTAACATTTATCGATTCATTCATTTCTCCACTCAGTCTCTCAGTCACACAGAACAGTCTTGGGCATTTACTATGGACAACTACAATGAGGGGCTGTGCACATAGGCATTAGGAGCATGAATTCTGGTGCTCAAATCGCTGAGATGAGAGCCCACCTCTTCCTTTTTCAAGCTGTGTGTGTGACCATTGGCAAACAACTTCTCAGTATCTCATTTTCCCATCTGCAACACAAGGATAATAATACTTACACTATCTCACTGGGATTTTGTGAGGATTAGATGGATGATATATAGGAAGCACTTAGAACAGCACCTGGCACCTATCAGGCATGCTACAAGGGTTCACTTGTAGTATTTGGCAATAAGGAAAATAAAGTCCTTGCCCTTTATGGAGCTTACAGAAAAAACAGGTCAGAGATAGTGACAAGGGCAATGAAGATCATGAAGTCTTGGAATGCAAAGTGTGGTGGCACAGGATGCTGTCTTAGAGGTGTCCACCAGGGGAATCCTCTCTGATAAAATTGCTGTAACTATTCTGGGTCCCAGATGATTCTCTCACTGACATTCGTGGGAAGCATTTTCCTCTATTCTGCCCCAGCCTTTGCTGTAGTCTAGTGCTGTTTTGACCTGCATGTGAACAACGGACTTGAACTGCTGCTTTAACTAAACCCTAACCTGTCTCTTGCAGGAAGGGGATATTCCCGAGGACAGCTGTTTTCACTGCCGAGGGTCGGGCAGTGCCACCTGCTCTCTGTGCCACGGCAGCAAGTTCTCGATGCTGGCCAACAGATTTAAGGAGTCCTATCGGGCCCTGAGGTGCCCTGCCTGCAATGAGAATGGCCTACAGCCTTGCCAGATTTGCAATCAATAGCCCGTGGCTTTTGCATGTCCACTGTTATCTTACCCTCCCTAAAGTTATTTCTAATAAACCGCCCCCTTCTCCTCCTCCTGCCTCTCCCAACAAGGAGGCCACAGTGGCTGCAGTCACTCCCACTGCTGGCAAAACTCAATTATCTGATGACATTTTGTGAGGCCGGTAACATCTCTCTGTGGGTCTAAGTGGCAGGGGCATTTCTGAATTATAGTCTGCTTTGAAACTGGTTCTAAAATTATCCTTCCAGGATGGTGTGAGTGTATCTCACTTGACTTAGCTCAGTTTTCTTCTTGCTTCAGTGAGCAAATACATGTACACTTCAGGCATCAGGTTGGGAGTTATTTTGCAAAATTATGTGGTGAGAAAGGAGTAAAAAAGGCAGGTTTCTGATGAACTGATTTCTTGTTGCTTATAATGCATCTCATGTGATTATTAGTCAAACTGAATTTCTGATTAAGCAGAAGAGGAAACGGACAGCCAACGCTGAACGCACTAGCAGGCCACAGCAAGCAAAATGGGATGTTCACTGTGGAGACAGGCAAGCCAAGGAGCCTTCCCTTTCAAAGTCCTGAACCTCTTCCATGTGGTGTGTTTGGATAATATTTATGCAGACAGTGAGCAATACTATTTCTTAAGTCAAGATGAGATAAGACATTTTTGTGTGCCTCTAACTACTGAGGTTATAAGCCAAGTCAAAGTTATTTATGATAAATTTGGTGCTCAAATATGTGTGTATGATATAACTTCTTCGAGCCCCTGAATTACTACCAAATAAATAAATCCACTTTAAGTCTAGAACCTAGCCATGATCTCTTCATAAAGGACTGCAGGTATTTTATAGATTACCTACTGGAAATCTCTAAAAGAAAAAAATTAACCAAGGCTGATTTTTAGCAGTAATGTTTCTACTATCCATGAATATGCATAGTAAGGATGATTCTTTCCTCTTGAGGTTGGTTATAAAATTAGAACATACTTTTGTTAATGAACTTTTATAGCTCTAACACCCACTCCCCAAGCCCCTTAAGAATAACACTGCAAAATTTATCTCTTGAGACCTGCTGCATTCTGTGATAATAATTTTGATTTCATAACTTAATAATTTCTCAAGATTTGTTTGTTATTCTCTAATATTCAGCGTTTAACATAATTTAACAATGGAATGCTTTTCAGGCAATATAAATAATTCTAATAAAAAAGACTAAAATATTTTTGAAGCCTTGATAGTTTTGCCTGTCCTTTCATACTCAGGAGTTACCATATTGCTCACCAGCTTTCTTTGCTTCTGTCCTTAACTGTTATACCTCCTGCCTCTGTTTATGTTTTCTCACAGCTGTTGGCTCTTCTGACTTTTCAGAATACTAGAGGAAGGAGGGATGTTGAGAGTGTATTCTGCTTTTTTTTTTTTTTTTTGTGGGAGACAGAGTCCGCTCTGTTGCTCAGGCTGGAGTGCAGTGGTGCAATCTTTGTTCATTGCAACCTCTGCCTCCCGGCTTCCAGCGATTCTCCTGCCTCCGCCTCCTGAGTAGCTGGGATCACAGGCACATGCCACCACTCCCAGCTAATTTTTGTATTTTTAGTAGAGACGGGGTTTCGTCATGTTGGCCAGGCTGGTCTCCAACTCCTGACCTCAGGTGATCCGCCCATCTCGGCCTCCCAAAGTGCTGGGATTACAGGCATGAGCCACCGCGCCTGGCTCTATTCTGCTTTTCGACAGGAATATTCCGTCACAAATATTGTTTGAGCCCCGCTGCATACAGGACAGTATTCCAAAGTGCTTGATGTATCATGTTACCCAGAGAGGCATCATCCCTTTGGTATCTCATGGAACTTAGTTTTAGAGGAGGAGATAGATACATAAATGGATAATTGCAATGCACTGTGACAAGTGCTGGGATAGGATAATTACAGGGAGCATTTGGAGCATGCAGAAGGGGCATCTAATTTAAGCCTTAGTGGGGTTATGCAGGTTGCCCAGAGGAAGAAGTGTGAGCAACCTCAGCTTCTGTAAAGAGCCTTTAATGTTTTTCATCACATAATAAATAACCTACTAATGATCATATTTATTGTGTTCATTTCACAAGTATTCATTTATTATTGTGGTAGGAACACTTAACATGAGAACTACCCTCTTAATGAACTTTTAAGTGTACAGTATGTTATTGTTGACTATCTACAAGTATTTATGGAGCACCGAGGATGTATCAGTAGACAAAACAAACTAAATGCTCCTACGAGCTTAAATTTTGGTGAAGGAATACAGACAACTAAATATATAGATTTATGGGAATAATATATATGTTTATGCAATAAGTATAGCCTATAGAACAAAATATATACAATTATATATAGTAAGCTATATATATAACACATACATTACATATATACACACACATATATGTAACGTATAGTGGTGTTAAAAAGGACAAAAGGCTGGGCGCGGTGGCTCGCACCGTAATCCCAGCACTTTGGGAGGCTGAGGCGGGTGGATCACCTAAGGTCGGGAGATCAAGACCAGCCTGACCAGCATGGTGAAACCCCCCCTCTCTACTAAATACAAAAAATTAGCCAGACGTGGTGGCACATGCCTGCAATACCAGCTACTTGGGAGGCTGAGGCAGGAGAATCGCTTGAACCCGGGAGGTGGAGGTTGCAGTGAGCCAAGATTGTGCCACTGCACTCCAGCCTGGGCAACAAAAACGAAACTCCGTGTAAAAAAAAAAAAATAGGTTGCAATTTTTAAATTAGCTTGCAGGGAGGCTCCTTGACAAGGTGCCATTTATCAGCTTGAGACTGATGTCTAGGAATATAAATTAAAAATAAAAATAAGAAATAAGAAAAGGTGTCATTTAAAGAAAGGCCTAAAGGAGTTGAGGGAGTGAGCTGGGAAGGTGTCTGGCGTAAGACTATCCCAGGCAGAGGAAACAGCAAATGCTAGAGTCGGGAAGAAGAGCGCCTGCACCTTTGAAGAACAGGGAAGGAGCCCGCGTGGCTGGTCTGGGTGAGCATGAAGACAGCAGCGGGGATGACGTCTGAAGGGAAAGTTCGTTCTTGTGTGTCACGGCGGGGGCGCCTCCCTCAGATGCCACGATGAGAACTCGGGTTTTACTCTGAGTGAGGGCCTGCTGTGGATAGAGCCTGCTTTCTGCTACCGCCCTCCGCACTCCCTTTCAACCCCCCGCCCCCTTGCTGCTGGGGCAGGAGACGTGCAAACTACACTTTCCGGACCCCCCGTGCCCGCTGGCTTCCTGTTAGGTGCGCCAGGACACTGGGAGAGGAGAGGGAGGAAGAGCCTTCCTTTTTTTGAATCGGGTTCCCGGCGGCCTTCCCATAGGGCAGCTGCAGGAGCAGCAGCAGCAGCTAGGAATGCTGGCCGGCTGCTTGCTTCCACCAGTAGCTGCTTTACTGGCTCTGGTTGTGGGCTCGCTGAAACACCATTTTCCCTTTTGTTCCTCCTTCCTAGGGGTGGTAGTGGCTACCTGCAGTCACTAATCTTTGTAACCAATTCCCTATATTTCCTCTCTTGGAAATACCTGGAATGGTTTCTGTTTTCTTGATTGGGCACCGACTGGAGCAGAGGAGGGTCATGGTCTGATGATTTATGTTTTAACAGGCCACTCGGGCTGCTGTGTTGAGAGGAGACACCACTGGCAAGGGCAGAAATGGGAGGCCAGCTAGGAGACTATTGCAATAATCTTGGTGGCAGCTAATAGTGCCAGTGTGGTATCAGTGGATGTGGTAAAAAGTGGTCAGACAATGGATATATTGTGAAGCTAGAACCACAAGCTCTATTTACCGTCCTTTGAACTCAGGAATATTGCTATGACCCCTCGTATGCAAAACATACATACTTGAGTTCTTTGCCTATTACTGGAGACAAGTTTGCACCAAAACATCCACTTCCTGATTTGTGAACTATAAGTATTTGCCAGTGGGTTGGGCAGGGTTAGGAATAAGTTTAAACAAGGTTAACCAACTGGTACTCCACTAAGACTACAAGAATCCCTTCAGAGCTAGAAACAAACACGAAGGTTAAAAAATATCATCATAATGATGCTGTGATTAAAATAATACTATATCCTTAGAAAGCTCAAAAAAGTTTTTAATAAATACGTCTTAAAAATGTAACATCCATTCATTTATTCATTGAATAATTTTTTGTTAGATTTCTGCTATGTTCTGGACATTCGTACTAGGTCCTCAGAAGACAAAGATGAAAAAGGATTTAGTATTTATCGTTAATGAAATTACAGTCTTGGGCCTCTAGTTCACATAGTAACTGAATTTCGGCCCACAGTTTGGGGAGGACACTATAGCTACCCTTTGCTACTTACTCTAGTAACTTTCATTTGTCTGCTTGAGGTCAAGTTAGATCGGCCTGGTTTGGGGGCTGTGTTTGTTAAAGAATGTTATGTATGCATTTATTTAAATTAACAAGCACATATTAGCCTTAACTGCACGTAAGGCATTGCTCTAAGCAGTTCACACTTAATCAGCTCCTAAATTGTCTTAAAGTTGAGTTAATTCAGTTTATTGACCATCTCTTAGTCTCACTCATACTGTTCCTTTCCATGCCGTGCTCACCCAGAGTAAATACACAGGCCCTTTCTGTGATCCTCACAAACATCTTGCCTTACTAGGCCTTTGTGGGTGCAACAAACTGTACTGAAACTGGGGATCTACCCAGGGGACTGACACTGCATCATAGTAATGAGAGGACTTCACAAGACTTCTGCAGACTGTGCCAGCCACTTAGCACCCTTCTGCTGGTTCCTCCTTCCCTCTCTGCCTTCCCATCCCAGCTGACCCTTATTCTTCTTACTCTGTTGCCAGAGTGACTCATCTTTATGGCTCCTATTTCCAACTGTGGCTCAGCCTCAAGGCTTATCTACTCTTCACACACAAAGATCTGCAGAGACCAGGAAGCTTCTTTTTCACAGACTCCACCCTCCTTGAAGGACACTTGTGGTTTGAAATGGCAATATGTTCCCCTCCCTACCTGTCTAAGGGGCTCTGTGCAGCGGGAAGGGCAGAGTCCACAGGCCTTAAACCTTTGCCCCTATAGCAACTCTACCTTTTCTTCCTTGTTTTCATGTTGGTTTCCAGGTAAGATCCCTGCTAAAGAGAGCACAGTACATTTAAAATTTTTGAAAACAGAGTTAACTATTTACTTTGTGATCCATACTTTACTTTTCCAAATTTAACTGGCCAAAGACATCATTTAAGCTTCAGTTCATAGGTAAGATGATATTTTCCTAGTCTAACTCTTCCACAAATATAAATTGCTCTGGTAATATATTCATTTAGATGAGTGCTGGCAACATTTATAAAAAAAATTCTGTGGTTCACTAGAGCTTATGCTAAATTTTATGCTAAAGTGGAGTGAATTTTATGCTAAAGGTAAATTTGAAAGAGATGTTCGCAGTTGTTTTTTAATCACCTGTCCTCATTAGTCGCATGTCCTCATTTTCTAATTAAACACAGTAATTATAGAGAGTCACATTCATGCAATTATGTGAGAGAGAAATGGAGTTATGTCAGTGTCAGAATTATGGCATATAATTACTGCGTGTGTTAAAGAACACATAAAACCAAGAGAAGAAAAGACCTAGAAACATAATACAGTAGAACTTCCTTATTGCTTGAGAGTTGGGGAAAGGAGGGAGGAAAGGGGCAGTTAAATCAGACCTTGACAAAATGAAAATCTATGTTTATCTCCTTTTACACTATGAGTTTCCTCTGTGTATAGTCCCCTTAGCATCCCTATTATCCAGCTCCCAGACACATTTTCCTCCATCAGTGATTATTTCCCAGAAGATTAGGGCCATTAATTCACACTAAGGTATAGATGACTAATAGATAATTGACCATGTCTGCTTTCTTAGGTTCAAAGTGTTATAATTTTTGAAGGCCTCCTATGTGTCAGGCCATGTGTAAGTCACAAGCAGTCACACAGATGAAAGAGACATAGTATCTTCTCTCAAGGACATCATGGTCTCACAGGGAGTTAGAGAATTAAACGAACATTTGCAAAATAAAATAATACATGCCATAGGAGGGGAAGAGGATAAAGATTGGTTAACTCTCCTTTCATTGTTGGTCTCCCTCATTCAGCTTTGAGCTTCTTGAGGGCAGGAACTGTGGCCATGCATCATTGTATCCCCAGCATCTACACTGTGCTTGGTGCATAGAAGGTGTTCTATAAATATGTGGTGGTTTGGTGTTTGCAGAGACATGACCCTTAATTGCACATACAGAGCCCTCAGTGTATTGTTGTCTCATGGGCCAATGCCTTGTGAAAATTTCACCAGTGGGCAGCTTCTAAAATGCCTCCCAATGATCCCCACCTCCTGGTATTCCTGGCCTGTGTAATCCCTTCCCCTTGAGTGTGGACTGGACCAAGTGACTTACTTTTAACAATAGGCTATGGCAAAAGTGATGCGATGTCACTTCAAAGATGAGGTTGTCAAAGATCATGACTCTTTCTCTGGCTTTTTGCTTGCTCACCTGTTGAGGCCAACTGCCATGTTGCAAGGTGCCTTATGGAGAGGTCCACGTGGCAAGGAGCAGAAGGTGGCTTCCAACCAACAGCCAGCAAGGAACTGAGGCCCTCAGTCAGCTGCCTGCTGGGAAGGGAATCCTGCCAACAGCCACGTGAGTGAGCTTGGAACAGGGTCTTTCCCAGTTGAGCTTGAGATGACTGCAACCCCAGCTGACAACTTAATTGCAGCCCATCAGAGACCTAGAGTCAGAACCATTCAGCTAAGCTGTGCCCAAATCTCTGACCTGTGGGATACAAAACTGTGAGATAATATATGCTGTTTTGAGCCAATAAATTTTGGGATGATTTATTACATAAGAAAAGATAACCAGTACAAGGTAAGACCATCTTCTGTCCAGGTCTTTGTTGATGTAGCCTTATATATCTGAAGGTTTTTCTCATGGAGAAGAATACTAGCAACCATTTGTTCTTTGTTTAATGCTCAATTTATTAAGCTCATAAATCTAACACCAAAAACTAACAACCAATTTTTCTTGGGGCCTTTAAATACTGATCACAAATTTATTAAGCAAACCACTGTAAACAATTTAAACAAACTGCAATTATATATTTGGAATGTCTAACCCTTTTAAACACTTCAAAACCGTAATTCACAAACTTATAGAAACAAAGACTACAGAATATATTGCTATAGTTTCACAGAAATCTACTTTAGGGCATCAATATCGTGGGTTTGATGCTTTTCTTATTTCTGTGCTTGTTTTTCTATGCTTGTTTTGATATACCCTCAGGATTTCAGTACTGTTATTTTTATTTCTTTCTGGGGTCACACGATTGTTAGAAGGCCCAAAGAAAAGATTATCTTATCAGAACAGCCTAGATTGCAAGACTTGGTTTATTGACTGATTAATTCTTGGTTACATTTGTTGCTTCTCCCAAGGTGATTCTAACCTAAACCACCTTTTTATAGTAAGCTTTTCTATAGTTCAATGATATCTGTTATGTCAGCAAGAGTATTTCAGGCCTTATCTTATGCCTAGGGTTTAATTTTGCAACCTACTATCTACCCCTGAAATTGTTTTTGTAATTATCACTTGGCTGTTCTTACATAACTGATTCTCCTGTCATAATCAAATATCGATTTGGTCTCTTAGCATTAAAAACTGACACCTTCCTTATTAGCACTGAGATTTAATCTCCTAGGAGTTGAGGATTGAGTGAGTAGTTAGCCTTCCTCTAGAGGTCGTCTGGTAATTCATTACATTGGCAAACACTGCAAAACCTTCTTTCTGGTGGGTTATTGTCAGTGTTCACTCAAACTGAATAGTCTTTTTGGCTTACAGTTCCCAACATTTATTCTCCTTAAACAGACAGAGAGAGACAGATGACTATGTGTCATAAACACATAAAATTAATGGAAGAAATATCAAGCCCTCTTCATTGTTAAAATCAGTAAGAAAATAAGTATGCTCTATTATATTAACTGTTTTCTATTACAATGACCTTTTGCACAGACTTCATATTAACATCTTTGTTTTGAGTTATTTTGAATTCATGGCCTTTGATAAGACTCACCTTTTTCCTATAATTCATGATGATGATAGTGGTGGTAATGATGATGGTGGTGGGAATAGTGATTTTGATGCTCACGTTGTAACTTAATCTTAAAAGGCATATTATTGTTTTAAAAAATTGGAGAGACTAAACTACAGTGTTTAGGAGTGCACATTTGGGTGATAATACTATAAAAACGACAATGAAGTCATTACTATTTGAGTGACGATATGCAGAAAGAAATGGGGATGTGGTTGGGATGAGGCTCAGGGAAGGGGCTTATGGGGTGGGCAGCAAAGTTCTATATTTTTGACCTGGGCCTACATTTGACTTTTTTGGGGGCATATGTGCTTTTTTTTATAATAAAAATTTTATTTTTAAAAATTGTCACCATATAGTTAGTGAGGGGCCCTGTATGCTGGCTCCCTTATTCTTTAACCATTGTCCCTGATGTTCTTGAAAACATTCTTGCTTTTTGGCAACAATAGAAGATTGAAGAAATGTTCTGATTTCTTTCCATCTTAAATAATGAAATTAGCTATTCTCCAAGGAATTCTTTTTCCTTTTAGCAGGAAATAATTGTAAAGTCCAGGAGCTGGGCTCTGGGAGTTGCACATGAGAATGTGTGCTGAGCCAGAATGCTATTGATGTGGCTGTTAGGCCACTCAGAGCTGAAAAAATTCTTCTTAAGCTTATTATTTCACACTGATATTTCCAATTTAACTTACTATGTTGCTATTCCATACTTTTTACACTTTATAAGGTTTCATCAACTACAGATCTTTCTCCTGAATTGACAATCTTTTCAGTATGATGAAACTCCTGGATTGAGCTAAGACATGACTTCTATCAATTCTCCTCTTTGGTATAGTAATTCATAAACTTCTGTCATTCACATAATTCATATTTTTTTGCCATATTTGCCAAATTTCTAATTTTGTACCACCTGTATTGTTGTTTTCTTAATATTTTTATTTAATCAACTAAATTGAACCTCTTAAAATACTTAGCTTCCTATTAAGCAATAATCTCTGTGAAATTGCAGGGTTTAATTAACTGGTCATATATTGTTCCAGTGCACATTAAGATGAATATATAAGTATTGAGATTTGAATAGATTCAATAAATGTTACTTTCCCTTACTCAAGTTCTGCACCATCTGACAGATAGATGAGAATCAGGAAGGTGGAGCTCAAAATAGTAGCTTCATTACTAGTGAAAGTTGGATTGGGGGATGCGGCTTAGGTGCTGGACAATTATGGGCTCCTTAAGAGTAAATCCCAGGTGTGGACAGACATGTACACCCGTAGGTCTTCCCTGCAGTGGAGTGCTATTGATTTCACAGCCAAGAACAGTGCGGAATTTGTCCTTCCTGAAGGAGATAGAGTCAAAAAGTACAAGGAGTGAATGACTGACTACTATACTCAATTTTGTTATTATTATCAATTAATTAACTTATTTTGTCAAATAAAAATGATATATATTTATGGTGTACTATATGTTATTTTGAAATATGCATACGTGGTGGAATGGCTAAATCAAGCTAATTAACATATGTATTACCTCGTGTATTTATCATTTATTTGTGGTGGTGAACACTTAAAATCTATCCTCAGCAATTTTCAAGTATACAATACAGTGTTATTAACTACAGTCACTTTGTTGTACAATAGATCTCCTGAACTTATTTCTCTTGTTTAACTAAAATTTTGCATTAAAAAAAATTGAGACAGGATCTCACTCTGTTGCCAAGGCTGGAGTACAGTGGTGAGATCATGGCTCACTACAACCTTGAGTTTCTTGGCTCAAGTGATCCTCTTGCCTCAGCCTCCCGAGTAGCTGGGACTACAGCCATGCACCACCATGCCAGGCTAATTTTTAAAATTTTTTATAGAGATGGGGTTTTACTGTGTTGCCAAATTTTGTACTTTTTGACCAACATCTCCCTAATCCTTACCTTCACTCCTAGCCCCTGCTAGCCACCATTCTACTCTGCTATGAATTCAACTTTTTTAGATTCCACATGTAAGTGCGATCATGCAGCATTTATGTTCCTATCCCTGGATTGTTTCACTTAATATATTGTCCCCCAGTTTCATTTATGTTGTTGCAAATGACAGGATTTCCTTCTTTTTTAAGGCTGAATAGTATTCCATTGTGTACATATACCACATTTTCTTTATCTATTCATCCACTGATGGCCACATCTAGTTATTCCTTCAAACTCACCAACTGGGCAGGTGTGACATTAAGCTAATGAACATTCCAGTAGTTAAAATGCAAAATCAGGGAATAACTACCAAGAATACATGTTTGTTCATTTATTGTGTCAAAACACCTCAAGTATACTTTTTGGGAATTTCTGCTATAGTGAACAGTGCTATGATAAAGTGCCTGTGAAGTTCACCTTGTCAAATATTGTTGGTTACCTTTTCTGCATCTCAGATTGCTGTATGTAGAGGAACAGATCTGATGTAGAAGAGTCTGTCTGAATCCAAGTCAGAGTGAGTCACATTGACAATGTGTCACATATACCATCTTGGCCATTTTCCAGACGCTTTTGTTAAAGAAACCACCACTACAAAATCATAATCAAAAGCTTCTAGTCCTCATGTCAGTGAGTGTTATTTTACTCTCTTCATTCACAAATTGACTAGACTATGGCAAGGTCTTGTGGGTTATCATTCCTGCATTTCCCTAATTGAGTCAGGAACATGTATCCCATTCAACTGTTTTGATGTGGTAGCTTCCTATGATTAGCCTCCATAGAATGTCAGTGCTTAAAGGAAAAGGAGAGACACCTCTAAAGTTGGGGGAGTAAGTTCCCCCTTGCTCACAGAGCTGAAGAAGTGAAGGTCTGAGCAGGCAAAAGACTTGTCCAAGGTCACATCCTACTTATTAAGCAACTTAGTCCCAGAACTGGAGTCTCCTTATTCACAGCTTATGCCTTTTCCATTCTGCCCCCTGACCTTTTAACATAAAGTCAAAGTGAGAAACAATGGGTTTTGGCAGAGAAAAATAATTTCCTATCATTTTCTTTCTCTAAAATAAAATTTGAATCTATCTATTCTTTTCTATGTTTCCTAACACTATAGACATAATCAACACCACCTGGACCACTGCAATAGCCTCAAAACAGGTCTTCTCCATTTCAACCTCCAATTCCATTTCTTCCTCCAATTCAGTTGCTTCCCTTCACATAAGTTCTTCACTGGAATGCTTTCTCTTTTATTTTTCACCACTTTCCTTGTACTCATTATATGAGTTAGGGCTTTTTCTGCTTCAAAAGGCAGAAAAACAATTGAAACTGGTAAATATAAGTCAGGATGAGCTAGGTTATGTTGTGGTAAAGAACAACTCTAAAATGTCAGTGCTTTCATTTCTGCATCTTGGTTGATGGGGAACTCTGCTCCATGTCACGCTCAGTCAGGATCTTTAGGTTGACCGAATCCCCACCATTTGGAATCTATTTGATTGCCATGGCAGGGGTGGAAAACATGGTGGAGTGTGCCCCAGCTCTTAAAGGCTTCTGCCCCAAAGTGACACATATTACATCTGCTCACATTTCATTGGCCAAACCAAGTCCCACGTCTACCTTCAAGGACTGAGGAAGTGCAGTCCTACCATATGTCCAGAGGAGCAGAACCAGAAGAAAAAAAAAATGACTAGCACTAATGACTACCACGCTTTACGCATAAGGGAATGTGTGGTGACTCATGACTGAACAGTTCATGGGTGGATATGGTCAGGCAGAACTTAAATCAGAGTTTAAATGATGGCAAGAGGATATATTTCTTGACTAAGGTGTCCTTCAGTTACATGTCATTCTTTTCTTTTAGTGTCAAGGTTGTATCTTTACAAGACTCAGTGCAGTGAAGAAGATAATCTGCTTCCCTGATAGATTAGATCAAAGATTCTAAATGGAACCTTGCTGCTGTTATTGGCCTAACAGAGGTCATATGGTCATCCCTGAATCAACGGAATCATTACTGTGGCTAGGGAGATGAAATACACTGATTGGCTGAGCCTAGGTCTTGGCCCCACCCTAGCAGCCAGAGATGGAAGAAATAGCTCCAAAACACTGAGGCTGAGAATGTGGTAGAGTATTTTCTCCAGGAAGACTTGGGCTATGGTTATAGAAGAATGTGAATGGCTGTTGGATAAGACAAAACACAAGACATCTATGGGTCTTTTTTTTCAAGTCTCTGTTTAGTGTCACTTCTTCAGGTGTCTTCCTTGGGCACACACGGAAACTGAATTAGATACACCTTTTATTCTCTCTCAGCATTCCTTTTATTTTTCTTTCAAGGCAAAATATGTAATTTTGTATTTACCTGTGTGATGATTTGTTTAGTGTCTGTTTCCCTCACTAGAAGGTAAGCTCCTTAAGGGCAATAACTCTACCTGTTTTGTTCATTGATGTTTGTTCAGCATCTAGAAAAATGCCTAGAATGGGGTAGGCTCCCAGGAAATATTTATTGAAAGAAGCAACAGTAAATACTACCTATTTTGGATATCTACTGGTTTTAAGATAAAGATGGGAACATGTGATGGTTAATTTTATGTGTCAACTTAAATGGATTAAGAGATGCTCATAGCTGCAGATAGCAGGTCATTGGGCGTCTTGGCCTTCATAACCATATGAGCCTATTCCTAAAATAAATCCCTGTTATGTATCTCTCTATATATCCTATTAATTCTGTTTTTCTGGGGAACCCTGACTAATACAGATTTGAATATTGGGGGTTTTAGCTCAAAGATACATGGCATAGTATGTCTAGGTTAACAAGTAGATAAATTTTAGTAAGACAGTAAAGATAACAGATTCGGCTAATAAAAGTATGTATTATTAAATGCTTCTACAATAACCTTTAGACTGCAGCAAAATGAAAAAAATAGGTTTCCAAGAATCTATAAATCAACATGACATATTAAAATGTTGTAAAAAACTAAGCAAATCTATATTTTTCACCCTCTTATTTTGTCTAGAAGATGAAACACAATCTTGTTTTGAACTGGCTTAAATAAGACCTACTGGTTGAGGCATGAGACTTTAAAATTCTATTTTTGTAAGTCATTAGTTATCTAACTACTGTTCTATATCTTAGTAAATGTGTTGTACCTCAGCTTCCCAACCTGTAAACTATGGATAATAACTATACCTGGCAATTGTGGTAAGAGTTAAATGAACTAATACACATAAATTACTCAAAGCAATTACACAAATAATAGTGCCTGCCACATATTAAGTGCCCAATAAATTTTAGCTGTTATTATTAAGAGCTTATTTCCTTTATTATTTTATTTGAGTAGCAGCTTCTACTGCCAGAACACTTACTTTCACATTATCTTATCTGAATTGCACGAGGTGTTAAGCATTTAGTATTTGTTGAGTGCTAGATATACAAAGAAACATGAGACCGAGTTCCGTCTTTCAGAAATTTGCAACATAGTTCCAACAGTATTTCCTGCTATGGCTTGATTTTAGAAAATACATCTCCAGGGGAGCTAAATATAGACTGCTAGATTTTTACCAATTAGGATTCTTTAGGTTGCAAGTAACAGAATCCAACTCAAAGTAGCTTAAACAACAAAGTGGACTTGTTAGTATGGGGCAATGGAAAGAGTGTGTCTTTTAGGAATGGTGGGTCCAGGATCTCCACAGTGTTCACTGAAAGCCCAACTTTTCCCCAGCTATTGGCTTCTCTCATCACAGGGATGACATCAAACCAAGGCTATCTACCCATAGGATGTCTACTAGCCTCAGCTTGGGGCATTTCCTTGTTCATATCTAGGGGAGGGGAGCTAATTTCCAGAATCCCCCAGTAAACCTCTCTTCATGTCTCATTGGTCCAATCTGTGCCATATGGCTGTTCTATTGCCAGTTCCTAGGAGTGGAGATTATCCTTGGATCAATCAGGCCCACTTTGGAAACTGGGAGTGAGTCAACCTCCTTTCAGGTCCCTGTGCTAGTGCTTATTAGGGCTACGATAAAAACTTGAAGGCAGAATGAATGGTGACCAGATAATCAACAATTCCCAGTCTACTCTTTGAGGGGAGAATGATCTCTTACTTTTATGTTCTAACATGTTCTGAGCCAAGTGTACAGAAAATGCTTAATAAATACTACAGAAAGAGTGGAGAGTAAATAGACCTACCAAAGAATTATTTATCCACCTTACATAAGTCTCTGAATCCCAGAAATATTTGTCCTAGGAATTGGCACTACCAGTTTTTTTCTTGTTTAAGTGCCCTCTCTCTCAGCAACATGACCGTAGACTCCATCTAGTCCCAAGAGTGCTGGAGGGGCAGTTGGGATTGCCCTTTTCTTCTGGAGTCCCCCTTGTTGATTGATCATAAGCTGTGATATTTGTAATTCATTCCCAAGTCAAGGGGCACATTTTGGCTGCTTGGTATCATATGTTGTAGTAGATGAATGAATCTTTTAAGATTTGTGCCCAGAAAAATTGGCATTTAAGCTTTCTCTTTATTCCAGCTCCGAGGTTAGGGAAACAGCTATTGATGGACTAATTAGCATTTTAGGGGGACTAAGAATGATCTCCTATCCTTTAACAGTTGAATAAGCAGTTGTCTCAGGGAGATTCTTAGAGCATCACTGTAATATTATTTCATGCAGAACTACAGGCTGGCCTGACTCCTGGTCACCATATATAACACAATGGCAATAGCTATAGTAAAGAAAAGCAAGTTTGTCATGTCTGGTCATGGTAGGATGATAATGGTAGGGTGCATTTGACACAGGAAAGTTGTAACTTCTCAGAAGTTAACCTTTCGACTGTCATGCTCAGCATCTGTTTTTTCTCACTTCTAAGAGAGGGTCTATGTCTTAGGAGTAGATGCAGGAAAACCAAGTACATACAATCAATGCATAATATCACACACAATAGCCATTCAGGATATTGGGAAGCTGAAGCAAAATCAGGAACCACTTTATTCATTCTGAGGCATTACTACTGTACCAATTACCAGTTAGCAACTTTCTTATTGATAAGAACAGTTGGTTTGGTGAGCTGACCAAGACAGGAATCAGGCGGTTGCTTGAGGTAAATCTTTTTAAAAAATTTTGTTTTATCTCAAGCTCCAAACGATGAATGAGGTTAATCTTATGTATTCACTTACTTGTTTTACTGCTCTGAAGGCGCATCCGCATGGGTCAATCTTTTTTTTTTTTTAAGACAAGGTCTCACTCTGTCGCCCAGGCTGGAGTGCAGTGGCACAGTCACAGCCACTGCAGCCTTGACCTCTCCAGGCCCAGGTGATCCTCCCACTTCAACCTCCTGAGTAGCTGGGACTACAGGTGCACACCACTATATCTAGCTAATTTTTCTATTTTTTGTAGAGACCGGGTTTCACCATGTTGCCTAGGTCAGTATGAAACTCCCGAGTTCCTCTGCCCTCCTCAGTTTCCCAAAGTGCTAGGATTATGGGTGTGAGCCACCAAGCTCGCCTGGTTAATCTTTTATTATTATTATTATTATTTTAATTCTGGAACAGATTAAGATGAGAATGGCTTCATTAATCTTGATGTGACCATTTTAGGAAAATAATTTTTTTTTTCAATGGGAAAATAATGAAAGTCCTTACCTGAATCTTCTATTTCTAGGTATAATTTCCCCAATATCCATGTTTACCTATTGAATGTTATTTTCCCATTATTTCATAGTGGCCAGCACCTCTTCTGACTGCCTTTTCTTTTTTAAGGAAACATCAGTGTCTTTAATCTGGATACTCTTGTGTGTTGTGGTTTCAAATAATTCCAGTTTTCATGTACTGACTTTGAATCTATTAGTTTACATCTTTGCAAATAAAATTTAGTGAAATGGGAGTCTATCCCTTTGGATGAGTTAATTAGCCCCTCCATGCTTCAGTTTATTCATCTGTGAACTGTGGATAATAATGGTAATGAATGTGGCAGTGCTTCACTAATGCCCCCTCTTTAGGGCCTGTGCTCCCCACCCTCCTCAAAGCTGTGCTCCTTTCTGAGGCTTGTCACCCAGCCTCCTTACCTCATTGGGGGCCACCCAGCTCCAGGGATTTCTATAGGATTGGTTGAGGACTCAACTGGCACCAAATTTTGGAGCAGATTGTCTTGTTGTCCAACACTCCATTCTTCACTTCCTCAGGGGTGTATCGCTCTAAAGTACCCCCATCCTCATCCCTGTATATAAATCCTTGTCTCATAGTCTGTTTCGAAGGAACCCAATCTGAGACAAATACCTGCTTCTTCAGATTGTTGTAAAGATTGAGTGTCTATATAAAGCCCTTCAGACAGCACTTGGGTTTGGGAATAATTTATCATTTGATAGCTGTCATTATTCTTGGGTTGTACTTCACTGATTGATAACATTACCATTTCTGCTTATCTCATCAATCAGATAGTCCTTTGGAAAAATAATGTAATAACTAGCCCAAGGAAAGTTGTTAAGTTTGCTATTTTTCTGTTAGTTTACTCTTCCTTTGCCCTGGGGCCCTTCATGGCTGCCGCCTTCCCTGCCCCTTCTCTCCTTTCCCCTTCTCCTACCCATTCCAACCCTTCAGTATCTGCTCATGGCCTCCCCCACTGGAAAAATATGTAGGAAAGGAAAGGACTTGTTAAACTTACTCACATTGGAGTTTCAATGTGTTATCCCTTAACTTTCTAAGTTATATGTCATCTGAAATTCTCTCTGTATGCCTTTGATTTTATTATTACTATTATTATTATTATCTGCAGTACCACAACTGCCCTTCTGTAATTTTTGGCCTTCAGTCTATTGTGAGATCATTTTTTAAAAATTGGTCTTCCCAGATAAGAAGCATCTTAAATAGATGCTTTTAAAATGCATGCCATTATGAGCTTCAAGTCAGTGAAATTTAAAAAAAAAGAAATAAAATGCATGCCATTAAGATAAAATAAAATGCATGCCACTAATTGCTACCTGCTATTACAAAGAAAATTTCCCCTTTTGTACTCATATGGTGAGGCGAATTGGCCTTAAAGGATGCAATTTTACCAAACAAACAAGATGAATAAAATTCTTATTGGATTTCTAAACAATCAAGGTGAAGAGGGTAAATATGGAGAGTTGAAAACATCAATGTAAAAGGCAGCTCAACTTTCAAAGATCTCAAGAGCTGGGCTGATTTGGAGATGGAAAAAGAGTGGGCAATAAAGAATCTTTTTTCTTTCCTTTTCTCTTCTTTTTCTTTGGGCACATGAACTCACAGCAGCTAAATTTTTCTTCCACGTCATACTAGATAGGAGTCTCAGTTCAAAGTGCTAGAAAACTCAACTCAAATTAAGCTAAGCACAAAAGGAGATTGCCTGGAAGGATCCTGACCAAGCTCAGATAATCCAAGAAGGAGCTGCAGGAAACATGGCAATTCATGGGATTCAGGGACCAGAACTGGAGGTCCAGTGCCTCCAGAATCTCTCTTCATCTTTTGTCTCTGCTTGTGTCTGATATTATTGGTTAAATTGTGTCCTTCAAAAAGATGTTGAAGTCCTAACCCTCAGTGCCTATGAATGTGGTCTCATTTGGAAAGAAAGTTTTATCAGATGATCAAGTTAAAATGATGTATTAGCTTGCTAGGACTTCCATAACAAAGTACCACAGACTGTTTGGCTTAAATAACAGATATTCATTTCCTCACAGTTCTGGAGCCCAGAAGTCTGAGATGAAGGCATCAGCAGGATTGATTTCTCCTTGCCTTGTTGGTGGCCTTCGTCTCTCTCTTTCTTCACATGGTCTTCCCTCTGTGCATGTTTGTGTCCTAAGCTCTTCTTCTGATAAGGGCACCAATCATATGGGTTATTAGGGCCCAGCAGTATGACCTCATTTTACGTTAGTTACCTAGTTACCCTTTCAAAGCTCCTGTCTTTGAATACAGTCACATCCTGAGGTACAGGGTGTTAGCACTTCAACATATAAATTTTAGGGACACAATTTTGTGTATAACAGTTGAGGTCATTAGGGTGGCTCTTAATCTAAAGTTCTTATAAAAATTTGGACACAAAAACAGACAAGTGTAGAGAGAAGACAATGTGAAGTCACAAGAAGACCATCCACAAGCTAAGAAATGCCTGGGGCTATTAGAAGCTAGGGGAGAGGCATGGGACAGATTCTCCCTCTGAACCCTCAGAAGGAATCCATCTTGCCAACAACACCTTGATTTATGACTTCTGGAATCCAAAGCTGTGAGACAATAAATTTATGTTTTTCAAGCCATCCATTTGTGGCACTTTGAAAATGAACACATCTGGCTTTATTTCCCTCTACAGTCAGACAGGCTTTCTCTAGATGGTGGCCAGACTGGGCCTTGGCTCTTCTTCTTCCCACTTCTGATCTTTCAGCACACCTTTCCAGCTCTACCTTCACAAGGGATCCAGAACCTAAAAACTGATCACCACTGATACCACTGTGGTCTCAGCCATCATTTCCTCTTATCTAGATTATGGCAATCACCTCTTGAGGGGAGAACAAGCTCAAATCATGTTTTTTTCCTGTGCTCTCACATTACAAAAATCATCAACACAGAAGACGTTCTATTTTTTGTAGAGACCAGGTTTCACCATGTTGCCTAGGTCAGTATGAAACTCCTGAGTTCCTCTGCCCTCCTTCAGTAATGGCAATTGTGGTGAGAGTCAAATAAACTAATACATAATATTATTAATAATGTTATCTGCAGTACCATCACAACTGCAATTTTTGGCCCTCATGTATGATGAAATATCTTTGTAAGATATTTGCTATCTTAAAGACCAAATAAGGTCATGAAATTCTAAGGTTTGCCAGCACACATACAAATGTGTGTGTGGTTTCTCCCCACACAGCAAGCAAGCACTCAGGTCTGCAGTGGACACCAGCCAGGTGTCCTCCAATTCAATTCTGACACTACCTGGAGATAATTCAGAACCCACAAGTTGAGGACTCAGTCCCACAAGATCACTCCGCTGTCCCCACCGTCCCCCATTCAGATGTTAGTTGCAAGTCTTGGCCTCCAGAACTTCTGACTGACCCACTTCAAGATGGGCTTCCCATGATCCTCTCTTTGGATTCAGTTAATTTACTAGAGCAGCTCATAGAACTCAGGGAAACACTTACTTCCATTTACCAGTTTATTATAAAGGATAGTACAAAGGATGTAGCTGAAGAGATGCATAGGGCAAGGTATAGGGGAAGAGGCATGGAGCTTCCATGCCCTCCCTGGATGCACCATCCTCCAGGAATCTCCATATGTTTGGCTAGCTGGGAGCTCTCTGAACCCTGTTCTTTTGGGTCTCTTAGCAAGACTCCATTGGATAGACATGATTGAAGATAACCAGGTAGAAATACGATTAGGCAAAAAAGGATATGATATAATACTAACAGACTGAGTCAGGAAACCTAGTAAGGCCCGCCTGTCTAGATTCTTCTTGGCCTTCCTGTGCAGCATTTCTTCCTGCAGGGTATGGGGTGGGACACTCTCTGGAATGAGAAATCAATCAGAAAAGCCAGGAAAGATTAGAGTCCTGCCTTGGGCAGGTGAAGGGAAGTCAGAAGAAGGTCGGAGAGAGAAAAGCCTGCTTCTGAGGCCTAAAGTGTCCCAATACTATAGCAAAAGACTGTAGCAAGGGCTATGGGAGTTATCAGCCAGGAACCATGAATCTATATTTATACGTGGAGGAGTGGAGTTTAGTGAGGAGTGGGAGTTGGGGAGGAAATTTTACATATATATATGTAAAATATCATACCTCTTAATTGGTCTCTTTCTTTGCTTTGCCTCCCCATAGTCACTTCTCCAAACTGTAAGTAGCCAGAATGATTCTGTTAAAATATACAGTTGAGATCATGTCTCTCCTCTGCTCAAAACTCTCAATGGCCTCCCATCTCATACAGATAAAGCCAACATCTTTACCATGGCCTGGAGGACCCTATGTGACCTAGATTCATGTTTTCTGACCTTATATCTCAGGAACTCTGCAACAGCCATACTGGCCTCCTTGTAGCTCTGAAATGTATCAGGAGAATGCCTGTTTCAGGTCTTGGAACCTGCCATTCCTTCTACGTGGAATGATCCTCCTCCAAATACGAGCATGACTTGCCCTCCTCTTCTTGCAACTTTTCTACTTTAATGTCATTTTCTCAGAGAGGTCTTCCTTAGCTCTTTTAAAAAATTTTAACACTGCTCCTCTCTCCCCTGCCCTGCCATCACTTCTCATCCTTCTTCTCCAGTTTTTGTCTCCTTAGTACCCACGCTTACTTATCATACATGATATTTTACATATTTGAATCTATTCTGATACTTTGCTTTGTTTTCCTTGCAAATTCTCATTCTGTACCCTGGTTTCAATAACTATATCCCTGTTCCCTGCCTTGGCTTGTGTCTCTAGCTCACATCTCAAATGTCAGGTTGCTGGATTTTAGAGACAGTCTTGGCCCACTCAGTTTCTGCCCCTGCATTTCAGTTTTTGTTGACGGAAAAACTGAGCTGCAGGGGCAGGAAGGATTTTGTTCAAGGTCATATTTTATATTAAGTACATTCGTGAGTTTATTCAACATATACTAGGTGCCAAGCATTTTACTAGGCACTGGATAGAGAGGAGTGAATAATATATGCAGTTCCTCCAGTCTTGAGAATGTCACAGTAACAGTGATTTATATATACAGATAATTATAAGACTGGATACAAAAAATCAGTGATAGAGAGATGGTCAGGATGGTCAGAAGAGGGAATTGAACCAACATGAAGAAGGTGAGAAAAGCAGAGAGACAGGGTCAGGGCTGGAGTTCTGTGTCACTTAAATCTTGCAGCATTTACAATCATTCATTCATTCATTCATTCAACCTAAATGTATTGGATGTCTACCATGTTTAAACTATTGTGCCTCCCTGTGAAGATACAAAAGGTATTTGATATCTTATGAAAGTTCTTTAGTAAGATATTTGGTATCTTAAAGACCAAATAAGGTCATGAACTTCTAAGGTTTGCCAGCAAATTTCCACCCTCAAGTCCCTGCCCAGTTAAGCCAACCAATTTCAAAGCGATGGAAATTTGTTTCACAGTTTCTTCTCGCTCCCTCAGAGGACCCAGCAAGTAAGATTACTGTTGTGCAAACTGGCTGTGATTCAGAGCTACAAGATAATAGGCTCATGTTGTCAAGTCTGGCACACGTTTCAGAAAGCCCCAACGTCCTTGGAATGGGCAGGTCACATTTGTTCTTACACAAGTCACTCAGCCAACCAGCCCCAAGTAGAGGTTGCAGGTGGTGGGGCCTTTAATCTTTCAGGACACACCATTGGCCTTTCATGGTTACTTAATCCGGAGATTAAGTCCTGCTTAAAGATACACTCTGGGAGAAACTGATGGTCAGAGTGGATTGAGGATACAGGGCCCAGGACCTACGCTAGCAGGGGGTTTGTATGTCACATCTGGTCTCCAGCTACTCTGGTAAAAGAGGCAGATACAAAATACCATAAACTCTGCAGGTAATTGATCTCTCCTTTGTGGACCTGTGTAGTCTCCCTGGAAGACTGCTTTTTGTTTTCCTGTAAGGAGGGATTGGTGATATAGTGGAGTGGCTTTTAAACATGCATCCAACACATGTAAGAGCATTTGCATCTCATTCTCCTCTCCACTCCTCCCTCTGTATTTCAAGGAAATGCTGCTTACAGGCTTAGTAAGGTGGGGATTAAGAATTAATTATTGGATTTAGCAATTTGGTCATTGGTGACCTTGACAACAGTCGTTTCGGTGAAGTGGTGGGGGCAAATACTGATTGGAATGGGCTCAAGAGATTACAGGCAGCTCTTTTGAGGAGCATCAGTGGACCAGAGACTCGGAATACAGCTGGAGGAAGATAGGGGGTTAAGAGTTGTTTTTTTTGTATTGTTTCTGTTTTTGTTTTTAGATGGAAGAAATTACAGTGTACTTGTTGTGCTGGCTGGAATGGCCCAGTAGAGACAAAAGCTGATGATACAGAAAGGAAGGGGGATATTGCTAGAGAGATGGCCTTGAACAAGAAAGAGGACAGGAACTTTTAGTGATGTACTAGAGCTGGCCATTCAACACAGCTATTATTAAAGTATATAAATTTACAATCACATATAAAAATTAATAAATATTTATTTATTTGAGATGGGTCTCACTCTGTGGCCCAGGCTGGAGTGCATGGCACGATCATAGTTCACTACAGCCTTGAACTTCCGGATTTAATAGAGCCTCTGGCCTTAGCCTCTCAAGTAGCTAGGACTACAGGTGTGCACTGCCACACCTGGCTAATTTTTTATTTTATTTTTTGTAGAGATGGGGTTTCACTATGTTGCCTACACTGGCCTCAAACTCTTGGCCTCAAGTGATCCTTCTGCCTTGGCCTCCCAAAGTGCTGAGGTTACAGGCATGAACCATAGGAGCCTGGCCAAAGAGTAATAAACATTGAAAACTCATCCCTTCCTGCTACATTTTCCATTATTTATGTTTTTGGTTCTTTATGGCTGTCGTATGTGGGTGGTGGAAATACTATGTGATGGTGTGCTTCTGTGCTTCCCTCCCCAACTCCCACTCCTCACTCAACTCCATGTTGCTAAATCCCCAACTTGTGTTTAGTGACATCGAGTTGGCATCTTTAAACATGGTAGGAGTATTTACACCACAGGAATCAGCAACCTTTGGAAATCAGGGCCTTGCTTGATTTATACTTTAAAGGACAGCTATTTGTTAAACATTTTTCAGTTCACCTCAGGATTCAGTGGACAAATGGAGACACTGGTGCTAAAACAAAGTGCTGACAGTTCACCCACAGGAACAAGAGTGAAGGCAAGGCATTTGGTCTGGTGGGTAGAGAGGTGGCAGAGCGATGTGACCTATTGACTAAGTGAAAATGGAAGTAAGGTAATGACTGGAGTATAAGGCTGGGAACAAAGGTGTCAGAGGTGTGGAGGAATGCGGGAGAGTAAGTGGATTAGAGAAATTCAGTACTCTCTTTTTTTTTTTTTTTTGAGATGGAGTCTTGCTCTTGTCGCCTAGGCTGGAGTGCAATGGGCGAGCTCTGCTCACTGCAACCTCCGTCTCCCGGGTTCAAGCGATTCTCCTGCCTCAGCCTCCGGAGTAGCTGGGACTACAGGCGCCCGCCATCACGCCTGGCTAATTTTTGTATTTTTAGTAGGGACAGGGTTTCACCATGTTGGCCAGGCTGGTCTGGAACTCCGGACCTCAGGCGATCCGCCCACCTTGGCCTCCCAAAGTGCTGGGATTACAGGCGTGAGTCACCGCACCCAGCCAGAAATACAGTACTTTCATAGTGTATTTGTCTGGCACCATTAAAAGGCGCCATAGGGTTAGTGGTTATGAACTTAAAAGATGCACAGTGGGTGTGTATTTTCCTTCAGCCCCTTCTGGTGGCTTGGGTAGAGACAGTCAGAGGAGACCTAGATTTACACAAGGCTAGGGTTTTGCCAGACCAGTGTGACTGCGTATGGCAGGGGCGAGCGAGATGGCAAAATCGTAAAAGTCATCACCTCAGAGACCCTCCATAATCACCCTCACTAAAATCATGTCCGCGCCCGTGTCACTTTAACCGATTATTGTTTTTATTTTCCCAGCTTGTTGATTGGGTGTGAAATCAGCCGGCTCATCAGCAGAGCTGGTGTTTCCTCCCTGCGGAATCCGCAGTGCCCACTACAGCGCTGGGGCATAGGAGGCCTCAGAACCGTGCTGAATACACGGATTAACGTGCTGGTTCTCCTAACATCTGTTGGTTGCAGTAAATAATAATACTCGCAACTCTTTTGTATCCTCTAGTTCCTTGCTCCGTGGTGTTTAACCTTAGCGAGCAAAGGAACTTACCTGCAGGTTTTGGTGCACTAAAACGCGGTTCTTATTCCCGAGGCAATCTTTACCTTACACGAGGCCCAAACCCAAGCCTCAGAGGCAGCTGCCTGGTGGCATGAGTAATGCTGGCCTTTGTCACACCAGGCCTTCCTTATTAATACTTTTTTCCCGTGCTGCCAACCACGGCTTATTCTGTGACTCCAGGCGGTGATACCATAAACGCATAAGCCCAAGGTCCAGGTTTCCTGGGGCGGGGCGTGATGGCTCCCAGGCAGAGAAGCTTTTCTCGGCAGGCGCGGCCGCGGGAGGGCACCAGGGCCGCTCTGGCGCCGCCAGCGTGGAGACCGCGGGGCCCCGGGTGCTCTGGGAGCGCTCCAGCGCCTCCCGCGCTCTGTAACCCCAGGCCCCGGACTCTGGCAGTAGGGGCGTGGGCGTGGCCGACTGCGCGTTTCTCCGAGTGGCCAATAAAGTTTCGAAAGTTTGAAAAGCGGAGGAAAAAGGCCACGCCCATGTGGCTGTCCGAGTGTGGGCGCCTCCGGGCCTCTGCGGAGCCCTGGGCAGCTCTGAGCTCGCGGAGGCGTGGCCGGTGCGCGGGGCCCGCGGCGCGCGGGGATGGGGGTCTCGGTGGATGTGCACCAGGTGTACAAGTACCCCTTCGAGCAGGTGGTCGCCAGCTTTCTCCGAAAGGTACCGCCCCGCTTCCACCTTCCGTATCCCGCGCTGCCTCCGCTGCTTGCCCCTCTCTCCTCTCCTTCATCCACGCGGAAGCTGGCACCGCCAGTGTCTCTTTCCAGCTGCGGGCTTTGCTTCAGGGATGTGTGGGTCGAGAGGGATTTCCTCGAAGACTCCCTTTACAGGGAGCGGGAAAAGGGGCCGTGCTTGGCATCACGTTCACACCTGCCCCAGCTGAAAGAAGAGGCTTTCCTTTTAGGAAGAGCCTCCGGGAATCCCAGCTCGTGAGCTCCGTGGAGTTGCAGATGACCGACGTGTGGAGCTTTCCGGTTCATCACTGACCCCTTAAAAGCGAGGGGAGGCCATTGGGCAGTCATCCTGGTTTACTCAGCATGATGGTTCTGCTGCCCCATCCGCTGCTCCTTATTAAACAGCTGTGGGACATCGTGCAGGTTGCTTACTCTCTTTGTGCCTTAGTTTGCTAATCTGTAAAATGGGGAAAATAATAGTACCGACTCATAGAGTTGTTGTGAGGATCCAAATGAGGTAACTTGTGTAAAGTGCTTAGCACAGTTGTGACCTAAATGAAGAAACTGAGGCAAAATCAATATAAAAAGAGAGTTCATTCGAGCCAAGTTTGAGGGCTGCATCCTGGGAGTGAAGGTGCCCTGAGTATACATTCTGATGAGCAGAAGTCGAAAGTGGGTTTTTAAAGGAGAATAAGAAGCACTTCCTAAGTTGTTTACCAAGAATTTATATTAAAATAACATAAACTATTGATTGTCTGTACATTGTTCTTTGTATCACAAATTCCAGGAACTTGAAGATAATGGGTAAGGCAGCTGGTCAGGAACAAAATGCCTTTAACCAGTTGCTCCCAGGAATGGGTTGGGTGAGGAGGGGACCACTAAAGTCCTATACTCTTGTCTCTCTGGGCTTGATTGATTTTGCATATTTCACTGTAACTCACACAATCTGCTCTGAGCTATTTTTCTTTTTCTCACTGCTACTGATGTTTAGTTAGGGCTCTAAAATGTTATTGTTGTTTGTATTACTACAACCGATTTCAATACAGATAATGAACTCTTCCTCAATACTGAGGAGCCCTGAATCCCAAAGACTGTTTCTAGGATTGTGGGTCCTGATAATAGGAAAATGGGAAATGTCTTTGAAAAATCGAAAGCGCCCAGGCCTGGGAGGCAGGACTCCTGGACTCTGATCTGGTTCTATGCGTGGTTAGTTCTCTGGGTGACCTTGGCTGAGGGTCTTTTCTCTAGGCCTTAGTTTCCACATCTATAAGATGAAGGGGTTGTACCAGATGATCTTTGAAGGTCCCCTTCGGTTTTCATAAGCAAAATTTGCAACAGTTGCAATTTGCCTTGGTTAGCAGCCACGGGACATTGAACTCCATATGCAACCCGGAAGCCAAACTAAGGGAGATGCTGGGAAGATGAAGGTCATTTGTTAAACGATAAGGTGTAGCCTCCGTTAGAGGAGGTGACACGGTGGCCCTGGTCACAGAGGAGTGAGGAGGACACTGGTTAACACTTTGTTGCTATAGGGGGCCTCTTTAGAAGGAATGTCAGCTTGCTGATATGTTCGTTGATTTTCAGTATCTAGACTAGTGCCTAGCACCTACTAGGTATTTAATAAAAACCTGAGCAATGAATAAATGAATGAAAGAATGATTTACAGACCTGTTGTAGACTTTGCCTTAGGCCAGGCTTCTGGGCCCAAAAAGTAACAGCCAACACCCAATTTTTTTGTTAGAACTGGCACTTTGGAGTCTGGGTACCCTTAAGCCACTGCTCCTTTGTAAAGTCTTTTTGGATTGTCATCATCAAGAGTCAGTTGATCTCCACCTTCTCAGAACTCACAGGGCACTCTGTCTAGGCGTTGCTGACCGTCTGCAGTGTCAGATGGTGACTTCTGTATGTGTTGTGTTTCCCGTTAGACTCTAAGGTTTTTAAAGGTGAGACTCACTCCTGCAGAAGCACATAACACAATGCCAAACTCTTATTTACGGAGGTCCTGGCGCATTGTCAGCTTTTGGTAAATGCTTTTCTTTTGTTGAATACTTATCTTCTGTGTGCCAAGCTTTGTGTTAAGTGCTAGAAAAATGTGGGAGGTCACCGCAGACCCTGTTCTCATGGAACTGATGGTGTGTAGTGGGGAGATTAACATAAATAAATGATGCGCAAATGAACACAAAATTCAAATTGATGATGTGTACTTATGAAAGGAAAATACATGGTGCTTGAATATAGCAGGGAGGCCTGCTGAAGTCAGAGAGGGTGATCTTTAGGAAAGGCTTTCCTGAAGAAGTGGCACTGGTGAAATGATGGCTGAAGCATGAATAGAAGTTTCCTAGGAAGGCTGGGTGTGTGGTGTGTGGTGTGGTGTGTGTGGTGTGGTGTGGTGTGTGTATGTGCGCTCATGTGTGCTTTCCATACTTTATCATGTTTACTGCTGCCAGCACCCTCAGGAAGTAGTTATGATTAATTTCCATTTTACAATATAGAGAAACTGAGGACCAGAGAAGTCCAAGTGCCTTCCTCAAGTTCCCACAGCTAGCAGGTAGGACAGCCAGGATTTTAACACATGGATCCGAAACTCACAGCCTTAGCCACCCGGCTGTGCTGCATTGCATATAATAGGCACTTCAACGATTATTGAGGTAATACAGGGTTTCAGAATCAACTTTGCCGGCTGGGCACGGCAGCTCACTCCTGTAATCCCAGCACTTTGGGAGGCCGAGGCGGGCGGATCACTTGAGGTCAGGAGTTCAAGACCAGCCTGGCTAACATGGTGAAATACCATCTCTACCAAAAATACAAAAAATTAGCCAGGTGTGGTGCCCTATGCCTGTAATCCCAGCTACTCGGGAGGCTAAGATGAGAATCACTTGAACCCAAGAGATGGAGGTTGCAGTGAGCTGAGATCATGCCATTGCACTCCAGCCTGGGTGACAGAGCAAGACTTCATCTCAAAAACAAAAACAAACAAAAAAACCCAAAAAACTTGGCTGTGCTCAATGTGTTTTCTTTTGTTCACAGTCTTCTCTCAGGGTTTGCTCAGCTAAGTGGACCTGTTGACCCTGATATAAAGATATAACTTTGATGTGTGTTAGGGTGAGAACACAGAATGTTTAAGTTATCTATTGGTATGTAACAAACCACTCCAAAACGTAGCGACTTAAACCAATGACAGGCTTTTAATTTTCACAATTCTGTGAGTTGACTAAACTCATGTGGTTGATTTTTGTGTGCTGTGTGGTATAGCTGAGGTCACTTATGTAGCTGTATTCAGTTAGAACCTGTTGTAATTCTTATAAAATATTTAGCAAAGTACCTGGTACATAGTGAATAAGTACTATGAAAAGGCAGAACTGGGAAGGGCAGAACTGGGAAACAGAACTGGGGATGTCAGAACTGGGAAATGGAAGGCAGAACTGGGGAAATGAGAGACAAACATTTGGAGACTAAAGGTCTAGTGATGGGACAGTGTTAACATCATGCATGTCACTGTACTTCCTTTCTTTCTATTCATTCATAAAGGAATCCTTCAGAGATTCCTTGGGAGGAACTATGTGACTATTTCTAAGATGTCAGTAAACCCATTTGCTGGGTGAATTTTCCCCTTATGTTATTCAAAGCCATGAACTGGTAGTCAGTAGACCTGGATCTTGATCATTATGCTTTCACTGTTAGGTTGGGTGGCCATGGGAAACAATTTTCACCATCCTATACTGTGTCCTTGTGCAAATTAGAAAAGGCATCTTTTAGGGGTCCACTCCATAAGCTCACAGTTCATAGGGCTAGGGGAAAGCAAATGAGACTATTTATGCAAATTAGAAAAAGTTACTCCTTCCTTTAGGTGGATGCAGTCCTGTGCCCACAGGCCCACTTGACCAGGAGCCCTTGTGCAGTCAGCAGCATCACAACTGTGTAAGCCCTAGTTTCTCCTCTGTGAAAATGGTAATGCCACCTACCCCACCTACCTTCCAGGGTTGTTGTGAGGATGTCACATGTGTTAACAGTTTGAAAAGCATAAGCTTTTTTATAAGCCTAAGGTAGTAAGAATTATCTTTTTGGCAAAATACACTTTTATTTTTCTTTCAGTCTTTATGATTTTTTTTTCAAAGGAAAGCACTTGGCAGAAGCGACAATCATATGAGGATCACTGGGAAGCATTTAATCTGATTTTGCACAATGGTATGTTTGAAGCTGCTTTAGCACTGAGGAAGTTCTATTTTAAATCAGATCTACTGATCTATGGCTTTTGGTTTGTTAGGAGTTGCCTTCCAAGTTATAATATACTACGGTTTTTAAAACCTGAAGAATGTTTGCTCTTCTTACATCTGCCTGTTGAATACCACAGGCAAAATATTAGCTGCATGCTTTCAAAGCTAAGTGACACTGTGAAAACAAACAATATGATACTCTTTGTTCCTAAAATACAATATTTCTCAATAAACTCTTCATGGAGGAATGTTATGAAACCCAAAATAGTTTATTCATTGGATGCTGAACTGTATGTACTTTCCAAGAACTATAGTGTCAATGCACTTGACAGTGTATTTTGGTTTCTTTCTTTGTGTGATTCTTAGCTTTCTAGCTCTTATCACTTACCACTGTTTCCTTCCTTTTACTTAAAATCATCTACAAAGAGAACACAAAGTTGCATAGATGAATGTAGCAGTGTAGAAAGTGGGTCTTCTCTGGAATCTCACTTAGACCTTTTTAATGGGCTTGCCTTTCATGAGCTGGATTCAGAGAACTTCTTAAATTTCATCTGCCTGAAATTTAAACTCATTAAAAAGGATCCAGAGAGCTATTATATTGACTGGATTTTCTTGTTTATATCTAAATGAGGCCAGAGAAGTAAAGATTTTTCTTACCTTCAGAAGGTTGACTTTCTTTTTATGCTGTGGTCAAAGGAGTCATAGTGAATAGAATATCACCTTCATAGGTGGTGATTTTTGTCATTTGTTTCTGATGTATCCCAATTACCCAAAGAGATCCTGGAACATAGTAGGTACTCAGCAAATCCTTGCTGAATGAATGAATGAACTGACTCTTTTGGGGATTAGCCCTGTGCAATTTTAGATTGAAGTCAGTATGGGATTCAGAAACATGTCCTTACTTTGGATACTGTAATAAAATGGACAGATTAAAATATTGATAATTTCTTTGCTTTGACAGAATGACCCTGGGTGTTATTTATTTTGGCTGGGAGCCTGGTGTGCTGAACAAAATGGTTTGAATGTTTACTCTTAAGCTCATAAAGGGGATTTATGAAGGGCTATTTCCATTTAGAGTAGAAAGTTGATTGGGTAATTAATAATGTTTCCATTTCTGATCCTATCTTTTCTCCCTTGCAAATCTGACACTTACATGTTATCTTTTGTCACATGCTGTACTAGTCTTTCTTCACTTTTGTCTTCCTGTCCTCAGTTCCACTAGAAGATTAGGCATGATGTAAAGGAGAATGGTGCAGATGTGCAGAATGTGGGCTCTGACATTGGATGGGGTGGGGAAGACAGGGATGGAGCGCTGTTAGCCCTGTGAGCTTGGACAGGTCAGTTCATTTTTCTGTGCCTCGATTTCCTCATCTGCAAAATGAGAATAATAATCACTGTCTTCTGGAGTTGTTGGAGAAATTAAATTGGATAATGCTTACAGTTATATGTAATATACCTAGCTTAATTTCAGCACACAGCAGGCTCCTTTAAAGTACTTGTTGAATAATGATAACAACAACAATAATTTGTTGCATTTATTTCATGAACCTGAAAATAAAAAGCTGAGAGAAGTGGCCTCAGAAATCATTACTAACTTAGAGTAATAAAGGAGAGAGTGAGCATGAATAAAGGTACACATTTGAATTAGGAATATTTTCTAAATGCCATTTGAACAATTGTAAAGTATACTTAGAAACTTATCTAATGGAGATTGTGGCTTAATCAGTGTATAAAAGACAGAAGATATTGGCCAGGCATGGTGGCTCATGCCTATAATCCAAGCACTTTGCAAGGCCTAGTTGGGTTGATCACTTGAGCCTAGGAGTTCAAGACCAGCCTGGGCAACAGGGCAAAAACCCCATCTCTACCACCACCACCACCACCACCACCAACAACAACAAAACCCCAAACCACACAGACACAAAAACAAAAAACCCCCAAAATTAGCCGGGGCATGGTGGCACACACCTGTAGTCCCAGGTACTCGGGAGGCTGAGTTAGGAGGATCGCTTGAGCCGGGAGGCAGAGGTTGCAGTGAGCTGTAATTGCATCACTGCACTCCAGCGTGGATGACAAAGTGAGACCCAGTCTCAAAAAAAAAAAAAAAAAAAAAAAAGATTTTTTTCACTATCTAAGTACATGGACCTGTCTTCAAGGAGTTCACTGTCAAAAGGGACAGAGGAGGATATATTAATTTTCATGATAAAGGCTTTCTTGGGGGCATATGGCAGACATTACATTGTAGTATGGGGCAAGATTTATATTTTAATTATAAATCCATGAAAGCATTTAAACTATTTAGAAACAGTTGTCTTTTTAAAAACAAGTAAATATTCTCTCCAGCACTCTTACTTCTCTGGTGCAGCCCTTTCCCTAATGCTAGTGTGGAGTGAAGTGTCAGGGAGGCCTTGTATCTTACACAAATTCCGAACTGGTAAAGCACGAGCTTCTGAGTTTTTTATTAGTCTAGGAAAATCAGATATATTATCTTCTAATCATTTTAAAATCATTGTGTAAGTATTTTTGGATTGCAGATAGATGCCAGCAATGTATTTAATGCCACACCACAGTAAATTGCAAGATAAAAACCAAAATCTTGAAACTTTTTAAGTCTTCAAAAGTGTTGATTCATTTGTTAGTAGCAAAACCAGCTACATTTATTTTCTACTTGCACAGTGCTAGGTATTATACTGTAATTAAATTGTTTCCTTTAATTCTTATAACAACTCTTTGAGGTAAGTATTTATTCTCATTTTACAGATGAAGAAACTAGGGCAGATTAAAGTGATTTGTCCAAGCTTCTCACAGATAGGATTCCAATTCAGATCTCTTGGGCTCTAAAATTCACTGTTTTCTAACATCGTGTCTTTAATTTTGTTTTTTATTTCTTTTCATTTATAAATAATTTGACTTATAAAACATTTCAAAAACAATATTGCAGAAACAAAGAATTCCCACATACTTTTTTCCAGCTTCCCCAAACCACAGTATACTTTTTAAAACCAGGAAATTAACACTGATACAATGCTATTAACTAACCTATAGACCCTATTTAGATTTTGTCAATTGTCCACTAGTATCGTTTTTCCAGTCTAGCATCCAATTCAGGACCCCACATTGCATTTAGCTGCCAGTGTCCTGCAGTGTAGGACGGTTCCTCAGTCTTTCCTTGCATTTCCGGACCATGGTGATTTTGAAGAGTGCTGGGCAGTTATTTGTAGTGTATCTTTAGCTGCACTGGGTTTATGCATACATTTGATGTTGTGATAAGAGGATTTTCCTCTGTGTTACAATGAAAAACTGTCTTTTCAAAACCTTCACTATGCCGTTGCTGATTATTGGGTCATTTTTGAAAGAAAGAGGCTGATGTGCTGTTGGTTGGCCTTTGTTTGGAACCATAGCTTTTCCTGGCCAGAAGGATCTTGGATGATCACCTGGTGGTTCATCACCCCGACCTCACAGATGGCAGCGTTGTAGTCTGCATGTCTTGGCTCGTTGCCCTTTGTTCTTTCTATTTCATCATCCTATTGAAAGACCAATGAACAGCCATTCCAAATACTTTTCAACTTAAGTACGTTTTGTCCTTGATCATTGAAATTTTGATTAATTTATAACTCGTTTCGTCTTGGTATAAAATCAACTTTGCTTTTCTTCTGAGATAGACTATGGTGTGGAGCTCATAAAAGGAATTTGGCATAGCTCATGGTGATTTCTTTCTGCTGCTAAACACCAAATCTCTTTTCAGCAGCCCCATCTCTTTGCATGTACATGTTTGGCAGCAGCCTAGATAACAGATTCCCTTAATGCTTATAACACGGGTATGTTAATATACCAGACTTACTGTAGGTCTTCTTTGCCTTCTTTGAAGGACTCTTCAGACAGATCTGTCAGTCACCTGCTTCCTTGTACTCTCTCTGGTAACCTCATTTGTAAATTGGTAGACAGTGACTCCTTTGGATGTCACTGACTGTTTCTGAGAGGGGAAGCAAATGTTATTAAAAAAAGGCATTGGCTTTTGAGCTTTTTGGAAAGTTCATATTTTAATAACTCTTTTAAGAGTAGGCTTTCTGAAAGCTTATGGGTTTTTTTTTCCCTCGGCAAATATGAATGCAAAATGTTATATCTTCATGAAGCTTCTCCCAGAAACATATTGAATATTCTGTAATTAGATGGATTCAGTTTCTTGCCTCTAACTTTTTATATATATGTGTTTGCTTTAATGCATATTCCCCCCCAATATTATGGAGTTCTTGGCTTATCTTTTAATATGTAAAAACTAAAGCAAGCAGATACAACAGCTTTAGGCACGTCTACATTTTACCCTTGTTAGACTGTTACATACATATGATATATACAGTGGTATTTGTAGTAGTTTCATGTCTTCGGGAAAGGAAAAGGAGTTAGTTTACACGTTCTGTGAAGAAATTAAAAATTATAAGGAAATGCAAAATGAAGTCAAATATACCTTTAAAAATCCCTTAAATCATCCATAAAGTAGTATAGCATACATGGCATATGTATGCAGCCTGTGGGATCGTTCTCTTGCACACTGCAGTTTGTGATCAGCTAAGCCAGGATCAAGAAAGACAAGGGCTTTTGGCAGATATCTGGGTCTTCAGATCACATTGCTTTCATGAGAGTCTCTAGTATGAAATGGGGATTGAAGAATCCCATGTGAACCTGCTTGTCTGCGGGCTTTACACTATTATATTTATAGCAGAAATACTCTGTATATTAATACTTGATAGGTTTCCACGCTTTGAGAAGGACTGAATGAGATCATGCGCATGGCAGCTTCTCTAGGATAGCACCCTGCGTGAACACAGTAGCTGCTCAGTTAAGTCTTTGATGGGTGTGATCCTGATTCAGCTTGATCAATTCTGCAGTCATACTGGATTGTGTTTGAAAAGGTGTCCAGAAAAACCTGGCCATCTGCCTCCTGTCTTCCCAGGTAAGTGTTCCTGGTATTGACCTCTGAGAAGCCTTCCCTCTTTCAACTTTTTCTCATGGGAGTTTTGGTAAATTTTCATGAATTAAAACATGAATATTCAGGTTACCACAAGATGGCGTCAGATCATTTCAAGTAATGCCAGGTAGGGGGAGCCTCAGTTCAATAAATCTTTAAAGAGGTTGAAATATGTGCCTTTCATAGTATGGTAGTTAGCTATTGCAAATAAACCCCTACTTTCTTCTACTGTTCTTCTATGGAAACTTGAGGCTCTTGGCTGTTCAACTCCAAAAATTATGTAAGTGTGAAGTATTTGAGTTTATAATGTTTAAGAATTTCTCTGATAGCTTAGTGAAGTAATCAGAACTTGAAAAATTTGATCATCATGTCTCCCTGGTGTTTACATTTTCAACGTCTTTTATAGTTTAGTTATCTTTCTACAACTTATGTTGAATTTGTAATATTCAGTCAATATATATTTATGGGTATGTAATGAACAAACTAGAACTGTAGTAAACGAGATAAGCACATTTTACTTTAGTGTACAAGTTATAATTTATACACATATAATCACAATTCAGAGGACCTGTGTGAGTCTCAAATATCTCCCTTGCTTTAGGGGTACTGTGTAAGCGAAAGTCTCCTTTCCTGAGGAGCAGAGTATCTAAACCTGACCCTCTGTCATGGGCATGTAACTCGGAAGGGCTGAACTTCAAGAAAGCAATCACTGTAGTTCCAAGTTTTTTTTTTTTTTTTTTTTTTTTTTTTTTTTTTTGAGACAGAGTCTCACTCTATCACCGAGGCTGGAGTGCAGTGGCATGATCTCGGCTCACTGCAACCTCCGCCTCCCAGGTTCAAGCAATTCTCCTGCCTCAGCATCCTGAGTAGCTGGGACTACAGGCATGCACCACCACATCTGGCTAATTTTTGTATTTTTAGTAGAGACAGGGTTTCACTATTTTGGGCAGGCTGGTCTCAAACTCCTAACCTCAAGTGATCCACCCGCCTCAGCCTCCCAAAGTGCTGGGATTACAGGCATGAACCTCCATGCCCAGCCAAGCATTTTTTTTTCTAGGGCTAAAATGAGTGAATGAATGAATATATAAATAAATAGATTTTTAAAAACCAAGTTTTTCATCAGTTATCAAGATTTCAGTTTCCAGGATGGAAGTGTGAATGACAGAGTTTACCAACATGAAACATGAAGAGATATTGAGGTTGCTGAAAGCTGAGCCACTGCTCTCTTCATAGATTGGTTTCTGACTGAAGGCAGGCTCATTTTCCAAATTGATCCCTGAGGTCATTGAGGTTTATATTCCCAATTTTTTATTTATCCAGAAAATATTGACTGAGTGCTTTTTATGTGCCAGGCATTACGCTGGCTGTTGGAGATACAGGAGTAACTGAAATAGACAGTATTCCTGCCCTCAGAGAGCCTGTGTTCTAATCTAGTGTCTTTTTGGGTCACAGATATCTTTAAGAATGTGTTAAAATGATGAACCCCTTTCCCTGAAAAATCCATTAATAAATCAATATCACACACACACACACACACACACACACACACACACACACGCCTGCTGTGGGTGGAGACCCACAGTCAGAGTTTTGTATTTCACTTCCTAGGGTTCGGAAAACTTAAAGCTCAAGTTTGCAAAGTGAGGGGCCTTTCTTCTTTCTCCCCTCAGCCTGCCTGCTGCTTTTGCCTTCTGCTCAGCACTTTGTGATGTCATGGATAAGACTTCCTGCCAATTTTCTTTTCAGATTTGATCACATGATACGTCGGTAAACCTCAGGGAAGAGAGTCCAAGGGGGCTCAGTAGGCTTTGGTCAGCAGCTACCTTGTCCTGTGGCTTCTAGGAGGTCACTTCTGCTCCCAGTGTCTCTCTTTTCACATCTGAGTAGTGGAAAGGATTGTGTTAATTTAACTCTTAGGTGATTTGGTGGTAGGTTAGGTGGGCAGGCTTTGCAGGCTGGCAGAAAGTATCGGGGGTAAATTATGTTACCCCCCAGATACACTATTCATTAGCTGGACAATTTGAGCAAATTATCTAATTTGTCTAAGCCTTATTTTTCATATATGAAGTGGAAAAAATAACACATACCTTATAGAATGGTTTTGTGAATTAACTGAGCTAATGTATCTAAAGTATTTAAATTGCCTACGACAAAAGCAGTGGCTATTATCAACCTTGTCACAGCCAAATTGCTTTTCAGGGGAATTAAATTAACATGTTAAATATTTATTGAGTATTTACTATGTGCCTAGCAAAGCATACTTCTATGACTATGCTACTGTGATGCTAACCCAGCCACCAGACAATGATATTAGACCACAGTGAAGAGGTCCACTCTGTATTAAACAGGCCTGGTTTAATTCCCTGGCTCCACCAGGAGCCAGCTGGGTGACCCTAAGCAATCCAGTCTTCATTCAGTTTCCGTATCTGAAAGATGGGGATGGTGGTATCACATAAATCAGTTATAACAGAGAGGCTGTTGGATTTAGACAAGATTGTGCAAGGAAAGCATTTAGTACAGTGCCTAGCACAAAGAACACTCTTGATTTATGTTAGGCTGGTTCAATATTAATAGTATTATTATTTACTGATTAGCTTAACCTCATCCCCCTCAGGGCTAGTTGGATCTAAAGAAGGTTTTCCCCAGATTTCATGTAAGTCAAGATGATGATAGCATCTCACTTATCTAGGCCCAAGTTATAAAATTAAGATCCATGATTCAAAACTGGGCTTTGTTTAGAAGTTTCTTGGAAAATATTTACTAGTCCTGCAGACAGCTGTGGTTACTTCTAAATAGTTCACCTTGGTAGAAGATTAATGGTAATTCTTTTTTATATATTTTTGTTTAGTACCCCAACCCCATGGATAAAAATGTCATCTCAGTAAAAATCATGGAGGAAAAAAGAGGTAAGTTCTCTGTACAGTTTTTTCAGTAATGATCATTAAATGATAGTGATTTTTGTAAAGATGTGTGTACGTGTGTGTGTGGCCTATTAGGTTTTTTTTAAAAAATTGTTCACCTGCAGTTTCTTCCATTATTAGTTTTTAAACAGGTATATTTCTGTACTTGAGGTGACTTAGAAAGGTGTGGCAGGTAGAGCACCAGGATTTGTGATAGTAAAAGGCCTGCTGATGCTTTTTGTCACTTTCTAACTAATAATTGATGACAACACTGAGCTATATATAATTGTAACTGCTAACATTTTTGAGCACTTAATATGTGGCAGGTACTCTTATTAATTCATTTAATATTCAGAACAATGTTTGGAATAGGTGTTAGACTACTCATTTAATGAATGGAGAAACTGGGATACAGAGAAGTTAAGTGACTTGCTCAAGGTCACATGGCTGTAGCCTATTATATCATTTTGTAGATGGCAAAATGCATATGATTAAATACGAGATATGACTATAAAGTGATGGCTTATGGAATCACAACTACTAGGCAGTGTGGTTTAGCATTGACTAAATCAGGAGTTGACAAGCTATGGCTTGTGCTGCCTGTTTTAGTAAATAAAGTTTGACTGGAACATAGTCACATTTGTTTACATGTCATCTACGACTGCTTCCTCACTACAACAGCAGAGTTGACCAGTTGCCACAGAGACTTTATTGCCCACAAAACTTAAATTATTTAGCACCTGATTCTTTGCAGAAAATGTTTACTGATTCCTGGTCTAGAGCATAGGAATCTCTTCTGTTCTGTGTTATCCCCATCTCCAGCAAAAACCATTATTAGTGTCAGTGTTTAAACTTGAGAACTGGGCAATGCAGGAAGCTGTGACAATGCACATAGTCAATGTACAAAGCTTTGGGGACACTGGGGCCTAGGTCCAGCATGCTCTTTACCCTTCTTAGGAATCATGAGATGCTACTGTTCATTGTGTGTGACTCTGAAGCCCTCTCTGTGCTTGGTAAACATAACTGCCTTTTGCTTGTATATGCATTTTCTGTAATTCTATAACCATATAGATATATTAAAAATATTTTCTCATGTACCTGCAGTGTGAGAGAAACTTATTATTTGTCATCAGACAAACTGGATTTCAAATCTTGATTTCATTACTACCTTGGTGACCCAACTTTTTGGAGCCTCAGTTTCTTCATCTGTCAAACGGGAAAATAATCTTGTTTTTAGGTTGTTAGGAAGATCAAATGAGAGAACACTGTGCATATTCTAAATTGAAATGTTAATTATAATTTCTGTCATCGTCAGGGGCATCTTTGCCTTTGGGAGTGGCTAATCCATTTCGAGTATGTGTGCAGCAAACACTGGATGAGATGGCCAAAGGGAGGGCCAATGGGCAGAGGGGTTTGCACCCTATCAACAGCTTCTGGGCAGTCAGGGTTTTTGCATCAAGGGTTGGGACTACTATAGCCAGAGCTTTGAGAAAACCTGTAACAGCATGGCTAAGTCACAGTGATTCACAAAGCAGAAGACTGCACTTCAGAATTTATTCTTTTCTCTGCCTCTGCCTTTCTTTTTCTTAACTAACATTGTTTTTTACATCCCTGGCTTAATTCTGGAAACTTCACCGCAGAACAAAATGGTTGCAGTCCTAGTGTTACAGTAGGTAGCTAGTCAGGTATGAGCAGGACAGAAGAGGGCTTACACACACACACACAAACACGAGGGCTTACACACACATACACAGAAGAGGGCTTACACACATACACACACACAGAAGAGAGCTTAAACACACAGAAGAGGGCTTACACACACATACACACAGAAGAGGGCTTACACACACATACACACACACAGAAGAGGACTTACACACACACACACAGAAGAGGACTTACACACACACACACACACACACACACACACCCAGGAGAGTTGGATGACCATCAGGTGACGGTCAGGCGGTTGTTAACTGTCTCTCTAAAGTAATAATTGGTCACAGCTGGCACCAGGCAAAGGCACGCTTCTAATAGATAGAAAATACCTGAAACTGATGATCAGCAGCTTCCTGATAAGATCTCAGGAGTTGGGAGAAGTGATGTAAGACCCCGGATATATGCCAACGTGCGTAAAACCCCAAGTCGAAAGGTCAGACCACACGCCTGCCTTTCAGGTTGCCCGCTTGGCTGTCTTCTAACTGGTACTTTCCTTCCTTTCATTCCCATTCTAAAGGAAGCGGAATAGCTTTTTCCTGTTTAGGAAAGTTTATAAAAAGAACAGGAATAGCCATTTCCTATTCTTTTTAAATAAACTTTCACTCCTGCTCTAAAACTTGTCTTGGTCCCTCCTTCTGCCTTATGCCCCTCAGTCGAATTCCTTCTTCTTCTGAGGAGACCATAATTGAGGTTGCTGCAGAACCGTACAGGTTTGCTGCCGGTAACAATAGGAAGTCTACTCCCTTATGAGAGAGAAATGTGGCTAATATAATTAATTATGGGTTTAAATTTTGCAGCCAGAAATCTGTGCTTGAAAGTTTGGTACAAAAGGTAGCAGCATCAGGTTCTCCCTCTTTTTGTTGAAACATTCTCTTTGGAGTTGAGCAGGAGTCCCACTGGTCATCGTCATTGGAGTACTGACACGGATAGTCCAGAGCAGCGAACGGTTGTGATTCTTTCATCCTTGACATTGGAGTGTGCATTCTGAGTTACTGTTGTACCCTTATTCCTTCATCCCAGATAAGGAATACCTGATTCGGCCCTGAAAAGTGTCAGGGAAACTGAATTTTGAGTTAAACATTTTCTGTAGGAATCTTGCAAATAGAAAATTGATACTGACTTTAAAAGATTCATTGCGGGAGGCTGAGGCAGGAGAATCCCTTGAACCCAGGAGGTAGAAGTTGCAGTGAGCCGAGACCGTGCCATTGCACTCCAGCCTGGGTGTCTCAAAAAAAAAAAACAAAAAACAAAAAACAAAAAAACCCCACCCCCGCAAGATTTATTGACACTAAGAAAAGAACACATTTCTTTAATTTTTTTTTGTGTAAAAAAATTTCTTTTTTAGATGAATCAACAGGGGTCATCTACAGAAAGAGGATTGCAATCTGTCAGAACGTGGTTCCAGAAATTTTAAGGAAGGTAAGTTCATTTTAAAATGTAATCACAGTTGTAACATTGAGTAATTTTTAATAGTCATGAAAAGGAACAGCATTTTCTGATGTAAAGGAGCGTTAGAAACTTCCTACTCCTTTTACCTCAGAACCTTCTGAGGAAGAAAGCTCTTTCTTATCCAACCTCACTTTTAGCAGATGCCACTGGAGATACTTTGTCTCTCTGTCTTGTGAAGAACTCTTAATGGACATAGAGATATTGTGCAGTTACTTTAAAGATACTTTTGGCATTTTGCATGAAGTGACTATCTAATCTGTTCATGATTAGAAATTACTCTTAGGTGAGAATGATCAGAAATGGGAAGAATGTAAATATTTAGTCTCATCTTTAATAAGAAAGAGAAAAACTTCAGTTTCTAATTCACTATCAGAGATAACAGTTATTTCCCAGAGTATAAGGTTCTCCACACCCTCTGTAAGTCTTTATGTGTATTTCTCTAAAGTAATATCATTGATGATGAAATCTTCATGATAGCAAATTGTTTTCTCTCTTTGAAGTCCTTAAGCACTCTGGTGATTCTTTGTTGGAAAAAGGTGAGTGGAAATTTTTAATCACATTGCTTGACCCATAGAGGGATTTTCAGTGGGAGTCCTTTTAGAGCTATGAGGAAGTCAGAGGAAAGCATCTGGATATGCCCTTTAAACAGGTCTCAGAGGGTAGTTTCAACCCAAGAGAGATTCTGTGTGTGATGTTGTGTTACTCCATTCTCAGGCTACTGATAAAGACATACCTGAGACTGAGTAATTTATAAATAAAAAGAGTTTTAATGGACTCACAGTTCCACATGGCTGGGGAGGCCTCATAATCATGGTGGAAGGTGAAGGAGGAGCCCAGATACATGTTACATGGCAGCAGGCAAGAGAGCGTGTGCAGGGGAACTGCCCTTTATAAAACCATCAGATCTGGTGAGACTTATTCACTATCATGGGAACAGCACAGGAAAACCCGCCCCCGTGATTCAGTTACCTCCCACTGAGTCTCTCCCATGACATGTGGGGATTATGGGAGCTACAATTCAAGATGAGATTTGGGAGGGGACACAGCCAAACCATATCAGATGTGGAACCCAGCTTGGCTCCTGCCGATTAGCTTGCAAATTAAATTGCTGTGCTGTATGTGGAACAAATGGCAGCTTCCGTCACTTCCTTATCATGAATTAAAAGACTGTCACATTCTTCAGTGTAATAAAGCTGATATGACAATGAAAATGAACTTTCTTTTATTTTCCAGATGGTAAAACTTGTTGCAGTGTAGCAGCAAATTATTACTGGCTTTTTCCAGAGTGTGTACCCTGCCTTTGCCCTATATACTCACTCTGAATCTATTATTTAAAAAGGCATTCAACTTTGTCTTGTGTCTCAATTCTTAAATAATTTAAGGACACCTCTGACTTGTACAATTCTGCCTTTGTAGTTTTCCATGTCTTCACCTAGGAAACCATACATTTCTAGGTATTGGACAGAGTTTAAAATGAAGAAAATATTTTACCTGATATTGTTCTGCATGTGAGCTTGTAAGTGGGCTCGATTAGAATCCATCAATTTAAGAAGGCCATAACCAGCCTTAGAGGAGACGCGAAGGAGGCTGATAATTTGCTTAGTGTTTAGCAGTTAGGTAAATTAGGCCAGAGACTGTATAGCCTACATAAATCCTGGGTCATTTGCATGTCCTCACCAGCACTTAGTAAGGTCATAGTATGTTTGATTATCAAAAACGTACAGCCACTGGTGAGCCATCATCCATGTATCAGGATTACTTGTCCTCTTGGTTATCCAAGACTGAGAGTAACTCTGGATGCAGTCATTATGTTGCCTGCTCTTCCTAAATTGAAAAAGCCATTTTCTTTCTGTTGGACAGGTGAGCATTTTGAAAGTACCTAATATCCAATTAGAAGAGGAGTCATGGCTCAATCCTCGGGAAAGAAACATGGCCATACGGAGTCACTGCCTTACGTGGACACAGTATGCATCCATGAAGGAAGAGTCTGTCTTCCGGGAAAGTATGGAAAACCCAAATTGGTAAGACTCGTGTGTATATGTGTGTGTGTTTTGGTTGCAGGGATGGACACATGAGTACATACATTAAAAATCTATGGTTCTATACTTATGACCACTGTTTATAACTCATACAAATTCCACATTATTAATTTTTTAATCACAGTAATTAATGAATTTTTTGCAAGGGAGGTCAGGAAATGATAGAGTTCACCTTCTGTCTCACCATCTCCCCCAATCCTGTTGTCTTTTTCACCCTCTTGAGAAGTAGTGAGTGTTATCAGTTTGCTGAATATTCTTCCAGACCTTAAAGAGATACCTTTAGATCCTTATATATATACTCATAGAGCCTGTATAGTATGGTTTTGTATATATTTTAAAACATGTATTGTAAGTTATAAATTAGTTTGTAAATTGTGCACTTCTTTTTTTTTTACTTAATGGAATGTTTCTGAGCTTAAACCATGTGATATATATATATATATATATATATATAAAACTAGCTTATTCCTTTATTGCATATAATTCAATCCTGTGACTATATGACATTTTATGTAGCTACTACTTTTTTGATAGACAGATGGTATCTAAGTTCTTTTTTACAAACAATATTACAACATTTGTGAAGCATATCTTCCTTGTATATGATCCTTTATGTTATATGAGTTGTTTATCTAAAGTATATATATATATATATTTTTTTTTATTTATTTATTTATTTTTTTTTGAAATGCAGTCTTGCTCTGTCACCTAGGCTGGAGTGCAGTGGTGTAATCATGGCTCGGTGCAGCCTCAACCTCCTGGGCTCAAGTGATCCTCCCACCTCAGCCTCCTGAGAAGCAGGGACTACAGGCATGTGCCTCAGGAGATGAAGGTTTCAGGCATGTGTCACCATGCCTTGTTAATTAAAAAATTTGTTTCGTAGATACGGGGTCTCACTATGTTGCCCAGGCTGGTCTCAAACTCCTGGCTCAAGTGATTCTCCTACATCAGCCTCCCAAAGTGCTAGGATTCCAGGCGTGATCCACTGTGCCTGGCCTAGAGTAGAATTTTTTAATATCAGGTTTATTGAGATATTATTTGCATACAATAAAACTTACTTTTCTTAGTGTATAGTTCTTTGAGTTTTGACAAATATATAGTTGTGCCACCACTGCCACAATTAAACTATAGAACATTTTAGATAGATTTAAAACAGTTAATATTACAAGACCAATCAATGGGGAAAGAATATTTCTTTCAACAAATGGTGCTGAGATAACTGGATATCCACATACGAAAGAATGAATTTAGATCCCTACCTCATGTAGAATACAAAATTAACTCAAAATAGATCAAATACCTAAATGAAAGAGTTAAAACTATAAGACACTTAGAAATAAACATGGGTATAAATCTTTGTCATCTTGGGTTAGGTAGTAATTTCTTAGATATGATAGCAAAAATTTAAGCAGCAAAATTAAAAATAGATAAAATTGATGTCATCAATTAGAAACTTTTGTGTTTCAAGGGACACTGTCAAGAAGGTGAAAAACAGGCTGGGCGTGGTGACTCATGCCTGTAATCCTAGCACTTTGGGAGGCCAAGGCGGGGTGATCACTTGAGTCCAGGAGTTTGAGACCACCCTAGTCACATGGCAAAATCCCGTCTCTACTAAAAATACAACAATTAGCCGGGTGTGGTGGTGCATGCCTATGGTTTCAACTATATGGGTGGCTGAGGCACGAGAATAGCTTGAACCCAGGAGACGAAGGTTTCAGTGAGCCGAGATCGCACCATGGCACTCTAGCCTGGGCAACAGAGCGAGACTGTCTCAAAAAAAAAAAAAAAAAAAAAAAAAAGACACACAATAACAAGGATTGGTTGTGGATATGTGGATAAATTAGAACCCTTACATGTTTCTTATGGGAATATAAAATGGTGCAGCTGCTTTGGAGAACAGTTTTTCAGATCCTCAAAAAGTTAAACGTAGAATTACCACTTGACCCAGCAATTTCACTCCTAGATACTACAAGAAAAATGAGAAAATATATGTCCACACAAAAACTTGTACAAAACTTTCATAGCATTATAATAGCCAGAATGTAGAAACAAGCCAATGTCCATCAACTGATAAATATGTAGCCCAATGTAATGTATCCACAAAATGGAATATTATTTAGCTACAAAAAGGAATGGAGTGCTGATTCATGGTTAAACATGGACAAATTTTGAAAATATGCTAAATGAAAGAAGGCAGTTACAAAAGGCCACATATTGTATGGGTCCATTTATTTGAAAAGTCCAGAATGTGTAAATCCATAGTGACAGAATGTAGATTATTGGTTTCCATGGGTTACGGGGAGAGGGGAGTGATGAGTGACTGCCAGTTGGTACGGAGTTTCTTTTTTGGGGTGATGAAAATGTCCTGGAATTAGTGTTGATGGTTGCAGAACTCTGCGAATATACTAAACCTCACTGAATTGTGTACCTTAAAAGGGTGAATTTTATGGTAAGTGAATTATATCTCAATACAGAAAACGATATAGCTGATTCTCAGGACATGCATACTTTTATTAGTTTATATAGTGTTTTAGTTTGCCTGCTATAACAAGAATACCATAGACTGTGTGGTTTACACAGTAAACATTAATTTCTCACAGACCTGGAGGCTGGGAAATCCACCATCTAGGCACTGGCCTTTCCAGTGTCTGGTGAAGGCCATATTTTTGGTTTGCAGATGCTGCCTCCTCATCATTGCCTCACATGGTGGATAGAGTGAGTTCTAGTCTTGGTTTCTTTTTATAAGGACACCAATCCCAAAATGCAGTCTCTAACTCATGACCTCATGAAAACCTAATTACCTCCCAAAGTCTCAGTCTCCTAGTACCATCCCATTGTAGGTTAAAGTTTCAGCACATGAATTGGGGGTGGCAGGGGAGGGCACCGACATGCAGTCGTAACATACAGATTCTGTCACTTTGCCTTCCAATGTGTTAATATGCACATTTTACACTGATCAACAGCGCATGAGCGTGTTCATTCCCTTACAACAGCGTCAGCACTTATTCACATGCTTTTTAACTTTTGCCAGTATAATGGGTGAAAAATGATTAATTTTTTTGAGATACATTTAAAAACAAGTAAAATATAAGCACTAAATGTTAATAGTGATTATTGCTGTGAACTGTGGTTGCTGTGAACTGGATAATTATCTGTTTTTTTTTGTTATTATTCTGTGTGGTTTGAATTTTTTATTATATACTTATCATTTTATGGAAATAGTAAAGCCCTCAAGCCCAAACAACTATAAACCGAAAATTTAAAATCCATTCTTAAGCCCAAACCCTTGTCCAGATCATTACTGCTCTCCATAACTTTGGTCCTGTAGTGATAATTTTAGGATGCTGCAGCAGCCCGCTGAGTGGGTGTGAAGCCATGTCTTATTGGCATCAGAGGTGGGCTTGCTCTGAACCACCCGCTAGTTTTTCTTTCTTAGTCTCTCTCATGATAAGAGTTTCACATAGGGCATAGATGTTTGGGATTAAGTGTAAAGGCTGTGGCCAGAGAATAGAGCTCCTTTCTTTGTATGTAGAAATAGCAAAAGGATGGAATTGGCTGATTTTGTGCAAAAAAATCATTTCATCTACTTCGTGTTAGCCTTAATTTTTGCACATATTTGAGCTATTAGCTAGTCTTAAAAGGTGAACTAAACTTTCATCTGTGATATATAAAATGACAATTAGCTCTGAAAATCCAGGGAGGACATCCTTTAGGAACAATTTTCCTTTGAGTGTTTTTCAAAAATTATTTTAAAATAGTCATTCTGATTCTAGAAACAATAATGCATGTGTCTTGTAAAAAAACCAGTTCTGAGAAAAAAAGGAAAATTAATCATACCTGGAGATATTGTTTGTTTACATGATTTTCTTGGTCTGTTCCTCATTGAAACTTAGGTTGTTTGTTTTTGCTCTTACAAACAGTGTTGTGGTGAAAGTCTCTATGATTACATATTTTCCCACTTATTCTGTTACCATTTAAGGTAGATTGAGCAAAGTGAGATTTCATGGTCAAAGGTTGTATGCATTTTATATTTTGGTACATATGACCAGACTTCTGTATAAGAAGGTTTGACCAGTTAAATTTTTTTTTTTCTTCCTTTGGTTTGTTATGTTCCAGTCCTCTCCAAAACACTGCCTTTTCTATCATTGACACAGCAGGCTAACATTTATTGATGCCTACTATGTCAAGGTCAAAGCTATATCCTTCATGTGTATTCTTTGGAGGCTTAGGTTAAATAACTTGCCCAAGGTGATACAGTCAGTAGATTGCTAAGCCAAGATACGAATGCAGATATTGTAGACTCCACCTTGAGCACAGTGGTGAGGCAGGAATATGAACATTTACAAAGGATGGGTTTATCTTGTTCTGTAGAGTGCTTTGGATCCCAGGTATGAAGAATGGGTTTTGTCCCTTCAGCAACAAGCAGCCACAAAAAGGTTTCTGATTAGGGGTTGATATGCTGAAAGCTGGGATCCACATTCCAGAGAACTTATGTTTCCTTAGCTCTTGACATGGATTTAGAAAGGCATTTAGGCAGACATTCTAAATGAATGGGTAATGGGATGGGGTGGGGGCATCCAAGAAAGATTCATTATTACTTTAATTTCTTCCCTTTGCTAAGGAAATCTGAGAGTAATGGCTAGCCACTGCACCCAGAATAGGGACAAGTTTTTTTAAAGGGAATAAAAAAGCTGTCAGGGCTACTAAGTGTAAAATTAGACTTTCAAGCTGTGTGTTGGTTAGCAGGTGTGGGTGTGTGACTAGAAACCAGATGTCACTCTGTCCCTGTGCATGGCCTGTTGGCTCAATTCAGAGATGGGCTCAGAATAAGTTTCCTTTAGAAACTAAGCCTTGCTCTATGTCCTCTTTACATAGATCTGATTTTGGCTTCCCACTGACATCTCTACAGTCGTGGCATCTTCTTGGGTGAGAGAACTACATTGGGCTTTCCCCCATCTGTACTGTCACACAACTGGATAGCTCTAATATGCTTTCTTCCTTCACTGATTTTATCCGACATTGTCTTCCTGTAGTTTTTTATGGAATGGAATTTCTATTCTCTCCATAATAGGTATGGGAAGATAGGGTGATGTCCTGTTTCTCACTCATCTGACTCTCCCAGAACCCAGATTGGCACTCCATGCCTCAGGGAAGCCCTCCTGTACTTACTTTATCCCTCCTCCTGTATCAGTTAGGCTGCCTTGTGCTGCAAGTAGCAGAAACCTGACTCAGACAATACCAGCCATCCCTTACATGTGTTTACTATGTGCAGGCTCTGCTCTAAGTGCTTGATGTATGTATGTATATGTGTGTGTGTAAATGTGTGTCTATATTTAATCCTCATAATAACCATGTGAGGTTGGAACTATTATCTTTGTTTTACAGACTGAGGCTAGAGATGTCAAGTGACTTGTATGAAGTAAGATGGCCAGTAAGTGGCAGCACCAGATTCAAACATGGGCTGATTAGCTTTAGAATCTGAGCGGTTGGCAGTGACACTGCCCTTCCTCTCACTAAGGAACTGCATTATCTCATAGCCAAGTGGGCAGTATTTCCATAGCTCTTATTCTTTTGGCTCTACCTTTCTCTGTATGTCCACTTTTTTTTTTTCAAGTTTGGATTCCTCATGACTGTCAACATCATCTAGGATCAGCGTACTAATTTGTCCACATTTAATGAGAGAAAGAGCTATGTAGAGGAGGGAACCTGTCTCCTAGCCATGAGGAAAAAAGCCCTTCACCTGATGGTGATTGAGTCAACTTAGAACACCTGCTCCCCCAGACCAATCAGCGTGTTCAGAGGAATGATATAGGTGTATTGGCAGATCCAGTCAAGATCTGCCCTTGGAGCTGGGGATGAGGTCATCTCCCTCTGAAGCACATGGGCTGCATGGGGGATGGGTAGGCACCTGAACAGAAATAATTGGGACATAGTAGAAGGGGACTCAGCACACCTTTTTTCCTCTTCATGTTTTCTTGGCACTATGTTGCCCATTGTCTTTATTTTGCTTTGGAAGTAATGGAAACTCACTACTGCAGATGATTACAGGGATATTTCTGTACCAGTGATCAGGCCTCCTAAGGGATAGGAACCAGGAATTGGAAAGCCAGCAAGGCCTAAGGCAGCCTCATAGTCTCTTATTTTTCTGTGTCTGGCTATTTTGTCTAGTAATTTACAGATCTGCTTTATTTACACAGCCAACCTGACTCCCTCCAGGCCTGCACAGGGTCTCTCCTCTCATGTCCTATGCCACAGTAACTGAGTAGGCATCTGCGTTTAGAATCCTACCTCTGCTCCAGGCATGGCTCAATACCTATGATCCCCGTACTTTGGGAGGCCAAAGTGGGAGTATCTTGTGGCCAGGAGTTCGAGACCAGCCTGGTGACATACCAAGACTTTGTCTCTACAAATAATAAAATAATTAGCCGAGCATGGTGCCACATGCCCGTAGTCCAGCTACTCAGGAGGCTGAGGTAGGGGGATCGCTTGAGCCTGGGTGGTCAAGGTTACGGTGAGCTGTGATCCTGCCATTGAATTCCAACCTGGGCAACAGAGCAAGACCCCTGATATGGTTTTGCTGTGTCCCCACCCAAATCTCATCTTGAGTTGTAGCTCACACAATTCCCATATGTCATGGGAAGGACCCAGTGGGAGGCAATTAAATCGTGGGGGCAGGTCTTTCCCATGCTGTTCTTGTGATAGTGAATAAGTTTCACGAGATCTGATGGTTTTATAAAGGGGGGTTCCCTGGCACAATTTTTTTTTTTTTTTTTTTTTTTTTTTTTTTTTTTTTGCCTGCTGCCATGTAAGACGTGCCTTTTGCCTTCCACCATGATTGTGAGGCCTCCTCAGCCATGTGGAACTGTGAGTCCATTAAACCGCTTTCCTTTATAAATTACCCAGTCTCAGGTATGTCTTTATCAGCAGCATGAAAATGGACTAATACAACCTCTGTCTCAAACAAAAAAAGAGGAAAAAGAAGAATTCTGCCTCTGAAACTGTAACTATGTGCCCTTGTACAATTTGTGTCACTTCTCTACTCCTCGGTTTCTTCATCTGTATGATGGGAGTGATAACCCTTTCCCAGAGGGTGGTTGTATGAATTAAATGAAGTCGTACATAGAGAAAGCTTAAAATAGTGCCAGCCCATAGTGGTCAGCAGATATTAGTGTTTTGTATTATTACTTTTACAGTTGTTATTTTCATAATAAAAATTCTGATAACTTTTGATTCTAATTCTCAGAATGTATTTAATATAGAAACAGTGTTTGTAATGATTTACTGTTACACTGCAGAAATATGTTCATTTTGGAGTTTTGCATTCCCTCAGTACACATCTTTGGGGCTATGAGTGCCTCAATTTGAGAGGCATGGGACTGGGAAACTTGTATTTTAGTTTCGGAATGAAATTTAAGCTCTGGAAAGAATAGTATTCAGGGTCAATGCAAGCAATTGGCATGGACTGAATCTGCTCACATTTCTGGTTTTCTTCTAGGTTCATGCAGTGATCTTGGCAGTTGTAGATTCAGGGGCATCACATAGGGTCCTCTGATGCACTGCTTGAATGTGTAGAATGAGAGATGCCATGCTCATGCTCTATTTTGCCTTAAGACACTTGGGCCAAATCAGAAAAAAGAAAAGTGAATCTTAATCTGAAAAGAGGAAAAAATTAAAGTCAGCTTTTGTGGGAATATGCTTTATTATGTAGAGCAGGACACACACATTTACTTTGGAAAATGGAGACTGAAGTGTATTGTTTTAGACTTTTCAGAAGGAAGAAAAAAGTCATGGTTTTTACCCTCCAAAACCTTATGTTCTGAGATAGGTTTGTTAATTTCTTGTGTTTGTGTCTGGTCTTTAAAATATATGTATTTGTGAGTTTCTGGTTCTTATTTATTACCCTTTTCCTCTTAATAGGTATTTGTTATGCCATGTGGGAATATAATTGACATGCATTTGATTTGGTTTTAGTAATTGACATTTGCTTTATCCGAGTACTGCAATGTAATTCTGGAAGATAATCACCTAGTAAAAGCATTTTCTTCAGCTTTACTCTTCCAGCATATGTGTTTTTATGCTAAGTAAAAACTTTCTGGTATCTTCAAGTTACTACCATCAATGGAGACCTATTCACGATGTTGTCAAACCGGGTTTTTCCTGCATTTGAGTAACAAGATTATTCTTCTACACTCAGCACAGCATCTCAATGGCCATGTCTTCAGCTTTCTATGTCTAAAAGCTTCTGCTTATCCTCTGCTGCTTATTTTTGACATTAAAAATGCTCAGCCAGGCTGGGCACAGTGGCTCATGCCTGTAATCCCAGCACTACGGGAGGCCGGGAAAGGTGGAAAAGCAAAAGCTCTCCCAGGGCCCTGCATAGGCCCATGGCCAGGTTGGAGGCTGGCTCTTTGTCTCCAGGTGCTTATAGCCTCATTACATGAAAACCATTTTAGGGCCCCATTTGGCCCACCCTCTCCTGGGCAGAGTGGTCGGGCATAGCTGGGCCATGGCAGTGTGTCAAGACTTGATGAAGGGGCCGGGCACGGTGGCTCATGCCTGTAATCCCGGCACTTTGGGAGGCTAAGGCAGGCAGATTGCTTGAGCCCAGGAGTTCCAGACCAGCCTGGGCAACATGGAGAAACCCTGTCTCTACTAAAAATACAAAAATTAGCTGGGTGTGGTGGTGTGTGCCTGTGGTCGTAACTACTTGGTGGGGCTGACTGAGGTGGAAGAATTGCTTGAGCCTGGGAGGCGGAGATTACAGTGAACCCAGATCGCACCACTGCATACTCCAGCCTGGGTGACAGAGACCATGTCTCAAAAAAAAAAAAAAAAAAAAGCAAAAAAAAAGCTCAGCCTAGTGAAGTGTGTGTTAATAATTTGAATATATCCCTCGTGGAATATAGTAAAAAACAAGTCAAAATCAAACTTAAACACAGATTACATTAATGAGATGAGAAACTGTTCTTTTTTTTTTCTTTTCCTTTTTTTTGTAAGACAGGGTCCCTCTGTTGCCCAGGCTGGAGTGCAGTAACACAATCACAGCTTACTGCAGCCTTGAACTTCGGGGCTCAAGCAATTCTGCCACCTCAGCCTCTGAGTAGCTGAGATATAGGTGTGTGCTACCATGCCTGGCTAATTTTTTTTTCTTTTTTGTAGAGACAGGGTGTCACTGTGTTGTCCAGCCGGTCTTGAACTCCTGGCCTCAAGTGACCCTCTTGCCTTGACCTCCCAAAGTGCTGGGATTCCTGGCGTGAGTCTCTGCGCCTGACCGCCACTATTGTTGGGTCAATACATTTTCATTACTACTGAAATTACTCATGAATATTCTTCACTCTCTAATAGATATGGATACAACTTTTTAAATGTTTTATTTTTGAATTTCTGGATTAAAACATCCTAAGTCTCAAGTGTTCATCTGAAAAATCACAAATAGTATAATTTGCATGTGCTGAGGGCTAATTGGGCATATTTTTTGGTGTGTCCCATTTTTTCACCCTGCTCTAGAGTCTTTTTGGTTTTTTTTCCATGAGTAAATTCGGTAGTCTGGTGACTTCTGTGTGTTTTTAAGATTGGCACTGGCATTTTTGATTGACCTCCATACCTGCTTTTACTGAAGTATTAAAACACTCTGGCTCTGCTGACTTAGGAATTATTTCTAAGCCCAGTCCTGGAGCTAAAGGGCTTGAGGGTGTAGTTAACTAATAGCCTAAATAAATACTACTGTATTCGTCCCAAAACATGACTCCCTCTGCTCATATTAACCTTGATTTCCAGTGCACCAGTGGATAATCAAACAATTAGCAGAAAGCACCACCAATTATGAAGAGCCAAGCAGTGAGGCCTTTTCTATACAAATATAATGATCTGGGCTGGAGCTTTATTTTTGGCTTAATAAGACTGCCCTCCAAAAGATACTCATTTGCCATTTGATGTTTGTGTTCATATAATCAGAGTCTCCTCTGTTTTTGTATCCTGTACTAATTGTTTTGTGGTGGCTGTGCACTGAGGTCACAGTTTACCACTGTATCCCCTGTATGTAGCACAGTGCTTGGCTCCCAGAAGATGCTTCATCACCATCTGTCTAATGAATGATGAATGAAAATCTGCTAAAGGGGATGCAGACAGTACTTGTGGGGTGAAATGGGAATGGCAGGGTCGGGGGGTTGTGGGTAGGAAAGGAAAAGAGAAGGAATTTGCTGCAGGGTAAGTGCAGGGGAAGCCCAGTAGGATTTGGTAGGAAATGCCATGTAGAGAGAATCTCTACATTGAGCCAGTAATATGGGAGCTTCTCTTCTTGTTTCTGCTTGGTCATTTTATGTGCTCTTTGACTCTGGGAAAAGGGATAAAGCTGGCCTGAGCTCCCTCACAGAGTGATGTGAAGACTTAATAAGATAAAAAATAGACATGCTCTGCGCATTTATGAAGCACCGAATAAATGTAAGTTGTTAGAACTAATGGGATTAAATGTTGTTTTCAAAGTGTGGTGACTGTTTAAAGTTACTAATTTTGAAAAGTAGAGTAAGCTGTTTTGTTGAAAAGGGAAATGATAATTGAGCTAGAAACAATCATGTTTAGCTAAGAGAGCATTCGATGACATAAGTAGGAGCTTTTGAGATACAGTCCAACACTGCCTACAACATTTCAGTCTATGGCAGACCGCATATATTAAGGTGGTACCATAAGATTGTATTGGAGCTGAAAAAGTCCTGTTGGCTAGTAACGTCATAGTCATCTTAATATCATAGCGTGATGCATTACTCATGTGTTTGTGGTGATGGCAGTGTAAACAAACCTACTGTGCTGCCAGTTGTGTAAACGTGTAGTGTATACAATACATAATACTTGATAATGATGTATTAGTACATAATACTTGATAATGGTGTATTAGTCCATTTTCATACTGTTATCAAGAAATAACTGAGACAGGGTAATTTATAAAGGAAAGAGGTTTAGTTGACTCACAGTTCCACATGGCTGGGGAGGCCTCAGGAAACTTACAATTATGGTGGAAGGTGAAGAAGAAGCAAGCACCTTCTTCACAAGGTGGCGGGAGAGAGATAGAGTGCAGGGGAAACTGCCACTTTTAAAACCATCAGATCTCATGAGAACTCTCTCACTGTCAGGAGAGCAGCATGGAGGAAACCACTCCCATGATCCAATCAGCTCCCACCAGGTCCCTCCCTTGACACATGGGAATTACAATTTGAGATGAGATTTGGTGGGGACACAGAGCCAAACCATATAAATGGTAATAAATGACTGTGTTACTGGTTTATGTAATTACAATACCATTTATTGTTGTTTTAAAGTGTACTCCTAACTTATAAAATATTTTAAAAAGTTAACTGTTAAACAGCCTTAGGCAGGTACTTTAAGTGGTATTCTGGAAAGCATTGTTATCATAGGAGATGGCAGCTTCATGTGTGTTATTGCCCCTGAAGACTTTCCAGTGGGATAAGATATGGAGGTGGGAGACAGTGATATTGATGATCATGACCCTGTGTAGTCCTAGGCTAATGTGTGTGTTTTTGTGTTTTTAACAAAAATATTTAAAAAGTAAAAAATTAAAAATTGAAAAAAGTTAATAGAATAAGAATTTAAAAGACAATATTTTTGTACAGTTATGCAATGTGTTTGTGTTTTAAGCTAAGTGTGATTGCAAAAGAGTGAAAAAGTTAAAAATGAAAACGTTTATAAAGTAGAAAAGTTACAATAATCTAAGTTTAATTTATTATTGAAAAAAGAAAAATTTTAAAAATAAATTTAGTGTAGCCTAGGTGTACAGTATTTATAAAGTCTACAGCAGTGTACAGTAATATCCTAGACCTTTGCATTGACTCACCACTCACTCACTGACTTATGCAGAGTGACCTCGGTACTGCAGGCTCCATCATTCATGGTAAGTGTGTTTCATTTTGTATAAACGGTATATACATGGTATATATCTTTTATACTGCACTTTTACTGTTCCTTTTCTATGTCTAGATATGTTTAGATACACAAATACCACTGTGTTGCAGTTGCATACAGTATGCGGTATAGTAACATGATGTGCAGCTTTGTAGTCTAGGAACAATAGGCTATACCATCTAGCCTATGTGTGTAGTAAGCTATACCATCTAGGTTTATGCAAGTACACTCTATGATGTTTGCACAACGATGAAGTTGTCTAATAATGCATTTCTCAGAACATATCTTCATTGTTAGGTGATACACAATTGTATCTTAGTGGATGCCTGTTGACATTGTTTTTCATCCTCCTTTTCCTTTGAGTTGTTTTGAGTTGTATATTGGCCCAAGATTCAGGGGCGGAGTTAAAAATGTAGATTCACCTTGGTAATTCTAGTTTTGTATCCCTGGGCTGGCTCATGAAAAATCGACATTTTTAAAGTTCTCCTGATGAATCTGTTGAGTAGCTAGATTTGGAATCCCTGATAAATAGTAAGTATCCCATGGTCCCAGTGGTAAGCATACATACAGCTGGCAGCCCTTTTGGAACTTCATTTTTTGCAAAATTCTTGTTAATCTTATAAAGCATGATCAGTTAATATTCTGGCTATCTAGCAAACGCTAAACACTTTTCAGTGGAAACACCTGCTGAAAAGTCAAAATTCATATGAAGGCTCTACTGAATTTATGCAAGAAGAATGATCAATGGAAATAAGGGATGAGGAGGGGAGACTTCAGTAAGTATGATTAGTGTCAAAACTATATTGCATTTTCTGCTCTTAGGAAACACAGATGCCAGTTAAATTTTTTTCTTTTGTTTGGTTAGCTTTTGTAGCTATAGGAAATAAAGAATTTTGGTATTAAAAATTATGATACTTTATTAACCAGGCATTGAGATAATGCAGAATAACCTAAAGATCTCGAGACAATAGAGAGGAACCTGGTGACAATCTAGACTCAGGGTCTACCTCCTCCACTGGGCAGACAATCAACACCAGCTGTGAGTGGGATGCATGCACTGTTGGGCCTGATATCCCAAGACAAGCCTCCACCTAAGCTAGTTTACAAACCATTGTGTAATTTGAAGCTTCGCCATCAACTCAGGATGCCCGTAAGCTTTCACTAAATAGACACTTTTCTAGGTAATAGGGTTGTGGGAAGGGACATGGGATCTGAGGTTAACTGTGTTAATAGTGGCCCTGTCACTTATTTTTATATGACCATAAGTAAGTTTGCCTCTTGGAACCTCAGTTTTTTTAATCTGTAAAATCGGGTTAATATTATATACCTTATAAGGCTGTTGTGAGAATTAACTGAAAGGCATGTATATAAAAAACTTAATACAATGCTTTACCACAATAGGCTATGAAAATATGTTAACTGTTATTATTAATAATCAATTCTTTTCTTTTTTGAGGCAGAGTCTAGCTCTGCTGCCCAGACTGGAGTGCAATGGCGTGATCTCGGCTCACCACAACCTCCGCCTCCTGGGTTCAAGCAATTCTCCTGCCTCAGCCTCCCGAGTAGCTGGGTTTACAGGTGTATGCCACCACACCCAGCTAATTTTTTATATTTTTGGTAGACATGGGGTTTCATCATGTTGGCCAGGCTGGTCTCAAACTCCTGACCTCATGATATGCCTGCCTCAGCCTCCCAAAATGCTGGGATTTCAGGCGTGAGGTATATTAATAATCAATTCTTAAATACCATGTTTTAAGGGACAGAGCCAGACTGTCCTGAAATGTATACTTGTACTAACCTGCTGAGCCTCTGAGATTCTATCATTTAATTTATTTCTTAATGTTATGGCATACCCTGTTGATGCTCATTGTTAATAATTTAGGTAACAACCTGTTGGTTTCTGGGATGGGTTAGAAGAACAGCTCAGAGGGAAAGCGCTTAGGAGAGGAGGTCAGAGAAGGATGGTAGAATGTTTGGTTTCACAGTGCAGAGTGTGTGGTAGCAGGGTGGGACAGGAGTCTGGGAAGTTGGGAGGCTTCTGTTCCAAGAGCTTTGAATGTTAAAACTGGGGTGGGGAAGGGGTTCATTCCCTTCATTGCCAAGTGGTTTATGGTGATTGAGTTCCACCTAGAAGTTAATGAATTACAGAGTCTTGGAGTTGCCTCGGGCTGGATTTTCACAGTGGTTATTTGACTTCTCAGCCACTGTGCTTTTTTTTTTTTTTTTTACTTTAAATTGGAATAATAATGGTGGTTGTAGTAGAACAGCATAATTATTACTAATGTTAGTACTGTTTACTCACATTTGTTGGGTGCTTACACATAGTACTTTGAGTGCTTTCCGCATATTGCCTTATTCAACCTTGTGAGAACTCATGAAATAGGTATTATTAACCCCATTTTAGAGAAGAGCGAACTTCACAGAGCTTCAGGAACTTACTACGTGGGTGGGTAGGCAAGCTAAAACAAGATGTGAATGTAAATGGTCTAATTCCAGGAGCCGCGCCTTCGTTCCCTGTCTTAAAGGCATGTATATGTATATATAGTGTGTGTGTGTGTGATTTTACACGTATAAATACACATGTTCATGTTAAGGCTGAAACTACATAGCATGTATTGAGAGCTCTGCAAATTGCATTGGTTTTCTGTGGAGGCAGTTATGTAAATGGGTTCAGACAGACAGCATGGGAGAGACTACATAGTCTGCCATCCTGGAGCAGCAGTGAGTCAAGAAGTCTCTGCAGCAGCAGCAGAGCCAGGGAGTTGGTCAGGAGTGAGTGGGCAGTCTGACTTGAAGACCCCGTGTTTCCTTTGGGACCCTTATTTCTGTGTGCTTACAGGAGAATGCTAAAAACATGATTAGAACTGAGGTCATCACAACAAGAGTATCTGTGGAAGCTTTTTTTGCCCCTCAAAGACACTTTAATTAGATTCCCATCATGAAAACAATTAGGCAAGATTTGCCATACCTAACCAGTCAATAATTCAAGGACAGGATCTCATTAAGAGCTTTTGCTTTCCCGGAAACTGCCGTTTTGAGGATTCAGCACTGGTGACTGCGTGCTCTGGGGATTAATTCCTGATCCATATTTCCCCTGAACTTTTTTATTTTCTCAAATCCAGAAGAAAACAAATTTTTAAATGACTGTATAAGCTGCCCTTCATTTTCACAAAGGTGTTCTGGGATTTGAGTTGTGCTTTCTCTGTCACAGTTCCATTGGGTTTTGTTTTGAATCACACCCACTAAGTGGACAAAGCAAGAGACGAGACTCAGATACAGGCACTGCTTGAGTGGGTGAGCCTCACTCTCAGATTTTTTAGGTGGCTCATCCCACAATCAGGTGAAGGTTGTCTTCTGTTGACCTGAGCCAGTGGAACTCCTGTGATATCTGGTTCATTTTCCATGACACAAGTATTGAGATGTATTATATATTTCTTGCCTTCTTTTGCTTCTTCACTTTCTCTTCCCTATACTCCCTCCATCTCTTCATTCTTTCCTTCCTAAGTGCATTATTGATTTCCTACCGTGCGCTAGTCTTTGCAATTGAAATTGAGGATTCAATGAAGAAAAAATAGATACAACCATTTAGAAAAACATTTGGCCTGATCTGTTAAAGTTGAAACTGTGCATGTGCTATGGCCCAGGTACTTGACTGCTGGATACTCCAGAGATACTTGTGCACATATATATCTGGTTACATTATAAGCATTTTCATAACAGCACTGTTGATAACAGCCATAAACTGAGTCCATTCTAAATATCTTCTGTAGAGTGGTTAATTTGGAGTGTTTTCAATCAGTAGAACACTATGTAGCAATGAAAATGAACAAACAACAACTACATGCAACATTGTGGATGAGTCTTATACACATAAGACTGAGCACATGGGCATTATTCACCCTGCCTTAATAGGCAGTGACATGATCAGTGTGTGCTTAGGAAGTTGACTTTTGTCAGTACGGAGTTTAGGGAATTCATGCTGGAGACAGGGACCCCATTGGGAGGCACTTTGCAATGGTCCTGGAGAGAGAAAATTCTATGCCAAGCCCAGGCAGTAGCAGTAGCAAGGAAGAGAGTAACATGGATTGTTGAGGGACATTACAAGCGAAATAAGCACAATCAGGTGACTTACTGGATGTTTAGATTGATTCTAGAGAGGGGACCATCTAACATGTTGCTAAGATTTCTAATCTCGTGCACTAGAAGAACAGTTGTGTCATTCACTAAGAACAGAGGAAGACTAGGATTTTGAGGTGATAGCTAATGAATCCTCATGACATTAAGATATGTGACCTTGGGCAAGTTATTTAACATCTCTTTGCCATAGTTTCTTCTTGTATAAAAGAGAGAAAATAATTTTCAAAGCATAGCAACCTCAGAAGGTAATACAATGTCTGATATAGAATGTACATTGTTACGATACTGGGTTTCGAGGAGTAAGTATGACCCTGAATTTGTAATATCATAAATGTGATGGAGAGTCCTCTCTGTAGGCTTCTCAGAGATGAAAGACAGGTGAAGGAAAACTTGAGTCATCCTTATATGTCTTGAGGATGATGAAACACTATGTACTTCAAGTACAGGGTGGGGAGAAAGTCTTAAGACACAAGCTACAAAGAAACGAGATTACATAACGTGGGAAAAGGAAAGCCAAGAGGTGATTTAACAAGACTTTAAATGAAGAGCAAGCCAGAAGTTAGCAGGTACTGTTGCTGAAAATGGTTTAAAAGGCACAGCCATTTATAAAATGCTTTATTTATTTACATAAAAGTGATACTCAGGGTCTTATTACTCAATAGACTTTTTGGTGATGGCCAAAGGAATACATATTGTTTAAATAGAAAATTTATAAACTACTAAAAAGAAGACCAAAGCAAGTAAATAACATATATAATTCTAATGCCCTAATGTTAACATTTTAGCTCTGTTCACTTACTCATCTGTCCATCTGTCCATCTGTTCATCCGTCCGTCTGTCCATCCATCCATCCATCCATCTTGTCTTTTTTTTTAAATGAAGCTGAAATTAAACCATGTGTTGTGTAAACTGCTGTGTTTTGCACAGAACTTAAATGGAGATTAATTCTAGTGTGAGGGATTTAGGTTAGCTATTTGTAGTAAGAAGAGTGTCTGATGTGCTTTATCAATGAGTTATTGAGGGAAAGTGCAATATTTTCTTCTCTGGCAGTCTTAAAATATAGTAGGATAAACTCTCATCTCGTTGATGGCAAGGGCATGACCCTGCTTTACTGCTCTGTTATTCTCTGATATGTGGACAAAACCCAAGAGTGCTTTTCTGAGGACTTACTTCTCCCAAAAGTGGCAGAAAGAAATATTGGTTAGAATATGATGTAAGAGACTCTTATTAATCCCTCACCTACATTTGCCTTCAGGACTGAGGACTGAAGAGTTCATCTCTCCCAAGAGTGTGAGACTGCTCAACTTTTCATTTCTCAATATTAAAATCACTGTAAAATTCTATTCTGACTAATCCAGAATAAAGACAGGAAAGATTAGTGTCACCAGGATATAGTTTTACATGAGCAAATCATTTTAAATAGGCTTAAATCTAAGGGGTGAAAACTGCTTAGACGGAAGGTATTTATGTCAGAGTGGATGGGATAACTCGTGTGTGTGTGTGTGTGTGTGTGTGTGTGTGTGTAAGAGAAGGGGAGGAAAGGGAAGGGGGAGAGGGAGAGAGGAATTCTGAAGGCTTCCTTTTATTGTATGCATGATCTAAATGTAGAGGCTACTGCTATTAGTGAGGTCTAATTAAGAGGTTTTAATAACCATTTTGACCAAAATGACAGTTTGTTGGATCCAGTATTTTCTCAGATTTTTTTTGATTGTTTCAGTGCATGTGCTCACATATGCATGCATATAAACACATGCCAACTATACATACAGGAGACGTGGCTCTCATTTCCTTTCCACAGAGATGTAAGGTTGAGAAAATGTTTTCTGTTTTGAATATTTTTTATTACAAAGAAATTGAATTAATTCATTTAACAAATGCTCATTGAACTCATTCAGTGTAAGCACTATGGTGAAAATGGGGAATAGGAGATTGCCTAAAAGCATTAAGGAATGGCAAGGAGCGTTTTAGTCAGTGGCGCAGATGTGACTATTAATCTATACCGAGTACTTGGTGTCCTCAGAAGACAAGCCACCGTTACCTTCAGGGTAAAGCCTAAACTTCTCAGCCTGAGGCCATTTGCAATCTTGTCTTCAATTATCCTTTCAGCCTCATACCCTAACATCTCCCACACCCACCTTATGCTCCAGTCATTCCTGTGGGAAGAATTTATCAAGCCCCATACCATGTACTGGGCATTTTTAGATAACTTGTGGCTCCTCAGACATCTCTCTTCCTTCACGCCTCCTTACCTGGGTCCTTGTGGTTTTCCTCTGATGGAATGCTTCACCTCCAATTGCTGACACACTCCCACTTGCCTGTGTGCCTTTTCCACTAGCCAGTGAGATCCTGGAGGAGAGAGACCATCTCCTTCTCTGTGGGCCTCTAGCAGTCAGTATGGCACTTAGCATATAGTAGCCATGCAGTCAGTGTGTTGAACAAATGAATGAATGAGGCAAAGTTAAGTGTAATCCAAATCTGTAGTGGTGATGAGCTGCCTTAGCTTTTGTTTATTTAGGAACATCTTAATTTCTCTTTCATTTTTGAAGGATAGTTTTGCTGGATGTAGTATTTTTGTCTTGTAGGTTTTTTTTTTTTTTTAATTTCAGTATTTTGAACATGTCATTCCATTCACTTCTTGCCTGCAAAGTTTCTGCCAAGTAATCTACTGAAAATCTTATAGGAGCTTAATGTGATGAGTTGCTTTTCTCTTACTGCTTTCAAGATTCTCCCTTTTTCTGTGACTTTTGACAGTTTGACTATAATGTGTCTTGGTGTGAGTCTTTTATATATATATATATATTTTATTATACTTTAAGTTCTAGGGTACATGTGCACAACGTGCAGGTTTGATGCATAGGTATACATGTGCCATGTTGGTTTGCTGCACCCATCAACTCATCATTTACATTAGGTATTTCTCCTAATGCTATCCCTCCCCTAGGCCCCCACCCACTGACAGGCCCTGGTGTGTGATGTTCCCCACTCTGTGGCCAAGTGATCTCATTGTTCAATTCCCATCTATGAGTGAGAACATGTGGTGTTTGGTTTTCTGTCTTTATGATAGTTTGCTGAGAATGATGGTTTCCAGCTTCATCCATGTCCCTGCAAAGGACATGAACTAATCCTTTGTTATGGCTGCATACTATTCCATGGTGTATATGTGCCACATTTTCTGAATCCAGTCTATCATTGATGGACATTTGGGTTGGTTCCAGGTCTTTGCTATTGTGAATAGTGCTGCAATAAGCATATGTGTGCACATGTCTTTATAGTAGCATGATTTATAATCCTTTGGGTATATACCCAGTAATGGGATGGCTGGGTCAAATGGTAATTCTAGTTCTAGGTCCTTGAGGAATCACCACACTGTCTTCCACAATGGTTGAACTAATTTGCACAGATGTGAGTCTTTTTGTATTTATCCTAGTTGAAGTTCATTGAGCTTTCTCAATTTGTATGCCAATTTCCTCCCTCAAATTTGGGGAATTTTCAGCCATTATTTCTTCAAATAGGCACTCACTCTGCTTCTTTCTCACTCTCTTCTCATTCTGAGATTCCCGTAATGTGGATAATGATCTGTTTGATGATGTCTTATAAGTCCCTTAGGCTCTCTTGACTTTTCTTTATTCTTTTTATTTGTTTTTTGGTTCCTGACTCAATAATTTCAAATAACCTATCTTTAAGTTTGCTGATTCTTCTGCTTGATCAAGTTTGCTATTGAATGAGCCACTCTAGTGAATTGTGTTTTAGTTCCATTATTGTATTCTTCAACTCTGGAATTTCTGCTTGGTTCTCATTTTTCTCATAGTTTCTTTTTGTTGATAGTCTCATTTTATTCTTGCGCTTTATTTTTCCTGATCCATTTAGTTGTCTATTTTAGTTCATGGAGCATTTTAAGATGGTTATTTCAAGTTCTTTGTGAGGTAATTCATAGATCTCTGTTTCTTCAGTGTTGGTTTCTAGAGATTTATTTTGTTTCTTTGATTGGGCCATGTTTCCTTGTTTCTTTGCATGCATTGTGATCTTTTGTTGAGGTTTGGGTATATAAAAAAACAGCCACTTCTCCCAGTCTTATGGACTGGCTTCATACAGGGAAGACCTTCACTAGTCAGCCTAGCTTGAGATTCTGGGGGCCTCTCAAACCTTTTTGAGGGATGCATCTTCTCTGGACTTGTGTGTAATTTCCCAGTCACAGAGGACTGCCCCTGTTCTCAAGAGCCCATGATCTTTTGTTACCCTTGTTGTCTGTCTGAGGTACTGCAGGCTCTCTAGTGTAACAAGCCACCATGCTTGCTTTTGAAAGTATATTGCCATTTCCTTTAGCACTCTGAGTCATGCCCCTCTTAAAGACAGGATGTTGGATGCACAGTTAGCACTTTTCTATCCCTACTGAGGGAGAAGCCAGAAGCTGGGAGTTTTTTCTTGATTGCGTTACACTATGCTGGGTGGGAGGGAGCTATCATAGGTAAAAGCAACAAAGTTTCTTATCTGCTTTGATGTGGCTCTTCTTGGCTTTGCACCTACCTGGGTGCTGCTAATTCTTGAGGGAGTTCTCATAAAGGCAATTTGGTTTGTATATTGTTCTTAAGTCATTGTCTCTCAGGGTAATGAAGGCTTGGGACTTCCTATTCAGCCATCTTACTTCTATCACTCTTAAGTGTAATCTAGATCTCTGTTTTATGACATGAAGATAATTAATATTGATATAATTTTGGTAATGAAAATTGGTAGAGATGGTGACATATCTCTTCTGTCTCACCCCTTCTCCAATCGAGGATTGAAAAAGTCATTCCAGGTGTCTGGCTTTCCAATCTTGTCTCTATCTGACTCTCTTTAGTAATAGTAGCTAACATTTAGTAAATGCTTATGTGTTAGGAACTCTTCATATTCCTGTGATGTGTGATAACTCATTTACTTGCCACAGTAGTTGTAAAAGAAAGATACTATGGTCGTTCCCATTTTACATGTGAGGAAACCGAGTTATAGAGAGTCTAAATAATTTACCTAAGGTCATATCATTGATAATTACCTCAGACTCAATTTTAAAAAGAGATTTTGCAGCATGAAATGAATATTCTTTAATTTGAATAAGACTGTTAATATTATATAAACTATAAGTTACTTTTAACAAAATCTTCTTATAATAGGTAGTTATTGAATTATTAAGGATATTATTTTTTATTGATTATAAGTGGTAATTATGCAGCTAGAAATGTCTGTCGTTTACATATCCAAGCATAGAATGACATCAAAGATGTGTTTTTTGTTTTTTTTGCAGGACAGAGTTCATTCAAAGAGGCAGGATTTCAATCACAGGGGTTGGATTTCTCAACTGTGTTTTAGAAACTTTTGCCAGCACATTCTTACGACAGGGAGCCCAGAAGGTAACCATATTTCTGCTTTGAACCAACATTAATTTTAAAAAACAATAGGAGTTCCAATAGGGTTATTGAATAAGACTCATGAGCAGACATAATGAGAAAAACATATAGTTAATAAACAAATATATGCAAAAATAATCAACCTCAAAATTATTACATAAATTCAAATCAAAGTAAAACTAAAGTGGCATTTATGGCTCATTAAATTAAAAATATGCCAATGAAGAGTATGTGAAAATTTGGAGCATACTTATAATCTAATTAAAAGAAATAATCAGAATGAATAATAATGTATAGTATGATGACAACTATTTAATAAAGATAATGATAGTTAATATTTATTGAGCACTTACTATGTACTACTGACTGCTAAAAGAATTTGTATTATTAACTCATTGAATCCTCACAAACCTTTGCAGGAGCTGTTATTGTTGTCCTAATATTATGGATGAGGAAAATACAGAGACCCCAATTGTCCACTCTTATAGTTTTCAAACTCTATTCTCAAGGGAGCTTAGGCTTCCATGAAAGTGATTCAGAAGCCATGTTGGAGTTCTAAGGTCCTGTGTGCTCTATTTTAAGTAGAGCTTTTCCATTTTAATCTGTCCTCTATGGTATTCCATATAACATTTATATCTTCTATTTTCTTTCCTTAATAGCATTATTTTTAAAACTTCATGTCAAAACCCATTGCTTATGCATTTTTATGTGCTTATTGCAGTGCTCAGTATAAAGCAGTTGCTCCTAAGTGTTTTATTATTGTTATTAATTACGATGATAATTATACTCATTTATTTCCAGATTTTACTCAGGACTTTTTGTATAAGTTTACCTCATTTTGTTTTGTGGGATAGAATTAACCGCTGGTGTAAAGAACCATTGTTATGACCCTCAGAGACTTCCTGGCAATGGACCCTTGTTTTCATTTTTGCATGTCTAGGTTCAAGGATGAACCTGTACTAGGAGGTGTTCATCTGGGAGGCTGAGGGCGGTGAATGAATATTCAGTACCGTTCTGTACACCATAGACATACTGTTGTGATTGATGATGTGTTCTTGCTCCAGTTGAGGTGGTTCCTGGCACATATTCAGACTGGTCCAGCCTCTTTAAACCTGGACTTGAAGGGAGTAGTTGAACTTCCGGAAGATCTTATGTCACCTTTACTCACTCAGACATTATTGCAAATTTTTCTGCTATATTGCAATTTATGCGTTTGTAAAAACTCCCATGTTCTGCAGCATTGCATTCTAAAAATAGTGGAACTGATGAGAAAAGTAATTTCATTGCCATGTTTCTTACTGAGTTGACTTTTTGTGCATCCTTTAAACTCTGTATGATGATAATAGTAATAATAAATTGAATTTTTTTATAATACAGCTATATTCACTAGAAGAATGGGATTTTTTTGAGGGGGAGGGATAACATTTAGGTGAAGCAGCGTTCAAAATTCGTGTTCCTTATTATCAAATTGATTGCAAATGTTCATTTATAAAAACCATTCTTGCAGGCCATATAAATACAGGTGGTGGGCTGGATTTGGCTTGTAGGGTATAGCTAACCCCTATTTCAGATAAATATTATTTCATTAACTGAGGTTGGTCTGTATTTGATGCATCAATTAATCTGATGAACCTAATAATGACTTTTAATTGCACAGTGGTTATGTACATTCTGATCCTGTGAGACACATAAAGTGAAATTTTTATTCCCATTTTATTAATGAGAATGAGAATTCCCATTTCATTAATGAGAAATGACTTGACTTAAAAGATAAGCATACCCGATACGTGGTAACTGCTTTCCCTGCTTCCTTCCTCTTACAGATATATATTGAGTACCTGCTTTGCACTAGGCACTGTGCTAAGTGTGGGCTAAATGTGTTTCTTCAAGGTCACAGAACTAGCAAAGGGTGGAGTCTGGACTTAAATCCCTATCTTTTGTCAATAAGAGTTCCCTCTTGCCACTTTACTGTGCAGCCCTCAGATGAATGAAGTGAAATCCTTGCCTACCTAGCATCACGAACTTCACTAATACTTGTGTTTGTTAGATGAATTTGTGTTGTGGTCTTACTCCCTTTGGATTTATTAGGACTATTTGGTTGCAAGTAACAGAAACCACTTCAGGCTAGCTCATTCTAAGTGTACAAGGGTGGTGAGGCTGGCAGCCTTCAGAAAGGTCTTCACTGGGAACTGAACACTGCCAGCAACCAAGTGGTATTCCTTCTTCAGCTCTTGTCTGTAAGACTATGTGTCTATTTTATTCCACTCTTTCTGTGTAGTCTGGTTTTCTCTGCTCCCCAGGCTATATAATGGGACATGGGCCTCCATTGTCAAGCATACATATTATATATTAATAGAATTCTCACTAATAATAAAATAGCTTATTTCTTTTCTTTATTAATTCTTTGGGAGGGACTCTCGTTGGCCTCCTATAGGTCAGGCACCACCAGGAAGGTGGAAGTCAAGTTGTCCAGTTATGGCTCATTCTCTGCCATGACCACATGGACCAGGGTTAGGGGCCACTTCTCAGGGGAAGGGGTTGTGGGGCGGATATATACTCCCCAAAGTTTCTAGCATGATCCCACTTTGATTTTATGTTCCTTGATGGCAGAAGTGGTTTCATTCACCTTAATTCTTATTCCCTTCTCCCAACCTATAGTACCTTGGACAGTGTTCCATCCATTCGTGTGGGAATGAGTAGAAAGGAAATGCCCAGGGAGGTTCACAGTTGGTTTCTGATGAATATTACCTGGAAATAATTAGGTGACTTCAACTTCTTAAAGTGATTCCTTTTTATTCTCATTTATTATGCTTAGAAGTAAGAATATATTTTTCCTGCTAGCTTTTGCCTTTTCTGACTTACTTTTTCTTTTCGAAGAGGCCACGTTTAATTAGCTTTTTGATTTTAGGAGCCATTTATGCCTGAGTGTCTTTTTTGTTTTATCCAAGTGGTCATTTTTTCTGGTATCAGCCTGACTTCCTGATAAACCTTCACAGCTGAGCCTGCATAAATGGTTTCTGTGGAAGTCACCATAAGAGTGTTTTAGGTGACTTTATTTTCACTTTAGGACTTATTGCTGAGTCTGTTTAGTAGTGGTAATGATGGGATCTGATATCTATTTTTTTCCAGAAAAATCAAAACTAGGTACTCACAAACTTTATATTTTTATGTTTGTAAATTAAAAGCTGGCTTTAGCCATGGATCCCCAAGCTGAGGTCATACGTATTCTGTGCCTCTGGGGACTGGCTCAATTGCTTTTTTCTCCTTCCTTCATCACTCTTAAAGGGAGGTAACTTGGAATTTGGGAGCCTTTGTGTCACAAATGCTGACTTTTCACACACCAGTCAGACCCCTCCTTCCTCCTGGAGTGGAAATCTGTGGGCAGGAGAACTGGGATTTCCGTTTGGCAGCCAAGTTGACAGATGTATCCTTGAAACGGAGTGGTTCTGAACTTACAGTCCTCTGGACTTGCTCTCCTCACCTTTGTGACCCAGCACAAATCACTTTGGCCCTCCCTATTCTCAGTTTAATTGTCTGCAAAATGGGGATTTTAATGTGTTCCCACAGGTACATGTGAAAACTAAGTTTGATAACTTTCTGTAACTTAGTAAACACAGGTCAAATATACAAAATATGTTTTAGTTTTCAAGAATTAAGAAAAATCACTGCCACATACTTCTTTAACATATTTTCTTTTTATGGTTATATGTTTTTTTTTCTCTCCCTCAAATTCATGTAAACACATACAGTCTAGACAACTAGATTTTAAGTTCAATTCCACCAGCACTTTTTGGGTGTCACCTATGTGCCAGGCATTGGGTAGAATGCTGGAGACACAAGTAAGAATTAAGACATAATTCACAAGATAGAGACTGTGCCTTAAGTAGCTTTACTTCTGGGACATCTAGCTCAGGGTGGAAAGCAGGACAGACAATGAATGAACATCTGCTGATGCAGAAAATTTATTGAGCCTTGTTTGGTGTTCAGTGCCAGCACTATGATCAGTGCTGAGAAGCATATTAAAATAACAGCTAGTGCTTGCAAGAGCTTAGTAGATGCCAAGCACTGTCCTTGGCACGCATTACCTTATCTGATTTTCTGGACAACATAATGAAATAGGAAATGTTATTTTCATTTTATGCATAGGGAAACTGAGGTCCCAAGTGGCAAAGTAGTTTTCTCAAGGTCACAGAATTAGTAAATGGTGAACCGGGGATTTGAACCCAAGCTTGTCTGACCCCAGAGTGCTCTTGATTTCTGCATCACAGTGCTGCATCCATGATCTGTGCACTTAAGCCACTTGCGTGGGGCAAGCTGGGTGTTCTTGATATAACCAGAGTGAGGCGATGTGATACACGGTAATGATGGAGGAATGCAAACGTAGGGAGCTCAGTTACAAGAGAGGAGCTTGGAATGGGCCAGAGGAATGCGGCCATGCTACTTGAAACGGCCTATGAGGGGCAAGTGAATATCTTCCCTTCTGTTCAGAGGCCTCAGCATCTGTCGTCTACACTACAGCTGACCTAAACTCCACAGTGCCTTGCAGGTTGACAGTGTGTTAGCTAACGTTTCACCCATTTTTACTGTAATGACGTATCCTCTTTTCTGCTTTTCTGTGTACTGCAGATGTATTGTTATTTGCTTTGAAAATACCTTTGTATTAAAAATAATATTAAAAGTTTGTTTTTTATTGTGGCAAAATATACGTAGCATAAAATTTACCATTTTAACCATTTTTAAGTGTACAGTTCAGTGGCATTAAGTACACTCACATTGTTGTGCAGCCGTCACCATCATCCATCTCCAGAACTTTGTTTCTCTTCCCAAACAGGAACTCCTTAGCCATTAAACAATAACTTCCTATCCCATTCACCTCCTAGCCCCTGGCAACCACCATTCTACTTTTTGTCTCTATGAACTTGGCTAGTTTGGTTATGTCATATAAGTGGACTCATACAGTATTTGTCTTTTTGTGACTGGCATTATTTTACTGAGCATATGTTTTCAGTGTTCATCTGCATTGTAGCATGTGTCAGACTTACCTTTCTTTTTATGGCTAATATTTCCTTGTTTGTATATATCACATTTTGTTTGTCTAGTCACCTGATATGGTTTGGCTATGTTCCCACCCAAATCTTACGTGAATTGTAATAATCCCCACGTGTCAAGGTGGGGCCAGGTGGAGATAATTGAATCATGGGGGCTGTTTCCTCCATCCTGTTCTCTTGGTAGTGATGGGAGTTCCCCTGCACAAGCTTTCTTGCCTGCCACCATGTAAGACGTGACTTGCTCCTCATTCGCCTTCTGCCATGATTGTGAGGCCTCCCTAGCCATGTGGAACTGTGAGTCAATTAAAACTCTTTCCTTTATAAATTACTCAGTGGCTGGTATGTCTTTATTAGCAGTGTGAAAACAGACATCATCCATTGGTGGATTGTTGGGTTGCTTCTGCCTTTTGGCTATTGTGAATAATACTGCTATAAACATGGGTATATAAATATCTGTTTGAGTCCCTGCTTCCAATTCTTTTTGGTATATATATATATATATATACCCAGAAGTGAAATTGCTGGATTAATTATATGTTTAATATTTTGAGGACTCATTTAAAAGGTTTTTTAAATTTTTAAGTTAATTTTTTATTTTTAATTGACAAATTATAATTGTATATATTTACGGGATACAATGTGGCATTTTGATATATATATATATATATATATATACACACACACACACACACACAATGTGGAATTATTAATTCAAGCTTATTAAAATATCTATCACCTCACATATTTAACATTTTTTGTGGTGAGATCATTTGGAGTTTACTCTTAGCAATTTTGAAATTTACAATATATTCTCATTAACTATAGTCAACATGCTATACAATAGATCTAAAAACTTATTCCTCCTGTCTAACCGAAACTTTTTGCCTTTTGGCCAACATCTCCTTATTCTCTCGCACCTCCCCCAGCCTCAGATAACCACCATTCTACTCTCTACTTCTATGAGTTTAACTTTTTTAGATTTTACATATGAGGTATTTGTCCTTCTGTGCCTTATTTCACTTAACATAATGTTCTCCAGGTTTATCCATGTTGTCACAAATGACAGAACTTGCTTCTTTTTAAGGCTGACTAGTACTCCACTGTGTACTATACCACATTTTCTTTGTCCATTCATCCATTGTTGAACACTTAGGTTGATTCCATATCTTGGCTACTGTGAATAATGCTGCAGTGAACATGAGAGTTCAGCTGTCTCTTTGACATACTGATTCCCAATTCTTCGGATAAATACCCAGAAGTGGGATTGCTGGATCATATGGTAGTTCTATTTTGTGTTTTTTGAGGAACTTTCATATAGTTTTCCATAATGGGTATACCAATTTACATTTCCACCAACAGTGTACAAGGGCATCCTTTTCTCCTCATTCTTGCCAACACTTTTTATCTTTCATCTTTTTGATATCAGCCATTGTAACAAGTATGAGGTGATATCTCATTGTGGTTTTAATTTACATTTCTCTAATGATTGGTGCTGTTGAACCTTCTTTTTTTCATATACCTGTTGGCCATTTGTATATTTTCTTGTGGGAAATAGCTGTCTGGTTCTTTGCCCATTTCTTAATTGGGTTATTTGTTTTCTTGCAATTGAGTTGTTTGAATCCCTTGTATATTTTGGATATTAACCCCATATCAGATGTGTGATTTGTAGATATTTTCTTCCAACTTGCAGGTTGTCTCTTCACTCCATTAATTGTTTCCTTTGCTGTGCATAAGCTGTTTAGTTTGATGCAATCTTATTTGTCTGTTTTTGTTCCCTGTGCTTTTGAGGCCAAATCCAAAAAATCATTGCCCAGACCAATGTCATGGATTTTTTCCCTTGTATTTCCTTCTAGTAATTTTATAGCTTCAGTTCTTATGTTTAAGTCTTTAGTTCATTTTGAGTTGATTTTTGTATATGGTGTGAGATACAGGTCCAATTTTATTATTCTATGTGGATATTCAGTTTTCCCAGCACCATTTATTGAAGAGACTGGTTTTTTTCCCATTGTGTGTTCTTGGCATCTTCCGTGAAAATCAATTGACTGTAAATGCGCAGGTTCATTTCTGGTCTCTCTATTCTATTCCATTATTCAATGTGTCTGTTTTTTGCCAGTATTGTGCCATTTTGATTACTATAGGTTTGTAATGTATTTTGAAAAGAGAGAGTGTGATGCTTCCAGTTTTGTTCTTTTTACTCAAGATTACTGTGGTTATTTGAGGTCTTTTGTGGTTCCATGTGAATTTTAGAATTGCTTATTCTATTTTTGTGGAAAATGTTGTTGGAATATTGATAGAGATTGCATTGAATCTGTAGATTGCTTTGGGTATTATGGATAAGTTAGCAATATTAATTCTTTCAAGCTATGATCATGGGATGTCTTTCCATTTATTTGTGTCTTCAGTTTTGTCCATGTTTTATACTTTTCAGTGTAGAGATCTTTTACTGCGTTGGTTAAATTTATTCCTAAGTATTTCTTTGGTAACTACTATAAATGAGATTGATTTCTTAATTTTTTCGGATAGTCTGTTGTTAGCATATAGAAATGATACTGATTTTTGTATGTTGATTTTTGTATCCTGCAACTTAACTGAATTCATTTATCAGTTCCATTTTTTGGTGGAGTCTTTAGGGTTTTATATATATATATAAGATCATGTTGCCAGCAAACATAGATGATTTTACTTCTTTCTTTTCTACATGGGTGCCTTTTATTTCTTTCTCTTGCCTAATTGCTCTAGCAAAACTCCCAGTATTATATTGAATAGAAGTGGCGAGAGTGGGCCACTTCTTTTGAGATAGTTGTCTATCTGTGTGCATGACAGCAATGGGGTATACCATTTCTGTGAATTTTTCTCAATTCTATACAGAAGAATGAATATATACCATCAGCCAATGAGCACTGGTGGGTGTGCCATACAGTGTGTTCCTCAACCTGGGAGGCATTCACTCATCTCTTGACCGTGCCATAGTCTCTCTCAGCCTAGATTTCATGTGCTGGTGGACACTTTTGACCCGTGGTGGCCAATAGAAGATAGTATGTTGGAAGTGCCAAAAACATGCTGAAGACAAGTATTTGCTTATCTCAAGTCATGCTAAAATATGTAGTTAGCTTTTAATAGGCCTTGAGATAAGTAAGTACATTCAGAAAGCAGATCAAAAAGATAAAGATCTGAAGGAAAATAGTGGTTGGTGGAAATCTGGGACACATGAAAGGCTTCATATACATTTCTACAGCCTTGGAAGATGGCCCAACCACTGTGTGAAGCAGAGCTGGAAGACACCCAGGCCAGAGTCAAGTCATGATCTCAGACCTCAGGGACCCAAAGAGGAGGAAACAGAGACATCACTGATGCTCTGCAGGTGCTCACCAGTTTGGGAGGGCTTTCCTTAGGTCAGTGTTTCTCAACCCTTTTTTCATTATTACTCCCTTCAGGAGCCTTTTTAGACAATTTTCCCCTAATTGCTCTTTTCACCATGAAATTTTAAGACCATAGATAGACTGATTATTTGTTCATATACTATATTATGTTCAATTTATACATAAAAAGTGAAGATAGCAGGGTGTGGTGGCTCATGCCTGGAATCCCAGCACTTTGGGACGCTGAAGTGGGAGGATCACTTGAGCTCAGGAGTTTGAGACCAGCATAGGCAACATAGGGAGATCTCGTCTCTACAGAAAACCAAAACAATTATCTGGGCATGTTGTTGCATGCCTATAATCCCAGCTGCTCCGGGGGCTGAGGTGGGAGGATTGCTTGAGCTGGGAGGTAAAGGCTGCAGTGAACTGTGATGGCACCACTGCACCCTAGCCTGGGTGACAGTGAGACCCTATGTCAAAAAAAAAAAAATTGTTGCCTCTTTTCAATATTGCCCTGTTGAGACAGCATGCCATTTACTATTTTGGGCATACTATTTAGGGAGCTTTTGTCTCTACTCCTCCAAATTGACATCTTCCGTGTGAAGTGAAAAAATTGCTAGCTTCCCACTCCCCAAAAATCTCAAACCAAAAATTTCCAAACGCAAAGCAAAAGAACGTTTTGGTGAACCCCCACATAGTTGCTTACAAATTCCACATTTTGCTTCTCTGGGGAGGCTTAGGAGATAACATGGGTGATAACAGTCTTGTTATGCAAGCATTCTTTTTTTAGCCTAGTTTGTCTGAATCTTTAGAGAGTACTACAAATGCTGTGGAAATGCAGAGCTCTCATTATGCAATCGCATAGACGTGTTTTTTGTTTTGTTTTGTTTTGTTTTTTGTTTTTGAGTTTGTGAAATACATTTTCAATGTGTGATGAAATAATTTGTTATTTCAGCCACTCTCCTGGCAAGGCCCCATTATTAGTTCCATCATTATTCTTATTGTGATCAGGAGGCTGAAGCAGAGAACGATTGAATTCAACAGTGTGTGAAATATTTGTCACTGAAACAATGCGGGCAAGTCAAACAATTTGAACATCGCTTTTAAGAAGGTCTGGCCTAGACATGCTACAGCTAAAGAAATCAGAATATGCAGTTTCCTTGGGGTGTATGCTTGTTATTTTAGCCTTATAGAAATCCATTTTAGTAGTGGGAGATAATTTCCTGGGACTCAAGAAAAAAGTGGAGATACTACAAATGTAGTTCAAGTAGGCATTTGAAAAACCTTGAGACATTTGGTGGCATTATTTTTGTAAAGTAACTGTATTAGTTATTTATTGCTGTGTAACAAATTGCCCCAACTTTGCAGCTTGAAACAACACATATGTATTACCTCTGTTTCTGTAGATTAGGAGTCTAGGCACAGCTTAGTTGGATCTGTTTCAAGGTTTCACAGGGATGTAATCAAGGTTTTAGCTGGGGCTGCAAACTCATCTGAAGGCTCAGTGGGGAAGCTTCATCTCCAAACTCACATGGTTGCTGGTAGGATTCAGCGGGCCTCCCTTGGTTCCTTGCCACATGGGCCTCTGTATAGATGATCTCAGAATGTGGCAGTGAGCGTGAGAGCAAGAGAGTGCTACCAAGGTGAAATATCACAGTTTTTTATAAACTAATTGAAGTGACATCCTTTTATTTTCTGTATTCTTTTCATTAGAAGAAAGTCACAGCCCACACTAAAAAGGAGATTACACAGGGGCATAAATACCAGGAGGCACAGGTCACTAGGAGCCACATCAGAAGCTGCCTGCCACACTGACCTTATCCAACCTGTATGCTGAGTTGTAGGCATAAGTATTAAGTTCTTTTTGATATATACTGGGTATTGATTATAATGAGAGGTTGCTGAGGGTCAGCTGCATCCCAGAAACCTCATTAACAGTTTATGGAAATTTCTGTGACACATATATTGTGACATTTATTAGTTATTTATTTATAAGTAGGCACAAAATAGTTGACCTGTTCTGTAAGTTTAAGTCTTCATCCTTTTGGGTGCTCAGGCCATGAATTGCATGAACAGCTCACTGAAGGCACAGCAGACAATATTCCAAAGGCAGGATTCAGCTATTTTATAGAGAGCATCAGGTAACCAGAATCTTCTGATATAGTAGCTGGCCCTGGGACCATTTAGGCATAAACTGTGGATGCCATCCCTAAAGTTGGAGGGTGAAGGTCTTGCTAGATAGAGACTTACACCCTGATGGCACAAGGATGGGTGCTTGTTTAGAATTTTGAGCTAATCCACGTATCTTAAGTTCCATTCATTGAGTTAATGACAGTCCATTTCTAATATCCATTATGCTAGTTAACAAGCCATTATTTTTACCAGTGAAAATTTGCAATTTTAACATTCCTTGTGCTAATAATCAAAGCCTTTGGTGTCTGACTGAAGTTTCTGGAGAGCGAGGTTGCTGATTAGAATGCTCACAGACAGCCTCTGGCATGTGAGGCCTGCATTAGGGCATCTAGCTGTATCTAGTGTATAACTTGAACTAACACTCATACTATCGTAGTATACATCATGTGCTGAAGTATTTTAAAGCAAATTATAGACATCTTAACAATCGTATACCAAATATCAACTTCTGAACTAAAAGCATAGTATGCTGTGCCTTTAGAAAGATTGTTCAGTGTGAAACAAAGTTTTGTCTGTATGTTTAACATAGGGATTGTGTATGAAGCTTTAGAGAAAAGCTTCTTGGCCCTTGATTAGGCTTTCTCACTTCCCACAAGTCACACTTTTCTCTCTCAGACCCTAAACTTTCTCTCTCTAGAATGAAGTGATCATAAACCCCATTTTATAGGATTTTTAAAGGATTAAGTGAGGTTACATATGTGAAATATGCCTGGCACATAGTAAAACCTCAATCATTGTCAGCTTTAAGAGACATTCTCTGCTAAGAAGTATATTTTTATAGGTAATAGCCTTTTAAATACAAACATTTTAGATATACCGTGGTACAGGGCAAGTTTGTGGTATTTCTTTTAAAAATGATATATTTTTATCATTTTCTTGAATTATAAAATTACTAAATATTCATTTTCAATTTTTAATTAAAGTGCAAGTAAGATAAAATCATTCATAATTCTAATACTCAGTGTATTCACATTTAACATTTTGACGTAGATCTTTTTATATGTCTGTTCATGTTTGCAAATGTATGTATATGTATGTTTTTTTAAAAAAAAAAAAAACAAAGTTGGGATTATTTAGCCCAACTATTTCATTTGTGGACATATTTATAAACATTTTTTTCTGTGTCATTACATATTCCTTGGAAACATGATTTTTGATGCCTGCATAATATTCCATCGGCATAATAGCTGTTATTGTTGGTTTCTATTTTTCTTCACTATTATGAATAATATTGGAATAAATTTTTGAATATAAATGCCATATAAATATTTGTGTACATTTCTTGTTGCTTTCTGAGCTAAGACCTTTCATGCTTATTGCCAAATTTTCTCCCAAGAGAATTCCGCAAATTTGGCACTGGATATCATCCATATTCTGGCTGTATAACTTGAATGAAAGACTTAACTTCTTAAAACTTCCATTTATCATTAATAAATTAGGCTAATCTCACTTCATAAAATTGTTGAGAAGAAAACAAAATTGTTAGGTCTTGTCTTCTGATATCTACTTTGAAGACTACTGAAAGTTAATGATTCTGCCATTAACTAGTTGTTTGACTTTAGTCCACCTCCATGAATTTTTTTTCTTTTCTTTTCTTTTTTTTTTTTTTTTAAGCTCACCACAACCTCTGCCTTTCAGATTCAAACAATTCTTGTGCCTCAACCTCCCAAGTAGCTGAGACTACAGGTGTGCACCACCATGCCCGGCTAATTTTTTTGTATTTTTAGTAAAGACCAGGTTTTGCCATGTTGGCCAGGCTGGTATCGGACCTGTGGCCTCAAGTGATCTGCCCACCTCAGCCTCCCAAAATGCTGGGATTACAGGTGTGAACCACCATGCCCCAGCCCCCCTCCAAGCCTTTCATATATCCTACCTTGGACCAGTTGCTCTGAGGTGCTCAATTCTTTATCTGTGAACTTACTGTTCAGGAAACACACATACACGGGTAGTCACAATTCTAAAAAACAGTGGATATTTCAAAATTCAGTAATTCCAAGACAGAGGAAAAGAGCATAAAACCGTCGTTCAAAAGAATAAGGAGAAGTCACAAGTGTGATATAAGAACAGGGTGTGATAGTATACTGACTATATATCGGAGACTTGCATTTCCTGCTTGTTCATGTGAACCCTTTCAAGATTCTTTGTTACTTGAACCACATGAAAAAACTGATGAAATATTTTTTCCCTATTCCAGAGGGTTTATTTCCCAGTTCAAATTTACCTCTGTTGATAATACTTTTTAATCCCACCCTTGAGTGCTCAGATAGATTGATTTAGTTGATATTTATTCATTAGCTGTCCTGAGAATATTACCAAGAATTCTGATTTTTAACAGCTTATTTCTAGACCAGGTATATCATAGTAGCTGCTGTATTCTTACACATCTCCTTCCCCATCAGCCCTGCTACTACTATTACCTCTAGAGTTTTCGTCTGATGAAACATAGCTTTTGCAGGGAAAACAGCTTTGTGGAAATGAGTATTCTGTAAGTGATACATTTTTTTGTTCCTTCTACTGAGTTTAAATCAATGCCTTTACCTTGACTGTGAAACCTGGGAATCCACAATCCCTTGATGGCTCATTTGAATTCATCCTGGTTGTAACAGACTTTGCTAAGTGGTAAAGCTTTTGGGAATTCTTGGTTGGTTTACCAGCTGAAATTCTGGGACGTTGCCTTCTATGAAACTAGATGAAATCTCGGAAGTCAAGCTCTTGCCTGAAATGAAGTAAGTGGTTTTCTGAGCTCCAGATGTGTTAGAGCACAGTGATGGGAGAAAGGGCCTCTCCACACAGTGCGGTGAGATGCCTGTCAACCCAGCCAGGAGTCAGGAGACCTGGGCTCTGGCCCTGTCTTGGCCGCTCTCTGAGGGCTGTGTTGCTTGAGCTAGTTGCTCTGAGCTTCACTAACATCTTCTGTAAAATCAGACTTAACTGGGTAGGTCATTTTCAATTAGGCAATTGTATGACTTTTTAAAAAAAATTCTCTCTCCCTTCCTTCAGTGTCTAACCAAGATTTTTCTGTCTGACAAATAGTCTTTAAGCCCTGCATCAAAATGCAGTAGTTTAAGCTAACTAGGGATTTAAGAGCATCAGAGGTAATTCAAACAAGTTTGTAGTCAAGGGTTGAGATGGCAATAAAATATTTAAAAATAAGAAACATAATTTTATAAAATGCTAATTAGCAGAAGCCATGGTAAGCATGTGGTAGGGTTGTTAAAATTTCATTTTATAATTCTATTAACATAAATATGTTGGCTTATTTTTAATCTATGCCTTCTATAAACACAGCCTTTGGAAACTTTGGGGAAGACCAGATATAATATAATAGTAGCTGTAATTTATTGAGTGTTTACCATGAGCCAAGTGCTACACTGTTGTATGAACATTTAGTTTTCCCAGTTACCTTCTGGAACAGAGACTGTGGTTACTCCCACCTTTCTGTTTTACAGATGAGGAAATAGAAGCACACAAAGGTCCAATTCCTTGCACAAAGTCATCAGCCAGTAAGTGGCAGAGCTGGAATTTGAATCCAGGTGGTCTGACCTCAGAGCCCATCCTCTCAACCGCCATTCACTTTGATTCCCTGACAAGGGAGGTCAGAGTCCCAGAGAGTTCAGATGAAGGAGACAAGACAAATGCATGGCTTGTCTCTATCAGCACTGGGTGTACATATGACTTTGAAGTAGATACTTGTTAGACTATAGGGAAAAATGTCCTCATCTTCAAAACACTTAATATGAGACTTGCTTTCTTAGTGTTCCTCTACTCTCACACCCACTAGTTCCTCTAATCTCTCCAAAGAGATTTGGGAGCTGTGTTCTCTCCGCTGTGCTGGATGGAAATTCCAACCAATCTATTAGTTTTCTGAACCTCTTCTCTCACTCTTTTGTGCTAAATTCAAAGACAAAGACAATGAGAAAATAGGAATTTGTGGCCACTATAAATCTTCATGTACCTCGTATAAACCTATGGCAGGCATAGAATTGAAAGCTGCTACAGCTCTGGCCAGGCTGCATTGAAATACCAAAAACAAATTGTGTATTTGTATGTGTGTATATAGATATAGTATATATATATATATAGTGTATATATATAGATATAGTATATATATAGTATATATATATAGTGTGTGTGTATATATATATAGTATATATAGTGTATATATATAAGTGTATATATATAGTGTGTATATATAGTATATATATAGTGTGTATATATATAGTATATATATAGTGTGTATATAGATATACTATATATCTATATACACACACATACATATATAAAAATATAAATATAGGGGCTGCATCTGCACATTGTGTGGACTAAGTGCCTTTAGGAACACATCTGTTGTAAATCAAAAAAAGGCATCATTACTTACAGGATTGGGCTTGGATTTTCCTAGGCTCTTTGTGTTGAATTAAGTCTTTTAGTTTGACCAAAAAGACCAGGAAAATGTCATTCAGACATATCAGCTGAGGGACTAATACAGAATTCTGGGTAGAGCTACTTGAATTGTAAATGTAATTTCATTTAAGGATGCATCTACTAGTTTAGCAACAGCTGTGTCCTTCAGCCCTGCAGCATGCTACTTCAGTGCTCCTTGAGCTGTCTGAGGTGTCCAGCTGTTCCCCTGGAGCATTCTTCCTCCCTTTGTCTATTGTGATTTCTCATCCTGGCTCCCCACTCTAAGATAGAATTTCATCCTTCCTGAAAGACCCCTTTGGTTGTAGCCACCCCTAATGGGCAGCAGGCAGTGACCCAGGAAGGCGGTGGGGAGGAGGCTGCAGTGTCTGCCTGTTGTTAGGAGAAAAGGAAGCATTGTGTCTAGTGAAGCGGGATTTGTTGGAGTGACATTTCTTTGTCACTTTCAGTTTTTTTGAATTCCATTTGCTGTCTGAGATTTGACTCCTTTTTCCTTGGCTAGCTTCTTTCCTTAGATTCCAGCTCACCATCTCTGAATTTCCAAAGGAAAATGGTGGCTTTTTGAGAGTTAAGTAACTCCTTTCTTATTGAGTCCCAATTTAAGTAGAATTTAAAGGCTATAATTAAAATTTCCTCAATCAGGGGCTTTTAGTAGAGTGTAGCTTTTGTTATTTTTAGACATTAACATTTGTTAATACCTATTGGTTTTTCTATTATTCTCTGAACTTCCTGATACATTTGAAATAGTTCAAAATTTAAAAACTTATCATACTCCTCCTAAAAAGACTTTTAAAATCTTTAAACAAAATTAAAAAAACTTATTTAACAATGTTTTAAATAGGTACTACCTGCATGTAAATATTTTAAATTATATTTCCAGTAGAGCCATTTATGTTCTTTTTCCTCAGCTCCCTTTGAAGCCAGCAGAATACTCTGCCCTGACCAGCTGTATGACCTTGGCTGAGCTATTTAATTTTCTGTGTCTCATGTTCCTCATCTATAAAAGGAGGACAATATTGGAACCTACTTTGTAGAGTATTGTGAGGAGTAAATGAGCTATGTACATGAAGCTCTTAGGATAGGATGTGGCAACAACAAATGATCAGTTGTTATTGTTGTCGTTTTGAGGCGGAGTCTCACTTTGTTGCCCAGCTGGATCTTGGCTCACTGCAACCTCCACCTCCTGGGTTCAAGTGATTCTCCTGCCTCAGCCTCCTGAGTGGCTGAGATTACAGGCACCTGCCACCACACCTGGCTAATTTTTATATTTTTAGTAGAGATGGGGTTTTGCCATGTTGGCCAGTCTGGTCTTGAACTCCTGACCTCAGGTGATCCACCTGCCTCGGCCTCCCAAAGTGCTGGGATTATGGGCGAGAGCCACCATGCCCGGCCCCTGTTGTTATTTTAAGAGACGAGGTCTCACCATGTTGCCCAGGCTGGTCTCGAACTCCTGGGCTCAAGCTAGTTGTTGTTATTAACATTACTTAAAAAGTAAAATGCAAGATAGTTAAAAACAATAACTTATTTTTCCCATTATGACATTATAAATAATTGTTTAGTGGTTATGATGAGCCTGTCTTTGGAATCAACCCAATGTGGATTTAAATCAGAGTGCCCTCCCTCATAGAGTATGGATGAACTTAACCTCTCTCTGGGTGAAATATGAATAATACTATATATCTTATGAGTATGAGAGTGAAGGAGATAGTATAAGGAAGTACTTAAAATACCTTGGCACACAATAAATACTTCATAAATGATAACTGTTTTCTTTTCATTATTACCCAAATTGGCGTATTTCCTTCTAGTCTCATACGCAAATTTTAAACACAGTCATAATGAAACAGTGTTAGTACAATTTCATTTCTTGCTTTTTTCAAGTAATATTTTATAATCCCTTTCACAGTAACTACATAAACTTCAAATTCATCATTTTAATGATTATATAATATTTCATTAAATAGTTATATAATAATTTATATTGCCCTTTAGTATTGAACATTCAGGTTATTTCCACTTTTACCATTATAAATGACACCATGTGAAACAACTTTATACATATAACCTTTCATATTTTTGTACCATTGCCTTAGAAAAGATTCCCTGAAGCACTCTTAACTGTATGTGACTACTTTCATGATCCTTTGAATATGTTTTTTATCTCTGTCACTGAAAGATAGGCTTCTGTTTAAGGCTTACCACTTTATCCTTAGTACCTAGCACATCATCAATGCTCAATAAATATTTATTGAATTAATGAACAAATGAACATATTATAATATTATTTTCCAAAAGGGTTAGACTTTATGTTTTCATTCTATTATCTTTTAACAAAACTCTTAAAAACAGAGGCGCTTTCTATATGACACAGGAGTAATCAGAAAGGTAACAGTAACAGGTCATATTTTTTGAGTACTTTCTATGCCCCAGACATCAATCATCCTGAGTATGTTGCATGTATTACCTCATCCAATTTGCTTAGCATCCACCATACAATTCACTATGGTGAGTACTATTGTTACAGGATCTTTGGGGTATCATTTTTCTGGCTGGAAACCTGTGGCTGGTGACACCTTTGCCTGAGTTTTACTTGGGCCTGCTGGGCTCATTCCACCCAGTCGGCCTGGCAGGCTGTGCTTAGTTCACACTACCGCCCTGGCTTCCACGCCTCCAAGGGAGACTGTGAGTCAGGCGTGGAGCAGCGAGGGGTGTGTGAGCAAGCGTGGAGTACAGCCACTAAGCAGTTGGACACACCAGCTGCTGCCGTGGGACAGGCAGCTCTAGGTGCTGGCATGGGTGCCAGTTCTCTGCAAAGCTGTGGCTGGGCCAGGCGCACTACAAGCAGCTTCCCCAGTTGGTACTGTTTGTGTTGTAACTGTTTCAGCTTGGCGGGTACTGAGTTCTTGTTCTGTGATCAGGAAGATTGAGATGCATGGACAAATGGAGGATGAGTAAGACAAAAAGGAGCTTTACTGAGTGATAGAACAGCTCAGAGGGAACTCACAGTGTGTAGCCCCTTTCCACATCCAGGGTGTCCCGTAGAGTGTGCAGCCCCTAGCAGAGAGGAGACCCTGGAGTGAGAAGCTCCTCTCTGCAGGCAGGTCGTCCAGTCGTCCCTGTATCTCTCAGCAGAGAGGAGGCTCTGGAGTGGGTTGCTCCCCTCTGCAGCTGATAATCCTATTTCTAGAGCTGTCAGCAGAGAGGAGGCCCTGGAGTGGGTAGCTCTTCTCTGTGGCTGGTTGTCCCAACATCTGCTCAGCTCTGATTGAGCCTGGGTCTTTTATGGGCCTCAGAGGGGAGAAAGTGTGCACCAGTTGGGTGGCCATAGGCAGGCCAAGAAAAGGCACACAAATTCCCACTCTGGTGGGACTGGCAGCCCCGCCCCCAGCCTTCAGGCCCTCCCTGGCCTGAAGATGGGGCTTCATCGAGGACCTGCTCCCTTCCGTCCAGGAACCTGTCTGCCTCCTGCTGCCATTCATGGTGTCCAGATTCGGCCCTGATGTTGCTCTGAGTTTGGAGCAGTTCCTGACAGCTGAGAGAAGCCAGGCAGCAGGGACAGGCACTTCCAAGCCTGTGAGTGCACAGGGGCCCTTCCCACCCCCTGGCCCCCAAGAGTGTAGGGAAGCCTTGGTTTGCAGTGTGCTTTGGGCGGTTGCAGCTGTGCCCATGGGGGCAGGGTTTCTACCTGCTCCGTGGAGCAGGAGGCCTGGGTCTGCAGCTGCAGTTTGGGTGGCTGTAGCTGCGCGCAGGCAGGCGGGGCTCCCACCTGCCCCTGGGCTCCTGCCAGCTTCATGGAGTGTGCAGCCCTGGCCGTGCCTCCCTGTTGCAGCCAGCAGTGATGGCAGTGGCAGGCCATTTGGAGCAGCTGCTGCCATCATTATCATTACCATTTTATAGTTGAGGAGGCATAGAGAAGTGAGTTGACTTGCCCAAGATCAAGATCGCACAGGTGGTGAGTGGTAGAATCCAGATTTAAACTAGACAGTGGGACTCAGACTGAGCACATAATTACTAGGCTGCCTGGCTTTAAGGTACTGAAAATTTCCTCTCATGCTAGGTGCAGTGGCTCATGCATGCCTGTAATCCCACCTACTCAAGAGGCTAAGGTGGGAGGATTGCCTGAGCCCAGGAGTTCAAGGCCTCAGTGAGCTACAATTGAACTGCTGCACTCCAGCCTGGGCAACAGAGTGTGAGACCCCGTCTCTAAAACAAAAAAGGAAATTCCCCCTCATTTTACTTTTCCAGCAGCTCACTTCTTTACTTCAGCCACTGTAACAAACTATTTTCTAGAGAACCTGAATTTGTTGGCCAAATTCCATATAAGACGTGAATCAGAGCTGTCCCTCAGTCTTGGGAATTTTGCATCAGTCTCCAAACAAGAGCCAGAATTGCTTACAGCACTTGGTCTTTTAAAACAATCCCACCCTTGCAGTTCACCAAGTGAAGGATTTGTGAATTTTTTAAAAATACAAGCCTTAATTTTTTTATTGAAAGGAATAATTTTATTAAACTGTTTAACATTAAAGACAGATGGTAGATTTGGAACATCATCCATGTGGGAGATAATAATACATGCAGGGATATCTCAACCAAATCATACAACGAATATCCTAGGGATTAACCAAGAACACTCCCCACTTAGTTAGCAACTGAAATAGTAGAACAACTTTTAAGAAGTATCAACATTATTACATCTATTTCTTCAGTGTCTCCTTCCCCTTACCAGTTTATTACAGGGTTTAGGAGCTTGAAAGAGCATTTGTATATACAGTAGTCCCCCTTATCTTTGGTGGATATGTTCCAAGACCCCCAGTGGGTGCCTGAAACGGTGGATAGTATGGAACTCTACATACACTATGTACAAATTTCTTTTTCCTTCTTCACAGTTTCATGGATAGAAGACTTGTTCTTACCATAGATCTTAGCAACCTCAGCATATGATTTTTTTTTCTTTCTTTCTTCATTTGAGAACTTTCACCTTTTCACTTACAGGAAACACATTGTGGCTTCTCTTCAACATATCTGAATTGTCAGCATCACTACTTTTGCACTTTGGTGCCCTTATGAAGTAAAATAAGAGTTACTTGAACACAGGCACAGTGATACTGCAACGGTTGATCTGAGAGCTCAGAGGGCTACAGAGTGACTAATAGGCCAGCAGTGTCTACAGTGTGGATATCCTGGACAAAGAGATGATTCATGTGCCAGGACAGAAGATTTCATCACACGTCTCAGAATGTCATGCACTAAAAACTTATGAATTTTTTATTTCTGGAATTTTCCACTTAATATTTTTGGACCACAGTTGACTGTGGGTAACTGAAACTGTGGAAAACAAAACTACAGATAAGAGGTAACTATAAACACTGCAGGCATTTTTTTTCTTTGCAAATAGTTGACTTAAAAACAGCCCATGGTTTATTTTTAGGCTATTATCTGCATATAGAGATTTTATTTTTTAATCATTTAGTAGCTTTCCTGTATGTAGCTTTTTTTTTCTGATTACTCTTTTTAATTTGTAATGTTAAGTGTGTGGAATTAAAACACAAACGTCACTTCCTAAACTTGCCATGGACTTACTGTTCCTTCACTCCACAGGTAGTGCAAAGGATGAGGAGTGAAGTCAAGCTATCATATTTATGTTGCTTTTGTTAATGACAGCACTCTGGCTAACCTTGTACTTCATTCACCCACTGTGGGTTTTGTCCCCAAGAAATGATGACTTTGTTCAGTACTGAAAGGCTTTTAGTGGGAAGTGAAGGGCCCTCCATGTTGGCATTACACAATGGAATTCTGATAGGCAGATATTGTGTTAAAGCAGAAATGCTTCCCTGTGGAATGTTTCTCTTCTGGCTTCTCCAGAGTGCACAAGGGAGCTTCACTTAGTGTCAGCTCAAAACAAAATTCATTTGCATACATGGGGAGGTGCTTTTTTTCTTATGGCAATTTCAAGAACTACATGTTCCCTGCCTCTTCTAAATTAATAAAATTAAAACCACGCAGATGTAGATGGAAATTATTTTTTGATTGTAGGAAGGAATGTGCCGAAGCTGACATGTCATTTTTTGGTAATTTGAGAAAACCCTATAAACACATCTTTTCGAGGAGATAGTATACGGAAGGCTCAGAGTCACAAAAATCAGGGTGTGAAGCTGGATTATGCTACTGTTTCTTTTTTTTTTTGAGATGGAGTCTCATTCTGTTCCTCAGGCTGGAGTGCAGTGGCTTGATTTCGGCTCACTGCAACCTCCACCTCCCAGGTTCAAGTGATTCTCCAACCTCAGCCTCCTGACTAGCTGGGGCCACAGGCGTACATCACCATGCCTGGCTACGTTTTGTATTTTTTGTGGAGATGGGGTTTCACCATGTTGGCCAGGCTGGTCTCAAACTCCTGACTTCAAGTGATCCACCCACCTCAGCCTCCCAAAGTGCTGGGTTTATAGGTGTCAGCCATTGTGCCTGGCCTGATTTTGCCATTTATTAATTGAGTGTCTTTGGTCACCTTTTTTAACCGAGCTGAACTTCATTTTTCTTATGTAATTGACTTATAGGTAGGATGTGAGAGGGTGAAGGCATGTAATGTGCTCAGCACAGACTAGTAGATAGAGGCCTTAGCTTGCTTGCTAATTAGTTCTTTCCCTGGAACTGGATCCTAGTTCTGTCTTTGATGACTACTATGACCTGAGGAAACCTGGTTTACCCTGCTGGGCCTAATAGTGTGAAACAGAAGTGTTAGTGACTCTTAGAGGTGATGTGAAGGGTGAGGAAAATGTGAGCAAGCATGAGGTGAGCCCCTGCTGGTATTTCCTATAGGTCATCAGCCTCTAGCTGAATGTGGGGAGGTGCCTCACTGCGGGAGTCCCATTATGAGGGGCCCCTAGTCAGATAGAGTCCATATATAAATCAGTAGCTACTTTTTAGGACATGGGAAGAATGGGAGGTAATGGTTAACAAAAGTCTGTTGTGTGCCAGTAGCTTTATATGTTGCCTCATTTAATCTTCAGGAGTGATCCTGCAGTGAAGTGTACTTATTCTCTTCCCTCTACACATTTTCAGGCACAGAAACACATTCAGTGAGGTAAGTAAGCACTCGTTGTGGAATGAGGTGGAGAAATCCAGATTTAAATCCTAGGTCTGCCACTTGCTAGCTACATGACTTTGAACAAGTCATTTACCTCTCCGAGGCTGAGTTTTCTTACCTGGAAATGGTGAGAGCAGAACTGTCTTACCTCACGGGACTATTGAGAGGGTTAAATGAGATAATGTAAGTAAAGTGTCAGCATACAGTAACCCCATAATAAATTATCATTAGATTCAATATTGAGGTTTGGTGAGATTGGTTTTTGACTGAAATATGGCTTTGAAAAATTCTATTTTGTTGAAAGGAAACACCTGACTTGAAGACACAGTAGACTGACCTTTTATGTAAAGAAGATCATTGACTTATAGAATTGCATGAACCTGTGGGGAAGGAGAAGGGTAGAGATACAAGATAAAAGCAGAATTATCTGGGCAGCTGTTAGATTTATTTATTATTTGAGCATCAATTGGATTCATTTATTCTGTTAAAGACAATTTGTTGATAAAATGTACAAGCATGCTGCTAACCACTTTATCTCAGAATAGGGAAGAAAAAAGGGAAAATTATGACTGAGCTTAAGTCTGATGAATAGTGAAAAAATGGCTGATAAAGGGGAAATAATAGGAACCTTGTTGCTTTTCACTTGGGCACAGTTGAGAGTACAGGAGTTGGTACTGGGATGGTCTGGTGCCAGCCACTAAAACAGTTCCTTACTCTTCAATGTGAGGAAGCACTGTCTCGTAATTAAGCACAGATGGACTAAGGAACAGTATGCTTCCCATGAATGGAGGTTTCCAGCAGGCAACAGATGATCAAATGTTATAAATGTCATGGATGGACATGGCACTGGGGGAGAGGCCATATTTTGCATGAAGTGCAAGTGAGGAAAAATAAAATTATATGCAGGTCAAATTTTTTAAAATTCAAAATGAAAATAGATTAATTGAGTCACATTGGAAGGTGGCGGAAGTAACTTTGTAAAATAGAAAAACACCAGCGACTTAAATCTTCATGTTAGGTTAGGGTTTATTTGAAAATCAGCAACATGATTTATTAATTGATCTTTCATTCTGTTATTTGATTGCAGGAAATCTCTTTAAATCAGATGGACCATTTTTGATTCTTTGCTTAGAGTTTCCTATCCGGACTAGAAAATATAAGGTCCTTTCCAGTTTTTAGACTTTATTATTTGAGGATATATTCTTTTCCATTATAAATTGTGAAAATTAAATATTCTCTTTAAGGAGAGAGAAAGCTTTATAATGTGAAGCAAAGACATCTGAATTATTGTATCAGTTTAATGTTCTGCAGTTACACCTAAAGATTTTGGGTTACTTATAAAAATAAAAATGAATCTTACTCAAAAGTTTATTAGCTACTATGGGAAAATTATATTGAAGCCATACATTCTATCAGGCTATTTCTAATTGAAAAAACATTGTCTTTAAAACAGTTTGTAGATGGGATTAGATATTGATTCATATATTAAGATTCATGTTATTTTGTTTGGGAGCAGGACTAAAATACCTGACTTATTTATTAGGCTCTTTGAATACAGCCAATAAAGAAAGGAAGAAAAGCTCTTGCTATGTACCTGCTATGGTTTGAATGTGTCCCCCCAAGGCACATGTTGGAAACTTAATCCTTGGTGCAACAGTGTTGGAAGTGACCTAATGAGAAGTGTTCAGATAGTGAGGGCTCCACCCCTTTGAATGGATTCATGCCAATTATAAAAGGGCTTGAAACTGTGAGTTCAATCTCTTGGTTTCTTGTACATACCCTCTTGCCAAGTGGTGCCTTCTGCCATGTTATAACACAGCAAGAAGGCCCTCACCAGATGCACTCCCTCAATCTTAGACTTCCCAGCCTCCAGCACTGTAAACCAAATAAACTTTTTTTTTGTTTACAAATCACTCAGCCTATAGTATTCTGTTACAGCAGCACAACACAGACTAGTTCCAACAGTGTGTCGGGGGTTTTCACTTTTGCATTCTCATTTAAACTTCCCATCCCCACAGTGTAGTAAGATTCAGGGTCCTGGATTCTTGAGCCTGATTGCCTCCTGTCAAATTGAGGTTTAGTTACTGTGTGATTTTGAACAGGTTGTTTAATTTCTCTGAGCCTTGGTCTCATCCAAAAAAAAAAAGGGGAGATGGGAGGGTAAAATAAGTGATTGCAGGCAAAGTGCTTGGCACACTGTATGTGCCAATGAATTTTAACTGTTTATTTTAGATTATTATTAGGTGTTATTCCACTTTCTAGATAAAGTTCTGCATCTAAAAGGATTAGACAGCATCAGATTAAAAGTTGCATAAAAGTTGCTTTATTGTGGTAGAAGATCTCTTCATGGAGAAGTGTCATGCAGTATTCTCTTACCTTTTGATGAGAAAACTGGATGTAGATCCCTTCGCCCTTTCCTCCCTTCATCTCTTCCTTCCTCCCATGCAGTTCCCACTCCCATCCATTTTCTTTCTTGCTTTTTTTTTGAGATGGAGTCTTGCTCTTATTGCCCAGGCTGGAGTGCAGTGGTGCGATCTCGGCTCACCGCAATCTTCGCCTCCCACGTTCAAGCAATTCTCCTGCCTCAGCCTCCCAAGTAGCAGGGATTACAGGCATGCGTCACCACACCCAGCTAATTTTGTAGTTTTAGTAGAGATGGCGTTTCTCCATGTTGGTTAGGCTGGTCTTGAACTCCTGACCTCAGGTGATCCACCTGCCTCAGCCTCCCCAAAGTGCTGGGATTACAGGCGTGAGCCACTGTGCCCAGCCACTTCCATCCATTTTCTTAAGCCTCCTTCTCCTTGGTCTTTCCCTTTATCTCTGTGTGTCACACTTACGACTGGACTTTGGGTCTTACTCAAATCCCTCTTCTTCAAGTGGCTTCTGCAAGTCCTTCCTTCCTGCAACATTAATTTCTACTTCCTTTCTTCCATTATACAGTCACTTAGCAAAAGGGATACATTCTGAGAAATATATTATTAGACGATTTTGTCATTGTACAAACCTCATAGAGTGCACGTCCACAAACCTAGATGGTAGAGCCTACAACATACCCAGGCTATATGGTACAGCCAGTTGTTCCTAGGCTATAAATCTGTACTCATGTACTGTACTGAATACTGTAGGCAATTGTAACACAATGATAACTATTTGTGTATCCAAACATAGCTAAATATAGGAAACAGTAGAGTAAACATATGGTATAAAAGATTAAAAAAAGGGTATACCTGTATAGGACACTTACTGTGAATGAAACTTGCGGGACTGGAAGTTGCTCTGGGTGGGCGAGTCAGTAAGTGGTGAGTAGGAAGGCATGGGACTTTACTGGACATTACTGTGCATTACTACAGATTTATAAACCCTTTGCACTTAGGCTACACTACATTTATAAACAAATACTTTTGTTTATTCAATAACAAAATAACCTTAGGTTGCTTTAACATTTTTTACTCTATAAAATTGTGAATTTTAACTTTTTGACTATTTTGTTATAACCGTTAGCTTAAAACGCAAACACATTGCACAGGTATGCAAAAGTATTTTGCTTTATATCCTTATTCTAGAAACTTTTTTCTATTTTTGAAATTTTTAATTTTAATTTTTACTTTTTGAACTTTTTTGTTAAAAGCAAAGGCATATACATTCACACATTAGCCTAGGCCTACACAGAATCAGGATCATCAATCTCATTGTCTTTCACCTTCACATCTTGTCCCATTGGAAAGTCTTCAGGGGCAGTAACATGGAGCTGTCATCTGCTGTGATAACAATGCCTTCTTCTGGTATACCTCCTGAAGGACCTGCCTGAGGCTGTTTTACAGTTAACCTTTTTTTCAGAGACAGGGTCTCTCACTTTGTTGCCCAGGCTGTAGTGCAGTGGCATAATCATAGTTCACTGCAGCCTCAAACTCCTGAACTCAAGTGATCCTAAGTAGGTAAGACTACAGGCTCATGTCACTGCAACTGGCTAATTAAATTTTTTTTTTTTAATAGAGAAGGGGTCTTACTATGTTGCCAAAGCTGGTCTCGAACTCCTGGCCTTAAGCAATCCTCCCACCTCAGCCTCTCCCAAAGTGCCACCATGCCTGGCCCTATAGTTAATTTTTTTCATAAGTAGAAGTACATTCTAAAATGATAAAAAGTACAACATAATAAATATATAAACCAGTAGTGTAGTCATTTACCATCGTTATCAAGTATTATGATGTTATAATTATATGTGCTATACTTTTATACAACTGGCAGTGCAGTAGTTTTGTTCACACCAATGTCACCACAAACACATGAGGAATGTATTGGGCTATGACAGCTACAACGTCACCAGGTGATAGGATTTTTTCAGCTCCTATACAGTCCTGTGGGACCACCATCATATATATCATCTGTCATTGACTGAAATGTCATCAAGCAGCACATTACTGTACTTTTTTCTTTTAAAAGTCATAGTGTTTTTCAGAGGCTGTGTTGCCTTTCAGTTATTTTTAATTCCTCTATTTCCTCTGAAGAGGCCAATGGTCCATTGAGTGCAGGCTTCTTGTCTTATCTGCATCCCTGTTCCACGTAGCTTCCCTGCCCTTCCTTACACACAGTGGGTGCATCAGTTCATGGTGTTTACTCCAAAGCCATGACCCACAAGAAAGCGTTATTTCCAGTGGGGGTCTTTAACACCAATCTTTTATCACTGATAATTGAATGAGCAATTCTGTTTTGTTAAGAGCTCCCTGTGGATGCACCTTTTGAGAACTGCTTTAGAAAATTTTTGTTTGGTCTAATATTACTCTCTTCCAAGCCTCCTACATAAATCAGAGCTTCTCAAGGAAGGATTAGTTTTATAGCAAAGTAAATATACTGTTTGAATTTAGCCACCTTTAGTTTCAACTTATTCCTGCTCCTCTTAAGACAAGTTTGTGTTTTTAGTAATAATCAGCTATTTCTGAGACTCTTAGAGTGGAGAATTTGTGAAGTGTTTAGAATCTGACTCTGAGACTCCTTTGTGGGGATACATTTGGTCAGCACAGCTCTGGTATTAGGGAAATGAACCTGCGAGATAGCTCACTTATCTGTACATTGGCAAATAGAGAAAGATAGTCTTGTAATAGAGAAAAAAAAATCTCAGAGGGGAAAGAAATAATAAAATCAAGCTGGTTTATGGTTTGTCAGTCCAAAAAGCTTTTAAGCCTTATCTATAAAGGTAGATCCACTTAATGTTTGTTCTGCATTTCAGGCATCATTGTGTGATAAGTGGTGTAAATTTAGCCCCTTTAAGCCTGATCTCCTGGGGGTTGAGATTTAAGCGTTGGAACTTTATTTGAAAGGACTCTATTGACTGGGCTTTGATTTGGTCCTTCTTTACCGAAGAGAGGTACTAAATCATGGCTTAGCTTCCCTGTTAGGTGTTTTTTTTTCTTTTTTGTTTATTTTATAGGCCTCTCTCTCCCTGCCGCCATTCTCCATGTTCCATTTCTAACTGTTCTGCTTAGACTGAAGTGGTATGAGAGGGGGGGAAAAAGGGAAAGAAAAATCAACTGTCACCCTGTGAACTTAATTGATTCAATAAATAACGTCTTTCAATTCCCAAGGAAAACCTCAGTCTTCACTTATGTCAATTAGTGTTCAGTTCAATAAGTGGTGGAGGTCTTAATTTAGATGGATGGGAAAGTTTGCAGGTCCTCACCTCCTAGGGAAGGAGTGTGCTTTTCTTATTTTAAAGTCATACCGTCTGGATTTATGCTCTACTCTGTAAATAGAAGCTTGAAAGAGAATTAATGTGATAGTTTTTATTCTTCCTGAAAATAGAAAGAAGACATTTAATTATTGTCCAGAGATTTGTTAGAATAAAAAAGTGAAGTGAGGGAATGAAAATTTTCTGGAATCTACTAGACTGTAAACTCCATGGGGGCAGGAACTATCTTGTTCATTCACCATTTAATCCCCAGTGCACGTAGTAGGTGCATAGTACATATTTGTTAACTGGGTCTGTTGTTAAGGGAATAAGAACGAAAAGGGGCACAATGCAGGTTTTCTGTTAAGAATTTAGTTAAATTTCATTTCACTGGTTGTTTCGTCCCTTGTCCCCAATCCCCTTTCCCCTAATTCTTTTTTTTTTTTTTTTTTTTTTGAGACAGAGTCTCGCTCTGTCACCAGGCTGGAATGCAGTGGCGTGCTCTTGGCTCACTGCAACCTTTGCCTCCCTGGTTCAAGCAATTCTCCTGTCTTAGCCTCCTGAGTAGCTGGGACTACAGGCACCCACCACCACGCCCAGCTAACTTTTGTATTTTTAGTAGAGACGGGGTTTCACCATGTTGGCCAGGATGGTCTCCATCTCTTGACCTCGTGATCCACCTGCCTCGGCCTCCCAAAGTACTGGGATTACAGGCATGAGCCACTGTGCCTGGCCTCCCCTAATTCTTTAAATGGAAGGTACCTCTTAAGAGTGTAGTATATACTATATCTTCAGAAATGATTAAGGATAACCTGTTTCATCAATTCCAAGACTGTCAGAGTTGGAAGAGATGGTGTAAAGCTGCTATTTACAAATTCTAGTAAATGAACTGGTTGTGTTTCAGAATCACATTGAAATGGGATAGTTCTCTGACCCCTTTCCATGACTTATGAAGGGGTTGCCTCATTTACTCAGCACGCAGCTCTCAACCCCTTGCAAAAGGGGGAGCACACAGGTGAGCAGATGCAGATGCCAGGATGAGTGCTTTTGGACAACCAGTAGGAGCAGAACTCTGTGCGGGCCTATGGAAGCATCTAGAGGTTGCCTTTGACCCTCAGAACCCCAGGGAGTGCGTGTTATAGTGTGCTCTTTTAGCTTTGTCATTCATAGATGGCTTAAGTGTTAAGCAGCTCAGTGGAGGGTCAGTGTGACAGCCTCTTGCACTTGCACCCGGCTCCTTGTCCTGCATCCAGGAAGAATCAGGTGGCGTGAACGAATTGAAGGGTGGTGAATGTGGAGGATTTTACTGAGCAGTGGAAGTGGCTCTCAGCGGGATGGGGAGCTGGAAAGGGGATGGAGTAGAAAGGTGATTGTCCCCTGGAGTTTGGCTGTCCTTGGCTGAATTCCTCTCTGAGGTCCTGCCATCAAGCCATCCCTCTGAAGTCAAGCTGCTTCTCTCCAATGTCCAGCTGCTTCTTCTCCTCTCTCCTCTGCTGCTCTGCCACTCCACCAGTGGGGCCTGGGGTTTTTATGGGTACAGGGTGGGGGGTGGGGTGGGCCAGGGTGGTTTTGGAAAAGGCAACATTCATATGGGAAAACGGGAATGTATATTCTGACTTTGGGCCACAGGTCCAGGCTTGAGGGTGTGGCCCTCACCAGGGACTGCCCTTTTCTACCCAGTATTTTCCTGCCACCTGTCCTTATCAACATGAAGTATGTTACACACATACAGACTCAGGCCTGAGACTTGAAATTTCTGACTGAGTCAAATACACTCTTGGGTAGACTCTTGGGAGTCTGTTTTCTTTTGTGACTCCCCTTAGTAATGCTAGAGTGCAACTGGGTATAGAAAGCACTAATCCCATCTAGCTCTCAGTGCCCTGACCTCTGTGGTCTATGTTACTCCTTAGTAAAAGTGATCAGCCTAAGGTGCCTAGCAGAATGATTGGTGGAGCTGTGACTAGAACTCAGGTCTCCTACCTCTGACAGTGGTGCTCCTGGTCCTGTGGTTTGCTGCTTTGGTTTAGCAAACACTCCTTACTACTCAGCATTCTCTCAAGATCCAGTAATACTTCTTCCTTCCAAGATAACGGTAGTATTTGTGGTGATGGCCAGGCAGAATCTGAAGGACCTTCTGAATCCTCAAGGAAATACTAACTTTAGTTTAGTCTACTTTGGTGTTAAATATATTTTATTGTCTTCTCTAGCGATGCCTTTGATTACCCTCCGTCCCCATCCCTGGGCTTAGATCCCAAGTAGGAAGTCCCTGCCTTTTTCCTGCAGGCCCACGTGGTGTTCACAGCCCTGCCTAATCATAAGAGGATCATATGGGTGCCTCTTAAGGGCATAGAGCTCTGGTGCCTGCTTGAGTCCCATTAAATCAGAATTTTCCTGGGAGGGGCCTGGGGATCTGTATTTTAAGTTCCCCTTATCATTATTCTTCTCTGCAAGAATTCTCAGGCTCAGATCTCTGAAAATAGCAGCTCCCTTTCCCATGGATCCAACTTTGATGTCCTGGAGACCTCAGTTTATAATTGCATCATAACCCTGTCTTCCCACTTGAAGGTTTATCCTCTGGTCTGTAAAACTTGTCCTTTAAGGAGGAAAGGAATTCATGCTTTCTTCTTTCTTCCAAGGTAGAATTTTTCTGGACAGGATGCTGAGTAGATAGGTGGGTATGGACAGTAGAAAAATGAACATTGCAAGAAGGTTCATGGAGGCCTTTGAAAAGGAAGAGGGTGCCTGTGCTGTTTCCCTGGCTTTATTATTTAATAGTTGTGTAACTTCGGGGAAATTATTTAAACCTCTTTGAGTTTCTGTTTCCTCGTCAGTAAAATGTGGGTAAGGATAGTACTTATTTGGAGGTTTTATGTGTATTAAGGTGTCCTAGGTCAGCTCTTGGGGCACAGACTTAGTTTGAGATTTGCCTGCAGGCGGTATTGTAGTGCGCACTCAGGAACAACTCTTGTCATGGGGTACGGGAAGGGATTTTTGAACTGCAATGCACTTGTAACAAAGGTCTTAGCTGATCCCTTGGGGAGCTTTGAGGGTTGGATGCTCCTCAGAGTTGTCCCAAATTAAGGGAAGGGGGCCAGGTCTTTATACCGCTGTACATACCAGTCATCCAATGATGTATGCTGCCCCTGGAGGGACATGACTTCAGGTAAGGCAGCTCCCTTTGGCAGAGGGTGGCTGTGTGCCAGCAGCAGCCTACAGTCTTGGTGGAAAGGGAAGGAGTGCTTTAGTTCTGGGAGGGGTCTCAGTGATACACCATAGCACTCGCTACCCCCAGGTAATGCACATAAAACCCCAGCAGTGAATCTAGCATATTTGTAAATGTTCAATGAATATTAACTACTGCCATTATCATTCTAGCTCTGGCAGGGCCACTTTCAAGAAGTTATTTAACTACTCTTGGGTTGTTTTCTTATGTTTAAAATGGCGATCATAAGCTCCGTTCTGCCCATGTCCCTGAGTAGTTCTGAGCACATGCGGAGATAATGTATGTGAAATTGCTGAGTAAAATATTAAAAAAATGTCAGGTATGGCTATGAGCCTACTTTGTTGAAATGAATATATGGCCATGACCTGGATTCTTTGAAGGGAAAAGGTTGTGATAAATGTAAAAGTACTTGTCTGTGAAATAGGGCATTTTAATTTTTTTTCCTTCTTTCTATAGGGAATTAGAATCATGGAGATGCTGCTAAAGGAACAGTGTGGTGCCCCCTTAGCTGAATAAAGAATCATCAGTGAGTACCAAAAGCAAAGTCAGAATTATTTACACAAGCCATATTTTCATGCTTATCAGCCTGGTATTCTACAGCAGCCTCCCTGGGCTATTCACGCTGCACATTTCCCAGTTATATGCACAGAATACTATTTCACAGGTGTTTTATCTCTTCAGTACTTTTATTTACTTGGTTCTTTGATTTTCAGAGCAGTTTTGTATTACATGCTGGGTTACAACTCTATTCAAATTGTTAAAACTGTTGCACAATCTACCATGATTGAGAGCCTCAAGGTGTTATAGATTTGTAAAGACTGCAGCTCAGATTAACTGAGGCTTAATGTTTTTGTTCTGAAAATAATCAAAGGAAGCCTTTAAAAGTGTAATTGGAGCAGGAAGAGAAACAAGGAAGGGGCATGTTGATTGGCCAGTGAAACAAATATCTCTTATTAGTCATATGTATTTCCACTGATGGTGGGTAACTGCCTGAAATGCTATTGAAAGGGATTCTGAAGTCTTGAGAGTAATTCCCAGGCTCTGGGTAAGAGTGCCTTGGTGGTTAACAGTGTCTGCCATGGGCACAGGATGGAAGGAGGACAGCACTCATGCTGAAGCACGTGCCACATCTAGTTTAGGGCAAATGGTATAGGGTTAACAGATAGTGGGGGATTGCAGAACTACTCAACTCCCTACCCCCACCTCCTAAATTTCTATTGTCTGGATCAGGGAGAATGGTCTTTGTAGTGGAAAGGGCAGGGCAGAGTTATTTAAGAAAGAATCAAAGCCCAAAATAAATGAGTATGATAGGTTTACATCTTACAGAATTTATAGGCCTTAGGTTTTTTTGTTTTTGTTTGTTTGAGATGGAGTCTTGCTCTATTGCCCAGGCTGGAGTGCAGTGGTGTGATCTCGGCTCACTGCAGCCTCCACCTCTCTGCAACCTCCATCTCCCGGGTTCAAGCCATTCTCCTGCTTCAGTCTCCCGAGAGGCAGGAACTACAGGTGTGCACCATCATGCCCGGCTAATTTTTGTATTTTTAGTAGAGATGGGGTTTCACCATGCTGGCCAGGCTGGTCTTGAACTCCTGACTTCGTGATCCACCTGCCTCAGCCTCCCAAAGTGCTAGGATTACAGGCGTGAGCCACTGTGCCTGGTCAGGCCTTAGGTTTTTAACATCTGAGAGTTGAAACCTTTGAATAAAACAAACTTTGCCTTGGGTAATGTAGAATTACCTCAGGTTTTCTTGTGTTGGTTTAAAAGTTGAGACACATAGTCTTGTGTAAGCAACCTGGTATTCTAATTGTGATAAACAGTAAAGAGTGAGAGCAGTTAACCAAAAAGAAGCAAAAGGAACATCATATACAAGCACCTTGGCGTGTAAAGCATGCTGTCCAGACCTGTGAATGAACATCATTCGGAGAATTGTAAAGTCTTTCTGCTTATTTGCAGGTTGGACTCCATTTTGATTAATATGAAACCTCTGTATACTTAATACATATTAATAGACTCCTTTATTACTGGAAAAGCTAAATAAGATAATTTCATTTAGCATAGGCATACACATAGCAGGTGCTCATAAATGTTGGAATTGAATCTAAATATGGTTTACTCCTACACCCACCCTGTTCCTTAAAAAATTATAGAGAACAACTTGGCCACATCTCCCTGGTTTTCTCGGCTAGCATATTTGTGAGGCTCACTAAGCACCTCTTGTACTTGCATGCTTAGGCACAGATCCCATCTTACTCTGGAGGGTGGGATCTCGAGTCAGCTCCAAGGTAAATGAGGGAATGAGGGGTCTCCATTTCCATGGGAAAGGTATACACCTATTGGTCTTCAAACTTCAAATTAGTGTTTTTGAAACTTTCTTGAGCATCAGAGTCATCTGGAGGATTTGTTAACACAGATTGGTGGGCCCCACTCCCCAAGTTCTGATTCAGTAGGTCTGAGATGGGGCCTGAGCATTTGTGTTTCTAACAGATTTCCAGGTGATGGTGATCCTGGTCCTGGGGCCACACTTTGAGAATGGCAGTTTTAAATGAGTTCACTTCTTTGGGTGGAGACAGATGAAATGCCAGGTCACTGAGAAAGCTAATAGCTAGGAGTTAGATATTGTTGTCATGTATTCGGTCAACTTTTGATTAATAGGAAGAATGATATTCTTTGTATGGCTTTTCCCTGATTTTAGCATCTCAGCTTCTTGTTTGCCCCCTTTTTTGTTGCTTAAATGTGGCCAGGCTCTACCCTGGAGCAAATGCAGTTGAAAAGAGGGGAGGTGAGATTCACATCAACTCGTACTTTAAATCAGTTTGGATTTAAATTGTTGGTAGTGAATATGAGTAAATTAAACAAGTTTACAGCATTACCTATTGTCTTGTTACCCATGTTCTGTGTTTTGTTTTGTTTTATTTTGAGACATGGTCTCACTGTTCTGTTGCCCAGGCTGGGGTGCAGTAGCGCAATCACGGCTCACCATAGCCTTGACCTCTGGGGTTCAAGCAATCCTCACACCTCAGCCCCCTTAGTAGCTGGGACCATAGGCGTGCACCACCACACCTGGCTAATTTTTTCCTTTTTTATAGAGGTGAAGTCTCCCTATGTTGCCCAGGCTGGTGTGTTTTTTATGTTTGTTTGTTTGTGTTTTTGTCCTGTGGTTGAGGGCTAAGCCATGAACTCAGGGCATCGTATTGTTTGTGAAAAGCAACTTACTCTCCTCTCTTAAGTGAAATGGTCGAGGTCTGAATATAACCAGGAGTTTAGTACAGGACAGTTGCATTTAATGCATTCAATGCAATGAAATTTCCTGAAAGATTTATATAATTCCAACTCTCAAAATTCATGACCAGTTTTCTCAGAGGAGTAACTGTAAAGTAGGGGATATATGTATATGTATGTATGTACTCTTACCACATAAATCTACAATTTGATGTTGCATCGAATGCTGCCAGCTTATTCCTTTCCTTTTCTCCCATTTTCTTGACTGTTTTTACAAAGTTTGTCAAGTTTGAAATATGCCTATGTTAATGGAACTTTTTAATTTCTCAGAATTAACTGTATGGAAAATGGAGGGGGTGGTTGTAGGTGGGGGTACTACTGTTTTCATGTGTTGTAAAATGCTACATTAAAAGAAGTGGGGGAAATTAGCTCTATAGCTATAATAAAGTAGAGGTCAGGAAACTACAGCCTGTAAACCAAATTTAGCCGGCTGCCTGCTTTTATACACAAAGTTTTATTGGAACACAACTATGCTTCTAACTATGTTCAAAGCTACAACTGCAGAGTTGAATAGTTATAACAGTGACCTTATAGCTACAAAGCCTATAATATTTACTGTCTGGTCCTTGAAGAAAATTTTTGCCTACTGATTGAGTGTCCTAAATTAACATCAAGGAGTGTTGTGGTGATTGTTTGGCCTTTCAAAATATAGTGTTTGATCACGTCTTACCCCTAAAGTTTATAGTTTGACAGTTTGTTTTTCTTGCATTAGCTCTAACGTCAACACTTTGTGAAGACTTGGCTGATTTTATATTAAGACATAAAAAGGTATTAAAATGATAATAACAGGAAGTTAAAATACCAGCAACAGTGGTCACTAAAATTGCTCATAAAGTTCCAATGCGCGTACACAATGGAGTAGACATATAGGCATTTAGTTTGGCACATAAAGTGGCACTGTGATGAGGCTAGAGGGTAGGTGCTATTTATAATTTACTCAATTTTTTCAGCTTTGGAATTTTGCAATTTTTAATACTTAAAAGACGTTTTGTGGGATTTGCAGAAATCTGCATAAGGAGACAGTATTTAATATTTTTATATCATACCACATTTTAAATTTGCATAATTTAAATTCACATAGAAAGTGACTACGTTCTACACTGTACCTAACATTAAAGATACTTCACAGAACTCTCTGACCTGTATGTCCAAGTGGGCATTTGAAAATGAGAAAGCTTAGAAGGTGATTTTTGTCATGAGCCAAAATGGAGACACATAAATCTCACTAACCAATATGCTTGTGGCATTGCTGTTGACACATCCCTTTGATAGATTTTTGATTTCCTGTCATTTTTGAATAAAACAAATAACCCTGACAGCTGTCTGTTCTTGCCACTGGCAGTTGGGAGATCAGGCTTGGTGAGATTTGACAACATAGCAGAGTTCTATCACACTGGAATGATTAAGACCTCAATTTTAGCTATATCTTAACTCTTCTCTGAACCAGCTCCTTTGGGTAGTTGGACTTAATAAAATGAGGTGCTTGCCTTGTTCGAAGATCATTAGGAGGGAGAAATGCAATTTCAAGAATTATCCGTAGTGATAGAATTCAAGTGGACTCTGAAGAGTTGCTTCAGAAAAGAGGGCAAATAAGTATTGATTGGTGAGACATGTTTATGAGGTGATAAAGCCTGTTTGCTTTCTCTTGCAGGAGAGCTGTATCCATGTCTACTTATTTATTTATTTATTTTTTTTTTGAGAATCACTTCTTGGCCACAGCACATCACAGACACAGTTTCTGGAATACAGGTTTGAGGATACAGTGTTGGCAGCTTCAAGAAGAGAAGACCTTCTTGCCAGGACATAAAATGATACCCTCCTCTGGGAGCCTGCTTCGAATAGTGGGACTCAGGGAGATAAGACCTTCTTGCTGGATTTTTATGACACAATCTCTTTATAATTTTACAAATAAAGGAAAAAAGAACCATGTAAGATATGTGTGCCCTTCCTCAGGGTGTTCTGCTGGTTGTCTGATGATGGTGTCAGGGCAGCTAAGGACAGGATAAAGGCCTGGAGAGGGTGCTTGTGCCCTTATGTTATCAGCACCGTTGTTCCTAGGATTCGTGAGGGGATTCTGGAACCAATAAGGGAGTTGAACTGGTACCTGATTCACGGGTGGACTGGAACAAACAGGAATGTACCAGACCTATGTTGAAGCTAAGCCGTATTTATAACAATGTTTAAGATTCTCAGAAATCAGGAGATTTTTATCCTATCCATAAGTAATATGTAACTGCCATAAGTATAGCTTTTAGAATGTAATATGTAAACTGTGATTTGGTCCTCTGGAAAAAAAAAAATGAAATGAAGAGTGGGAAGGCAGTTTCTTTTCTGCTAATTCGTTCTGTGATGGTGAGCAAGCAAATCATTAACCTCTCTGTTTTTTATTGGGCAAATGGGGATAATCAGGCACAGGTCTTTCCGCCAATGCGTTATGATGATTAAAGAAGGTAATTTTGTGCAGGGTTTTAAGTCAACAGACAGACCTGGGTTTGAATCCAAGTGCTGGCACCTACTTGCTCAGTGATCATGAACACAATTTTAAATCTTTCTGAATCTCATTTAAAAAAATTTGTGAAACAAGATGATAGAATTAATTTTGTGAGATTGTTGGACTGATTTGAGATCATGCCTATGAAGTACCTAGCACACTGCCTAGTACATAGTAGAAGTCCAGGAAATGGAAGCCATTATTATGTAAAACATTTTGCAAAGGTACTTTTTAACTGTAACGTAAAGTGGTACTACTGTTTGAAACTTAGATGGCAGTAGTTTGCATTTCTCGTGATCAGAAGCCAAAATATAAATACATACTACCTAAAAAATCTTGAAGAGAGGTAATAATTTGAAATTCATCTTCTTAAGATAAAAATCAGGGCAGGGTGTGGTGGCTTATGCCTGTAATCCCAGTACTTTGGGAGGCCGAGGCGGGTGGATCACAAGGTCAGGAGTTCGAGACCAGCCTGGCCAATATGGTGAAACCCCGTCTCTACTAAAAATACAAAAAAATTAGCTGGGCGTGGTGGCGCATGCCTGTAATCCTAGCTACTTGGGAGTCTGAGGCAGGAGAATTGCTTGAACTCAGGAGGTGAAGGTTGCAGTAAGCTGAGATTGTGCCACTGCACCCCAGCCTGGGTGACAGAGCAAGACTCCATCACAAAAAAAAAAAAAAAAAAAAAAAATTCAGGCCGTTACTGGAGAGTCTTGGGGAAATTTTTTTTTAAAATGTCTGAAAATTTTTCCACTTAATCCATTGATGAATTTCAAAGCAATTGTATTTTTTCATACAAGCCTGCCACTGTGAGCCTGTTCTTATTGTATCTGAGCTCTTTGTGCTGCCTGAATTTTGTCTCTTAATTTCTTTTCAGCTTCATAGTGTTTCATTCTTCAATTGTGTTGGAGGGAAAAATAATGGTAGAAACTAAAACACACTTTGACCTTTTTTTTCCAATTTGTAGATGGCATTTGGTAGGCTTTTGGAGTAATAGCCTATTTCAAAAAATAAAAGGTGATGCAAATTATTGTGGAAGTGAGAGGCAAGAAATTTGTATTTGGAGGTTGACATTAGAGTAAGTTTAACCCTTCACACTCAAAAACTCCCATCCTCTGAAGGCAGGAGTTCTCAACCTTGGCTGTCTGTTAGGATTGCTTGGGGAGCTTTCTGCAATTCTGATGCCTGGGTTGCTTCTCAGACCAAAAATCAGAATCTCAGGTAGTGGAACCAAGGCATCAGCTTTAAAAAAAACTCCTTTGGTAGTTCCAGTGGGCAGCTAAGAACACTACAGTGACTTTTAGGTATTTGCAGACAATATTTAATTTTTTTCTTAATATCTCTGTGGTTGGAAAGGATCTTTGTAGCAGGAATTTTTTTATTAGAAATAGACCAAGGCACAGAGAGGTTGAATTTCTGCCTTGTGTGCCCGGTTCCAGCACAGTGCGGTTGTGTCGTTGGTCTTTTTTAGTATTTCCTATTTCCAATTTTCTAAGAAAAGACAGAATTAAAAAAAAAATCTCCTAGTTTTTTATTGGCAACCAATTCAGAATTGTTTAAAACATTGTGCTGGCCAAAACAAAAAACATGTTTGCCAGCCAGTAGTTTTTAGCCTCTGCTTCCAGAGTGTTAAGGACAGGCCTAAACATCCTGGCCAAGCTTTAATGGATTTGCATTTTTGTACTCTGGATGTAAGTTTTATTCTGCCTCTCCTCTAAGACTACTTTTAGATGTATCTTCCTCCTCATTCCTAAATAATCCTCAGGGATTACTTTTCCTCACTCAGTAATTTTCCCCCTGCAGGCAGCTATTGCTTCCAGCTTCACATATATGGCTTAGAAATTTTATGGTCTTTTTTTTTTTTTTTTTCATTTACTTTTTTTTGAGATAGGGTCTCACTATGTTTATCAGGCTGGTCTTGAACTTCTGGCCTCAAATGATCCTCCTGCCTCTGCCTCTGCCTCCCAAAGTGCTGGGATTACAGGCTTGAGCCACTGTGTCTGTCCTCTTTTTGGAATTAATTAGGGCTTGTTAATTTTTTTAAATTATATGTTTTGTGATAAAACATTTAGAAGTCCATGTTTTTTATTCTGTACTGTGTAGCTTAAGAAATGTCAAAACCAGGAGTACAGGCTTATTGGGCACACTAGAAACAAGAGTGGGAAAGGGTTAATTCACAGACCTGGCCAGTCTCCTCCTGTCTTCAAGGCGATGATTTACCCTGTGATTCTCAGACTTCACATGTACCAGAAATCTTTGGGGCAACGTGCTAACGTGCAGGTTCTCAGTCCCTTTCCCCAGCGATTCTGATTCGTGGAATTTCAGTTGATCATTCAGGACACAGTATAAAGTTCTTATGCAGAGAGAAGCTGACTTGAACTATCCCTATATGACTGAGGTGCTTTTACCAGGAAGGGGCTTTTATAGTTTCAGTCATATATGGATGAAAAAGGTGCTGTATTCTTTTTCTATGAACTACTTTGTGTATTTTATAAGCAGTATATATGTACTGATACTTGTTTATCAGACATTGTGCGGTGCATGGTGTAGAAAACTCAAGGTTATTCTTTTAACTTGCACATCTTTTTTACTTTATTTCAATCATTTACATCAAACTATTTCTTAATTTAGTATACATTTCTCTGCTTTTGCAAACACAGTCTACTGGGGATAATTAAATCTTTTCAGAGTCGTCATATATGTTTTTAATTCTTTCAGGCCCTACTTAGTTTTGTTAAAGTCCCTACACTGAAGGCTCCAGATACATTTGCTCTTTGAGTTCTACCATGGTTTTTAGAGTTTTTCTTTTCCCTCACTTTTATCTGTCATTTATCTCTCCCATTACTGTGCCTACCTCTAGGAAGCTTTCTCTAATTTGCCCTGGGGTTGGGAAATTGTGTAACTGCATACTATATGTTGAATAAGAGTAGAGAGGATTTGAATGAGGTTTTGAGAGGCTGTTCTAGCAATAAAAATGAATGTACTTTGCTACATTGACTTGGTGACATTATTTCAGTGGCTCAACTCTCTTCCCCTAACTTACTTCTTTATCCTCATCTGCAGTTGTCATATTTGTGAACTCGCGGCAAGTGAGATATTGCTAGAAATAATTTCTCTTGATCAATAAACCATTGTCTCCCCCAGCTGTGTTAGTGTTTTTGTGTATTCAGTTCTATAATGTGAAACTTAAGAGGATTAAAACTCAAAAAATGATCAGGCCAAATTTTTATGTGGGATGAAGTGTTTCTGATTCAGTGTTATTGTGATATAGAGCTATAAATTAGTTGTTTACCTATGAAATTCCTTCCTGCAGTCATTCTGAAATAAAGTTGTTACAGCTGATATTTATGTGTGCATTCTAATTTTGGGGGGTATCCCATCTCTCAGCCAAGCTTGTGGTTATCATTTATAGTAATAATCCTAGTCCTTTTCAGCTGCCCCAGATGAGGGTGTTATCCTGACCATACGATGTTAGCTCCCTGCCTTCCCTCAAGGTGAGACATTAGAGTTTCTTCCAGAAATAAGCAGAGGCCACCATTATTGAGTGACCTGGGTGGGCCAGGTGCTAATGGAACGAAGGACCAGGACCTGCAGAGGGAGAAGTAATGAAGCCCAACATGGACAAACAGAATGAAGCCAGGTGTTTCCAAAGGGTGAAGGAGAGAGAGTGTAGCTTCTTGTTGGCCTGTGAGGCTCAGCTCTATTTTCTGTACTTTGTTTCTGTTTCGTATTTATCCTTTCATTTGTCCTCATTTTACTTGAATGTGTTTGGGTGGGTTTCCGTGCCTTGTTACCAGAATGTCTTGTCCACACCCTGTTAATGCTAGAGCCCAGGTATGGTGATGATCCTTCCTTTAGGGGTAGAGCCCTAAGTTCAGCCAGCATTTATTGAGCATCTGCTGTGTGCAGGAATACGGCAGGATTTGTTTTCTCTTTTGGTCCAGTGTGTCACTAGAAGGCGTGTATCATTATATGAGGGAGCTTTAAAAAGTTCATAGGAAAATGGGATTAAAAGATAAAAATATAAACTTTATTTCTCAGAATAAGCTCTATCAAATTCAAGAGACTTTTTAAAGCAATGATACCAGCCATTTAGTCCATCCCTAAAGAACTGAGGGTCTTGGGAATTTAACCAGGTCAATGCAGTCTTTTTTACATTATTAACTGAAGAAAAATTGGTTGCCTTTAAAGGTTTCTTTTAAGATTAGAAAACAAAAAAAGTCAGAAGGATCCAAGTCAGGACTGTAAGGTAGATGCCTAATGATTTCCCATGAAAAATCTCATAAAATTGTCTTTAATGAGAGGAATGAGCAGGAGCATTATTGTGGAGAAGGCCTCTGAGGAAGCTTTCCTGTGTGTCTTTCTGCTAAAGCTTTGGCTGACTTTCTCAAAATACCCTCATAATAAGCAGATGTTGTTGTTTGCCCTCCAGAAAGTCAACAAGCAAAATGCCCTGAGCATCCCAAAACACGGTTGCCACGACCTTTGCTCTGGACCAGTCTGCTTGTGCTTTGACTGGACCACTTCTACCTCTTGGTAGCCATTGGTATGATTGTAGTTTGTCTTCAAGATTGTACTAATAAAGCCATGTTTCATCTCCTTGTACAATTCTTTGAAGAAATGCTTCAGGATCTTGATCTTACCTGTTTAAAATTTCCATAGAAAGCTCCACTCTTGTCTGCACCTGATCTGGGTGCAATGATTTTTACACTTATTGAGTGTAGAGTTTGTTCAACATTAATTTTTCAGTCAGAATTATATAAGTTGAACCAACTGAGATGTCTGTGGTGTTGGTTATTGCTTCTGCTAATTGCCATCCTCTTCAACTGGGGCACAAACAAGATTAATTTTTTTCTTAGAAATTGACGTGGATGGCCTGCCACTGTAGGGTTCATCTTCAGCATCATCTGGTCCCTTCTTAAAATGAGCTATGCATTTGTAAACTGCTGATTTCTTTGCAGAATTGTAAGACATCAATGATTTCATCATTCATCCCAAGCTTCACCATAGATTTGATGTTTTTGTTTCAATCTTAGCAAAATTTATGTTGTTCTGGTAGGGGCTCTTTTCAAACTAATGTTTTAGCTTCCTTAGTACCTCAAACCAGATCCTGTTTAGACATATTATAACAACTTAGTATGAGTTTATTTTGGTGAAAAAAATTGAAATTCATGCATAGTTTTTCATAATATGCATTTTCCATGAATTTTTAAAAGATTCCGTGCACTGACAGATGGCAGTAGTGGGAACCAATTGATGGTAAGACCAGACACAGTTATCTCTTGGGTATATCAAACAATGATTACTTATTTAAAGGATGCAGAAGAAAAATTAGCATAGGATGCACAGTGGAGAGATCAGCAGAAACACATAGGTTTGTGGCCCCAAAGCTCACCAGCAAATAATGTCTGAGTGAGAGAAGGGCATGTTATACCTTTGGTGAGATAATAGCTTCTCTCTAGCCCAGCCTTATATACAGAAGGGTGGAGCTGGCTGCATGAGACCACCTCATCTGAGTCAGGTAGGAGCTCTGCAGTACACAAATTGCAAGGTACAGGACATTGAGGTGTAAATGTTTTTTACCTTCAAGCTGTTCTGATGGTTACAGCCTGGTTTGAGGACATCCTTGAATTCAGGCTGCAGTATCAGCACAGTGTTTCCCTGATGTCTCAGGGCAGGAGGGTAGCATGCTGACTTGTGTGGGCTAGTCCTGCGAGCCCGAGAACCTCAACACAAGCCTTGGAAAGACTGAGGAAGGTGGAAAGGGAGAGTCCTAAGAATGGCAAAGTCACTGTGGTAGCGACTCAGGACAGAAGTTAACTGAAAGAAGCTTAACTTACAGAATTTTGAAATGCTGTCTTCAAAATTTTAAATGCAGTATTTTATACCTTAGCTGCCAATTGGTAAAACCTGGGGAACTTTAAAAAACACCGATGCCAGGGTCTCACCCTCAGAGATTCTTTCTGGTTTATTGGTCAGTGTTGCTGGCCTGATGCAGGCCCCAGCATCAGGGTTGCATGTAGCTCCCAAGGTGATCCTGAAGCCATGGGCAGTTATTCCTACCAAAGCCAGAAGTCATGATGTTCTCTTATCAGTAGTAACCTTTAGGAAGCTTGCTGGAGAAGGAAGTTTGAGACAAAAGATCTCTCCTTTCTAGTGTTTTACCTCAAGTCCTTCAGAAAAATACAATTCACTGTCCTAGAAAAAAGTGCCTCAGTGCCTCTTAAATGCTAATAGAAGAAAAGAGATTCTAAAAATACTACTTCGTGCACAGCCTGTTTGGTTATGATCAAAAGTTTAAGTTGCATTTGTTGGAATAGAACCCCTTGCAGAAAAAGGATCCCACAGTAACTCCAGACACTTGATTGTCTTGAAGGGTTAACCTGAGTAACTGCAGGGCCGGACCTTAAGATGTAGCTGTGGACTGCATGCTGTGCTAGAGGCAGCAGAGAGAAAATAGCAGCCACTATCCTGTTAAATTAAACTCCACAGAGCTATTCTCCAGCATTCTCAGAGAAGGTTAGAGCCATTTCGTGCCTGCCATCTGTTAGGCTGCTGATGGAATCATTACTTCTTTGTGCCGGTGCCAGGATAAACTTTTAGATCCGATGACAAAGGAGAAAATGCGAACTTGGCCAGTTGCATGTTTTTGTTTTTCCATTTTAAGTTTAGGTGTCTCCTTACATTTGAAAACTCATCAATTGTTTAAACTTTAAAATTACTGCACTGCCAGTTTCTTCAGTGGTTTGTAGGGAAATTATTTTCTGGGCTGAAGCCCCTTCTTTCATTTGTGTTTGTTTAAGAATGTAGTCATTAGTCTTGCAGAAACCAAAGTCATTCTTGTCAATCAGAGAAAAAAACCCAAAAAACAAAAAACAATTCCCTGGGCCCCAGGACAGGAGGCTTACAGAAAGCAGGCAGGAAGGGTTTAATGAATGAATCACCCCAAAATATAGTTATTGTAAATGGCGACAGGATGTGGGGTGAGGAGAGGAAGAAAGAAACTAAGAACCCTACCAAGGTCATAGCTGTCACTGACTAGATGAGGGTGATGGAGGAAAACCTCTATTGTCTGATATTTTCTTTCACAAATGACATTTTGGAGAATTGGAAGATGTAGCATGGAGGTCTATAGTGTTCAATTCAATCCGTCTCCCGAACCCTGCCCCCAACATATCTTTAGGTATGGCAAGAAAGTTTAATGACGCTTTTCTGCTAGTTTCTTGGTGATTGGACATAAAGACCTTAAAAATCTTGGAGTCGCATTGGTGGCACTAGATGGCCACAATTTTATGGTTTCCGATTGCATTAAACAGTATGCATCAGATTACTATTGGAGCTATTCCAGTATGGAAAGTAGTCTTTCTGTACGTGTCAACTCAGAAGCCAGCATTGTAACTTGTTTCTTTAGGTGTTAATTGTTCTGTCAAGTGCTATGAGAACCATTTCTTCTTGGAAAAATAAATGCTAACAATGTTTTTTTGAGCCTTATTAAAGGAAAGGGTTTTGCAGAGAAGTATTGGGGAAGAGCGAGGAGTCAGCTAGACATTTAGTTTTCTGCTGGTCTACCTCTGAAACCTCCTTCTGGGGGGTATTGCATGCAATTCTCAAAACAGGGTATTTGTTCTCTTAGGGATCTGCAGTCATCTCTGTGAGGGGTGTGTTAAGCCACAGCATAGACCGACAAAAACTTTTCTTTTTTTGAGATGCAGTTTCACTCTTGTCACCCAGGCTGGACAGCAATGGCACGATCTCAGCTCACTGCAACCTCTGCTTCCTGGGTTCAAGCAATTTTCCTGCCTCAGCCTCCCGAGTAGCTGGGATTACAGGCACCCGCCACCACGCCTAGCTAATTTTTGTATTTTTAGTAGAGATGGGGTTTCACCATGTTGGCCAGGCTGGTTTTAAACTCCTGACCTCAGGTGATCCACCCGCCTCGGCCTCCCAAAGTGCTGGGATTACAGGCGTGAGCCACCGTGCCTGGCCCAAAAACTCTTCTTTTGGAGCATTAATTTTTCTCAAAGCTTTGTGGAAAAATGGTATTTTTATATTACAACAGGCAAGCAACTTTGTAGAAAGTAAAATTGGAATGGATTGTTAATTTTTAAAAAGTGAGACTTAATTGTGTTTGGGGCACTGGAAATGCTTGGAATGCTGCCTAACACACAGTAAGTGTTATAGTTGGTTGAATGTAATGGAGATACCAAAGAATGGCAATTGCATATGGTTCAGCCTAATACAATTACTTGTGATCAGTACATTGCCAAATGCTCCAGAGCCCTGTTCTGCTGGTAGGGATCTGGGGTCTCTTGAAAAAGTTAGAGAAGCCGTGATTGAGGCCACCCCCAATCACTGGAACTCCTGAAATTTCCATGTTCTGCAGAATCAGCCTATGTTCTCGCAGCATATCCAGGAAGCCTGGGTAAGCCTTGCCATCAGCAGCATCATGGGTTATTTTGAATACTGAGTTAATATAGAGCTCTTAGTTACTAAAGCTCTTAGTTGAGAAAGAAGTCCTATATATCAATATAATGAGCATTTATCAAACATTAAATTCTAGATGATTTTCCCTGTAGTGTATGTGTTTGGGAAACGCTGTTTCCTCTTTTGTTTTCCTGGTCAGAAAAAAATGTAATTTGTCAATATAATGCTTGTAACATACCAGTTTTTCCTAAATGGAGGCAGTTCAGATATACCTCTATACCGCAACATCTCTAACCAGTCAGTCTACAGTGTTTAATCCAGGGTGCTTGTTAAAATCAATGGGAATTGGTATAATTAGTCTTGAAGGGGTAAAGTAACAAACACAATGGAAAAAACTAATGAAGCTGTGTTGTGATTCTTGATTCTTGTAATTATATTGGTGCAGCTGGTTCTGCTTTAGTGATGCTCTTACCATTTCCAATAACACCTCTTTTCTGGTTTATTCTCTCAGATATATTTTAACTGTTATCTGAAATGGGAATTGTATGGCAGTTGCCAGCAGGAATAACCTTTTTTAAAGTGTACAAAATGCACATATTTCTATTAAGAATGGCAAATATGGTAGTATCCCAACTTCTTTGTTGAAATAGCATATCCTGGTCAGATCTGAATTTCATGTTATAAAAGTGAAATTTGAAAATTTGGCAATAGATTAAGATGAAAACTTAAGAAATCTTAGCATCTGATTTGATTCCAATATTTTTTGAGCAATGGCCACAAACCAAGCTCTGTGAAATTTAGGGATTGCATAATGTGGTGGGTGAGAATAAGGGCTTAGGAGCCAGCAGCTAAACTGGAATCCTGGAAGTGCTGTGTACTAGCTGTGTTATTTAAGCTGTTTGGATTTCATTTTCCTCATATGTGAGGGAGTAACAATAGTGCCTACTTTATGGGGTTGTTGAAAGGATTAAATGAGTTGAGACATGTAAAACAATTGGAGCAGTTCCTGGCACATAGTTAAACACTCAGCAATCTCTAGAAGGATTGCAGAGTTGGTATAGATTCTTAAATGTTTAGTAGAATTCTCCAGTGACAACTTCTCGGCTTGGTGATTTCTGTTTGGGGGAGATTTTAAATTATAAATGGAATATTTTTCTTTTTTTTTAATTTAATTTTTTAAGTTCTGGGATACATGTGCAGAATGTGCAGGCTTGTTACATATGTATACATGTGCCATGGTGGTTTGCTGCACGTATCAACCCATCCTCTTAAGTTCCCTCCCCTTGCCCCCCACCACACAACAGGCCCTGGTGTGTGTTGTTCCCCTCTCTGTGTCCATGTGTTCTCATTGTTCAACTCCCACTTATGAGTGAGAACATACGGTGTTTAGTTTTCTGTTCCTGTGTTAGTTTGCTGAGAATGTTGGCTTCCAGCTTCAACCATGTCTCTGCAAAGGACAAGATCTCATTCTTTTTTATGGCTGTGTAGTATTCCATAGTGTATATGTACCACATTTTCTTTATCCAGTCTATCATTGATAGGCATTTGAGTTGGTTCCATGACTTTGCTATTGTGAGCAGTGCTGCAATAAACATACATGTGCCTGTGTCTTTATAGTAGAATGATTTATATTCCTTAGGGTATATACCCAGTAATGGGATTGCTGGGTCAAGTGGTATTTCTGATTCTAGATCTTTGGGGAATCGCCATACTGTCTTCCACAATGGTTGAACTAATTTACATTCCCACCAACACTGTAAAAGTGTTCCTATTTCTCCACAGCCTCACCAGCATCTATTGTTTCTTGACTTTTTAATAGTCACCATTCTGACTGGTGTGAGATGGTATCTCATTGTGGTTTTGATTTGCATTTCTCTAATAATCAGTGATGATGAGCTTTTTTTCTGTGTTTGTTGGCTGCATAAATGTCTTCTTTTGAAGTATCTGTTCATATCCTTTGCCCACTTTTTGATGGGGTTGTTTTTTTCTTGTAAATTTGTTTAAGTTCCTTGTAAATTCTAGATATTAGACCTTTGTCAGATGGGTAGATTTCAAAAATTTTATCCCATTTTGCAGGTTGCCTCTTCACTCTGATGATAGTTTCTTTTGCTGTGCAGAAGCTCTTTAATTAGATCCCATTTGTCAATTTTGGCTTTTGTTGCAATTGATTTTGCTGTTTTTGTCATGAAGTCTCTGCCCACGCCTATGTCCTGAATAGTATTGCCTAGGTTTTCTTCTGGAGTTTTTTTGGTTTGGGGTTTTACATTTAAGTCTTTAATCCATCTTGAGTTAATTTTTGTATAAGGTGTAAGGAAGGGGTCCAGTTTCTGTTTTCTGTATATGGCTAGCCAGTTTTCCTAGCACCATTTATTAAATAGGAGATCCTTTCCCCATTGCTTGTTTTTGTCAGGTTTGTCAAAGGGCAGATGGTTGTAGATATGTGGTGTTATTTCTGAGGTCTCTGTTTTGTTCCATTTGTCTGTATATCTGTTTTGGTACCAGTGCCATGCTGTTTTGGTTATTGTAGCCTTGTAGTATAGTTTGAAGTCAGGTAGCGTGTTGCCTCCAGCTTTGTTCTTTTTGCTTAGGATTGTGTTGGCCATACAGGGTCTTCTTTGATTCTATATGAAATTTAAAGTAGTTTTTTCTAATTCTGTGAAGAATGTCAATGGTAGTTTGATGGGAATAGCATTGAATCTATAAATTACTTGGGGCAGTATGGCCATTTTCAGGACATTGATTCTTCCTATCCATGAGAATGGAATGTTTCTTCATTTGTTTGTGTCCTCTTTTATATCCTTGAGCAGTGGTTTGTAGTTCTCCTTGAAGACGTTCTTCATATCCCTTGTTAGCTATATTCCTAGGTATTTTATTCTCTTTGTAGCATTTGTGAATGGGAGTTCATTCATGATTTGGCTCTCTGTCTATTGTTAACGTAAAGCAATGCTTGTGATTTTTGCTGAAGTTGCTTATCAGTCTAAGAAGTTTTGGGCTGAGATGAAGGGTTCGCTAAACATAAAATCATGTCGTCTGCAAACGGAGACAATTTGACTTCCTCTCTTCCTATTTGAATACGCTTTATTTCTTTCTCTTGCCTGATTGCCCTGGCCAGAACTTCCAATACTATGTTGAATAGGAGTGGTGAGAGAGGGCATCCTTGTCTTTACCAGTTTTCAAAGGGAATGCTTCCAGCTTTTGTCCCTTCAATATGATATTGGCTTTGGGTTTGTCATAAATGGCTCTTATTATTTTGAGATATGTTCCATCAATACCTAGTTTATTGAGAGTTTTTAACATGAAGGGATGTTGAATTTTATCAAAGGCCTTTTCTGCATCTATTGAGATAATCAAGTGATTTTTGTCTTTGGTTCTGTTTATGTGATGGATTTTGTTTATTGATTTGCATATGTTAAGCCAGCCTTGCATCCCAGGGAGGAAGCCCACTTGATCATGGCGGATAAGTTTTTTGATGTGCTGCTGGATTTGGTTTGCCAGTATTTTATTGAGGATTATTGCATCGATGTTTATCAGGGATATTGGCCTGAAGTTTTCTTTTTTTGTTGTATCTCTTCCTGGTTTTGGTATCAGGATGATGCTGGCTTCATGAAATGTGTTTTTTATTGTTTGGAATATTTTCAGAAGGAATGGTACCAGCTCCTCTTTGTACCTCTGGTAGAATTCGGCTGTGAATCAATCTGGTCCTGGGCTTTTTTTGGTTAGTAGGCCATTTATTACTGCCTCAATTTCAGAACTTGTTATTGGTCTATTCAGGGATTCAACTTCTTCCTGATTTAGTCTTGGGAGGGCATATGTGTCCAGGAATGTATCCATATCTTCTAGATTTTCTAGTTTATTTGCATAGAGGTGTTTTTAGTATTCTCTGATGGTAATTTATATTTCTGTGGTGTCAGTGGTGATATCCCCTTTATCATTTTTTATTGTGTCTATTTGATTCTTCTCTTTTCTTTATTAGTCTAGCTGCTATTTTGTTAATTTTTTTTTTTTTAAACAGCTCCTGGAGTCATCGATTTTTTTTTTTAGAGGGTTTTTGATGTCTCTATCTTCTTCAACTCTGCTCTGATCTCAGTTATTTCTTGTCTTCTGCTAGCTTTTGGATTAGTTTGCTCCTGCCTCTGTAGCTCTTTTAATTGTGATGTTAGGGTGTTGATTTGAGATCTTTCTGGCTTTCTAATGTGGGCATTTAGTGCTATAAATTTCCCTCTTAACACTGTGTTAGCTGTGTCCCAGAGATTCTGGTTCATTGTCTCTTTGTTCTCATTGGTTTCAAAGAACTTCTTGGTTTCTGCCTTAATTTTGTAATTTACCCAGGAGTCATTCAGGAGCAGGTCATTCGATTTCCATGTAATTGTGTGGTTTTGAGGGAGTTTCTTAATCCTGAGTTTAATTTGATTGCACTGTGGTCTGAGAGACAGTTTGTTATGATTTCCATTCTTTTGCATTTGCTCAGGAGTTTTTTACTTCCAATTATGTGATCTATTTTAGAATAAGTGCCATGTGGCAGTAAGAAAAATGTATATTCTGTTGATTTGGGGTGGAGAGTTCTGTAGATGTCTGTTAAGTCCACTTGATTCAGAGCTGAGTTCAAGTCCTGAATATCTTTGTTAATTTTCTGTCTTGTTGATCTGTCTAATATTGACAGTGGGGTGTTAAAGGCTCCCACTATTATTGTGTGGGAGTCTAAGTCTCTTTGTAGGTCTCTAATAACTTGTTTTATGAATCTGGGTGCTCCTGTATTGGGTACATATATATATTTAGAACAGTTAGCTCTTCTTGTTGAATTGTTCCCTTTACCATTGTGTAATGCCCTTCTTTGTCTCTTTTGATCTTTGTTGGTTTAAAGTCTGTTTTGTCAGAGACTAGGAATTCAATCCCTGTTTTGTTTTTGTGTTTGTTTTTTTGCTTTCCATTTTCTTGGTAAATTTTCCTCCATCCCTTTATTTTGAGCCCATGTGTGACTTTGCATGTGAGATTGGTCTCCTGAATACAGCACGCCGACGGGTCTTGACTCTTTATCTAATTTGCCAATCTGTGTCTTTTAATTGGGGCATTTAGCCCATTTACATTTAAGGTTAGTATTGTTATATATGAATTTGATCTGGTCATCATGATGCTAGCTGGTTATTTTGCGCACTAGTTGATGCAATTTCTTCATAGTGTCATTGGTCTTTATATTTTGGTGTGTTTTTGCAGTGGATTGTACCAGTTTTTCCTTTCCATATTTAGTGCTTCTTTCAGGATCTCTTGCAAGGCAGGCCTGGTGGTAACTAAATCCCTTAGCATTTGCTTGTCTGGAAAGGATTTTATTTTCCTTTGCTGATGAAGCTTAGTTTGGCTGGATATGAAATTCTGGATTGAAAATTCTTTTCATTTTTTTTTTTGAGATGAAGTTTCACTCTTATCACCCAGGGTGGAGTGCAATGGTGTGATCTTGGCTCACTGGAACCTTGCCTCCTGGGTTCAAGCGATTCTCCTGCCTCAGCCTCCTGAGTAGCTGGGATTATAGGTGCCCACCACAATATCCAGCTAATTGTTTCTATTTTTAGTAGAGACGGGATTTCACCATGTTGGCTAGGCTGGTCTCAAACTCCAAACCTCAGGTGATCTGCCGTCCTCGGCCTCCCAAAGTGCTGGGATTACAGACATGAGCCACCGTACCTGGCCCAATTCTTTTCTTTAGGAATGTTGACTATTGGCCCCAAGTATCTTCTGGCTTGTAGAGTTTCTGCTGAGACGTCTGCTGTTAGTCTGATGGGCTTCCCTTTGTAGGTGACCTGGCTTTTCTTTTTGGCCACCTTTAACATTTTTTCCTTCATTTCAACCTTGGAGAATCTGATAATTATGTGTCTTGAGGTTGATCTGCTATGGAATATCTTAGTGGTGTTCTCTCTATTTCCGAATTTGCATGTTGGCCTGTCTTGCTAGGTTGGGGAAGGTCTCCTGGATAATATCCTGAAGTGTGTTTTCCAGCTTGTTTCCATGCTCCGCATCTCCTTCAGATACTCCAGTCTATCATAGGTTTGGTCTTTTTATGGAGTCCCATATTTCTTGGAGGCTTTGTTCATTCCTTCTAATTATTTTTTCTCTAGTTTTGTGTGCATGCCTTATTTCAGCAAGATGGTCTTCAAACTCTGATATCCTTTCTTCTGCTTGGTCGATTCAGCTATTGATACTTGTGTATGCTTTACAAAGTTCTCATGCTGTGTTTTTAGCTCCATCAGATCATTTATGTTCCTTTCTAAACTGGTTTTTCTAGTTAGCAGCTCCTCTAACCTTTTATCAAGGTTCTTAGCTTCTTTGCATTGGGTTAGAACATGCTCCTTGAGCTCAGCACAGTTTTTTCTTACCCATTTTTTGAAACCTACTTCTGTCAATTCTTCCATCTCATCCCCTGTCCAATTATGCACCCTTGCTGGAGAAACGTTGCAATCATTTGGAGGAGAACAGGGACTCTGGCCTTTTGGATTTTTGGTGTTTTTTTGTTGATGCTTTCTCATCTCTGTGAGTTTGTCTAGTTTCGATCTTTGAGGATGCTGACCCTTGGGTAGGGTTTTTGTGCGGCCTTTCTGTTGTTGTTGATACTGTTGTTGTTGCTTTCTGTTTGTTTTTCTTTAAATGGTGAGGTCCCTCTTCTGTAGGGTTGCTGTGGTTTGCTGGGGGTTCACTTCAGGCCCTATTCATCTGGTTCACTACCGCGCCTGGCGATGTCACTCAAGAAGGCTGGAAAATGTCACAGATGGGTGCTGCTTTTTCTTCTGGGATCTCTGACCTCAAGGGGCACCAACCTGATGCCAGTAGGATTCCTTCTGTACAGGGTGTCTCACAACCCCTGTTGGAGGGTCTCACCCAGTTGAGTGGCACAGGGAACGGGACCCATTTAACGAAGCACTTTGTCCTTTGGTGGAGTGGATGTGCTTCAATGGGGGGAAACCCCTCGTCTGGTCTGCCCAGATTCCTCAGAACTAAGTCTGAGGAAAGACTAAGTCTGCTGGTCTGCAGGAGAAAAGGCTAAGTCTCCTGGTCTGCAGAGACTGTGGCCACCCCTCCCCTGAGGGGCTCAGGCCCAGGGAGATCTGGGTTCTGTCCCTGAGCCTCTGGATGGAGTTACTGGAGTTCCTGCAGGGAAGCCCTACCCAATGAGGAAGGATGAGTCAGGGTCAGGCCTGAAGAGGCACTCTGGCCACAGTCTGCCACAGCTGGTGTGTTGGGCTATGGGGGATACATCTTGGGACCAAGCTGTCCAGCCTCCCTGGCTGCAGCAGGGAAAAGCATGGCCTGGGGCTATGGAGATGGGCGCTGCCCTTCCCCGGCCCAGGGAGCTTAGCGTGTTAGGCAGTTGTGAGTCCCAATGCTGGCCACTGCTCCTCCCCCAAGGAGCTCAAATGGCTTAGACAGCAGGCAGCTGCAGCTATGATGGTGGTTGTCCCTCCCCCTGGGAGCTGGGTAGGCTTAAGTAGATTCCAGCTGAGAGGCTGAGAGGCTGTTGAGAATCTGCATGGCTCCAGGGTTGGGACCCCAGCCCTCTGTAGCGTGGTTTCGCCAGTGGGATCTTCCGACCCACGGGTTGCACAGTTTCGTGGAAAAAGCACGGTTTCCACGCTGGGTAGCACGCTCACTCACTACCTCCCTTGGCTGGGGGGTGGGGATTCCCCGTGTGGCTTTCTGGTGGTCCGCCACACCACCCTGCTCTTCCTTGCTCTCCATGGATCCTGCCAGCCTCCTAGTCAGTTCTGATGAGAGAACCTGGATACCTTGGTTGCCAGTGAAGGATTCACATGCCTATTATGGTTGTTTCCTTTTCTCTTTTTCTTTCTTTTTTTTTTTTTTTTTTTGCCGCAGAGTTTCACTCTCATTGCCCAGTCTGGAGTACAATGGTGCAATCTTAGCTCACTGCAGCCTCTGCCTCTTGGGTTCAAGCAATTCTCCTGCCTCAGCCTCCCGAGTAGCTGGGATTACAGGCATGCCGCCATCATGCCTGGGTAATTTTTTGTATTTTTGTTAGAGACAAGGTTTCACCATGTTGGCCAGGCTGGTCTTGAACTCCTGACCTCAGGTGATCTGCCCGTCTCGGCTTCCCAAAGTGCTAGGATTACAGGTGTGAGCCACCGCGCCCGGCCAGATTCTTTTGCATAGGAGCCTCTATCACCCCCATTTCTAGTCCGTCATTTTAGCCCCGCCCCCTAATTTTCTTAATACTTGAAAGGGCTATTCAAATGTTCTATTTCATATTGGATAAGTTGAAGTAATTTATATTTTTTGAGAAATTGGTCAATTTCATCTAAGTTGTCAAGTTTTGGTCAAATAGTACTTCCTTATTATCCTGCCTGGTTTTTAGTGATAACCCATTTTATTCCTGATATTGGCAATTTGTATCTTCTGTCTTTGTTCTTTGTCAGTCTTGCTAGAAGTTTAATTTTATTGATCTTTTCAAATAAGCAGTTCTTAGTTTAATTTTCTGTATGGCTTTTCTGCTATATCTCATTGATTTCTGCTCTTATCTTTATTATTTCTGTCTTCTGCTTGCTTTGGGCTTAATTTTCTCTTCTTTTTCTTGATCTTGAGGTGGGAACTTAGATTATTGTTTTGAGACTTTTTTATTTTATAATGTATGCATATAGTGCTATAAATTCTCTTTCTAACTGCTTTAATTCTGTTCCACACATTATGATATGGTATGTTTTCTTTTAAATTTAGTTCTTTTTTTTTTTTTTTGGTATCCCTTGAGACTTCTTTGGCTCCTAGATTAATGAGAAGTTTGTTGTTTAATTTCCAAATGTTTGGAGATTTCCCAACTGTCTTTCTGTTATCGATTTCTGGTTTGATTCTACTGAGTTAGAAAAAACTCTGTACTATTTCAAGTCTTTAAATTTGTTGAGCTTTGTTTTCTGGCGTAGGATGTAGCCAGAAAAAAAAAATATATCTATTTTTATTTATATATATAAATATTTATATAAAAATATATATTTTATTTGTATTAAAAATATATATTTTATTTATATAAAAATATATTTTATTTATATATAAATAAAAATGTATATTTATATATTATTATTTATATATAAATTTATAATTAATAAATAAATTTATAATAAATAAATAAATTTATTTATTTATAATTAATAAATTTTATTTATATATAATTATATGTAATTATAAATATATAATTACGTATAATTATAAATAAATTAATAAAATTTATTTATTATTAATGAATAAATTTATTTACTTATAATAAATTTATTATTTATAATAAATTTATTATAATTAAATAAATTTATTTATTTAATTATAATAAATTTATTTATTTATAATAAATTTATTTGTTTATTTATATATAAATTTAAATTAAATTATTTATTTGTTAAATTTATTTATTAAATTAAATTATAAAAATGTTTTATATATTTATTATATAAATATTTGTATATTTATAAATAAATTTATATATAAATACTTTATAAATAAATTTTATTTATATATAAATAAATTAATATATAAATAAATTATTTATAAATAAATTTTATTTATATATAAATAAATTATTTATATATAAATAAATTATTTATAAATTATTTATATATAAATAAATTATTTATATATAAATAAATTATAAATAAATTATTTATATATAAATAAATTATAAATAAATTTTATATATAAATTATTTATAAATAAATTTTATATATAAATAAATTATTTATAAATAAATTTTATATATAAATAAATTATTTATAAATAAATTTTATATATAATTTATTTATAAATAAATTTTGTTTATATATAAATAAATTATTTATAAATAAATTTTGTTTATATATAAATAAATTATAAATAAATTTTGTTTATATATAAATAATTTATAAATAAAATTTATATATAAATAAATTATTTATTAATAAATTTTATTTATATATAAATAATTTATTTATAAATAAATTATTTATATATAATTTATTTATATATACATAAAATATAAATATATATTATTTATATATTATATATTTATATTATATATTATATATATATTTTATATATATTTATATCTGTATAGTATATATTATATATAAATAAAATATATATTTATATATTTTACATATTTATACATTATATATTTATATATTATATATTTATATGTAAAGCATAAAATATGTATATTTATTTTATTTATACATAAATATATAATATACATATTTTATTTGTATACAAATATATAATATATATTTTATTTGTATACAAATATATAATATATATTTTATTTATACACAAATATATAATATATACTTTATTTATAGATAAATATATGTACATATATATTTATCGATAAATATATGTACATATATATTTATCGATAAATATATGTACATATATATTTATCGATAAATATATGTACATATATATTTATCGATAAATATATATTTGTATATATGTATAATGTATATACATATATGTATAAAGATATGTATAAATATATTATATATTTATACATAAATATATAATATATTTATATATAATATTTAATGTAATATATTTATATTATATTTAATATAAATAATATATTAAATATAAAATATATATTTATTTTATTTATATATAAAATATATATATTTATATATATAATATATATATATTTATATATATAATATATATATATTTATATATATAATATATATATTTCATGGGTACTTGAATATTCTCATGTTGTTGGGTAAAATGTTTTATAAATGCTAGTTAGATTCTTTTCAATAGTGTTATTGCATTCTTCTATATCCTAGTTGGTGTTCTATCTAGGTGTTGTACCAATTGTTGAGAGAACGTTTTGTAGTCACCACCTATAATGATTTCTGTATTTCTCCTTTCAGTTCTATAAATTTTTGCTGCACATATTTTGCAGCTCTGTTGTATGGTGCATACACATTTAGGATTTATATATATATATATATATATATATATATATATATATATATATATATATATATATTTGATAAATCCTGTCATTATTATATAATGACTCTATCCCTAGTACTTTTCTTTGCACTAAATCTACTTTAACTGTATTAATATAGCCACTCCTACTTCCTTTATGAGTGTTTGTATGATATATATACTTAAATCTTTTTACTTTCAACCTGCCTGTGTGATTATATTTCATGTGAGTTTCTTGTTAATAGCATATGATTGAGTCATGGTTTTTAAGCCACTCTTCCAGTTTATGACTTAATTTGTGTATTTTGGCCATTTACATTTAATGTAATTATTGACATAGGGCTTATGTTTTTTTATTTATTTTTCTATTTGTCCTATTTTTTTCTTTGTTTTCTTTCTTTTTTAAAAACTTTCTTTAGGTATTTGGATACATTTTATAATTTGATTAATTTACATAATGGTTTTGAGTAAATTGTTTTGTACAGTTTTTTAAAAAAATTAGGTGGTTGCTCTATATATTACATTATATATACATAACTTTAAACAGCCTATGGATATGGTTGTTTTATCACTCCCAGTGAAATGTAGAAACCTTACCTCCCTTTGCATTACTACCCTCTCCTGTTTATAATCAATTATTTAAATATTTCTTGTACATTCATCTGGGACCACATCAGAGAATGTTGTAACTTTTTTCTACAATTATTAAACATAATTTAGAAGACTCAAGAAGAGAAAGTTTATTATATTTATTTATATTTTTCTTACTTTATTCTTTCTTTCTTGTTGATGTTCCAAAATTTCTTTTTGTTTTTCGAGGTGGAGTCTCGCACTGTTGCCCAGGCTAGAGTGCAGTGGTGCAATCTCGGCTCACTGCAACCTCCACCTCCCAGGTTCAAGCGCTTCTCCTGCCTTACCCTCCCGAGTAGCTGGAATTACAGGTGCCCACCACCATGCCCAGCTATTCTTTTGTATTTTTAGTAGAGATGAGGTTTCACCATGTTGGCCGGGGTAGTCTTAAATTCCTGAGCTCATGATTCACTTGCCTCAGCCTCCCAAAGTGCTGGGATTACAGGCGTGAGCCACCGCACCCAGCCCCTCTCAAAATTTCTTATTTAAATTGTTTTTATGTTTAGAGAATATACTTCAGCCATTCTTTTAGGGTAGTCTGCTGGTGACTAATTTTTTCAGTTTTTCATCATCTGAAAGTGTCTTGATTTCCTCTTAACTCCTGAAGGATATTTTTACTGGATATTTAGGATTCTGGGTTGATAATTCTTTTCTTTCAGCACTTGAAAATTTGCCACTTCCTGTAGCCTCCATGGTTTCTGATGATAAATCCACTGTTTTTCCCTTATAGGAAAAGTGATGTTTCCCTCTCACAGTTTTTTAAGATTTTTTTCTTTGTCTTTACTTTTGTTGAAGTTTGACTATGATGTGTTTTGATATGTGCTTCTTTGGGTTTGGCCAGTTTAGAAACACTCATCTTCTTGAATCTGTAAAGGTATGTGTTTTGCCAAATTTGGGAAGTTTTCAGCTATTGTTTCTTTGAGTACTCACTCAAAGAGCCTCACCCTTTTTCTTCTCTCTTGGAATTATGATGACAGGAGTTAGATCTTTTATTTTAGTCCCACATATCTTGAAGCTCTGTCTACTTTTTTCTTTCAGTTTATTTTCTCTCTCTTGTTTAGATTGAGTAATTTCTATTGTTGTATCTTCCAGTTTACCAATTCTTTCCTTTCCCCATTCTGATGTTCAGCCCATCTCTTGCATTTTTAAAAATTTTGGCTGTCTTTTTTCAGTTCTAATTTTCCATTTGGCTCTTTATATCTTCTATTTTTTTGCTCACATTTTCTACTTTCATTGGTTTCAAGTGTGTTTGTAATTGCTTACCAAAGCATTTTTGTGATGGCTGCTTAAAAATGTTTGCCACATAATTCTAATGTGTCTGTCATCTTAATGTTGGCATCCATTGCTTGCCTTTTTTCTTTCAGGTTGAGATCTTTCTGGTTCTTGATATGAGTGATATTTTTATTGAAACTTGGATATTTTGGGTATTATGTTATGAATCTTATTTAAATGATCTGTTTTAGCTCGGTTATTGTGACATTACTCCAGCTGGGGAAGGGTGGGCAATACGTTGTTACTGAGATGTGGAGATAAAGGTTCCCACTCAGTCTCTGTTGACATCTGAGGCAGTGGATTCTTCTTTTACCATTTGATGGGAGTGGGAGTTCTGGTTTCCCACTAGACTCCACTGATATCACCCTGGGAAGGGTAGAAGTGTCTTATTATTGCTCCCTATCTGGCCTCCACTGTCACTATGGGTTTGGGGAAAGTCTTAACTCTTCACTAGGCTTTTCCCAGAACTACCTCAGTGCGGCAGGAAAGAGGTATCTCCTTCTGCCAGGTGGGGTGTAAGTCCAGGCTCCTCACAGTCTCCAGTGGGGCTCATTACCTGCTGGTGGGATGACACTTCCAACTCCCTACTAGGTCTTCTCTGGCAACACCCTGGCAGGAGGATTGGCCCCCTGCCCTCCCTGAAGTTACATCCTGGTGAGGGTGAAAGTCTAGGCCCTTGCCAGTGTGGGTTATGGTGAGTCAGTTTTTTTCTATGGTATTTAGCTGGAGTACAGAGGTTATCTTCTAAACATTTCTGCCTTGCAAGACTGCTTCTTTCCTGGTCTTTTGCCTGGAGAGACCATCCTTTTTAAAAAATTATCTGTGCTTGTTGCTGTTTTCAGGCTGCCAGCTTCTCTAGTACCTGGGATATGTGAGGCAAAAATAAAACTCAAGGAACTTACAGCAGTGTTGTTCTTTGGGTCCCAAGTTTCCTAGCTTCTTCACTCCACATTTCACAGTCTTCTTATTTTTTTTGTTTTTGTTTTTTTTTTAAATAAATAACATCCAGGGATTTTAGTTGTACCACCACTGACTTTTTGTAAGTTGAAATCTTTGCGTGCATTCCTCTATTTAAGTTCCACTTTTCCTTTATTTCTCAGCGGAAACATTGCTTCTTCTGAGATGCTCATTCTGAGCCAGCACACGAGTCTGGGTCCCCTGTTATACTCCCGCCTAGCACCCTATGCTTCTTCTTGTAATAACTGTTCAGAGCCTGTCTCGTCTGCTTGCCTGTAAACTCCTTGAGGGCAAGAATTGGTCCCAACTTGAATAAATTTGTAAAGTAAGATAATTGAAATAGATGAACTCAAAGTCTCGGTCTCTCTTTCTCTCCTCTTTTCCTTCTCTCTTCCTTTTATCTCTTCCTCTCTCCCATGTATCCTCTTTCAATTCTCTTCTCTTTTTCTTCACCACCCTCTAAATAATTCCCAAAATAAAATTGTTCCTGAGGTCTTCTCCTGAGCTCTGACATTAGATTTTATCATGAAAAGCAACATTGAAATTTTGATCATCTGTTAGATGAATAAAGACATCTAATTATGGTTTTATCTTGCACTTATTTGATTACTAGGAATGTTTATTCATCTTGTCCACAACGATTGAGCATCTCCTATGTGCCAAGCTCTCTGGGTTCACAAAACAAAGTCTGTTTTCCCATGAAGCTGATGAAGAGTTTTTCATCTATTTATTGATCATTTACATATTTTTTTGGGGGAATTACCTTCCACGTCAGTTGCTCATCTATCTGCTGCCCTCTGTCCCTTTACAGGGTTTAACAAATATTTTGCTCAGAAGTATGGAAGATGAAAAATTTTAAAAATCCTCTCCCCTATTCAGTTAGCATGTATTCTGGCTCACCAGATAGATCATAGAGTCAAACAAAAACCTCTTCATCAAAGAACAAGTCTGAATAGTCTACTCATTATGACTAATTTTATATAATCTTAAGTAATTCAGATTTGAATTCAAATAGTCACTTGAGGCTAATATCACTTGAGGCTAGTAGTCACTGTCTTAGATAGAGCTGTGTGTTCTTGGGAAAGTTAGTTACCCTCTGTGAGGTTTGATTCCTCATCATTCTGACAATGAAGAATAAATAAGACAGGCTGACAAATGCAAAGAACTCAATTGAAACATTAAAGAGCACAAAGACCAAAGGCTTGTGATTTTTAGCACTTTATTTTTATAACAAATATGTGATCCCACTGTATAGCAACAGTTAAATACTATACATTGCAAGAGGGAATTAAAGACCTGGATTTAATGAAACCATTTTAACAAGAACCAGTTGCAGTGTTAGGTTGTAATTGCAAAGGAACCTGCCCAGACTTTAATTTGTCATCTTGTTTTATTTTAAAATGATGCTCAATTTGCATTTCCCAGATGTCAGAGGCAGTGATGAGAGGTCCTGGGTGACAAACCTTTAATATCAGCAAGGTTTTAAACAAAATCTGGCATTTCTCTGATGAGCTAAAATTCTACTCACTTCAGAGAGAGCGCCGAGTAAGATTGTTTTAGTCTCACAATGTGGTCGGTCATGCTGATCATCCATTTCACTTAGTTCACACGTAATTGCAATCCCTTACATCTGTAGAGGGTGCTTTAGTTGATTAAGCACTTCCACATGCCTTATCTCATTTAATCCCCAAAGCAACCGTGTGAAGATGGTAGCAGGTGATTTAAGATGAAGGATCAAAGGCTCACAGTGGGTAAGTGACTTGTCCAGGAGCACACAGGTACTAAGTGGCTAAAGAGGAATCACTACATGGCCACATACTTATCACACCTAAAATGTAATTGCATAGTAATGTCATGTAATGCTAAATACACCAAAGATAAATGTCTTTATACTTCTTTCTTTTTCTTTTTTTCTCCAGTCATGAAATATCTGTATACTTCTTGAGTTATGCTTCCTTATCACAAACTATGTTCTTTACACTATGTCATGTCACTGTCTCAAATCTTATTTTCCCTCTTTCTCTGAGGTGGAGTAAACTATGTTATGACTCACTTGTGTTTCTGAGTGTGTATAAAAATGCATCTTTGTAAAAGCCCTTTATTAAACTCCCTCCCAATTATCCAGTATGGTTATTCTATTTCTTGCTGTGATCTTGACTACTACATTGTTGGAGTTAAGATGAGTTAGACTAATTGTAGCTTTTTTTTTTTTTTTTTGAGATGGAGACTCACACTGTCGCCCGGGCTGGAGTGCAATGGTGCAATCTCAACTCACTGCAACTTCTGCCTCCTGGGTTCAAGCAATTGTCCTTCTTCAGCCTCCCGAATAGGTGGGATTACAGGTGCCCGCCACCATGCCTGGCTAATTTTTGTATTTTTAGTAGAGATGGGGTTTCATCATGTTGGCCAGGCTGGTCTCGAATTCCTGACTTCATGATCTGCCCGCCTTATCCTCCCAAAGTGCTGGGATTACAGGCATGAGCCACTGCGCCCAGCTGTAGCTTTTTATCTGTGAAATGAAACATTTCCGTTAGCTTCTGGGAAATAGAGAAACTCAGATTCAGCAGGAGCCTTAAAAGCCTAAGCTTTCACATTAGTGGATCATAGTTCACGTGTTCCTTAGTTAGTCTGCCATTTACTAACTATGTGATTAGACAAGTTATTTAATCACTCTGAATTTAAGTTTCCTCATGGTAAAATATAATTGATAATGGTATATATTTATAGAGTCATTGTAAAAATAATTAGCATAGTCCCTGGCAGGTAGTGATTCAAATAAAAGTTAGCCATGAAAATAAATGGTCTCTTTCTGGATTAAGAGATTGGCTGGCTGGATTAGTGAGTAATCTCAATTTTTTCATAAAACATGCTAATTAATATCCACAGCATCCTGAATAATCACTGCTAGTACACCTCACTTATTCATTGGTAGACTTTTGGTCTCAAAAGTTGAGTTATATGTTTCCCAAGGATAATTTGCATTAGTTCCCAAACCAGTTGATGCTCGTTGCATTTATAATAATTTGATTTAATCACCTATTATGTAAACTGGTGCACTAGTTTTCTGTTGCTGCTTTAACAAAGCACCACAAACTTAGTGGCTTAAAACAACACAAATGTAATACCTTACCAAAGTACTGGAGTCTGAAATGGGCTTCACTGGACTAAAATCAAGTTTTTGAGCCAGGTGCAGTGGCTCATACCTGTGGTCCCAGCTACTCAGGAGGCTGAGGTGCGAGGATTGCTTCAGCCTAGGAGTTCAAGGCTGCAGTGAGTTATGATCATGCCACTGCACTCCAGCCTGGGTGACAGAGTGAGACTCCATCTTTAAAAATATTTAAAAAAATCAAGATGTTGGCAGGGATGCATTCTTCCAGAAGCTCTAAGGGAGAGAGATCTGTCCCCTTTCTTTTTTCAACTTCAAGAGGCCACCTGCATTCCTTAGCTTGTCGCTGGCCCCTACCTCCATCTTCAGTCCTTCCCCATAGCATCTTTAAATTATACTCTGGATCTCCACTTCTCTTTTATAAGGGCCCCTGTGATTGGGCCTGCTGGATAATCTAGCATAGTATCTTCACGTTAAGATTCCCAACTTCATTATAACTGCGAAGTCCCTTCTGCCATGTGAGGTAAAAGGCTCACAGGTTCCAAGGATTAGGGCATGGACATCTTTCAGGGACCACTATTCTGCTCACCACAACTGGTGACATTTGAGAGGAGACAGAGGATATTTTTATGAACCCTACTTTCTTGCTTTTGAAAGACTCATTAAGTTAAATTGAAAAAAGATTGCTTTTGAGTTAGATGTGGGCTGGCTAAGTGTAAAATTTTAGGACACTTGTGAAAATCTAGAAGGATTCTGTACTCAGATTGCTTCAGAAATATGTTAATGTTCTTGCTTCATCTAGAGAAACAAATGGTAAATCAGAAGGTGCAGTATGGTTTTGATTTATGGAAGGAAGATAATGCAGAGTAATATGAGTGCTGTTTTTTAAAGCTTTTCCACTTTAAGATAAAATTATTCACTTTCTCAATTAACCAGCCAACTGCCAATCTTAATTGTGCAGATTTTATATTATTTAATCCAACCCACATCCATTCCCATCCCTTTTGTTTCTGAGGCTAGAGAATGGATTTATGTTGGTGATTCTTCACGTGTTAGGTGGAGTCTTGGATTTCATTGAGATTTTTTTTCTTTTTGAGACAAGATCTCACTCTGTCTTCCAGGCTGGAGTGCCATGGCATGATCACAGCTCACTGCAGCCTTGACCTTCTGGGCTCAAGTGATCCTCCCACCTCAGCCTCTCGAGTAGCGAGTAGCTGGGACTACAGGTGTACGCCACCATGCACAGCTGTTTTTCTTTCTTTTTTTTTTTTTTGTAGAGACAGGGTCTGAGTGTGTTGCCCAGGCTGATCTCAAACTCCTGGGCTCAACCATTCTTCCACCGAGAATTTGATGAAAGCTAAGACTGACCTTGAAAAACACCTATACAAATAATGTGTTCCTTTATTTTTAGTGCCTTGGATAATGAAGAGTTGAGTTATTATTCTCTTCAATTCTTGGTCCACTGTCACTTTTAGTCCTTGTATTTATTATATTTTAATCTTCACTTCCCATCCCCATTTCCACTCCTACCCCTGTGCTATCCTCCCCATAGATACCCACTGTTTTATTTAATACTTGCTCTTGGATAGTTATGTATCATTGAAAGACAATTAGTATTGTTTTGCATACTCAACATTTCATCTACAATTTTGGTAATTTTATGCATCTCTGAAGGTTATTTTTGGATACTAGAGGATCTATAGGCCTCAGGTCAAGAAACTTTGCCATAAATCTGAATTATCCAGTACAGTGAATGTCAGGCTCATGTGACTATTTAAATTCAAATTAAAATTACTTAACATTATATCCAATTAAAATTTTGGTTTCTAGGTCTCACTAGTCACATTTCAAGTGCTCAGTAGTTGTACGTGTCTAGTGGCACATTTGTGCAGGACAGTGCGGATATAGAACATGTCCATCAATGTAGAAAGTTCTATTGGACAACACTGTGCTAGTGATCTATATGAACTCTTCCACCTCTAGCACTAATGATTAGTTTTGGTTGGAAAACTTTTCTGTATCTGTCATGCCTTTTTACATGTGTGGAGTAACTCATTTCTCAAAAGTGTGTTAGGGAGTCTCTGATAAAGTAGATGGGAGACAGGCTCAGGACATGAAAACTGTAAGCAATGGTTCTAGATTCAGCAAGATAAAGGACTGCAAAATGTGTTCCTAATCAGTTGCTCTCTGGTGGAATTCTACAGTGACATAAACTGTAATCAAGGAGGCCACAAGTATAATCCCCAAAATTTAAATATAACACTTCAGATTTCGAGCACCTATTTATTTATAGCTACCTTTAGTGATAGTGTTATTATTGTAATTATTGTAACCATTGTCACAGAATGTCCAGACTGGTATGCAGGTATAGCTCATTACCAGGAGGAAAACACAGAAGGTGATATATAGCAGCTTTTTACTTTCCTCATTGAACTATCCTTCGGTCTACAAAAGTGTACTCTAGGAGATAATTCAGAGGCTTCTGCTGTCTTTAATCTCCTTATCTCCCTTCTACTCCTGAGGGTTCAGATTTCCCCCTGGAATCAGGGACATGAAGTCCTCTATTCTGGTCCCTGCTGAGAGGGAAAGGTAGACCTTTATGGCCTGTGCCTTCTTTTATAGAAAGAGGCGCAGGTATTTCTGATTCATCGTAATGGAGACAAAAACTCTTTTCTTTGCTAAATTTGACAACTTCTCATAGCATAATTTCAAAAGTAGTGAGGGGTAGAAGGAACAAAGTATAGTGAGGAAGGGAGAAATGACCTGCCATGTTGTAATTAGCCTCATTTTACTAACGAAAACAGTAAGGCTAAGAATGATTTAATGTCATGCCCCAGATTATTCAGATAGTAAGTGTTTGGCTCCAAATCCAGTGCTTTTTCCCATGTCGTACTCTCTAACAATTTGGAATGAAGAGTTCCACAGTGTTCAGACCACTTTGATGGGTGAATACCTCTCTGACAAATTGGACTCACTGGATTCCCTGTCAGTATGCATCTTAGTCACTCTGCATTTTAGGAATGGAGCAGGATTATGGCTGAGAATAGAAGCCGATATTAACATTTGCCTTGGTCCATAGCTGTGATCAATGGATCAATGAAAGGATCCTTATGTTCAAAACTGAGTATGTTCCAAGAACTCTGGGAATCCCAGCAGATAATTTCCCCTGTGAAATGCAAATATATGCTTTAAACATTAGTACACATGCAACAATGTAGAACATGTAAGAGTTAAAGAGGAAAGAAACACGAAATGCAGCTGGCAGTTAAAGACAGGTTTTCTTTAGTTAAAACCTGAGAGACACTCCTGGCCAATTTCTATCAGGAGTGCTTTCTCTTACAGATTAAGAGTATGTATTAGTTTTAGGGTGAGGGGGCTTATCAGAAGCTTCGAATGTTACTGTTTGAGGGAGAAGTTTTATGGTGGGGTTGGAATGTCTCTGGGTGGAGGGGAGTTTGCCTTGGGGCAGGCATCTTTCCGGCCAGAGGGATGTCATCTCGAGACTGGCATCTTCCCAGCTGGAGGGGGTTTATCTTAGGGCTAGCCTGTCTCTGGCTGGGGAGGAGTTTGGAATGTTTCTGGTTAGAGATGTTATTTGTGGTTTATGGTCATGCCGACCTTAGTCATTAGACTGATGCCCTTTGGATTTAGGCAGTTTTTTTTTTATTAAGGTGAACTTTAGAATGAGGGGCTTGTCCAAGATGGCGATGCTCCTGCTCTGTCAGAACAAAGTTGCGATGTGATATGATGTGATGTGGATGCTGAGTAGTTATCTAGGCTCACTCACAGGTAACAAACTTGCTTTTGTACTTCTTCCAACCAACCTCATCCTCATTAGCATGGGTGATTCAAATTTATGCCTCAGCAAAATTACAAATGACTCCTGTTCATGGATCTTCATGCCATGCATGAATAGTCAAAATCACCTTAGTTTGGCATTTTGAGAGTGTGCTAGTTATTAGTGCTGCTTGTTAAATATTACCTGCTTTCTACATTACGGGCATGGGGTAGAATTACACTTCTCTTCTCTTCTTTGAAATTGGGCATGGCTATGAGAATTACTTTGGCCAGTGTGTTGGGAGAAAAGCTGAGTGTTGGGAGAAGCTGAGGCAGGGCTTGCATGTCTGACATAATGTAAAAGAGTCTTGGAACATGTCCAGGGTCCAGGGTCTAAAACTCCTCATGGCCTTTGGAACACTAAGCTCTGTGCTAAAGGGTGGAAGGCTACCCTGACGCACCATAATCTAAACCCAGGGCATAAATCCCCTTGTGGCTCTGGAATGTGTCTAGACTTGCTGGCTCCTTGCTTCTAGCCCTCTCAGGCTCCTAGATTGATTGTGTCTTAGAATTGGCCATATAAAGGCTAAACCATCACAACTGTAAATCTTGTGCTTAATGCAATGCTCCCTTTCAACCCCACATTCTCACCACCTGTTTCTTTGATCACCAATAAATAGTCTGGGCTTGCAGAGCTCAGGGCCTTCACAGCCTCCATACTCACATTGGCCCTCTGGACCCACTTTATCTCTCAAACTGTCTTTTCTCATTCTTTTGACTCCACCGGACTTCATTGCCCCCACGACCTGGTGTTGGGTCTGATCACCCCAACATTCCTGGCTGCCCAACATGGGGCAAGAAAGACCCCGGTGAAGGAATGCTAGAGCATGTAAAAGCAGAGGACGCATCGTCAACGGACACCCAAGGATGACTGAAAGAAGCTCAGTGGGAAAGCTGAGTACTCGGAAGAACCAGGGTAACAATGGGACAAAGTGAAAGCAAACATTCTGCTTACTTGAATTTCTTAAGGCATTTATTATGTAGAGGGTGAGGCATGGGGTGTAAGACCCAGAGGAATCTGAGGCTTGTTTATTCAGAGGGCCCCACTTAGAGAAAAAGAAGACAAAGTGAGGACTTAGAAGGAACCTGGGCAAGTAAAGTCATCTTGAAGCTTCAGTTTCATGGGTAACCTGCCTCTGCTAGAGAAAAACAGATTTAATGAGAACAGAGGCATGATATGGGCTAAATGTAAAGAAATTTGGACTCAAGGCCCCAAGGAATATTTGTTTGAGTTGTGGAATATGCTTGATTTTGGTATGTTAGCAATTTTTGCAGCATCATTCATTGTAAGATTCAGGGCATTCTGGCATGCTTCCGAAACCCAGAGCATCACTGATACAAATGATACTTTGAAGGACTTGACAAAAGTCAAAGAAGCTCAGTGGGAAAGCTGAGTACTCGGAAACCAGGGTAACAATGGGACCAAGTGAAAGCAAACATTCTGCTTACTTGAATTTCTTAAGGCATTTATTATGTAGTATTTCACATTATCTCCCAATGTTACTTTGGCCAGGAGGGAGTGGGACCCCTCTGATCCTCAGATTGTGTCTAAAGGTCTTTGTGCAGTTGCTGTGGTTTTGAGTTTCTCTGGGATAGCTTGTATTTTGCCAGCAAATGAAAGCTTTGGACCTCTGCAGATGTCACTTGGAGGAGCAGTCAAAGACATCTTCAGGTTCATGGTCATATTCATTATGGTGTTTGTGGCCTTTATGATTGGAACGTACAACTTCTACTCCTACTACATTGGTGCAAAACAAAATGAAGCCTTCACAACAGTTGAAGAGAGTTTTAAGACACTGTTCTGGGCTATATTTGGACTTGCTGAAGTGAAATCAGTGGTCATCAACTATAACCACAAATTCATTGAAAATATTGGTTATGTTCGTTATGGAGTCTATAATGTTACAGTGGTCATTGTTTTGCTAAATGTGTTAATTGCCATGATCAACAATTCATTCCAGGAAATTGAGGATGATGCTGATGTGGAGTAGAAATTTGCAAGGACCAAACTCTGGTTTTCCTGCTTTGGGAGGGGAGAACACTTCCTGTTCCCTTCAATCTGGTTCCAGATCCGGGGTCCCTGTTTTGTCTCTTGCTGAAGCTTGAAGTGTGGATTTCTGAGCTCTACCCAGGGCCATAAAAAAGGTTTCCAGGAAGATGTAGAGATAAGTAAGTAGAGATAGAGATAAATAGAGATAGATAGACAGGGACTTGCAGGAACTCACAGGAACTAACAGGTATCATAGGGACAGACAGGGACAGGCAGGGATAGATGAAGACTAACAATATAAGGTCAGTGCCCTAAAGAGATACTGATCAGTGCCCTAAAGATGTACAAAAGCAAAGACTAGCAATATACGGTCAGTGCTCTAGAGAGGTACTGGTCAGTGCCCTAAAGAGGTACAAACGTAGAGACTAGCAAAGACTAGCAGAGATTTGCAGGGACAGACAGGAATATTCTGAATTATGGAAATTAGCTATGGCTCAAAGTCCAGTCAAAATCTGAGAGGGAAAGTATAAAATGAACAGAGGGGAGGGAGGTAAGGATAAAAATGCTCTTTCTTTTCTCTCCAGTGGGACCTTTTGGATTCACAGTTGTGCTAGCAATAGGAAATGTTACTCTTGATATAAATACACACTTTATTACATGCCCTGAATGTTGCTTGTTTACCTGCCTTGATTCAACCTTTGATAAAAATCAAACTGTCTTGATAATTAAAGCCAGGGAAGGAGTTTGGATCCCTGTGTCTCTAAATAGACCATGGGAGACATCACCATCTATTTGTATTGTAACTGAGATCCTTAAAAACTCTTATCCCGTTCCAAAAGATTTACAGTTGAAGGCCATTGGAGGCTCTACATTTGTGGATTTTGTTCTGGTGGTTGTGTGCTTGTGCTGTCTCCTTTTAGTTTACAGATGCAGAAGCCACCTCTGAAGAGGAAGCTGCCTCTGAAGAGAAAGCCGTCATCAAGAACAAGCAATGATAGCTGTGGTGGTTTTATGAAAAAGAAAAGGGGGGCATGTTGAGAGGAAAGCTGAGTATTGGGAGAAGCTGAGGCAGGGCTTGCATGTCTGACATAATGTAAAAGAGTCTTGAAACATGTCCAGGGTCCAGGGTCTAAAACCCCTCATGGCCTTTGGAACACCAAGCTCTGTGCTAAAGGGTGGAAGGCTACCCTGACGCACCATAATCTAAGCCCAGGGCATAAAACCCCTCGTGGGTTGGATAGAATCCAGGGCTCAGGGCATGAACCCCCTCATGGCTTTGGAGTGTGTCTAGACTTGCTGGCTCCTTGCTTCTAGCCCTCCCAGTCTCCTAGATTGATTGTGTCTTGGAATTGGCCATATAAATGCTAAACCATCACAACTGTAAATCAGGTGCTTAACGCAGTGCTCCCTTTCAACCCCACATTCTCACCACCTGTTTCTTTGTTTGATCACCAATAAATAGTCTGGGCTTCCAGAACTCTGGGCCTTCACAGCCTCCATACTCACGTTGGCCCCCTGGACCCACTTTATCTCTCAAACTGTCTTTTCTCATTCCTTTGACTCCACTGGACTTCATCACCCCAATGACCTGGTGTTGGGTCTGATCACGCTACCACAATGAAATGTTATAATTTACTTCCAGACAGAAGCTTCAAGAGCTAGTGTACAATTTGTGTGGGCAGAGCAAGCTCCCACAGTTTGAGTGAAAGTTCAAAGTGTGAAAAGTTAATAGACATGCTACAGAAGGTTGAGGTGGAAAGCTGTCAGTGTGAAAAGCTACAGCTGGTGTCAGAACTGGGCTGAGGGAACTGATGCAAGGCAATTTATATTTAACCTACATAATTGTATATCCATCATACTTTGCCTATCCATTCTCCCAGAGATAGGCACCTTGGTGGACTCCAACTTCCTGATCCTGGTCCTAAAAATAGTGCCAGTGAACATACTTGTACATATTCGCCTATCTGTCTACATATCTATCCATCCATCTGTTAATCATCTACTTATCCATCTATTCATCCATCTCCAGGAATTAAATTGCTAATAGGCATTGACCAAGACAGACTTAATGTTCTTCTCAGCTTGACTAAAATTTAGACTGATTTCTCCCTGACTATAGATCCCTGACCTCCTTTTGCTTAGAGTATTTACTTGAGAAAATATGCAATTGTAAATTCTTTCTTTCCCTTTTCTTTCTCTTTCTCTCTTTCTCTCTCTCTCTCTTTCTTTTTCTTTCTTTCTTTCTGTCTCTTTCTCTCTTTCCCCCTCCGTCCCTCCCTCCCTCCCTCCCTCCTTCCTTCCTTCCTTCCTTTCTTCTCTCTTTCGCTCTTTCTTTCTCTTTTGCTCTTTCTTTCTTTTCTGAGATAGTGTCTTGCTCTGTCAGCCAGGCTAGAGTGCAGTGGCAGGATCAGGGTTCACTGCAACCTCCATCTCGTGGGCTCAAGCAATCCTCCCACCTCAGCCTCTGGAGTAGCTGAGACTACTCTGGCTATTAAAAAAAATTTTTTTTGTAGACACAGGGTCTCACTATGTTGCCCTAGCTGGTCTCAAACTCCTGGGCTCAAGTGATCTACCTGCCTTGGCCTACCAAAGTGCTGGAATTACAGGCATAAGCTACTGCACCCACGTGTAAATTCTTTCTGTTTAAATTCTTAATTCTAATTATCAAGTTTTTCCCTATAGAATATGTAAATCTTCTACAACCCAGAAAAGTCTTGCTCAAGGATCTTGGAGTCAGCCTGTTGAGATATAATCATTGAAGGCAATAGAACCACATTTCTCAGTCTCTATGGGAGGGTAGAAGCCTACTCTTGAAAAGCCTACCCTTGGAAAGTGACAATTAGCAAACACAGATGACCTAATCACATTGGCCACCCTCCCTACACTGATGTCCTTTAGTACTCTCTAGTAGTTTTCTATTAGCTCCTCCCAGCGTTTAAGAATCTTACTGCCTTTTGTTTCAGTGGAGTTGAATTCAGCCTCTCTGTGCTATTGCAATAGTATTGAATAAGGTCTTTCTTGTCATTTTAAATATATCCAGTGACTTTTTTATTTTTTAACAGCAGACATATATTTAAGTTAATGAAGTAGTGCTCATTTGTTATCTGGAATGGCTATACTGGTTTCTATTCCATGTATACCTGTTAGCAATGCTTAAAGGTTTACATCCCTACATTTCTACCAACTCCAAGAATTATTCAGACTTCTAATGTTTGTGAGTTAGAGGTGAAGTGCTGTCTCATTGTTTTTTAAATGTGAATTTATCAAATTAACGATGATTCTGAGCACCTTATTATGTTTGATAACTTTTGGGGTTTCCTCCTCTGTAAATTGCTTTTGTCTTTTATTCTACTGGGATTGCTCTTTTCTTGTTGCTTTGAATTCCTTTCACATACAGTCAATAACTTATGAATTTTAGACATTTCAAGTACTTTACTTTGTTCATATTATTGTCAAACAGAGATCCACATTTAAAAAGTATTTGTTGGCTGGGAGTGGTGGTTCATACCTCTAATCCCAGCACGTTGGGAGGCTGATGTGGGAGGATCATTTTGGTCCAGGAGTATGAGACCAGCCTAAGTAACATAGTGAGACCTCATTTCTACAAAAATTTAAAAAATTAGCTAGGCTTAGTGGTGTGCATCTGTGGTCTCAGCTACTCTGGAGGCTGAGGTGGGAGGATTGCTTGAGCCTGGAGGTCAAGGCTATGGTGTACCATGATCATGCCACTTCACTCCAGCCTGAGTGACAAAACAAGACCCTGTTACATATATATATAATATATAATATTTTATATTATATATATTATATATGTAATATGTATACACATACATTCATTTTTTATACTTTTAAAGAACTGTTTGCAAGTAAGTTACAGGCATTATATATATATATATATATATATATATATATATATATATATATATATTTATTTACTTCTTGTTATTTCAGTGTTTTCCCTAAAAACATCAACGAGGAATAACAAAAGTATAAGTATGGAATCAGGATGTTTAACATTGATTCAGTATTATTATCTAATCCATTATCTATGTTCAACTTTTGCCAATCACCTTAATATTGGTATTATAGATTGATATTTCTCCCTTCAATTCAGGATTCTGCTTAAGCCTCTTTTGTTTCCTTTCATTATCTCAGACCCTCAGGATTCTTTATTTTTCATGTCTTTAACGTTTTATTTTGTAGATGGCTTCTAAGTTTAGGTTTGTCTGATTTTTTTATGATCATAATTTTTTGGCAGAAATATAAAGATAATATTGTGGTCTCAGAACATCATATCAAGGGGACCATGATACCAATTTATACCGTTACTGAAGCTGTTAACCTAGGTCACTTGGTTAAGGCGAGTCTGCCGATAACCATTTTTCCCTTTGTAATTAACTACTTTTACATAGACATGTTTGAAATATATGTATATTTGCATGTTGCATTTGTCACTTATCAATATATGCTGAACTTATTTCATATTAGCTCATAGAGCTATCCTTTATTCTTTATTACAAATGCATAGCATTCCATTGTGTGTATGCATCAGAATTTACTTGATCAATCTTTTATATATAGATATTTAGGTCACTTCCAATATTTTGCATTTATAAATAAGGCTGCTATGAATAACCTAATGCAAATGTCTTTTCTTATTGTTGGAGATATATATTCAGGGTAAGTTTCTAGATTTGAGATTGCTGAGTTGTAAGAAAAATGCACATACAATTTGTTAGAGATTGCCAAATTCCCCCAACGTAAGAGTTGTGTCATTTACATTCCCACCAGCAATGAATGAGAGTGCCTCACAAGCCTTGCCAACAGAATGTGTTGCCAAGCTTTTAAACTTTTTGCCAATGTGATAGAAGAGAAATGGTATCTCAGTGTCATTTTATTTGCATTTCTTTTATTATGAGTAAAATTAAAATAGTTTCATATGATTAAGGACTATTGTATGCCTTTTTAATGAATTTTTGGCTTGTGCCTTTAACTCATTGTTTTATTAAGGCTTTAGTTATTTCCCCCTTTTAAGTTGTTAAATATATTAAAGATAATAGCTTTTTATCTGTGATACGTTTTGCAAACGTTCCAAAATGGTCTCAATAATCCCATCTCCATGTAATTACTCCTTTGTACAGACCTCTCTACATTGAATAGTCCTGGTCTGTGCACCCAATAGGATATTTGGTACAAGTCTTGCACGTTTCTGTAGTGTTTTTGTATAAAATAAAACTGTGGCTACAGAATCATGGTGTGTTTGTGTGCTTACTTTATATTCATGAATTTCTTATATTTATGATACATTGCATTCCTGGAATAAACTCTGCTTGGTCATTATGTATTATTTTCACAGTATGGTGATGAATTCTATTTGCTTGTAAATATTTACTATTTTTGCATTAGTATTTATAAGCTATATTGGTCTGTAATTTTATTTAAATTTTTGACAATCAAATTTAGGTATCAATATTATACTTGCTTCATACAATGATTTTTGACAATTTTCCTTCATGTTTTATGTTTTGAAACAATTTTTGTAACATCGGGTCTCTCTGGTTATTGATAGTTTGGTCAAATTTCCTTGTGAAAACTTCTGCTCCTGGTACCTTTTTGGGGGGTATAGCCTTGATACAATGTTTTTTCTATAAAAGTTGGTTTAAGTTTTCTAAACTCTACTTTAGTCAATGTTGGTAAACTGTATTTTTTAAAATAAATTATTAATTTGGGGCCGGGTGTGGTGGCTCACACCTGTAATCCCAGCACTTTGGGAGGCCGAGGTGGGCGGATCAGCTTAGAACAGGAGATCAAGATCAGCTTGGCCAACATGGTGAAACCCCGTCTCTAACAAAAATACAAAAATTAGCTGGGCATTGTAGTGCTGTGCCTGTAGTCCCAGCTACTCAGGAGGCTGAGGCAGGAGAATCGCTTGAACCCAGGAGGTGGAGGCTGCAGTGAGCCAAGATTGTGCCACTGCATTCCAGCCTGGGTGACACAGAGTGAGACTCTGTCTCAAAAAAAAATTATTAATTTGATACTGGTTTCTACTAAAACTACAAAAATTAGCTAGGTGTGGTGGCACACGCCTGTAATCCCAGCTAGTCTGGAGACTGAGACAGGAGAATCGCTATAACCTGTGAGGCGGAGGTTGCAGTGAGCTGAGATTGTGCTACTGCACTCCAGCCTGGGAGACAGAGCGAGACTCTGTCTCAGAAAAAATCCCAAATTATTTTCAGTTGAGTTTTTAAATTTTGAATTATCATATTCCTTATTTTATTGTATTATAATCTGAGAGTGTTGTCGGTAATATTTCTTCTCCTTGTGACTTACCGATTTTTTTTTACCTAATACTTGATCAATTTTGTAAATGCTCCATGTGTGCTAAAGAGGAAAATGTATTTTCTATTATCAGGGTTTAATGTTTGATACATTTCTATAAGATCTGTAAGATCTGTCTTATTGAGAATGCTGTTTAAGTCTATCAATGTTTTGTCTACTTGACCTGGTGTAGGATACTAAAGTCTATTTTTAGCGTGCTTCTGTATATTTCTGCTTGCTTCTCCTACAGTTTCTGCTTTATGCAGGTGGTTGCTCTGTTATTTGGTGCATAAATATTCCTAAATGTTTTATCTCTATTTTGAATTACAGATTTTAACATTAAAGTGCTTTTTTGTTACATTAAAAGGTTTTTCTGGTTGGCATTCTACCTTGTCTTATGTCAGGATTGCAAACCCTGCCTTCTTATTAATTCTATTTCCTGTTATGTCTGTGTCCATCCCTTTAGATTTAGCTCTTCTGAATCACTGTTTTTAGGTGTGGGTCTTATATACATCCTGGCTTTGATACCTGTTGGTGAGTTAATTCAGAAATATTTTTATTTTAGAAGATGAGTTAAGCCAATCCACAATTAACTAATATCCTTGTTATGTTTGATCTATACTCTGTCACTTTATTTCAGTTGTAGTTTTTATAAAATTACTATGTGATTTTATTACATTTTCTGTTTCTCTATATGATGTGTTTGCTTTGCTCTTTAATTTTTAAAATTTCTTTTGGTATTAGGATTAGGTATTTAGTGATAACATTTGTATTTACACCTTTTAAAAATTCCCTTGTCTGCTGGTTAGCCTTTATTCTCTGGCTTGCCAGTTTCTGACATACCCTTGACTCCTCCCCTTGATCTATACAATAGCTGTTCTCAAAATGTTCAGTAGGGGATCCTTGAAACGCTTTCATGGAATCTGTGAGATCAAAACTATTTTCATAATAATACTAAGACATCATTTCACTTTTCTACTATCCTTTTCTCATGAATGCGTGTGAAAGTTTTCCAGAGGCTATATGGTAAGTGATGATATCATTGCTCTGATGGCTAATGAAAGTGTGAAACACATATGAAAATCTAGCTGTCTTCTATTAAGACAGACCTTAAAGGGATTTGCAAAAATGTGAAATAATTCTTGCTGCTATATTTTTTGGAAAAAGTTTTATATTATGTAATGGGTTTATTATTTTAAAATAAAAAATATTTTAAAACCTTTCAAATTTAATTTCTAATATGGCAGATATATCTACTTCATAATAGATATAACTCACATAAACAAAAACTTTCTGAGGTCCTCAAAAAGCTTAGAAGTGTAAAAGATTTCAGAGGCCAAAACATTTGAGAACTGCTTCTATACAACAATCAATGCATTTATTCTCCTTTCCAATTCCCCTCTCCCTTTTCTTTCACTTTTTTTTCAGATTATTTTTATTTTATGGGAGCATTTGACATTTTATGTTATTTTTCTACCTTTGTCTCTATTTCTGTTTTAGTCTTAAATCTAAAATTATATGTATTAAGTCCTCACTATTAACCCTTTTACCTAAATTTTCACAGTGATAACATGGATGGATGAAACTAGTCCTTTAGTAGTTTCTTCAAGAAGGAGTCATGAATACAGGACTCTCCAAGTTTTTACATATGTAAAACTAGTTTTTATTTATTTATCTTTTTAGACCTTGATCTTGAAGAACAGCTTAGCTGAATATAAAATCTTTGGTTCACATTTTTTTTCCTCTTGAATTTCTTGCAAATACTGCTTGCTTCTTGCCTTGATCTGTATGTTGCTCTTGAGAAGTCTGATGCTAACAATTCTGTTGCCATTGTAAGATTTTTTTTTCCCTTCTGGGAGACCTGAGGTTTTTTTTTTAAAATTATCTTTAATGTCTCATAATTTTACTGGAATATATCTGAGGGTTGACTACTGAGGGTGAATTTTCTCAAGTATCTGGTGGGCCCATTTAGTATGTGGATTTAGATTTTCTGTAATTTCCTGAACATTTTCTGAAATTATATTTTAAAATATTAGTTCTATTACATTCTTTTTTCTTTTTCAGAGAGTTCAATTACATGTAATTGGATCTTCTTTGCTTGTCCTTCATTTAAATCACTTCCTTTTAGACCCTTTTAATGTTTTATTTTTATTGTCTCATTTTTCTGCTTTTCTTCATTTCCTCTTATCACATGTTCATTTGCATATAATATTCCTTGGGTAATTTGTAATTTAATTTTTCATTTTTCTGAGAAGATTTCTTTTTTTCAATCAACTCTTACTTAATTTCTTTCTGTTTTATGTACATTTCTGTTCCTTAGATTTTGATGATCTGATTTAAGGTGTTTTTCATATTCCTACATACTTGTTTGAAGACACTGGATTTAGTTTGGGGTATTGCACTATAGTTTCTTTGGCTTTGTAGTTGTTTTGGAGGTTGGAGGGGGAGGAATTTTATCATTTTGAATGTTTCAATTTTAGGTTTCCATTTTATCCTTCCGGTAGGTTTGTATAAATGTAGATTCTTTTTCAGTCTTTATTTTGTGTATCAGGTTGGCAATCCGGGGAGACTATAAGCATTTAATTCAAGAGATCCCTCTTCTATCTGTGTAATGAAGTGGAGCTTCTTCAATGGATATCGATCTGTCATTATGTATAAATATATGTATGCATGCACATATGTATGTATTCCCTCTCTCTCTCTCTCTCTCTCTCGTAATGGGAAAGTTACCATTTATCTCCCAATATTTTTACTACCTTTTGTCTTGTAGGATTTTGTTTCTTTTACATGCTTCTCTTCACCATCAAGACTCCGAAGTGTTTTTCTTTATACTGTCTTTTTCTCAAGTTATTGTGCCCTTCTGAGGCCGCCACCTTGAGTCCTACACATCTTAAAGCCTGCAGTCACTCTTCTTGTTAAATTTTTTCATGATTAGTATAGGCCTTCTCTTTCTCAGGGTGATTTTAATTTAATCTTAGACATGCTACTCCCCCTTTTCTCTTCCCACAGTTTTCCTGGACTTCCCACATTCTCTACAAATGCCTTCAGGGGGAGCTAGTGTTCTCTGTCTTCCAGTTATCCTGAAGGTTTGTGTCTCCTGTGGTTTTATTTGTACTTTTGTTAATCTTTATGGTTTGGAAATGTTGTCAAGTGATTCAGATTTAGATGGCCATCATTATCCTCAGGATACCCAGAAAGCAGAACTCTTTACATTTGATGCCATCAAATCAGTCACCTTCTTTTTCCCATATAGTGTATGCTTTTATTTTATTTATTTATAAAGTCCAAGACATTTTCCTCAGTTAACTTTATGGTTCTACCTGTTACCCTCACATCTTACACTTATCAAGAGTGGCCCTTTTCATGTAATATTATGGAGGAAACCAGTTATATTTTTCTCCATGTAATAAACATTTTTTCCAATACCTTCTCTTAAACAATCAAATCTTTTCTTAATTATTTGCATTTTGTCATATGTCAAGTATTCAAACACACTAGTGTGTTTCTCTGCTATTTATTCTGTTCCGTTGGTCTATTTGTTAATTTTTATGGCTTAATAAATATATCTTAATATCTAGAAGCTTGCTTTTTAGTTTTTTGTTTTATGGTTTACTTAGCTAAGCATGGGTCTTTATTCTTCCCTGTAAATTTTAGAGCAAATATGATAAATTTCTCAAATGCATTCAAGTTGAAATTTGACTGGGAATTTATACATTAGTTATCGGAAAATTTATGTCTTGAAAATTATTATTAATTTTATTCAAGTCATGGAAGATCTTTCCATTTATTCTAATCATCTTTTACATTCTTTATTAGATTTTAGGATTGTTTTCTGGAGAGATATTCAGTTTTGTCACTTAGGTTAATTCCTAGATATTTCATAGTTTGTTGCTTATTTTATTTTTTATTATATTTTCTAATTAGTTATTGCTGGTGTTGAGGAATACTATTGATTTTTGTAGGTCAATCATATATCAGCATCATTGCTAAGCTCTTATTTTTTCTAATAGCTTGTCTCTAGATTCTGTTGTTTTTCCTAAGTAGATGACCATATGTAATCTACAGATAATGCCTCTACTTTTTCACTGTTGCATTTGAGCATTTTATTTTGCATTCTTGGATGAAACAAAAATAAGAAAATATAGCAGTGTCAGATTTGTTCTTTGCTTTCCACGAACTTCAATTATCCTTACTGTCACTCTCCAGGGTGACTATTTAAGAGTCGACAGTAGCTATATATATTTTTAATGTAGTATAATGTCAAAACCCATTATGAATCCAGAAAAGTTATTCTTACCATGGAGAAGAAAATACTCAGCCTCTGAAGGACAAATGAACTAAGAAGGAGAAACACTACCCTGCAATCCTCTCATTTATATTACATCTGTTGATAGTATTGATCTTAGCACTTTGGTTAGCTAACAAAAATTAAATATTAGGGCCCATTTTACTTACTTGATTTTAATTTATAATATTTTATTATAATTTTACTTACTTGATTTGAAGTTTTAAATTTTATTATAATTATTTTAAATCTAATTTATTATATTAAATAATACAAGAAATAAAATTGTAATTGTATCAAATCATATGATTCAAATGAAATAGAACTAGGCAGAAAGAAACTCCCTTTATTGTCTTACATATTTCCACCTCTTCTTTCTTCTACCACTACCAATTTTCTGTGCATCGTTTTATCCTCTTTCTTTACTCAAATACATGCGTATATATGATAAGACTTTTTTCTTCAGTTATTTTAAAAACATATTATTTATTGAAACATAACTCACATACCATAAAATTAACCATTTTAAAGTGTACAGCTGAGTGGGTTTTAGTATATTCACAAAGTTGAGCAACCAGCCATAACTACTGTCTAATTTTCAGACATCTTTATCACCCTCAAAGAAACCTCATGCCTGTTAGTAGTCACTCTCCATTTCCCCTTCTCCCCAGCCTCTGTCAACCATTAATCTACTTTCTGTCACTAGGGATTTGTGTGGGCCAGACATTTCAGAGAAATAGAATAAAATAGTATGTGGCTTTCCTTAATGTAGCTATGCATGATTTATTAAAATAAGCATTAATGGGATCATAATAAACATATTTTTCTGATTCTCTTTTCACTTAATATTTTTTCCATATCTTCTTATATAGTTTCACGTACTTATTTTTAATAGCAGTATAGTGCACACAGACTAGATGTATCATACTTTATTCACGCATTCCATTATTGATGGGTATATGAGTTGTGTCAGTCAATATCAACAATCAACTTTGTGTTCATACATATAGTGTGCAGGTGCAAGTGCCTTGTCCAGAAGAGAAAATAGAACAAAATGGAAATAATAATAGGACACACTCTAAAAAGTTATTGTGCAGATAAAACAAGACAATACCAGTGTTGAGAGCAATGCCAGGCACATAGCAAACTCTCAATAAATGCTAGCTGTTATTAATATTACAAAAATATTCAGATCTTCAGTAGCATAGAAAATGGTTATAATATAATAGTAAGTGTAAAAATCAAGCCAGTAAAATAGCGTATATACTTTGGTTGCAACTGTGTGAAAACTATGTCTTCTTATGAATAAAAACTCAAAGGAAAGATGAATACATGAAAGCTGCTTTGTTATGATGGTATCATAGATTGCCTTTTTATGTTTTCAAAATGTCTTTAATGTTATAACAGTAAAAAGTTAAAAAGAAATATATAGATAGAAGAAGAAATCTTGACTTGCCTTTGAAGATGAGAAAGAGGTTTCTGAGCACCCACCCCAAAACAAGGTGGCTCTGATATAGAAGTGTCAAGACATGGTAGCTCACCACGATTTCTTCTCAGTGAAGGATTCCTGGTGGTTTTCTCTTCCTTTATGATAAACATCTTTGCTTTGTCTCCTTGGTTATTCATCGACTGATCCTTTCAGTAGACATTTGTTGAGAGCCCACCATGTGCTGGGCACTATTCTAGTCGCTACATATACAATGACGAACAAGACAGGATAGGTTTTGGATTTTACATTCTAACAGAAGACTTAGACCAGGGGTGTCCAATCTTTTGGCTTCTCTGGGCCACATTGGAAGAAGAATCGTTGTCTTGGGCTACATATAAAGTACATTAATACTACCAATAGCTGATGAGCTAAAAAAAAATCGCCAAAAAAAATCTCATAATGTTTTAAGAAAGTTTACAAATTTGGGTTGGGCCACATTCAAAGCCATCCTGGGCCACACGCAGCCAGAGGGCCATGGGTTGGACAAGCTTGGTTAGACCTAAACAAATAAATAAACAAGAAAATAGATAATGATACTTGCCATGGAGATAATTAAAATACAATGATGTGATGATATTTTACTTGGTGACTCCTCTAGATCGATGGTCAAGAAAGCCTTCTCTGCAGAAGTAACAGTTTATCTACTGGGCCTAAATGACAAGAAGAAGCCATCCATGGGACACTCATAGGGAGAAACATTTCTGGAGCATGACTAGCACACGCAAAGGCTTTAAGGTGGAAGCCAGTGTGGTGGGTGTGAAGTACAGAAACCAGTGTGGATGGGCAGTGGTGAGTGAAGTGGGAGCAGAATGAGGTCAGAGAAGAAGACAGGCATCCAATCATGTGGGTGGTTGTAAGCTGGGGTGGGAAGTTTGGATTTCATTCTAAGTGGGATGGAAGCATTGGATGATTTTTAAGTAGGAGAGTAACTTGATTGGATTTAAGTTCCAAAAAGTTCACTGGCTATTCTGCAGAAAATGGATTTTAGTAAGATTGGAATCAGGGAGATCAGTTAGAAAGTATAGCAATGGTCTAGGCAAGAGGCGATGGCAGCTCAGATTAGGGTAGTAGAAGTAAAGAGGAGAAATGGCTGTTGGGATTCATTTGAAGACAAGTTAACTAGATTTGCTATTGCATTGATTTTGGGGGATAAGGAAATAAAGGGACTGAAGATAACCTCTAGATTTTTGGCTTGAGTAATTCGGTGAGTGGAGATGCTATTTATACTGAAGATGACTGAAGAATTCCTGGGGAATAGAAAAGTTCTGTTTTGATAATAAAAAAGCAAACATTTCTATCAGAAGTACAAACAGAAATGACAAATAAAGGGTTGATTGTATGAGTGTGGATTTCCAGGAGAAATTTTGAAGTCTTTAATACAGATGTGGTATTTAAATCCATGGCATTGGGAAGGCTTGCCTAGATGGAGTATGTAGATAAAATGGAGAAAGAGGTCTAGGATTAAGTTATCGACATACTCCTAGATTGAGTATGTAGGTAAAATAGAGAAAGAGGCCCAGGATTAGCTGCTGAGTGGTTAGGAATAAGTAGCGGAGCCCAGAAAAAAGACAGAGAGAAGATAATGAAGTAGAAAGAAGAGCAGGAAAGAGGGATGGCACAGAAGCAACAAGAAGAAAGTGCTTCAAGAATGCAGGCGAGTTAACTGTTAAGTGCTTATTGAAAGGCCTGGTAAAATAAAAGGAGAGAAAGGGAGTTTGGATTTGGCAACAAGGAGACTTGTGAACTTACGACACAGATATTAGAATCAGACAAAATTGGATTTGAATTTGAACTTCAAAGATCGGTTGTAAAGGTTAAATGAGGTAAAATATATGAAATTACTTAGCACTTAATAGGAACTTAACACATATTATTTCCTGGAAAGGCAGAATTCTTGAAATATTCTAGGGAAGAGGTCCTAGCTTCCTGGTGTTTTGTTTTTGAAGCTCCAGCTTCAAAAACGATTTGATTCTTATTTTCAAAGCAGGGAATAGGGTTTATTGACCTGGAGGGAAGATACTTCAGGGAAGTTACTTCTGTCCAAGAAGGATATTAATACAAGCTTATTCCCTTGAAGTCCCATGGGGAGTTCTTCTTAGCTCTTGTTTGGTTCCTTGGGCATTTGTGCCTGTTAAATCTCGGTCATGAAGTTTCATGCCAATCTGTCACACTTATTTAATTCTAACATAAACAGAGTGGATTGAGGCTAAAAGTGGTTGGTGTTGTGCCTAAAACTTGACCAAACACCACAGAGGAGCCTATTTCATTACTATATTCATGCTCTCTTCCTGAGGACATCTTGCTGGGAGTTGGGGAGGGGACGAGAGGGTAAAAATAAAGGTTTATTGTTTACAGGTGCAGTCATCAGGAGCTCAGTTCAGTTCTTGTCCTAAAATGTTGGCTCTAGAGTTAGCCAGTTCTTAGTCTGCTATAGACTTTTTTTTTTAGTTTTTGTTTATGTGAAAATGTGCTTATTCCCCATGCATATTTGAAGAACAATTTCACTGAATATAGAACACATATTTGAAGAACAATTTCACTGAATATAGACAGGTTTTCTCCCCCTCTTTCAGCACTTTAAAATGTAATTCCATTGTCTTCTGGCATATATATATGTGCCAGAATTACATTTAAATGTAATTACATTTAAAATGTAATTCCATTGTCTTCTGGCATATATATATGTGCCAGAAGAACTCTCATACAAGCAAACTCTAAGAATGATATCTGACTTTATATATATATAGTGTGTGTATATATATATACACACACTATATATACTTTATATATAGTATATATAAATATATATTATATATTTACTATATATATTTTATGTATATAAAGTATATATACTTTAGTGTATATATATAAAGTATATATAAAAAGTATATATATATAAAGCACTTTAAAAATGTAATTCCATTGTCTTCTGGCATACATATATAGTATATATATATAGTGTGTGTATATATATATAAAGTATACATATATATGTATATATATAAAGTCAGATATATATAAAGTATATATAAAAGTCAGATATCATTATATATATATAATGTAAAGTATATATATATATATATATAAAGTCAGATATCATTCTTAGAGTTCTCTTGTATGCAATGTTCCCCTTCTCACTTACCACCTTGGCTGCTTTTAAGATTTTTCTCTATATCTTTGGCTTTTAGTAGTTTAACTATAATGTGTCTAGGTATGTTTTTTATTTTTGTTCAGCTTGTTTAGGGTTAGGTAAGCTTTTTGGATCTGTAGTTGATTTGTCATTAATTTTGGAAGATTGTAATCATTATATTAATTTCTTTTGCTTCATTCTCTCTGTCTGGAACTCCAGTTATATGTTTGTTAATCTAATATTGTCCCGCAGTTCTATGTTGTTCTTCTCTTCTTTATTTCCCCTCATTCTTTTTTCTGTATGTATTTCAATTTAGACAGTTTCTATTGACCTATCTTTAGCTTGACTGACCCTTTCCTCTGCTTTTATCAGTCTTCTGATAACCCTATCAAATATATTCTTCATCTCTGATATTTTTCACTTTTCATGTTTCCATTTTTTCATATATGTGTTGAATTTATATATATAAGTAATAACTTTCATCTCTGCTGAAATAGCCCACTGTTGTCTACCTTTTCCACTAGATCCTTTGATATATTTATATTGGCTCTTTCAAATTTACTGTCTTATATTTTCAACATGTGAGCCATATCTGGGTCTGCTTCCATATACTATATTCTCTCTTGATGGGCTACATTTTGTTGCTTTTTCACATGCCTTGTATTTTTTAAAATTGTATGCTGGATATTATATATAAAAGAACAGTAGCAGCTGAAATAAATGCTATTTATCCTTAAAAAAGGGTATTGCTTCTTTGTATGCTAGGCTGCTAGTGTAGAGGGCTGGTCAATCTAATTTATCAGTGGCGGGCTAGTTGATGTTTAACACCTGGATCTTTGGAAAGAAAAGTCTTGGCTTACAGCATTTGCTGATTTCTACCCTTGCCAATTTCAAACTATCAACATGATGTCACAGAACAGAGAGTTGGGAGAAGCACAGTAATATATTATTATGTAATATTTCTAATATACAAATACAATAGCTATAACTTCAAGAATATATATAAAATTATAAAATACCGTAAAATCATTAGGAAGTGATGAGTTTTAAGTGTTTGTTACCTTTTAAAATGTAATTCATTTATTTAAGTGTATATAATTTAATAGTGCAGGTATTTAACATTGACTCACAAAATTGCTGAACATTTGACAATCAGCTCTTTCAAGCCAGTACCTTGATGGCTCCAGCACACCAGCGTTAGCTGATTGTATCAGGGCTTTGCTGTTGTTTTAGTTAGATTTAGTTCACCACTGGATTCAGATGATCTATGGGCAGCATCAGGAGTCTCCCTTCAGTAGGGTTTGGGATTTGAGTAGAGGGAATTTCTGGAGATACCTTTGTGTTTTGTAGTGCAGCTACCAGCGTTCTGAACCACTGGAGAGCTCACTTTGCTTTGCAGTCTGGCTGCCAACTTACTGGGTCACTGGGGCGTTCTCCTTGGTCTTCAGTCCTGCCCCTGGCTCTCTGTGCCCCACTGTGCTACCCTGCCTCTGCCTGTGGTAGTGCACTCAGTGAAGCCCAGAGTGCCTGTGAGCAATTTCTCTCAGTCCTCTTGCCCCCGCCCCCCAACCCACCCAACACACAGCCGTAAGTACTCAGGGACTGGAGTGCATTGGAGGGATTCTCTCAGTTCTCCTACTCTGCCCTCAGCCTTCAGCAGACACTACACACCTGCAAACTCAGGGAGAGTCTCTCACAGCTCTCCACTCTGTCCCCAGATTTCCATGTAAGCACCCAGTGAAGGTCTGTGGGAGAGACTTGGCAGGTGGCTGCAGATTTGTGGCTGGGGCTCCTGGAGATACTGAGCAGTCATGATAGCGCTCACTTAGCCTTTCACAACTCAAAATGGTTCAGATGGTCTTATCCAAATCAATGGCAGCTTCCTCCTCATTTCACCACTTCACCAAGGATGAAAGCAGCCATGGGTATGTTCTCTCCTAGCAGGAGCTCACTATTTTCTGGACTTTGGTTCTTCTGGATTTCTTTGCAACCCAAGATTTTTAATGGCCTCCACAAAACTGCGATTTTGTAGGTCACTGTCCTATTCTTTTTGTTAGAATGGCAACAACACTCTTCTATGACCTCCTACTTTCTAAGTGAAAATGAAATTTTCTTGATTCAAATTCTAAACATGATTTTTGTTCAGTTAAATTGTGTACTGGTAGTTGGAAAATTACTTCTAAAAGCGGGCAGATGGCAGGTATTGATCCTCTTGAATGCTTGGGTTCAGGAAATTAAAAGGGTTTGAGCTGAGGGTCAAGGGGTGTAAACAAAGATAAGTGAAATTGCAGAGTATAGCTTCATGGTATGTGTGGCAGAGATTACTTATTGTCTATTCTAATATTATCCTCTTAGAAACAGAACCCTGTGTGCTTAGCTGAATGCATGGCCACCTGAATAAATTCTCTGTTCCTCAACCTCCCTTGCAGAGAGGTGCAGCAATGTGTTTAAGTTCTGGTGTATGAGTTGTAAGCAGAGATGTCTTATGACAGCTTCTGGGAAACCTCTGTAAAGAACCTTCTTTTTTATCCCTTATTCATTTCTGCTACTTGGCATGCAGATGAAATGGCGTGAGCCTCAGCGACATTTTGGACCAGGCAGTGATGTTAAGAGTGTCACTCTTGTAGAACAGTAAGAACAAAAGTGTCTGAGCCCTGGCATCATGGACACTTATGCTATGTCTGGATTGCCTGCCTCCTGACTTCTTTCTTGGGAGAGAATAGTTCGTTCTCTGTTTTAGCCATAGTTCAGGGGAGAAGAATTCCTCTGACATGAAGCTAAACCTATGTCTGACTGATTTGGTAGGTAAACTAGAATCATGCAATCAGAATCTTAGAGCTAGAAGAATCTTTTAATAGCACTTAATTCTATTTCCTACCTTTTTGAAAAAGGGAAAAATTGAGGCCCAGAAAGGTTAATTGTTTTCCCAAGGTTAATGGCAGTTTGCTTTAGATAGCACTTGGGAAAATATCCCACATAGACCTAGGATTCATTAGTACAGCTATGTAACACAATTTTCTTCTTATAGAAACATAAGTAGTACCAAAGATAGTAAATATTTTTATACTTATCATATATATAACATATTTATGTATATCAGAGATAAGTAAAATATTGTGCCTTAAGCAAAGTAGACAGTGTCTTGGCACACGTCCAAACCTTCATGGAGGAAAAATTAATAGTACCTACTAATTGCTTGGAAAAAGTTCCTTTGGATTAGAAATCCTCTTCCATCATCCTTTTGGTAAGTATAGATTCTGAAATAGATTGGCAAGAAATTTGACCCTTTCCCCAAAAAAGCAATTTAAAAAACCCCATAAATAGATTTAAATATTAGATCTCGCTTCTCCAGGGACAGAAATTAAATGGGTTGGAATAATCCCTCTTTATTAGAAGAAAACTGGAATTGACCTCCAGAAGTTTTATTGCAAGATCACATTCAATTCCTCCGATCTCATCTGCTCCAGTCTCTAAGGGAGTGACCACAGCTTGGGATCTGGGGCCTTCTGAATGAGGAGCTAAAAATGGGGTTGGCAATGGTTACTGTCTACATACTATTTGAGCATTGTATTTGAAAGAGAATAAGAAGTATGAAAATCTTTAGTTTGGTGATTGGCTCCTATCTCTTGATGTTCTAAAATTCCTGTCTTGTTATTATTAAAAAATTGAAAAATGGTCTAGCCCAAACAGAGCAGACACACTTCATTTTGTTTTTTTTTTTTTTAAATACAGATCAAGGACTAGAACCTGCTTTTTCTTATTCCCATCAGAATGTTCATTCCACCTGATGGAATCCAACACTCGATTAGCGAAGGCCAGTCTTGCACTTGCATGATGAAGCAATTCTGATGTATAACTGCAGATGGATCTGGAAGCTCCCCCTGCTCCTGCTGTCTCCCACCAATCTCACCAAAGTCAGAAACTCCACAAGTAGAAAACTATTCCTTGGTTTCCATTAAAGTGTAATCACCTGGGGGAGATAGCACAGAAAGCTACTTAATTATTTGCACTTTGAAATGATTGTGGCTATGGGTCCCTTCCTAAGAGAGGTATTGGTGAAGAAGCAAGAAGAGAGGATTAACTGTAGGTCCCTGGGGAAGGGAAGCTGAGCACTACTGAGATAATCAGTGGGTGGGCTTCTGTAGGGTTTGGTAGGCGGTCCAGGAAAAGACGCAAGAATAGCAACTGTAGGTCTTGCCCTATGCTAGTTTTGCTCAAGGTGGTCTTGCAGTCAGGTCTAGGGCTGTCAGCCATGTTTATGCCATAGGATCAGGGCTGGAGCAGCTTTCTCACCCAGGTGCTTGCCACAGCAAAGCTCATGCATCTCACAACCTTTGTGTAGTTTTCTGGCCATATATAGAGGCAGCTGTAGACAGTGTCTTTGATGCCAGCTTGCTGGGGGAATTTTCCACAAAAGCACACGAGGATTTGTCCCACCCGACTGAGAATGCTGTTTTTCTGGATGGATCTCTATTTATGCATGAGGAAACTTGGCACTGGCATAGCGGTAGCTTATTTTTCTATTTTGTTTGGTTTTATTTTGTGCTTCAGAAATAGAACAGATTAAGCATTACTTGCTTTTGAAGGCTCAGCTCTCCCTACAGCATGACTTCAAATGTTGTTCTCCCCAGGCAAGAATGGGGGAAAACACATCTTCTAGCTTTTGTTAAAAGCAATGCAAATGTAGAGAATAGTTGAAAAAAATTTTCTGTTTAATTTATATGTCTTTGAAAATAAATCTTTTTTCCTACAAAAATAATGCTTATTGTAAAGAAATTAGAATAAATCAGAAAACATACATACAAGAAAAAAACAATACAATTGGATGACAATTAAAATGATGTAATAAAATTACATTAGAGCTGGAAGGGACCTTAGAAATAATCTAACTCAATAAACTATTTTATTTTATAAATGATCAAACTGGTTCCCAGAGAGGTTAAGCAACTTGCTTAAGGTCACACAGCCAATAATAAGAGTTAGAATCTATCCTTTTTTTTTTTCTTGATTCATCATTTTCTTACTGTACTACTGGTTTTCCAAAATTTATTTTTTCCTTTTTAGTGATGAGACTGCTTCTTTAGGTCAAATATTACTCTGAAGCCCAACATATAAAACAGGGATGTTCCAGTTGGATGGAAGCTGGTGGGGAGGGGAAGAGCGGGCCTGTTCTCTCTACCCCCAACCACCCCAAGAGTGCTTTGGAGACACCCCAATAGCACATCTCAAATTTCCTAGAGCAACATCAGATACATGGAATAATCATTGCATTATATTATTCAGTCATTTATTTATTCAACAGGTATTTATTGAGTGTTTGCTATGTGCCAGGCATCTTTTGAGGTGAAAAGAATACAGCTTTGAACAAGGCAAGATTGTGTGGGGTGGGGGCTGAGGTCACGCAGCATGCTGGGTGTCTCCCAGGCTCTCTCTCCTTCTTGTCTGTGGCAGCCTTTTGCATGCTCTCCTTGTGGTTTTGGGTATACAGTACTTCATAATTTGAATAGGGACAACACAATGTAAACAATCCCAGGAACTTCCAAATCAGGAAGATTTGGATTTGACTTGATCTGAGTAATTTTTTTGGTCTGTCTTTATTTTGAAAAGATCCAATATTTCTCAGTGTTCGTTCAGAGCCTTTTATTTCTCCTCAGCTGGTAGTGGACTTGGTAGTTGCCCTGAGACTAATTTCTATTTCCAGTTGAATCAGAGAGGAGAAAATTGTCAATTCTAAAGGCCACCATTTCAGTACCTTATGGATAAGCTTCTTAAGGAAACTAAACATACTAACTTAGCGGAGATTTTTTAAAAAGTCTCATTCCTGGTGGACACACTTAAGGATCCTATACCTTATTCTCTATTGTGGTTTATTATAAGCTTGGAGCTCATAATACAGAAATTACCTTCTTTCCGACATTACTGGCGCACTCAGATTCCAAAGGTCAGCTGAGCCTTTTGCAGGTTGGCCACTTGGCCCTTCAACTTCCTTCAGTCCTGACACAAAATCAAGAGGGAGAGTGCAGTCACGATCATTGGGGTCACATCCTGACTCTGCCACTCACTGCAACTTGCTTGCTATGGGTCCTGGGCAAATTATTTAGCTTCCCTGAGCCTCAGCTTCTTCACCAATATATTAATAAAATGAGTATAAAATCAGAGTCATTGTGGAGATTAAAAGAAAAATAATCGTATCACAGTGGCACAGTGCCTCACCCACAGATGCTTAATAAATTTTTTCACGTCCTCATTTCCTTTGAATCTGAAGGACACTCGAGTGACTTAAGGATTGTGTCAAATGCAGATTCAGAATGAGCAGGCCTGAGGATGAGGCCTGAGACACTGCATTTCCAACTGGCTTCCAAGTGTTAACTTGCATGCAAGGTCCTAGGAAAGGATGTTTAGTCACTGTGAAGTCCAGGCATGTGATTGAATCTCGGCTTTGCCAGCTGCCAGGTGGATGATCTTCATTAAGACACTGAGTCTTTCTGAGCCTCATTTCTTAACTGGGGTTATTTATGTTTCATAGGTAACATGAAGACTTAAAATGAGACAACATTTTAATGGTGCCACAAGTATAACACTGTTATTATTATTTTATTTTATATTTCAGTCATATTAGACTGAACAATGCTGACACTGAGATAGTGAACTGCAGCTATTGGCAGAGTGAGCAAATCTTTTGAACATCACCTAGCGTAGTGCCTAGTGCACAGGAGGTGACCCATAGACATTGAATTGTATTTCCCCTATGAAGTTCATATGGGTGGAGGCTAGATGAAGACCGGGCAGAGCTGCTCCATAGAAATATTCAGGCCGTGGTTAGAGTTTGAGTGGGCGCTCCCTTGAACTCCCTTCTATAAAGGAAAACCAACTATCCATTGATCAACTGGGTCCTAAAAAAAGGAGTTACGCTCATCAATTTTTGTTTCTTTCTTTCTGGAAAACACTGTGGTTCTTATTATAACTTCTGGAATTAGATGCTGAGTTTCTTCATAAGGTGGTTCTGTGATGATACAGACAGTATTCCTGCTTTGTGCCAGTGGCATAGTTGTGGCTTCCAGTGCGACCCGGAGCTAGCTTAGCTTGCAGGAAGAATGCTAGAGTTCCAGGGGACCTTGGTGGAGTTGTGCACTCCAACTTTGCCCTTTTCCTGCCTCCTTCTTTGTCTTTCATCTACACTTTATGACTTAACCTTTTTTTTCCCATTTAATTAAAAATAATTCCATAAGTAATATATGCCTATGCTACAAAAACAAGAAAATAAGTATCCCTGAAATCCACTACCTTAAGATAAACTTTTTTTCTTTCTAACATTTTGAATCAAATTTGTGGGGAGTGTGTGTGTGTGTGTGTGTGTGTGTGTGTGTAGGCGCACATGTGTGCATGGGTGGTGTATGGCCCACAGCTAAGATTGGATTTTATACTTCATATTTTTTTGATGGTGAGAAAAAAATCACAAGAAGGATATTATTTGGTGACATGTAAAATTTATATGAAATTCACATTTCAATGTTCATAAATAAAATATTATTGGAACACAAGCACATCTATTTTGTTTTCGCATATTATCTATAGCTGCTTCCTCAAAACAACAGTAAAATGGATTAGTTGTGACAGGTATCATATGGCCTACAAAACCTAAAATATTTACTATCTGATTCTTTACCGAAAGTATTTGTTGACCCCGGTATAAACAATTTCTATTTTGGTAGCCTAACTATTTGGTTATTGATAAACATCTTTCTATGTCAATAAATATCATCTCCAAAATCATCTTTCTTAGTCTTTCATTAAAAATGGTACTTTTAGCTGGGCAGGTGGCTCATGCCTGTAATCCCAGCACTTTTGGAGGCGAGGCGGGCAAATCACTAGGTCAGGAGTTCACGACCAGCCTGGCCAATATGGTCAAACCCCGTCTCTACTAAAAATACAAAAAAAACCCACAAAAATTAGCTGGGCATAGTAGCAGGTGCCTGTAATCCCAGCTATTTGGGAGACTGAGGCAGAAGAATTGCTTGAACCCAGGTGGTGGAGGTTGCAGTGAGCTGAGATTGCACCATTGCACTCTAGCCTGGGTGACAGAGCAAGACTCCATCTCAAAAAAAAAAAAAGGTACTTTTTGGGTTCAGATCTGTTGTTTTTTTATCAGTTGTTAGAGTGCTTTCCATTTGTAAAGCATCGTTATTTTATTTAATTCTCAGACCCTCCGAGTGAGTTAGACATTATATGTTCATAAATACTCTTAGCTTGCAAGTAACGGAAACCACCTTGGGTGTCTTAAACAAGAAAATGGAATTGAGAAAGACTGACTTTAAAAATAGGGGATTTGCCCTGCAACCCCTGGGCTCAGCTGGGCTTCTGAAAGGGCCTGGAAAGCAGTCATGACTCTCAGCTCCTTCCTGTGTGTGCTTTTTAATCTCTTTGCACAGCTCATCTGCCTCTCCCTGTCAGTACAAGTGCATCTGGCTGCTAACAGCCCAATTCTCTGTTTTACTGGTCCCACCACTCTGAAGGAGACTATATTCCCTTTCGGGCCCAATTCTAAATTTTATCTAGGAGAGAAACATAGGTGGCCCAACTTTCTCAAGATTTCACTCCTGGTCCAGTCAACTGCAGCCGTTGTCAAAAATGGCTCCTGCGGAAAACTATTTACAAAGTGGCTCCTCTATACACTGGGGGACATTAAGAGGAACAGTTGTGGGTTAGGCAGATATTTCAAAAGTTTTCTATTTCATTATATTGTTTCCTATTTTACAGAGGAAGAAATTAAACCTTAGTAACACCAAGTGATTCTCAAGTAGTACTTTGTCAAATATGAGTATGCAGACTCCAGATTTCAAGTGTGTTTTGAGTACACCAGACTGTTGCTCATGGATTGCTGTGGACTTGGGAAGTCACCCCAGTAACACCATATTTGGGCTGCAGATCGTGTTTTGCTCATTTCTCATCTCATTGCTTGGTATATCATTGGAAGTTGGGAATTTCCTCTGTGTCTTTTACATTGTTTCCAGGTTGCAGCTGGAAGCTGGATGGACAGATGCAAATTTTGGAATTTTCTCCTGGTTGACTGCTGTGCTTAGAGTTTTGATCCATCAGTGGAGGGAAATTGAGTGAAAATGATCCACATGCCAATCTGGGCTGGCATCTCATCGCTTAGCCCAGCGTTTGTCTCACATCTTGTGTGTAATGCCAGCAACTAAATCTCCAAGCTCGATTAGCAATGGTTACAGCCCAGTGAGCTCACATCCAGAAACCCCCTTGAAATGATGTTTCATCAGGGAGAACTTTAACCACAAAACCTGCTTCTGAACCAACTGAGGAAGACACCTCAGGTACTGTGACTCTAATTCTGGGGCAGTTGTTGAATAAAATATGCCATGACTTTATGGATTTATTTTCTCTCTAAGTTGCATGAGTAAAATGAGTCTTGTGATTTTGTAAAACGTAGCTGTGAAAGAGACCTGAAAATTTGAGACTTGCTGGGAAGAGTTCTTTATGCACTCAGGTGTGGAGGACAGGTGCAGGGGAAATTTGTTGTGTGATGCTCCAGTACCCATTCCTGTCTTCTCCCTTTCTCCCTCTAACTATATCTTGAACATCTCTCTTTTCTATATGATTTTGGTGTGGAGTTGATCTGTCACAAAGTT